>NC_000006.12:90773261-91398261 GCF_000001405.40 Homo sapiens
ATGGTGATCTATCCCTTCCATTTTTCAAAAAGACACATGAATAGATGAGACACATGATTTCAAGCATTCTCCCACATCTCCACTCTCTCTCCTGGTGCTTTTTTCAAAGTGATCTCATTGCCTATAATAGGTTTAATCAATCATTCAATTGATATATATAATTTTTGCCCTGACTGCATTTCAGAATCTAAAGTCTCCTGAATATTTTCTAGATGACGGTTGATGGAAAGAGAAATTAATCCTGTAGGAAACTTTTATTTTCAGAGAAAACCTCTTCAGGATGCCCAGGACCTTTTAAGAATGGTGAACCATAACCTAAAATATACGACACTTCCTAGACATTAGAAATATAGTCAATTTTTGGCTTCAATGGCAAAGATGAAATAATTTTAATACCCTGCTCTCCTATTCCATTGGTTGTGAGCTTGAAAACTTCATGCCTCTTGGAGTCCTCTAAAATTGGAATTGTTGTTATTTTGATTTCTCTTACCATCAGGTGGCTAAACATGTGCATCCCTTATAGCCTGGTGGAGGCAATGGACCATAACATTGGCAGGTTTGGGTCATACTTTCAGTGTAAGGATGGATATTAACACTTAACTCACATGTGTTTTAATGTATGGATTATTCAAAGTAAAGTGTATGAACTGCTTAGTGTAATGCCTGATGCAAAGTAATTGCTTAGTAAATAAAAAGTAATAGAGCTGATGGACTTCTGTTTTAAAAGGAAACTATTGTATACCACTTTTTGTAATGTTCTAGACATTACATTATGTATTGTGTTCTTCTGGATGTTTTGTTTTCATAAATGTATGTGTGTGTATATATGTATATAATTGATATAGTATGAATAGATATACATAATGACCTCATATATGTGTATTCTTTCACATGTGAAATTGTATTATATTCTGTTCTGCAATTTGCTTTATTCACTTCATATTACATGGACCTATTTCTGTAGACTAAAAATGGACATTCTTCATCTTTTTAGTAATGGCACAGTGCTCCATTGTGTGGATGTACTGTGTTTTATTTAATAATCTTTTAATGACAGACATGTAGAATGTATCCATTTACTGGGTAATGTAAGCAATGCAACAATAAACATCCTTGGACAGATATTTTTGCACACTTATATACCTTAGGGACACATTTTAAGAGTGGAATTGCTGTGCCAAAGGATAAACATATTCAAATTTAAATAGGTACTGACAAATTTCCACTCTCCTAGTTTGTTTTCTCCTGCTATAACAGAATACTACAGGCTGAGTAATTTATAAAGAATAGAAAATTAATTGGCTCATGGTTTTGGAGACTGAGAAGTCCAAGAGCATCTGTTGAAGATCTCATGGTGGAAGGTGGAAGGCAGAAGTGAGTATGGGAGACAGAGAGACTGCAAGAGTGAACAGAGCTCCCTTTTATGACAATTGCTCTTATGAGAACTCACTCCCTGTGATAAGGCCTTTAATCCATTTAAGAGGGCTCTGCCCTCAGAACCTAATTACTTCTTAAAGGCCCCACGTCTTAACTGTTACATTGGCAATTAAGTTTCCAAAATGTGAGCTTTTGGGGGACACATTCAAGCCATAGCAGCCACTCAAAAATTTGTAGTAGAGTTCACTTTCACTTTCTGTGAATTAATAAATTCTGTTTCACAGAATATTAATTCTTAATAAATTCTGTTTCACAGAATATTAATTCCTAATAAATTAAGAATCAATTTATTCTTTCATTCAGTAAGTTTCTGTTATTCCTACTCTCACTAGCACTGTGTATTATAATTATTTTTCTTAAATTTGTCAATTTGGTTAGTGAAAAATAATAGCCTCCTGTTGTTTTAATTTGCATTCTAAAACTATGAATCAAATGGAGCATCTTAAAACATGTTTATTGGCTACTGGTGTTTCTTTTTCTGTGAATCTGGCAGTTGAATTCATTGTCCATTGTTCTATTGGATTGCCTGTCTTTTTCTTATTGATTTTAAAGTCAATAACGTATTTAGGTCTCTGTTGCAAAATTTGTTTCCTCGTTTGTTGTTTAGAGGGAGCCCAGGCATTTAACGATGATTTGATTATTTGAGGCAGCTTTCTTCTGTGGAAAGAGTGCTAGACTATCGGGTGAGAATACTTGAGTCCTAGCTCTGGCTCCCTCTCTTGCTTGTTCCATGATTTTGGTTTTCCCAACTGGAAAATGGGGGTACTAACACCTGACCGTGAAAGTGCTGCAAACACTAGATGTGATAATGTCCATGAAAGCATTTGATAGACTCTAAACAGTTTTGCAGATCACATATTGTTATTTTTATGATATCCATGAAATAATCCATCTGAGAAAAGGAAAATTTGCTTGTGTTTAAGCCTTCAACTCCAGTTCTTTGCCTCTTAGATTTAAAGCCAACCTCTTTCCACACAGCAAATTTAAAAGCATCGGCTTCAGATTAAAAAAAAGTTGTGTTAAGTCCTCTTTACTCTGTACTGGTCAGGTCTCATCTGGAAAAACTGAGCTCATTTCTGGGGACTGTGGAGACTGTGCTTTAATTTGATTGTTCTGGAGAGCACTGGGAGAGAAGGTGCCAAAAAGGATAGGGCCTGGAAATCATGTTATAAAGATTAGGAAGGCTTATCTCGGGAAAAAAAAGTCAAATTACAAAGATTTACTATATTTCTTCAATATTTGAAAGGTGGTTTCCTGGGAAAGAGAATAGACTGATTTTCATTGTCTTACGGAGAAGAACTACTTATTATCATCAATTTGGGATTCACATAAAGAAGACATTTCTAGCCATTCTGTTTGACAATGGGACAAGGTATTTCAAAACAGTGATTTACTCATTACTAGATGTGTTCTAGCAGAAGGAGAAAGCCAGGGACGTTGCCAAAGAGACTTCTGTGTCAGGAGACAGTGATTTCTGAGGCCCATCTGCGTGGTTTGGCCATGTAGGTGTCTTTTTCTCTCACTTGTATTCATTCTCCTTACAATTTTTGAGGACATAAAAATTCCAAGTTAGATGTTTGAACAGTATAAAAATGAGTAAGATTTGATCACAGAACTTAGATTATTAGAGAAGACCAATTTTGAAGCGTAGACAGACAACTGACCTTGGAACCAGAAGATTCCAGAAGCTGAAGAGATATTTCCAGGTCATCCTTTTCCATAGTCACCATTACACTGAAGACACCTTTGCTGGTTTTCTTTCCTTCCCTCTTTTCTTCTGTCTTACTCTCATTTCTTTTCCTTTTTATCTGGATCATTCTGAATGTTTTTCCTTTTTTTTGACATTTATTTATTAATAAAATCAAAACATTTATGAACCACCACTTAACTCAAGGGATAGAACACTGAAAATAACTTACATCTGCCTACATGTTCTTTCTCTATTCTAAGCCCTGGTCTCCCCAACAGACATAATTACTGAGCTCAATTTTGTATTTATCTTTCTCTTGTTTTATTTTTTAAAATAGTTTTTATCATACATATAGTCTAAATAATATATATTTGTTTTACTTGTTCCAGGATTTTATAAAATGCTCATGTGACAATGAAGACTTCTAGTTTTGCCTTATCAACATCATGCTACTAAAATTCATCTATGTTGTTGAGTATAGCTGCAGTTCATTTATTTTTCACTACTGTATACTATTTCATTGTGTGAATGTGCTGTAATTTATCTTTTCATTCTCTGGTTGAAAATTATTTAATTTTATCTTTAGCATTTTACTATCATGAACAAATGTTGTTCTACACACTTGCTGATACTCATGTGTAAGGATTTCTTTAAGATTGATACTATAGGGAGGCTGAGGCAGGAGACTGGCGTGAACCCGGGAGGCAGAGCTTGCAATGAGCTGAGATAGCGCCACTGCAATCCAGCCTGGGCAAAAGAGCGAGACTCCGTCTCAAAAAAAAAAAAAAAAAAAGAAAAAGAAAAGATTGATACTATAAGTGGAAAAACTAAGTCATTGAGTGTGTAAATGTTGCATCACAAGGTAATGCCAAATTGTTTCATAGGGTGTTCATATCTTTGATTATATTCAAAGTAGCTTCTCCCTATGAGAACTTGTCTTGCTAGAATATATTTTCTTAAATTACTTTATTTAAATGCCCGAAATCCATAATGACATTCTGATCAAAAGACTCTCCACAGGGCATTCAGAACCCTCCAATGACTGGTAGCCCTATACCCATTCAAAGTGATCTCTTATTGTTCCCCTTTAGGATCACTTCACTCCAGCCAGGCTTGTGACCTCACAGTCTCACCCTCTTTCCCTGCTTTCCTGTCTCATCTTACCTTCTACCTCTTCCTTATCAATTTCAATCTACTTAGAGCAGAGAGTTTGAGAACACAGACTCTGGGGATGGACTGCTGGAGTTTGAATCTCATTTACTACCACTAACTGAGAGAACTCATTCATTTCTGGGTCTCAGTTTCTCCACGTGGGAAATGCAAATAATGACAGAACTTACCCTAGAGGTTTGTTGTGAGGATTAAATGAATTAATATACATAAAATTCTTAGAACCATAAACATTATATAAGTATGTGATGTGATATGTTATTATTATTCTAGTACAGGTTCTTATCTTGTTCTATAAGTATTTTATGACTAATGTAATTTTACTTTGATTTCATAAATAATGCATCATTAATATCTTATCTGAGGGCAGAAACCATATTGGTACAACTTTCCAAATATTTAGTACAAATTGGGTTTGTTGATGAATAAAATGAAATAAAATTGTGTATGGGAGTCAGTCCTACGTTTTCATAGTCTTGATACTGGCTATGAAAGAGTGGCTACCTCACACATAAAACTCCACTTGGCTGCTAATTTCCATGCCATGACACCAGCTTATGACACAGACCTTAGCACTAAGCCTAAATAGTTTACCTCGGAACCTAGATCATAAAGGTATAACTTGGGACATAGGGTGGAAAAGAATCTCTAAAATACAGATGCCTGGTTTTTGTGGGTTTTCTCAATTCTGCGTAGGGGTCCATCTTCTCCAGACTGGCTTGGATTGCAAGAAGCTGCATCTTCCTACAGAACTATTGTGATAAAAATGTGAAACAACACGGGGTCCCAGTTCAGACCTGAATGAGGTACCAAAGGTGATTTTTGCACCACTGATGCTCACTCTCCAGCACCATACTGCAACCAGATGCCCCATTCACTTGACGAGGTGTGCTGCCAACAGGACTGGCATTTTTGCTATTGACCAACATTAGCTGGCATGGTTACAAGAGTCTGGACAGCCAGTTAATCCTTAAAGATATGTCTTCTTTGATTGTGTGCTATAACATTATTCTTGCAAGTACTATTTTCTAAAGGACTTCTGAAGCAATAGAAAAAGCCGTAAATTGCTTTCCATTGCTAGGAAAAGTCATGTGTCTGTTTAAGTATACAAGCATCTTCAGAGGGTTATTTGTGATTGCAACATTTTCAGACTCAATAGAGTCACATAATAAAGCAAACCCTTTCTAAGCATTTGAGTGTCCTTTCTCTGCTGTTTGAAGCACACAGATGAAGATAAAGATACACTGGGGAGGAAAACATATTTCTCCCAGAGAAGAAGAACAGGGTATGTGAAGTGTTAAAAAACTCAGAAAAGGGATAATGATTAGAATTTCAGGTATTCTTGAGCTATTGGATCAATTCAAAATGCATGAGTGTTTCAAATTTTAGAGAATACTATAAATGAAAAAAAAGTGGCCATGCAAGTTTAAATTTAAATATTGCTGACTTGGAGTTTTAACAAAGCAATTCACATTGCCGTGAATTGGAGATGGCAAAGATCCGCATTGCCACCAAATCCGTTGATCTGTTGAGTTCTTAAATTCAGTTCAGTTTTTTTTTAATTTCTAATTTTAAAATATTAAGAAAATTATTATATTTCTCCTGGATTGACATGTAATATAAGAAAAGGGAATTTCAGTATGTGTATACTTTAAAAATGTGAGGAGAAAGAGAAAACACTTTGAAAACATAGGTAATAGCCATAAATAAATATTTTGAAAGTGTCACTAGCCTCCTTCTCCATAATTAGTGTGCTAAGATGGCACAAACTAGGGAAAGGGAGGAGAAAATTACTTTTCACGAGGGAAAGGTTAGTTGGAATTTTCAGTTTTTATTAGAAAGGAAAAAGACTTTAAACCTAAGAAATGTGATGTCAGCTTTCATCTTCTTTTGTGACTTTTTGGCCCACTTAAAAATTAAAATAATGCATAGCTTCCTCAAGTCAGTAAGAGGATTCTCAAATAACATGCTTAGAATGAAGAGATCAGGACAACAAGTCTTTAATCTGAACAAGTAATTTATAGGATTATGAAAAATCCAGGTTCTTGACTAACCCCACTACAGAGTGAGACATAATTAAATTACGAGAGGAAAAAAGAACCATGAATCTGCTACCCCCTATAATCACTCATTAGATTTCAATGATTATTGAAAGCAGGTTAATGCAAAACTCAGCTATTTGTCTTTGATATACCTGAAAATTCTTTGGGCATTTCATCTAAATCACTTTGAAACACCCAGAAGCTTGGTAAGAGAATGCAAACAGACTTTTTTTTTTTTTTTTGAGATGAAGTCTTGCTCTTTCACCCAGGCTGCAACCTCCACCTCCCGGGTTCAAGCGATTCTCCTCCCTCAGCCTCCTGAGTAGCAGGGATTACAGGGGCCCACCAACAAGCCCGGATAATTTTTGTATTTTTAGTAGAGACAGGGTTTCACCATGTTGGCCAGGCTGGTCTTGAACTCCTGACCTCAGGTGATCCACCCACCTCAGCCTCCCAAAGTGCTGCGATTACAGGTGTGAGCCACCACTCCCAGCCAGACCCATTTTTTTATAAATCAGGTAGTGCTACCCATTCTTTAAAAGGCACACCACATTAGTATAGGCCAAAGTCTCTTTCGTTTCATTATATAACAATGACAGCAACTCAATTTAAGTGTATAATGACCCAAACCAGCCATCCTAGCAGCAAAAAAACTTAATAGCAATCTTATCTGGAATGTTGACAGGGAGCACTTCCCAAGAAACCATTACAGCCTCTTCAGTTTACAAAACAATTGGCTTTAATCTTTAATACTGTTAAGCAGTAGGGGGCAGATAGGCACATTAGCATAGCTTTACTTTTTATAAATAGCATTTAATGCACCATATTCAGATACTGTTGGGCTAAGCATCTTATGTCAAACAGTTTTAGATTTGAGCAAATACTACAAAGATTTTTTTTTTTTTTCTTGAAAGGCAAGGCACAATGCTTGCATTCCCATGATAGGACTTAGGAGAGTTTGTATATCAATGAAATTTGAAGGAAAAAACCTTGAACATGTTTCCTTAGGGAAATGTAAGATTCCTTGACATAAATTTAAGTTACAATGAGAAAAAAACCATTAAGAAGAAATTTTCTCAGTTCAACATAGAAGCATTAGCTTCATTAAGTTCATGTACTCTGCTTGGAGCATGAAGTAATGCTATAGTCTCACCACTATAGCTCTTCATCCATTTAAAAAATTTCTTTATTATTGCATGACAAGAACCCAGATGTGAATTTCAGATATTCTCTTTCTTAAAGAAGCAAATATATTTTTTATCTTCGTAGTATGTCTTTGGATAACATGGAAGAAAGGGCTTAATATCATTGCTAAAATTGAAGGGCTGAGCGTGGATGATTTTCCGATGACTTACTGGGATCCTCACACTCAGTGCATGCCAGGTAGTCCTTCAAGGCATACCATATACACACTGCACACCTTCCTGGAGCATCTCATTTCCTTAATGATAAGAAATGTGTTTTGTATTCAAATAGGCACAAATGCATTAGGAATATACTGAACAACTTCCCTGCATTTTAAGATAAACAAAACATAGGACTTTAAAGAAATTTCACATTTATGCTGGACTGCTTTGGCAGAGGTGGGCCTCCAGGTTCCCAGGGTAAGTACACTCAGCTTTCAATTAAGGATATTTTGAAAGGAAGATTTGAAGACTGACTTAAACAACGGGGAGCAAGACCTACAGTCTTGCTGTAGTAGAAACCGTGTGGTTAAATGACAACTTAAGCAAAAATATTCAAATATAGTTTTGCCTCAAAATTCATTCTGATAAAACTTTTCCTCTAGTTGCAAACAGAATTGGGAAAAATACAGGTCTTGCATTCTCGGCCTTCTATTTAAAACGCAATAAAGCTATTTTGGAATTAGACATTATTTATTTGGAGAGAGTAGATTTATCACCTTGCTTCACACTTTCTACTTCTGATCTCTCTTGGTTTGCCTGTTAGCTTTTGGGGGAGTATTTCTTTTTGATAATCATCGTTATCTACTTATCTCAGTAATAAAGACTCTTGCACTGTTTTAACATGTTAGATGGTTAGACTATTTTGACCCAAATTGCTACTTAACTAAAGCGTGTATATAAATATCATTCTAGCAGAAATGTAGCATAGGTAAGAGTCTTCTATCTTCTAATATGTACATCTGCATCAATGAACACACTTTCTATAAGATAACTTCAACTATACTTATGATCTTCTCTACCTTAATGTAATATCATCAATCTCTTAGTCAAGACGCAGAAAAAAATTTTTGGATAAAACAGCACTGTGAGACATTAAAATAGAAAAGGAATTGCTGGACAAGATGCAGAGCCTTTTTAAAATAACTTATTTGAAAACATCTAGCAAAGACAATGTGTTTTAATGTTAAAGCAGACTCTAGCCACAATTACAATAACTCCCCACAGTTTTCTTTAGTCTCTGTTTTCTGAGTAGCTTTTTTTGATCTTCACAACAATCCTGTGAGATAGGCAAAACTTTTGCTTCCATTTCACAGAGAAGAAACCAAGATTCATAAAGGTTAGATAATCTGTCCAAGGTCATAGACCTAAAAAGTGATATAGTGGTCATTGTTCCCTACACCACTGATTCCATGTTCAGAGATATTTTCCCAAATGCTATGCTGCAAGCTTTCATCCCAATTAAGTCATTTATAAATGTGACTTTGTATTTATAAGAATGACCTCTGTAAGAAACATAAGAAACAGACTGTGGAACTCAGACCTACTCTATTTGGGTGGTCAGAAACCTACAAAACAATTATTGCTCAAAATGAGTTCTGTGGAACTCAGAGCAGGGGAAAAATGAAAACATAAATGTGGGGAATACTATCTACTAAGTTCTCTCTGGGAGATTCACAGTGTAAATGGCATAGTTACAACCCTGAGAAATACTGCAAAAATAAATGTATTCGTTTATCGCTTCCCAAATTTAATTGGGCTTGGAACTTTCTTTTTATCCCACTTATTAACAATTCCCATATTAATGCTGAATTCCAGCTTATTTTAGAAATTTCCCTTGTAGTGAAGAGTGAAATTTAAAAAATAAACCTGGTTTGAAATTCCCGTTGCCAAATTGGGTAGTAAATGCCTGGAATATGAATCTTATTCTCCTTTAACTTTGAAGGTTCCTGTAAAGAAAGAAGAGGATCTTTGAGTTTCTTTTTTACTTCTGCTTCCATCCTTTGGCTGTTCCAGAGCTGTTAACCGCCATGCTGTGATGGTTTGAAATAAACCAGCCTTGCTATGAAAAACTTTGATAGATTCAACATCTCTTTATTTTCCTCCCTGTAGTGATCATTGTGGCACAAAATGATTTTTGAGGTTATGGGATAAGAAAAAAAGTTCTATGAAAGCAGGTCTTATTGATCCTATTGCAGGAGGTCTTATCACCGAGGATGGAAGATGCGGTTACTGAACTGCTTTTTACCAGCCTATGGAAGAGTCGATGCATTAAGTTGAAAAGAATGGGCTTAGATCATAAATCTGTTCTTTGGGGAAATTACAGATTCAAGCTCTTTGAAGATATTTATTCCTTCAAAGTTCTTAATTTGTGTTTATTCATTTCCCCTAGTTGATTTCAGGCACAAAGATAAGAAGAAAAACTTAATTCTGTATTGTGGCCATGCCTGGTCTGTGATTAGTATGAAAACGCTTTCTAAGTTTTCCAAGATTGCCTTTTAAAATAATCATATTTTGTTGCTGCCTTCGTTGGAATGCCTCTGTGTGTCTGATACTAGGCTTAATCTTGTTATTTTGTGAATATTATTTTGAAAATGAAATTCTCAAAGAAAAAAGGCTGAAAGGAAATTCAACCAGAATATTAACAATGGTGGTTTTCTTGGAAAGTGGGATCGTGGGTGATTATATTAATTTTTTTCTTATATTTTATGTGTTTGTGACATTTTCTACAATATTATTAGCATATCATATAGTATTACTGTGAAAATCAGAAAAAGGTACTAAACTATTTGACATTTAAAATTAGGGTCCTATTTCTCTTTAAACTTCAGACATGATTTAAAGGTTTTTTGCTTTTCCTTTCAGCCCCACCTTTAAAAGTGAGGGAGGTAAAGTAAATGTATAATATTTCCAACAGTAATGCATTGCTAAAATCAAATTATTGCATAATGATGATTAAACATCTAGGTCTGCCTCCAATAAAGAAATGAGGAATGACCTAATTACTGTAGTTTGCCTGTAAAAACCTATTCATTTATCACTTCACCGAACATTATGACCAGAGTTTTACAGAAAGAGCGGGTTTCAATTTATAATTTTCCTCCCTCATAAACTGAAATTTCTGTTGAGCAGACATGAAAGATTTAGGCAACATTCACCGAGGAAAGCCCTCCAGCCTTCTCATAGGGTGCCTGGGAAGACTAACACCAATTTACATGCCTCTGGTCTAAAGAGCTATTGCTCTGAAAAATCTGAGGGCAGGCATCTCTCAGTCTTCTCCCCTTTGCATTTCTGACATGAATTGTTTCCACATAAATTTACTTTCTTATTGGTTTTGACATAAGTAGGACCAGAAAGACTTTACAGGAAAGATTTGGGTAGTTATCAAGATGTTTTTCCAACCCCTGAGAGAAACTGGAAATAAGTTTATATGAAGAAGTAAGATTTTTTTAAAGAAACTTGAGAAAATATTGTATATATATATAACACATCCCTGAGATCATTCCCTAAAAGCCATACTTCAGTGCTAAATTTAGCTAGTCTAGTTGGACATGATTTAATGATGTTTTCTTAAGTTCTCTGTGTCTGACTATTCATAAAGCAAATAAGTCTTGATGACAAGAAAAGCTTAATAAAATCAATATTGAATTGTCTGGAAATTAGCGATATGGTTTATGGACTCTGTATTAGTCTGTCCTCGCGCTGCTATGAAGAAATACCAGAGACTGGGTAATTTATAAAGGAAAGAAGTTTAATTGATTCCCAGGTCCATATTGCTGGGGAAGCCTCAGGAAACTTACAATCATAGCAGAAGGCAAAGGGGAAGTAGGCACCTTCTTCACAGAGTGGCAGGACAAAGTGAGTACAAGCAGGCGAAATGCTAGATGTTTATAAAACCATCAGATCTCCTGAGACTCACTATCACTAGAACAGCAAAGGGGAAACCGCCTCCCATGATCCAACTACCTCCACCTGGTCCTGCCCTTGACACGTGGGGATTATGGGGGTTACAATTCAAGATGAGATTTTGGGTGGGACACAGCCAAACTGTATCAGACTCTCCAGATCCCTAGTTTCTCTTTTGTTTCTTTTGTACTACCTGAGCTATTGCATGAAGTGTCATGAGAGAATGCAATTATAAGGTTGATATCACTTGCCAAACCAATGAAAAGCATAAGGTATCTCTCTGGGTATGCATTTTAAGGGAAAAGAGAAGAATACACAAGGCAAAAAACATCTTACTAATGGCTTGGCAGTATTTAAATATTTGATTATCTGGTTGTCCTATTTCCACCAGCCTTCCTCTCCAATCTTATTTCTCAAAGTTCTTCACATGCAGCCCAGGCCCCCGTTTTTGTGATTTTTTGATTAGGCACATGCATTAGTCAGGGTCCTCCAGATAAAAGAAACCAATAGTATGTGTGTAGACAGAGAGAGAGATTTCATTTAAAGAATTGCCTCATGAGACTATGGAGACCAGCAAGTCCAAGATCTGTAGGGTGGGACAGCAAGCAAAGATCCGGGGCAGAACCAGTGTTGCAGATGAAGTCTGAAGGCAGTCTGTGGCAGATTTCTTCTTGCTTGGGGGAGGTCAGTCTTTTCTATTTAGGCCTTCAACTGATTGGATGAGGCCTACCCACATTACGGAGGGTGATTGGCTTTACTTGAAATCTACCATAAATGTTAATTTCATCCCAAAACTCTCCCAGAAACATCCAGAATAATGTTTGACCAAATATTTGGGCACCACGGTTTATGTAAGTTGACACATAAAATTGACCAACACAGCGTATGTAGTTTTCTAAGTCTCCCCAGGTGATTCAGACACCACCTTCTCCTCACTGAAGTAAAATCATCACTCTACTTCTGTTTCTCCTCCTGGTTGAAAACAATTGCTCTAGCTATGCCAAATTATTTTGAATACTCTGAATATTGACCTCCTTATGAAACCATGTCTGACTCTGCTGCTTCCTCATTTTAATGTTCTTCCTACCGCTTCTCTGCTTGGCTTCCTCTTAGACTCTATTCATCTTTTAAGAATTAGCTTAAGGCTGGGTGCGGTGGCTCGCGCCTGTAATCCCAGCACTTTGGGAGGCTGAGGCAGATGGATCATTTGTGGCCAGGAGTTCGAGACCAGGTTGGCCAACATGCCAAAATCCTGTCTCTACTAAAAAAATACGAAAATTAGCTGGGTGTGGTGATGCATGCCTGTAATCCCAGCTACTCAGGAGGCTGAGGCATGAGAATTGCTTGAACCTGGGAAGCAGAGGTTGCAGTGAGCCAAGCTGCAGCCTGGGTGACAGAGCAAGACTCTGTCTCAAAAAAAAAAAAAATAAACATAAACATAAACGTAAAATAAAATAAAGAATGTGTTTAAGCACTGTAACCTTTTACAGATTTTACCACCTTCCTCTGTGTTCCTATATATATTTAAGTGTCTTTATTTCAGCACATGGGATAGGTTGTGTTGTGACTATTTATTACACATTCATCTTAGTCTGTTTTCTACTGATATACAGAATACCACAGACTAGGGAATTTATAAAGAAAATAAGTTTATTTGGCTTATAGTTCTGGAAACTGGGAAGCCTAAGAGCATGGTACCAGACTCCGGTGAGGGTCTTATTGCTGCATTGTCTCATGGTGGAAAATGGAAGTGCAAGCAAGTACATGAGGCAGAGATAAAATGGGGGCCAAACTTACCCTTTTCTCAGGAGCCCACTCTCTTGATAAGTAACCCAATCCATTCATGACCTAATCACCTTTTAAAAGTCCCACCTCAATACTGTTAGAATGGCAAATAAATTTCAACATGATTTGGGGAGGTAGCATTGAAACCTAGCAATGTCTGTTTATTTCATTAAAATGTGAATGCCTTGGTATTAGAGGGTGACTTATTCATCTTTCTATCCCATCATCTAACAGAATCGAAGAAGGCCTATTTTCACAATGAATATTGGCTGAATGATTATTTGCTGGGTGAATTGAGATCTGAAGGCTATACCTAAAAATTCTAGCAGCTGTGGTTGGACAGAAAAGAGTTTGAAAAGGATCATGGAAATGGTCTATATACTTTTAAGGGAGGACTGGTTCATATGGGACATCCTAGGCAGCAGAAGGAAGCTTATTGGGCAGAAGTTGGGAATAGTAAGAGAAGGAGTGTGTTATCTGATAAAAAATATCTATTATTTTGAATTGTTTCATAGGTCAGCCTTAACATGTCCTATATCCTTTTCTTACGCATTCACCTATTAGATAATGAATAATATAACAGTATAAAATGAGACCACTGCTTCTATCAAATTTTATGTTTGCTTAGTGCCATCTCATATATAATGATGAAATTGCAAGACATTCAGTATTTTCCTGATCCATTAAAATCTGTGTTTATATATTAAGCTGCTATGAACAACGCAAATGACCTGATGGGAGACTCCCCCGCCCTTGCTGGCCTCACATAGCTTGATACTTTTGGACCCTGTGGCAAGGAAAATGAGTTTGGAAGCTATTGAGCTAGAGCTGTGGTTTTTAAAATGGACTAAAACATTGTCTAAGTCAGGGGAATAATATGCATTCTTATAGGTCAATGGGGAAATGTGTGCAGAGGGTAGAAGGTGGGGGGGCATGATTACAGTTATTTATATACCGGTTGCATCTCAGATATTTTGGATTTAAACTCTCCAAAGACCCAAATCACCACATCAAGTTTCTTTAAACTTTTTTTTCATGTGCATAATTGAGTGCTCAGCTGGATGCTGCACTCTACAAGCCTGATTTCCTTCCTAATTGCACAAGTGGCTGAGCTCTTACAATGCCATATTTCTGTTCATTTGCATTTACACAATATACTTCACTGTGTGCTTCAAATGCACCATTTGAATGTTGAGTCCTGTCTTTATCTTTAGGGTTCTTATAATGGCTCGGCCCACAGATAGAGCAAGTCTGGGGAGAGCTGCTATAATCTCGCTATGAGACTGCCTTCTTACAATCGGCCAATATTCAGCTGGCTTCTGAGGTGATGCTCAGCAGTAATTCAAATGGAAGAACACAGCAATAAGTAGAGGGAAAGAACACCCAAGGCGATCATTTAGAAATCGTTTTCAGGTCAGAATAAAAGAACATGGGATTTGTTTTATTTTATTCCAAACACCATGTAATCAAAAGGGTCTCAGGCTCCCTAGGAGTTCACTACATGGGGTTGCTTTATAAAACTGTCGAACAAAGCTAGAAAGAATTCTTGCCTTATATTCCCTTCCTAACTCACGTACTTGTTTTCAAATAAAATGAAGGAGTCTCTCTCTTCAAATAGTATAATTTCACTAAATGCTATAACTTCAGTTTCTGCAAAAGACCTGTTGATCAAATATAGAGCACACTTGTGGTAGCAAAATATATTTGTAATATGATCTCTCATATTTACTGCATTATGAATTTTGAACATATTTTCCTTTCGGATTAACTAAATAGGGAAAGGCTCCTGGGTTGTCCTGAATGGTAGAATAATCGGAATCAGAGATGGAGGAGTCCTGATGGGGTCATCCTATGCTGGCTTGTGCTAAATATTCTTTAATGGTAAGGTTTCTCAACTTCAACACTATTGACATTTCAGCCAGATCTTCTTTGTCGTGAGCGGCTGCTCCGTGCATTGTAGGATGTTTAGCAGCATCTCCGGCCTCTACCCACTAGACACCAGCAGCATTTCTCCATGATGACACCCAAAAATGTCACCAGACATTGCCAAATCTTCCCTGGGAGGCAAAATTTCCCTGTTCGAGAACCACTTCTCTATAGGAACAATTTTGGTGACTGTGACCAGCCTATTTGGGCAATGTTTTTACTCAGGAAGTGTAACATAGAATGAGATCTAATAGATAAAATGTTGAGGTTGGCTTGCACTGTGGAGACTGAACATTTATTAAAGACTCCAGATCACAGCCAAAGTGACCTGGAATTTCAGAATTAATATAGGGATTTTCTTGCCATGCTATGCCCATTGCATCAGTCAGGGTTCTCCAGAGAAAAAGAACCAATAGTGTCAATGGTAATGGCAAAAATCGCAATTACTTTTGCACCAACATAATATATATCTCTCTCTCCTCTCTCTCTCGTGAGAAATGATTTATAAATCAGGAGTTGAGGGCACCCCTGGCACCCCTTTCAAGAGAGAGAGGAGAAAGAGAGAGAGACAGAGAGAGAGAGAGAGAGAGAGAGAGAGAGAGAAAGAATTTATTCTGGAAATCGGCTCACAGGACTATGGAGGCTGAGAAGCACCACGATATGCTGTCTGTAAACTAGAGACAGAGGAAATCTGGTGGTGTAATTCATTCCCAGTCTGAAGGCCTGAGAACCAGGGGTGAGGGATAGGGTAGGGTGAAGGTGAGGAAGGAGGACTGGTATAAGTCTCAGAGTCTGAAGGCCTGAGAACCTGAAGCTCCAATGTCCAAGGCAGGATAAGATGGATGGCCCAGCTCAAGAGGAGAGAGAATTTGCCCTTCCTTCACATTTTTGTTCTATTTGGGCCCTCAACAAATTGAATGACACCTGCCCACATTGGTGAGGGTGATCTTCTTCACTCAGTCTACTGATTCAAATGCAACACCTCACAGACACACTTGGGAATAATATTTTGCCAGCTATTTGGGCATCCCTTAGCACAGTCAAGAGGACATATAAACGCAACCACTACAGCTAGTCTATGGTCTCAGACTTTCTCAGCTCTCTCAGTGCAGCCCAGATAGAAGCATAGACACCTATCCCGTCGTTTTTTCGGAGAACACCTATAGGTTCCATAAATCAAGTCCTTGTAATCTGAATACATTTTTACCATTATTTTGAAATATTCAACTAATCAATAGGGCATCAGCAGTGATACTGCCCTGTAATATTTCAAATTATAATAGAAATCTTGTACTTTTTGGATGATTCACAAGTTGGATTTATAAATCTAAACTCACTTGAAGTTAAAAACTCAGGGTTTAATTTATGGAACCTGCCCATATATTTTAGCAGCCTGCTTTTGATTTATAAGTCTCTCCTCTTTTTAATGGTAGTTGTAGCCAACTGGTTTTTAGTGTTTTATAAGTCCAAAAATTAATTTCCATATCCTTAAATGGGTTTACAAATCCTAATATAGATTTACAAGTCCTGAAACAGATTTTAAAATCGTGCCAATAAATCCTAAATAAAGACTTGATTTACAAACCTGGATTTTGCACCTGGTTTTCCAGGAAGTGATTTATAAATCAGGAGTTGAGAGCACCCCTGGCAGAGTGAGTCCACTTTCTCTCTGGGAAGTCCTGCTCTCTGCATCGAATTGCGCTGGCTTGATTTACAAGGCAGCAGCCTCGAGCTGGCCAAGGCTCCTCCGGCTCTGACATGCCTGTGCTGGTGAGGAAAAAGGGCCACATCCCACAGGCTGGCTAAAACGGTCACTAATCAGACTGAAGACAGCAAACCATTCATCTTCTTTGTCAGAGAGGGAAGGTGGTGACCAGATAGTGAAGACTTCCAGTTCTGCCTGAGTAAAGCAGCTGAGATACATGCAAGGCATTTGGCGCGACTCTAGTCAGCATTAACACTTGCATTACACTGCACAGCCCAGGGCCAAGGTCAGGGTAGAGAGTGTGTCTCATTCCTCAGATAGAACTGAGGATGGGCATCTGTACTTTGTTCCCTTCCTGTCATTATGCTGCTGAAGATGTTTGGCCTACAGAAGAATGTACACCAGACTGGTGACAGTGTTTTTTCTGGGGGAATGGGATAGGAGGAGAAGGGTAAATCATTTCTACTTCCTTAATTCCTGGGCTGTTTGAATAACTTTCACAGTGACCATGTAGTACTTTCATAACTGCAAAAAATATACCAGCAAGTATCAGGAATATGGGGAAACAAGGGGTTTTATTATTTGCTCTTTCCTAAGTACCTATAGCAGCCTGCCATCACACAGGACTCCCTCATTAGCTAGCATTCTGTTATACTCTGCATTGGTGCCCCCTGGTATTTCTAAAGTAGTTTAGAGTCCACAGAATCCTTCCATAGAATGCTTTCTTATTTACTCATCCAGTTTCCTGTGAACCAGGCAAGGCAACAGTCATGTTCCAGACACGTCAGCTGAAGCTCCCAGAGGATGAGTGGCTTGCTTTACCCAAAAGGATATTTAACTAGGCTGAACAATCTTTGGGCCAGCATTGGATTTCTCATTCCATAACACAGGCTTTCATGCCACACATAGGCCTCCTCACTCTCCAGGTCTGAAACACATTGTGGCTCCTATGGCCCAGCTGCTCTCTGGGCCGTGTGTTATGACTGTGTTATGGCTCCATCGGTGAGCCAGCTGAAGCTCTGTCAGTGATAGTCTTCTTTGAAAGACTGTTGCTTTCTCTTTTTCTCACTCTCTGTCGGTCTCTCACACTTGCTCTGGCATATACCGATCTTCTGAGCCAAGTTGTGCCCTTCAGTGATCCTGCTCAGTTCCCTCAAAATGGCTCAGACACCAGTTGTTTTGTTTTGTTTTTGTAAAACCCTCCTGACCACTATACTTTCCAGTGCCTTTTCAAATCATCGTAGCAGTTACTGTTTGTTTACCTGCCAGTTAATTACCTACCTCCTCTCCTGATGTCTTTCATTTTTGGTGAAGAAGTTCTCCACAGTTAAAATCAGGAACTCCGAGTTTGTATTCTGGCTCCATGACTTGCTGGAAAGAAGCCTGATGAGCCTCAATTTGTTCAAATGAGAATCTATTTTAACTTTCCTACCTACTGAACATTGTGGTTATAATGCTCAAATGAAATAAAATAGGAGAAAATGTTTTGCAAATCTTAAATGCTATATGACTGTAAGCTGCTAATATAGCCCCACTATTGAGGATGTGAGAAGTTTAAATGTGGCTGGGGCAATGATGATTAAAAAGTAATTACAATAGTGATTTAGACCATAAATGCAATTTCGTTTACATATATATGAATGTGAATTATGTAAATTTGAAGTGCTATAATATAAAATATTAATGTCTCATTTTATATACAAATTTTGAGATAAAAGCCTTCCAAATTAAAAAATACTTGCCAAAATTATACCACTTCAAAGCTGTTGGCCTGAGTAAACTATAAACTATGCATTGACTATTGTTGGTTGGCAGTGCCACTTTAGCTGGTAAAGAAAAGAGGCACTCATTCTTTGTCAGAAAAATGTGAACCAGGCCCTTGTACCATGTGTCAAAATGTACTATTTAAAATTCATTGTATTATAATGAAACAATATGAAGAGCCAAAAGAAATATCATTCAAACTTTTATCAAGCAGTGGTGTTAGCATTCGGGCTATGAATCCTCTTTTTTTTTTTTCCTACCTTCCAAAGTAGTAACCTTGCAACATAATTGAGATGTGATAAAATACCATTTTTACTGCTCAATTATTTGGCAGAAAGAACTCTGGGAAATATTAGAGATAATCCTGAGTAAACAAAGAAGGAATAGTAAAGCAGTCCTCCTTTCAAATTCTTTAAAGTCATCATATATCCAGCTGAGGATAATGGGAAAAAATGGGTAAGACTGTGGAGATGTGGCTGTATGATGAACTCCCTATAATGTGCCCCCAGACTATCATGAGTGTAGTGGTATTCACTCAGAGAATGAAATATCCTATTTAAATTTATTCCTTTGAGAAAATTAGTCTTGAATTTTGCAAGGTTTGAAATACCTCTTTAGGAAAACCTCCCTTGCATACAATCTGATTTGCCTGCAATCAATGTGGTGAAGACATACTTCCTATTTAACATTCACAACTGGGTAGTGGAACACAATGTAGGTAAGACTGTGACTTTTAAATTGTCATCTCTAATTTCTAAGACCTTCCTCTTTTTACGTCTAGATTATCAACTTCTTGAAAGTAGGAAGGAGTCCATTTCATATTCTTTGACTTTCCTCAATATCTAGTAAAGAACAGGTACTCTCTCAATAGATATTTTGGAGTAATTCATTAAAAATACACACCTGTGTTATTCAGATTCTGTGTAGAGCCTAATAAGAATTTCACCCCATGAATAATTTTAAAGGATTATATTAATAAATGGGGTGCTTTGTTCACAATAAGCCCACTGATTTGTACCTTGGCTTAGAGCTAAGATGTGATTTGAGGGCCTGCTGATTACAAAATGATTGTTTAAATCTTTGCTTGTTGTAATAAGCCCTTTACTGAGCACTACAGCATGCTAAATAGGAGCTCTCCAGTCTAAACAAATAAATCAGATAATCCTAACATTACATAAGAATCTACAGACTTAATGAAAATCTTAACAGGGAAGATGTACAATGAAAAATATTTATGTGCATCACTTAATTTAGTGAACAGAAGAAAGAGTTACAGATCTGCAGTCTGCCTATACAGGCAACAAACCCTATTCCCGGCCCCTTTCATGATGCCTGTGTTAGGACCAACAAACACATACTATGTATTAATTGAAGGTGAGTATAAAGCTTCTAAAAATCTTGAGGAATTAAAAATAACCAGCCAAGCTAATTAAAAGGATATGCATCTTTTCTTCATGAGAATAAAGTCCAAAGAATTGTGAACTTGGATGAAACATATTTACATCTGCAATTTTACTGAACTTTAACTAAAATTTCACATTTTTATCTATTATGAATGTAGGCCAAGCCCCACCCCCTCCCAAAACAAAAAACAAAACCCACCGCAGCAAGGAGCAGTATTTGTGACGTTGGCTCAATATTTTTGAATATCATATTATTGTTGATGCCGCTATCTTGATGTACCATGTATTCTCACCTCTGCTTTGAAATTATGTTTGTTAATAGACAAATCCACTATGTCCTGTTATTTAATATATTAACAAGCACATAGATTACTATACCTTAAGTTACACAAGTATCTTTATGATATATATCTTGTGATATACATGGCTTCCTTAGTGATCTCATTTATTTTGGGTTATGCTCTTAGGAACATTTCTGGGAACGAACACAGAAGACTCCCAAGACTCCCAAAGGGATTTATGGCTCAGAAAAGGTTAAGAAACCCTGATCTAATGGCAGCTAAAAACATAGATTGTCTGTATTTGGGAATTAACTGGTCATAAACTTTGAAGACTAGGAGTCTCACTCACAGTTGACAAAGAAAGAATCCCTTTACTGACCAAGTCTATTGTGATTATAAATGGAGACTGGAAAGGCAACATTTTGTTACAACTATGTGCCAAAACTGTCTGCATGAGAAAAGGGGTCATAATCCTTTGCTCTTTCCTTTATTCCCCCATACATTGGTTAAAAAGTACTTTTAACAATATGTTTTTGCACCTTCTCAGCGATGGGTAAACGATTTATAAAAAGTCACATAAAGTGGAGACATGACCTTAATTCTTTGTGCTTATGTAGGGACATGAGATTTGTTATGTAGTGATATCATATACAGTGATTGTGCACTACAAAAGAATAATGACAGTGACAATTATTCCCAAAGCCGCTTTTGTTCATTGAAATGAGTGATATTTGTTACTTAAAAAATATTTCCTAATTATGTATGGCTATTTCCTTGCCAAGTGCTGACCAGGCCTGGCCTTCCTTTTCCAAGCTGACAGAAGGTTTCAGGTTGAAAGGGATTTGGACTTGAAACTGAATTTCTAATCTGACCAACTCCCCAAATGGGGCTCCTGTTCTTGGCAAAAATGCTCTTTGCATATTTCCAGAAAATCATCAGTTATTCAGAGGGACCTTTCAAATGCCAACAGCTTAAATAAGAAAATGTGCCATGGCAGAAGGAAGCAAGAATGAGGAGCATCAGGCTAAGTGGATCCTGCTGAAAGTAAATTTCCCTCATCAGGGCTTTAGTCCCCAGGAAAGGTCTCCATCCAGTTACTCCCTAGAGCAGCTGAGTCAAGAGGCCTTCTGAGCACTGTGGAGATTTTAACCCATCTGCCCTGAGGGGGTTGGCCTATGATACTGATTCTTCTTGTGTCTCACATTCTATTCCTTGAGAAGCAGGAATGAACACCACTTGACTCTTTATTGAAATTGTGTGCTTCCAATGGCACATTTCATGCTTTGATGCTTATTGAATTATTCCAAATTCAAAAATTTTAGGAAAAAGCTGAACATGAAAAATCAACTTCCCCCAATTTCATTTTGTAATATGTTGAATGCCTACTATGTGCTTGGCATTATGATAGCTTGCTCTAAGAAAATACAATCTAAGATAACAAATTGGACAAAGACACAATGATTGTAAGCATTTGAGTTAAGGAGTTCATGCTTTACCCAAAGTACAGTAAGTTCCTCATTGTCTAGAAAGCTTGGAATCCCTACATACCTAGATATTACCACAGTCAACTGTTTTTTTTTTTTGGCTTTTTCATTTGTAAAAGGAGAGACAATAATATCTGTCTCACAGTTCATTGTTATTAAGTGTGGGTCCAATGAGATTATGTATGACAGGGGGACAAGGCTGTGTAGGCTTGTGCAGACTGGGCTAATTCACAAAAGGAGCGACTCACTCCTACTCAATAGCCTTGTTATGTATGCAACTCAAATGATAAATTACACCATGTCATGGACATTTAGGTCACCCCTGGTTGAGTCTCAAGTAATAAATTGATAGCACAATTAATGTATATGGAAATTAGGGAAAAGTTAACACAGGGATGTCTTCAATGAAGAAGTGGATTTTGCCGTGGGTCTTGAAAAGTCAGTAGGTTTCTAAAGGCAGAGAGGATAGAAATTAGAAATGGTTGCTGGAAGAGGAAATAGTATAAAGAAAAACTAAGAGTTGGGTGAATATAACACGTGTGCAGGAAACAGTGAGTAGCCTAGTTTGTGCGCACCATGATATTTGCACCAGACTAGTGAGGAGATGGATCTGAGAGGGTAGACTGGGCCGTACTGTGGATGTTCTTCACATAGCTGGCAGTCAGGAAAAAACAAGAACATATTCTAACTGGGACAGAGCTGTGCTTTGGAAAATTAATCTGGTAGCAGCATGTAGAATGCATCAGAGGGTTCAAACATGCAAGGAGAGATAGAGACTGAGGTAGTCCCACTAGGAAATGGCCTAGCAATTCAACAGCTAGTTTAGGACTTGGCTCTGTATGGCCAAGGAAGTTATGATGACATGATGCTGAACTGTGGTGGTGGGCATGCGAGGCATTCAAGAGATTTTGCAGACGCACCACTTACACAGCTTTGCACTGGCTTTATCGAAACAGGGGAGATATAAAGACGATTTGGAGGTTTGAGGCCCAGGTGACATAGGAAAAGAGAAATAACATAAATGAAAAAGTTGGGAGAAGCTGGTCTGTGGGGTAAGCAAGATGGAGTAGTTCATGATATGAATTTGTAGTATGCTGAATTTAAGTTGTGAGTGAGGCTTCCAAGTGGGGGTGACAAGCAGGCTGTTAGGAATTTGGGTATGGGCCGAGAAGAGAGCTAAAGATTCAAGTATACACTTAAGCATCATCTCAAAGCAGGTAATATTTGAAGCAATGAAAATGAGTAGGATTCCTGAAAAGAGAAAGGGAATAAGAAAGCTGAAGTTAGAACACTGGCAAATATCCACTGCAGGTGAAGGGATGTGGCTGAAGGCTTTGTGGGATCAGGAGTAGGAAAAACCTACCGGAGTCAGGAAGGTAACTTAATTGGGAGGCGAGCTTGGGGTCAGAACATCCTCACCTACTTATTAAAAGGTGGGAATTGTGGGGGCACTAGGGAGGGTGGGTCTGTTTTAAGGGGTCCACTGGGACACAGTTTTAATGAGGGGGCCCAGTGTTGCAGATCTTTTGAGTTTTCAAGAGAAGTCATAAATCTAGATTGTGATGGGAATCAAGGAATTGTAACACATTAAGTCAGACTTTAAAAACCACTGTGCAGAACAAATAGAACATATCTGTGTCCCTGACCTAGACCAGGGGCCATGGGTCTCTCCTTCTGAGGTAGATAGAGATGGAATGTTCAGAGAAGTAGGAGGAAAGACGAAGTCAGGATGCTGCATTAAGCCTGACAAGTAGGAGGTAGTTGGTGATCTTCCAGAGAGCAATTTCACTGGCAAGGTGAAGGTAGAGGCCAAGTGAAGAGAGAGAGAGAGAGAGAGGAGAGAGACATATCCAAGGAGGGGAGAATTCTGAGAAGTTTTCTTGGGTTGATAATCTTACATTGCCTTTACGGCAGATGGGAAGTCTTTACTAGCTAGGACCACTAATTAAGAACATTTCATGAGGAAAATAAAAAAGACTTTCCAAATTACTACATTATTATGAGTGAATTAGGAGAGCAATTTGATCACTTGGAAAGTGCTCCTCTTTCAATAAATGTAAAATATGGATTCTTGCTGAGATTTCTAAGCTGCTTCATCTAAATTATATGCTAAAGTAGAGAAACAGATGTTAAATATGATTAAAACCAATTACAAGTTCCGCAGTACAATACTGTGTTTTACTTACATTAGTCTCCCTGCTAGCTTAGGTGCCATCCGCTTTGCCTTTATTTCCTGTTCATAACTCCAGGGTAAGCAATGTGGGGGATTTATGCAGTTTAGACCAGAACCTGACGGGGAGGTACAGATTCAAATGGAAGTGCCTCCGCAGATCTAAACAACTAGCAGAAGGCTCACTGGGGAGGGATGTAGGGGGTGTCCTAGTTTTGCATATAAAACAGATTGTTAAGTTTCTGGCCTGACATATCAATGCTTGTATCAAAACTGAATTTTGACTTAATACTGGGGTGAGCTTTTTCCAGATTTTTGTTTGTTTTTAATTTTTCAAATGGGTTGTTGCTATCTTGAGCATATGACTGTCTGATGCCTGTGCTTTGTCATTCAGGGACTGAGAGGAGAAACACAAATACCTCAAGAAAAAGGAGATTTGTTCATTATTAAAATTTTGGTGGACTGGGACGGGAAGTGATCAGAAGTGAGGCAACTCTGGGGAATTGGTATTCTTAGGGTCTTGTGGTCACATTTGCAGCTCTCTGCTGAGGCAGCATGTATGCTCCTTTCCTGAAGGATTCCTCTATAGATTCACAGGACAGCCTCCTTAGAACTTCAGCCTTGTGACTATTCTGATGCCCTCTTACTTCATGGATTTCAGTTCTCACAGTGGACGACTTCAGTCTCCTAGGATCCTCTCCTTAAATTTCTTGAGGGTAAATCTCTTGGTTTCTGCTAATCTTTCAGGCCAGACTATTGGCCAACCTCTGGAGTGGCTGCCCTTGTGTCAGGGACCATCCATGGCCAATCAGCTTTGGTGGGGCTTTGGGAGCCATCTGATAACAAAATGTGTCTGTTCCTTGAGCAAGGACTGTAGACCTGGAAGATTGCCGTGGATGGGACTGTAAGCAGCACACTTCCACTAGAAGTTACCTTGCTAGTCTCAGTGTCTAACACATAAGAGGTCCTCAATAAATAAATATCTGTTGAATAAATGACTGACAATAAATGGAGTGGCTTTGTTTTATGATTAGAAGCGTGTATGTTTGTATGTGTGAGATAAATATTCTCACGTTTGAGACTAAAGTAGGAGTGTCCAATCTTTTGACTTTTCTGGACCACACTGGAAGAAGAATAATTGTCTTGGCTCACATATAAAATATATTATTACTGATGAGATTTAAAAAATTACAAAAAAAATCTCATAATGTTTCGTTAAAGTTTATGAATATGTGTTGGGCCACATTCAAAGCTGTCTTGGGCTGAATGTGGCTCACAGGTCATGGTTTGGATAAGCTTGGACTAAAGCAAGTCCACCTACATGTTTTTTAATTATTGTAATTGGAAAACTAAATGAGGTAGAGCTCTTGTGCTCAAGCAGCATCTGATAGAAAAATAACGATATTTCTTTTTAGGGGTTTAATGGTAAAACATATCTTAAATTCTTAGTCTCTAATCAGATATGGGTTGTATGCTTCAATATCTCACCCTCTCATTCTTTCTTCTCTTTGTGTAAAATAGGATCAACAGAGAAATCCAAGTTGATTTAAATATATATCTTTCTTATGAAATGAGTCAATGAATAGTTTAAAACTCTTGATTTCCTGGGACTCAAGTCTCATAGGAAACTGATTACCATAACTCATTTTCAGAGTCAACTCTCTCAATTCTAATTAGAATTAGAAGTTTCTGAGGAATCCTGGGTACTTGTAATTCATACATAACATTAGTTATTCTTGAGTTATTCATTGGCTTGTCTTTGGGCAGTTTCTTTCAGCAGCCTCTCCTCATTTCTGCATGGATGGAGACTTCACCCTCCTGTTTTCTCACCATCCTCCATTTTCTTTCCATTCCACCATATCGTTTGTTCTGAAGTGATTGATGTGGTCACAGTGATAGTGTCCTGGTTTCTTTTATTTTTCTGAAGTCTTAAGTAATCTACATTATTAAGCTTACATTGTTTTATAGCAATGCAAGATATAGAGTGTGTGTTATGCTGTTCTTGCATTGCTATAAAGAAATACCTCAGACTAGATAATTTATAAAGAAAAGTGGTTTTGTTGGCTCATGGTTCTGCAGGCTGTACAAGCATGGTTCCAGCATCTGGTGGGCTTCTGGGGAGGCCTCAGGGAGTTTTTACTCATGGAAGAAGGTAAAACAGGAGCAGGCACGTCATGCGGTGAGAGAGGGAACAAGAGGGAGAGGAGCAGGAGTTGCTACATACTTTTAAAACAGCTAGATCTCCTGAGAACTCACACACTATCCGAGGACAGCACCAACAGGATGGTGCTAAAGCATTCATGAGAAATCTGCCCCCATGATTCAATCACCCCCGAACAGGCCCCACCTCCAACGCTGGGGATTACAACTCAACATGAGATTTATGGGGGCAAATATTGAAACTCTATCACAGTGCTACTGTTGTGTACATTTCTTTGGAATGGATTGCATTCTGAAATAGTGCAAAAATACTGTCATCACTTTTCTTAATACTGTTAGGTCCTTTTCCCTTCAGTGGCAGTTTGTGAATACTGAGATCCCACAAAGCAAAATGCCATCCTACATCTTGAAGCTATGCTTAGTGGGATTCAGTGATTCCTATTTATAGATTAGGTCCCTAGTGGTGATCTATGTACTATAAATTGCATGCTGATCTTTTGATGCCAATGCAGAGGGCAGCGTTCAGCATAAGAACGCAAGTAGAGGAGAGGCTGCAGGAAGCCAAGAGGTGATAGCAGAACTGGAAGAGTGGCAGGCCTTGGGTCAGGCCCTGACTTCTGGATCTTGAGTTTTGAATGGAATGTTTAGTAAATTAATGACAAATTGATAAATACTTAAAACTACAAAAACAAGTGGTTGTAAGAAGCCATGCAACAAACTAGCCAGACAGCAGAGATTGTATTCACCCTAACAGGGCTTAAGTCTTGCCAAGCTGAAGATGTGGCAGTCAGGCACCAATGGGCATTGAAGGCTAAGAGCTGAAATTAGGAGTGAGGCTGACAATCCATGAGTGAGCGTGCGAACAAGTCAGTGGAGTGTGTCTTGGCAATAGTTTCTCTCCATGGCAGTCACCCCATCCTTTTTAGAAGCTGGGACCCAGGAAATCTGTTCTGCCTCAGGAGGTGCTTTAAAGCTTCTACGTTTCAGTCTAGTTGTTCTCCATTGGGGGTGATTTTGCTCTCCAGGGGACATTTGGCAATGTTTGAAGATATATTTGCTTGTCACAACTGGCAGATGTTACTGGCATCTAGTGAGTGAAGACCAGGAATGCTGCCAAACATTGTATAGTACATAGGACAACCCCCTGCAACAAAGAATCATCTGATCCAGCATGTCAAGAGTGTCGAGGTTGTGAAAGCTAAAGGAAGAAGGCATTCTTAAGGATGTATCTCCTACATGTTGGCTTCACATTACATGTTGGTCCATGCTGATGGCTATCTCTTCCCAACCTTCCCTACCACTGCACTTGCATCATCTTTTCTTCTTCCCCATTCATACTTTGGCTGACTTTTGAAAACTGCCCCTGAAAGGGATCATTGTGGAGTTTCTAAATGTTTTGAAAGTGTTCTTATCAATAATTCAATTCTATTCAGTTCAACAAACATTTGTTGAGTTTTTGCTCATAACTATTTTGCTATATTCCCTGTGTAAGGGAATACAGAGGTGAATAAGCCTGGGTCCTTGTCCCATAAGAGATCATAATTTAGTGTGAGAGCCAGACATATACATAATTAATGATAATCAAGACAGACTAGAGTAGAGCTATAATTGAAGGGTAACCTAGCTGTCAGCTTGGGTCTTCCTGGCTCTACAGATTTAGGCAGCAGTGCCTCATATACTGCATGGGTATATGTGAGCCTTCTAAAATTTTTGTGAATTCACAGGGCAGTGTTCAGCATCAGAACACAGGTAGAGGAGAGGCTGCAGGAAGCCAGGAGGTGATAGCAGAACTGGAAGAGTGGCAGGCCTTGGGTCAGGCCCTGGCTTCTGGATCTCGAGTTTTGAATGGAATGTTTAGTAAATTAATACTTTTACAGTCCATCTTCTGCATTAATGCCTTCTTTCTCTATCCATTTTCTCCGGAACACAGAAATTCATTCCTATATTGGTTTCTGAGTATAAATCTACCCACTTAAAGATTTCTTTGAATTTTTACAGGATGCACCAATAATTCTAGATTATTCATGAAGGGGTCTCCTTGAATGTTACTTAATATGCCCTTTCAGAGTCCTCTGTCCCCTCCTTCTCTTTCACTCTGACACTTGCCTCCCTACTCTTCTGCAGAACAACTTGTTTCCTTTATTGTCTCATTCCTAAAAGTTCTCTCCACACTCAGAACGTTTGTGATCTCACCTTTTACTCTAGTAATTTTTAGGATATACTTTTCCCCAAGAAATACAATTCTCTTCCTAAGAGAATTTCTGGCACCAGAAATAACATTTTGTTCCACATCTGTGCAAAAACGCAATCACATTACGTAAGCAGAAGAAATACACTGGGAGATGGGGTCAGGAAAAGCTGTCTAGGGGACGTGAGCCTGGAAGTATCAGCAGGAATTAAGAGACAGAAGAAGGGAGTGTGCAAATATTCCAGGCAAAACAAACAGCATCAGCAAAGGCACAGAGGGTGAAGTGCTTTCTGTCTGGGAAACCGGTATGGAAAAGGTACAAGGAATATTCTTGCTGAAGAATTTAGACTTTGATCTGTATTCAGCAGGAAGTCATTAAAGCATCTTAAGCATGTATGGGAGAGTGGAGGGGATGGGGATGTCACAACCAGGTTCATATTTTAGAAAGATCATTGTGGATACCGTGTGGCAGAGGGATCAGGGCAAGGAGGAATGGTGACCTATCAGGAGACAGTCACAGTTGTCCAAGCAAGAAATTACATGAGAATGTGAAAGGGGAATGGATAATATTTAATTTTTCTTTGTAATTTTTTTTCACTTCATGTGCATGCCTTTTCTCTTCTATGATAGGGAAGAAAAGAATATAATTCAGTGTCCTTAGATCTAACTTTGAGTCCTAGATTTGTGAATTCTTCAGTTGCTACGTCCATAGGGCTGCTGTTTTGAGCTATCTCAAATGGCCATTTGGGCTGAGCTATCATTATCTAGATGACCATTCATTAACAGATCATTAACATCATTAACATCATTAAGTAGAGAGACCTCCTCTTAGTGGGTCAGGCAAACAATGTGGAGGTTTTCTGAAATACTTCCTTTAAGTGCATCTCCTCTTCACTGCCAGTCTTTCTTTCTGGTTTATAAGGTTATTTTTGCTTTCTTGAGATATCTGGGGTTAAGTCACTTTGGTTTTCCTTCAAGTGTTTAAGGTTTGACAAAGCAAAAACCCTGGATGTGCCAGCCCCTGACTGTCTCCTTCAATTTTCCCTTCAGAAAGTTGCAGCAAGTTTTTCTTTTTAGAAAGTACTAACTTCTGGAAACTTGAACATGCCATATGTATTTGCTTGACCAGAGAAAGGATCTTTTTTGAAAATCTTTGGAATCTTCTCCTTAAAGATTTGCCTGGTAGTTTCACCTTCTAAATATCTGCACCTTGCCCTTATTTCTATGCATGGTAACTCTACCAACTTTGTTCCTGCATTCTTCCTCCAGCAGTTGCCATTCCAGGCTCCTGGTGACTTTGGGTTTCTGTAGTTTCTTCAAAGAAGTCCTAGAGCATTTCCTGGAAGAACTGAAACATTCTCACTTTCCCCAAGAACTTTCCCCATCTCTGTCATCCTGGTTTGGAGTGAGTCTTTACTCTCCAGGAAGAGAAAATCCAGTGAATTTGTGCATTATTTTTTTGTTCCAATCTTGGTTGGATCAGAATATCCTTAAAGAAACTAAAATGAAGAAAATACTGCTTGGAATCAAGAATCATTTGCTGCCTAATAGCAGTGCAAACCTGGGAAAGTTACAATGTGTCTCCAAATTTTAAAGTCTTTGTCTTTTAAGCTAATATAACACATTGCAGCCTTATTGTGAGAGTTAAATGAGATTACGCATGTGAGAACACTTTCTGAACTTTAAAATTGTATATAAATTTTGGTGTAGTAATTTTTCTACACTTGTTGCATGTCGTATGCTTCTTCATTAATAGTGGACAAAAATCTCAGTAAATGATATAATGAATCTAATAGTCCTAGTTTATGGGGTGGATGAGGGTGAGAAAAAGGGCTGCAAGAAAAGAGACAGCACTAACTTTTTGAGGATGTAATTATTTTATAGTTAACAACAGGTAAGAAAGAAAGCCTCTTTACATTTTGGTCATGAGCCTAATACTTAAATTTATGCCACTAACCTGAGCCTCTCTTTCAGTCCAATATGTAACAAAAGAACTGAGAAGCCACAGGTCAGGTGATCTCTTATGGAATTTTGGGGTTAAAAGTGTTGAATTCTGATCAAACATCGTGAGATACTATTTCTTAGATATTTTAATGATAAGGTCTCAAGAGACACATATCTCAAGTTTAAGTATATCCTGAAATTTTCCTGTTTGGAGTTCGCCCACCTCAATGAAAGCTGCGTCTCTAGTCCTTCATATGGGATGGTTAACCCAGAGACAATGACACCTCATTTGCAATGATTTCCTCTATAGTTAGAAAAGAGCAAACATTAGCATTTGGAAACAAAGAAATAATTCTGTGTATTTTGGATGGTTCACAATCATTTGGACAAGTAGTTTCCTCTATAGTCCAAAGCTTTCTCCAAAAACGCTCCAATGGTTGTTGCAATATCTCATGCCACTAAGTTGATTTCATTTTTTTTTCTCCTGGACATTTTTCACCTTTGTTTTAGCTACTTTTAGACTGTATACTTGGAAAGCATGTTTTGAGGTAACTCTATCTTGGAGAAATCATGCGTCTCTCAACTGAAATCCATTATATGGCTGGCAAAAAGTTATTTGTAAATGGGAAAATTTGCTGAAATCAGGTGGTCAAGTAATTGGAAAAAAAGATGAGATAAAGCCCCAGGAGAGCATGTTAGAAATTGGAAATGCGTGGGTAGAGACTTGGGCATTTGCCTTCTCTTCAACTGGATTTATAATTTCAGAGGAGTCAGGGAGGAGATGAAGAGAAAGAAAGAATTATCAGTTGCCAAGAGAGAATTTAAGAAGCTTAAAAAAAAAAAAAAAAAAAAGAACCTTGGCCAACAAAGATTAAACTAACTAAATGAATCAGTAAATTTTTATTGAAATTTTCTGTCTTTGGATGATTTCTCCAAATGTTTAGAGGTTTTCTTATTTAAAGGCTTAGTGATAGCACTTTCTCAGCTGTTTTATTGATGTTGAAGAACTCAATTCTACCAAGGTGACTTATAAAAGCACCCTAATGCCTTTGGCTTTCACTCTGTATTCCTGAGAAACTGTTCTAATTTTGCCAAATGAATTGGGGAGGTGAGTCTGTATGAAACTTATTCCAGGTTTGCTTTGCTGCAAATTATGTTCCTTCTTGTTATGAACATTTGAAGATAAAAATACTATTCCATTGCCATCTGTTAAGTATATTCTGTACAACTCAAGAATATATTAGAACAATACCTTACGTATTGAATTTATCTTCCAGAGATGGGGTGGCCTCATCAGTCTCTGGTGTCACAGCACAGCCAGGACGCCCAAGAATAATGAACCCACCCTTATCTTGTGCACATGAATTCAATTTCCTTTCTATTGTAATGTCATATTTGATTCACTTACTTCTTATTTTTATTTTTAAAGGTTGCCTACAGCCCCAAGCCTCTTTCTCTGTCACCACTAATATAAAACATTTCTCAGAATTATCCAGTTCTGGGTCTGTTTGCCCTACTAGGCTTTGTGAATACCTCAGACACCTAAGTAGAGTCCATAGATTAAAAATATTTTCCGCCTATTAATGTCAGGCAACTAGGATGACGTCTGAAGTTCAACTGGTAAATTTATCATCACAGAAATTGTCTATTTGATTTCATTTTTAAATTTATCTTCCATATACTCAGGAAACACATATGATCCTACTATATGTGGGCAGCATCCTGTACACTGAACCTTAATGAGAGATAGGTCACAACACAGCCTGAATTTGAACCCAATTAGAGTAGCAAAAGATTCCGTGAGAATAAATCTCCTGTATTTGCTGGCTTCCTCTTTAGAGAAACAAGACAATATTTCCACATTATATTTACCTAATGGATGAGGCTCAGTCTATTAGATGAGATATAAAATAAATTAAATTCTGTGGCAGGTGAACACCCCAAGGATACTGTGGTTTGTAACACTATGTTAATATTCTCCAAGACCACTGCATGAGCTTAGCAGAGCTATCTTCAAAATTAGCTTTACAGGCCACCTGCAGACTTCTCTTTTGCTTTCCTAATCAAAACTGCAATCCTAGGTAATTTAGCAAAATATTAAGTAAATAATTGCTTCAGAATATTTTAGGTTTAGGGACATAAATCTTATTCTTTTTACATGCCTGCTGATGCTAAGAAGCAGTGAGGTTCCAACCTTGCAATTTCAGTTTTGGGTGAGCTCTATTACTTTCCATTCTGAAAAATTAAATTCCTTTTGCAGATGGTTGTAACACAATCCTTAGCTAAATTATAGTGGGAAGAGGATCTGACTTCAGGGGTCTGTACAGTACATACTCAGGATCAAGATGAAAAGGAGTGAAACAAGCTCTAGAGTTTTGGAGTGTATCCATGTGTACTTATGAATGTGAGCTCTTTTTTTGGAAATGGTTTTTGTTATGTGCTTCCAAATCGATGCCTTCTGAAACTGAGCACCAACTGGGATAATAAGGATCTTGTGGTGGGTGAGCCTTATAACTGCAGTTGTGGATGGAGGGGGCTTCCTAATTAGACCCTGGCAACTTAAATCTGGCAGTCTCTGTAACAAAAAGTGGTTGTGATAATAATGGCAGCAACAGGGTATGCTGTGTGTGAATTGAAAAGCATTTGCATTTTGAAATAAGCAATCTGCTTTTGGATGTAGCCGTTCCATAATGTCAAGGTTTGGTTTAGATTCTGCTTTGGTTCTGTTGGTGGCTTCCTTTATCCTTCTTTTACCTCCTTCCCTATTTTCTATAGGATGATGGGATTTTCTTCATTCCCTCCCACTTGCACTCACTGCCCCTTCCTCATTGGAAAGTTGTTTATTGCCTTTTAAATTCCTTAATGGCACTCTAACTTTTAACACCTTTTTGACTTAGTAATGTCAAGTATTAGTCCATGTTCTGCCCTCCTCCCAAATGACATAAAGACCTTCAGACTCTGTGGCTCTCATCGCTTCTCTATTAGCTTGCATGTAGTTGTCATCTGATATCTTAGTTTTATATAGTTTTTAAAAACTCAAAATTAGTCATTATTATTATCTTATCAAGCCAGTTATCTTATTTATTTTCAATTTCTTTTTCTTTTATTTTTTATTTTACTTTAAGTTCTGGGATACATGTGCAGAATGTGCATTGGTATACATGTGCCATGGTGGTTTGCTGCATCTGTCAACCCGTCACCTAGGTTTTAAGCCCCGCATGCCAATGTGTATTTAAATTTACCCCACACTTCTAGTTCTTTGCTCACCATTCCTCTTTGCATTTCCTTCCTTTCTTTACACTCTTTCATTCTAAGTCTAATTCACTCAGTGGGGCTGACATGTATCTCTTAAAACATGTTTCCATAGGGATCTGTTAATGGTAATTATACTCCGTTTTGTAATCTGAAAGCATCTATTTTATCCTCATTCTTCAAGGATAGTTTGGCTGGGCATATAATAGGAAATTGACAGTTATTTTCTTTTGGCACTTTGTATTATTTTCTTTCTTTATTAGTTTTTATCACTGTTAATTAGAAAGTCCTCAATGAGATACTGTTGCTTTCTGGATTCTCTGTTTTAAATAAACTATCTTTGTCTATTTTGTACTTCAGTTTCTCCACCATGTGCCTAGGCAGAATTCATTTTTGTTCATCCTGTTTAGGACTCCTGAAAGTGTAGACCAGAAAAAAGAGTTGCCTACAGCCTTAGACAAGAGTTTTTGTGCTGCCTTTCCTAGATTTCCATCATTCATAGGTTACCTTCACAATGTTTGCCTTTTCTGCTGACTACTTGTACCATTATTTGTTTAATATCTTTTTTAAAACTGACTTTAAAAAAATGTAAATTAGTTTAAATCAGTATAGAAGAAAAAGCCTATGAAATCATGGGCTTGATATGTCAATTATAATTTTTCTAATGAAAATATAACTATTATTTTATTTAAATAAATATATGTCTACTACAATGGAAGAGTCCACCTGTGTCTCACCTAAAATACCTTATACCCCAGCATTTCAATCCTGTGAATGAGACTGTCATTGTAATGTGTCATCATTTGAGTTCTTCCTCACACTTATGAGGGGATTTTATTCTTTGTCTGAAATGGTTTCTGGAAGGTTCTGCCTTTGGTTAGGGAATTATCTGATTCTGGGTAGCTTGCTCCAACATGAAAAAAGAGGATGGTGGTCTATGCATTTGGCCATACTGGCCAAAGGAAGTGGCTGGAAGTGGTGAAAGCTGAGGCTGAGAATTGAGAGTGGCTTGATTCTAGAGGTTTTTTTGTTCACCACCCCACAAAAAATATTTTATCCTTGATGGACACATAAATTTGTGTTTAAACACACATGTTGTGGTCAGTACTCTTTCATCAAGGAAACTGATTAATAAAGCAAAACTTTTCTTAAATTTGCACTTCATAAGTTAACAAAAGGCAACAACACACGATACCAACTTACCACTGCTTGAGTGAGCCAAGGGTGGAAGAAATTTATGGGCAGATTTAAAATGTTTTGCTTGATCAGAATATTCACATAATATGCTAATTGAGGAAAAGATAATTCCTCGGTCAAATTCCCACTCCAACTGGGATATTATCACTGTTTGAAACACTGAAGAGACTATGATATGCTAATAGCTTTAAATTGGTTCACATTCAAATTTCTAGGTGTTTGGGGAAGCTAAACATGCTTTACAGTGATTGGCCTCTTCTGTAAATGTGGCCTTAGGTACCACTTCTTGTGTTGAACAGCCACTTTTACATCCAGGAGTGATAGGTTCCAGGCCTAGTTATCTCAGTCTTCCTTAAGCAGACATGGCTATTTGCCATCTCACTGGGGGACCTTCCCTAGTGAGCAACCTGGCTGCTTAGCTGGTTTTAATTTGGTCTTTTGTGGAAAGTTTTATTTAAAAATAATTATAAAAAAATCCATTAATGCTCAAGAAAGTGAAACTTGGGCCAGGATAAAAAGAATGCAAAAATGTCAGCAAATCATGCATACTTAGAAACTACAGTGAAGGAATAGATTCAACCATGTCTGACCCTGCTATAATGAGCTGTGTTTGGTTTTGGGTAGAAAATACACTTGCATATCGATTAAAGCATAGCAAACAAGTTGGGCGCGGTGGTTCAAGCCTATAATCCCAGCACTTTGGGAGGCCGAGGCAGGCAGATCACTTGGGGCCAGGAGTTCCAGACTGCCTGGCCAATGTGACAAAACCCCGTCGCTACTAAAAATACAAAAATTAGCTGGGAGTGGTGATGCATGCCTGTAATCCCAGCTACTCGGGAGGATGAGGCTTGGGAATGTTTTGAACCCAGGAGGCGGAAGTTGTAATGAGTCGAGGTATCGCCCCTGCACTCCAACCTGAGCGAAAGAGAGACGCTGTCTCAAATAAATAAATAAATAAAAATAAAAAAGCAAACAGATTCAGAATAGGTTTTACCTCATTTTTTAGAAAACCCATGAACCCAATGGTAATTTAAGGGATACAAATTAATACAGAAGAAAGATTCTTTGAGAAACAACAGTGCCTGCTGCCAAACAAGGAACATAGGAAAAAAAAAAGAAGTCAAAAATTAAGGAGAAATAGTAATGCCCAAAAGTCAGAACTTCGATGTCTCATGTTAAAAAAGAGAGAAGACAGTGAAGAATCCCTTGCCTTCCACCCTCCTGGGGGCTTCTCCCCTACCTGGGGATACAGAGCGAAGAACTGTAAGTGTTTGCCTCCACTTGAGAAGATAATGGAGCCATAGGGGGTTGCATTTTGAGATGGTGTTAAGACACAGGGCAGACAAAATGGAATAGACAGGCCCTAAAGTTCTTATGGAGCAGCCCTGTAATATCCTCAGCGTCAGCAGACTCAGACCCTAGATATCTGCTGGCATTCTATTGACAAAAATTGTGTGCCGCTGTCAACTAGTAAGTAGATTTTGCTTAGGGTGTCGAACTAACCCTCTGTTGCTAAGTTGGGTAAGTAACTCTTTCAGGTTGTTGAGGGAGGGGTGTATATTTGCTAGGATTGCCATAACAAGGGACTGCAAATAGGGTGGCTTAAACAATAGAAATTTTATTTCCTTACAGTTCTGGAGGTTACAAATCCAAGATCAAGATTTTGACAGAGTTGGTTTTATTCTGAGGCTTCTCTTCTTGGCTTATAAATGGCTATCTTTTCCCTTTGTCTTCAAATGAACTTCCCTCTGTGTATGTATGTGTCTTCACCTCCTCTTCTTGTAAGAACTCTAGTTATGTTGGATTAGGGCCTACCCTGAAAACACCATTTTACCATAATTACCTTTTGAAATGCCAAGGGGAAAACAGCCCATAACAGGGTGATTTAGACAAATATCCCTGAATGCCTTAGCAGAAGTAGTTGGTACTCTTTAAGAATCTTTGACTGTCTATAGATATTATTTAAGCCGAATCCAGTTTATATGATTTTTCTAAAATTAATAATTGAATAGTAAGATATTAGAATTACTTAGAAGAAGACTATTGTAGGGTTTTGAAATACTCATATTCTCAGCATCCTCAAAATAGAATTCAGGAATCTGAATATCAAGTGCTGGTGAGTATTCAACAATGGTAGTCTTAGTTAATAATAGTAAAATAATTCTGAACAACAACAACAACAACAAAAAACCTCCAACAATGTGGGATCTTTGTGATCTAAAATAAAATTCATCATTTTCTTGTGTCTACAAAATAAAACATTGTGTTGAAATATTAATAGTATAAGCCAGTGCTGAGGAACTTGAGTATTTCTTATTGTACAAATATAACTACCTGAAGAAATATTTCCTCACAATTCTTTCAACCCCTAAACCAGGTGTCTGATGCGTTGAAAAAGGGTTCTCTTTCTTAGTTGGCCAATTATAGATGATAGATAAATGATAAATACAGTCACAGACTGAAATCCAAAAATTTAAGAAGCTTTGAAAGATAAATTTCAAATGAGAGATTGAAAATGGTATCAATACCTACATCTTGTTTTTATTTTTTAACATGCTATCTTTCCTTGATTTCTTTGAGGGCAAAGTTTGGGGCCAAAACTCAAGGTAGGGTTGGATGTGTTTGCCTCTGGCATGGCCTCTGAGGCACTTTAATCTATCTCTATGTACTCTTGAGCTTCTTTATGCAAAGTTCTCTGTTAGAGGCTTGTTTCACGCCTGGGGACACAAACAGAAGCTAAAGGGGGAAAATATATATTGTTAATTAGACTATACTCTGCAAAGTCTAAAAGAGAAAAGAACACTATTTCATAAAGGCCAATGTTCGCATGCTTTCTGAGGACTAGAAAGTTTGAGTTAGTAGAGAATGAGGATCACTAAGGTTGAGATATTGCTCTCATTTTATCTTTTGTAAGAAAATGGGAAGTAAAACCAAACCAAAACAAATATATAGTTAATATTGAAGACATGATTTCATTATTTTCAAGAAAATGCAATATTCTAGACCAAGTTTAATCTCAACAAAAATTGCTAACATTAAAAACTATAAAAGTAGGATATTTGTTGGAATCCTTTGAATACATATATAATTTTAAATTTCATAATAAAGTATTAGGACCCCCCTCCTCCCCACTACATATTGACTTTATTTTGTTTGTTTCTGATTAAACTGATTTTACAATAGAAATATTTAAAAATGTCTCCTAAGTAATAATAATTATAGTTTGTTATGGCAACCCATGACAATGCTAGACATCAAATAAAAATCTGCCTTTAAAATGATATGCATATATCTCCCAAATACCTCATTTCTTGTTTTTATGAGTGTCATGGAGAAATACATCTGTGGTGAAGTTATTCACAAATCTAATAGCAATGCTATTGTTTCTGATTTTTATAGACTGCTTCTGTTGTGATATTACAATGCATTACAAAAGTAGACTCATCTGTTTGCACAATACTAGCCGTTCCTTATATTCTTGCTTTACAAATGGAGAGAGAGAAGCAAGGAGTTTTGGCATGATTTTAAACAAATGTCCCCAGTATTTGGAAAGACTGTCAAGGAGAAGGGATTCTCTCCTGACCCCTGGGTTGCTATTGTAGCACCCATACCAGGCTTTTTCCCGTGGAAGAAAATGAAATATCTCACACAACATGTTTACAGTACAATATGTAAGGTACAATGGCAAAACACAGTTATGTCAATACCATTTATGAAGAACAAATTAAAAAAATACCTCCTTCATAAAATCAATAGCAAGGCAGAGAAAATCAAGATGAATGGGCAAAGGAGAGTAGGTAACCCGGATAACAAATGAGTGGAATCTGAGCGCACACCTGCTTGAGTGAGCATAGGTAAACAATTACTGGCTGAATGCGTGCTTTCACCGAGTAAGTTGGGTCAACAGAGTCAGATAAGAGGAAGAGAGGATAAATTGTTGAGGCATAAAATAAAAATGTTTATCTGAGTGTTTATCACCCCTTGATCTAACGTGGAATTCATAGATGGAGCCCAGTGCACGGCAGGCTCGGCTCTGGGTTTATACCTTGCCCTGGAATCATTCAGCAAACCATAAAACGTGCTTTCTCACTTTTCTGCTTGGATGATTTCAGAGCTGCTCTCCAGAGACCAATTTCTCTAATGGCGAGATCTAATTCAATTGTGTGCTCACTCAATTCAGAGGGAAGGCCGTGGAAGGAACAGCGCCACAGACAGTGCATCTGGGGTTGGAGGGATGGAGATTCTGTTCTGGGAGTGAGGAGAGTGAATGTGTTGCTTCTCAGTGAATGCGTTGGTTGTGCACCTCTCCTCATCTTTCTTACTCTTCTAATTCAGGTGAAACCCCAGTGTGCAAGGATTACATACATCTTGCCCAATATAAAAATGATAGTAATAGTTTCTTTTTCCTGAATTCCCCTTTTAATCTCTGTTATTTAGCACTTCAGGGAATGGGTTATGTTAGTTCACTAAGTTTTTTCAACTTGCTATAGTTAGTTACCATACACTTGATTGAATGATGTGTACTCCTTTAAAATTTGCCATTAAGACCCCCAGATATCACATTCTGTTCATTTTGTCATTAGAAAGTCCTACACTATAAACTCCTACAGGCCAGGGCTAAGCTAATGCTGCTCATTTTGTATTGTTCATATTTAGTGTTGTGCTCATGATATTTTGGCAACTCATGAATACCTCCTGGTGATAATGCACTTATGCTACTGCCACAATTTTCTACAAAGAACTGACTCAGCAAAGGGTCTATGCTTTGAGTGACTTGTGCGTAGTGATGATAGATGTGCTACTCATTCAAATGTCCTCTTCTCACCATTTCTCCAGGAAATAATGATTTCCTTTGTGTGCTAGACATGAAGGCAAGGTGAACAGACTACCTTGTACATTAGGCTGTATTCATCAATGAAACCTTCCAACTTTCATACTTACACTTTGTAGGCTTGTATTTAAAAGGCTGGTGCTCCAGGGGCTTTTCACTTTCTCCTAAGTATCTGGTTTCCAATGAGAACAATAGAACCACAGAATTTTGGAAACTAAAGGGAGTTTAGAGACTCTTTAACACTCTGACTTTAGAGATGGTGGAAATGAGGCTTAGAGAGGTTGAAGTCACAAAGTTAGTTAATGGCAAGGCCAGGGCTTAAACTCGACTCTGTCTCTTTCATTTAATTATAATGCGGGCCTTCTCTATGGCAGGCACTTGTAATTGTTGTGGAAGCAGAAGTGAATGAGACAGATACAGACCCTGGGAAATGAAATTTACTAGGCTTTATCTCCTTTCCAGTAGACTAACGGGCTGGATCAGCAGGATGTTGATTTTTTTTTTCTTCAACTTTTATTTTAAGTTCCAGGGTGCATATACAGGATGTGCAGGTTTGTTACATAGGTGAATGTGTGCCATGGTGGTTTGCTGCACAGATCATCCCATCACCTAGATATTAAGCCCAGCATCCATTAGCTATTCTGCCTGATGCTCTCCCTCCCCAACCCCAACCTCCTACAGGCCCCAGTGTATGTTGTTCCCTGCCATGTGTCCATGTGTTCTCATAATTCAGCTTTCACTTATAAATGAGAACATGCAGTGTTTGGTTTTCTGTTCTTGCATTAGTTTGCTGAGGATAATGGTTCCCAGCTTCATACATGTCCTGCAAAGGACATGATCTCAGTCCTTTTATGGCTGCAATCCATGGGCATATGACCACATTTTCTTTATCCAGTCTATCATTGATGGGCACTTAGGTGGATTCCATGTCTTTACTATTGTGAATAGTGCTGCAGTGAACATATGCATGCATGTATCTTCATAATGGAATGACTTATATTCCTTGGGGTATAAACCCAGTAATGGGATTGCTGGGTCAAATGGTATTTCTACCTCTAGGTCTTTGAGGAATCGCATGCTGTTTTTCACAATAGTTGAACTAATTTACACTCCCACCAGCAGTGTAAAGGTGTTCACTTTTCTCCACAATCTCTCTAACATCTGTTGTTTTTTTGACTTTTTAGTAATAGCCATTCCGACTGGCATGAGATGGTGTCTCATTGTGGTCTTGATTTGCATTTCTCTAATAATCAGTGATATTGAGCTTTTTTATGTATATTTGTTGGCTGCATGTATGTCTTCTTTTGGGAAGAGCCTGTTCATGTCCTTTGCCCAGTTTTTTATGGGTTGTCTGATTTTTTTCTTGTAAATTTGTTTAAGTTCCTTGTAGACTCTGGATATTAGACCTTTGTCAGATGGGCAGATTGCAAAACCTTTCTCCCATTCTGTAGGTTGTCTGCTCACTCTAATGATAGTTTCTTTTGCTGTGCAGAAGCTCTTTAGTTTAATTAGATACCATTTGTCAATTTTTGCTTTCATTGCAATTGCTTTTGGTGTTCTCATTATGAAATCTATGTCTGTGCCTATGTCCTGAATGGTATTGCCTAGATTTTCTTCTAGGGTTTTTATAGTTTCGGGTTTTACTTTTAAGCCTTTAATCTGTCTTGAGTTAATTTTTGTATATGGTATAAGGAAGGGGTCTAGTTTCAATTTTCTGCATATGGCTGGCCAGTTCTCCCAACACCATTTATTAAACAGGGAAATCTTTTCTCCATTGCTTGTTTTTGTCAGATTTATCAAAGATTAGATGGTTGTAGGTGTGTGATCTGATTCCTGAGTTCTGTATTCTGTTCCATTTGTCTATGTGTCTGTTCTTGTACCACCAGTACTATACTGTTTTGATTACCGTAGCCTTGTAGTATAGTTTGAAGTCAGGTAGCATGATGCCTCCAGCTTTGTTCTTTTTGCTTAGGATTGCCTTGGCTATTTGGGCCCTTTTTTGGTTCCAAATGAATTTCAGAATAGTTTTTTCTAATTGTGTGAAGAATGTCAATGGTAGTTTAATGGGAATAGAATTCAATCTATAAATTACTTTGGGAAGTACAGCTGTTTTCACGATATTGATTCTTCCTATCCATGGTCATAGAATATTTTTCCATTTGTTTGTATCATCTCTGATTTCTTTGAGCAGTGATTCATAGTTCTACTTGAAGAGGTTCTTTATTTCCCTTGTTAGCTATAATTCTAGGTATTTTATTCTTTTTGTGAATGGGAGTTCATTCATGATTTTGCTGTCTGCTTGCCTGTTGTTGGTGTATAGGAATGCTTGTGATTTTTGCACATTGATTTTTGTATCCTGAGACTTTGCTGAAGTTGCTTATTAGCTTAAGAAGCTTTTGGGCTGAGACAATGGGTTTTTTTAGATATAGGATCATGTCGTCTGCAAACAAAGATAATTTGACTTCCTCATTTCCTATTTGAATACTCTTTATTTCTTTCTCTTGCCTAACTGCCCTGGCCAGAACTTCCAAAACTGTGTTGAATAGGAGTGGTGAGAGAGGGCATCCCTGTGCCGATTTTCAAGGGGAATATTTCCAGCTTCTGCTCATTCAGTATGATATTGGCTGTAGGTTTGTCATACATGGCTTTTATTATTTTGATGTATGTTCCATCAATACCTAGTTTATTGAGAATTTTTAACATGAAGGTATGCTGAATTTTATTGAAGGTCTTTTCTGCATCTATTGAGATAATCATGTGGTTTTTTCTTTAGTTCTGTTTATGTGATGAATCACATTTTTTGATTTGCGTATGTTGAACCAACCTTGCAGATGTTGACTTCTTGATGAAGTACATCTGTGATTTAAAGCAATGTTTCAAACATGTAAATTTCTAGGTAACTGTTTTGAATCCTAGTCTGTTCGTACACTTTTAACATTATAGTTTTCAAGGAAAGTTGTCTTAAACTAGCTTCACTGACTACCCCTCTTCCTATCCTCCTAATTTATTTGAAGTTCTTTTGTATTAGAAGTTACTGTTGCAATAGTTTCCTTTGTGCTGGTCATTTCTTCTGTTTCCACTCTACTCTGGTGCTAGTAGTCCAAAAAGGAACCCCCAAGAAGGAAACTATCAGAGATCATGAATAAGAAGGCAGACCTTCTCCAGCACTCCCCAGACTGCTCATTTGAATGATTCTTCCCCTGAAGATTTCTCCCCAGAGCCAATTTCTCAAGAGAGTCCTCAGGAGTAATTTATTCTTCTCCTATTTATATCTTCTTTTCTTTCTATCTTAGCAGATGCCAGAACAAAGACCTATGACCTATGGTTGCTTGTGTAAAGTCATGTAGTTGCCTCTTTTCTTAGCAATAATTAATTTTTTATTTTCTTAATCTTTTTATCTTTGATGAAAACTTATTTTTACATGAAGCTTTGTAGTACACAGTACTTTTTATATGGTGTCTCATTGAGCCTCAAAACAAATATGTGAGGTAGACAGAATTTTCCTTATCATCTCCATTTTCCAGTGTAAAACCAGAGGCTCAGAAAATTTGGAAATTAATACAGTTGTACTGGTGGTGCCCACCTGAGGACTGAAGGGCAGTGTTCTGAGAAGTCATCTTGACTAGTTCCATTAAGCCATGCTGCCGTCATGCTGGACTTTAAAACAATTTTTCTTAATTATTCACAAATAATATGGAAGTATTCCTGAGCAACAGCTTTTTTGTGAGTTCTTAGAATATGTCTTAAAAACACACTTGAATAGAAAATAACAAAATTTAAATAGCAACATAAAGCTGTGTCCCCTTATCAATACATGAATTTATGTGTAGAATTTGTTAAACAATTGGTATAAGTGATGGCATTTGACCCTGCGCAAGGAGTCTTCTCTTGGAATGGCAGACTTTCCCTTTGAGTCCCAGCACAGAGGTTAAGATTGGAGGCTCTGGAACCAGACTGGTTTCAAATTTTGATTCTGCTGCTTCCTACCTATGTAACCATAGGCAAGTTACCTCTGGGTGCCTCTGTTTCATAATCTATAAAATGGGCATAATAGTAGTCCCTAGCTCATAGGCTTGTTGTGAGGATTGAAAAGCATGTACACACACACTCACCCCTGTCACAGTATAGAAGAGTAGAACAGTGTCTGGCACTTAGGGAGCCCAGTTGAAGTGTTGTCATTCCTAAGATAGTGTGTCAGGAAAGTGACCTGGACCTGGAGTGGTGTGAGAGTGACTTCAACGGTCTGCAGGAGAACCGAATTCCAGTTTCCCCTCTGAGCTTGGTTCAGGGAGGCAGATTTTTTTCTTTGTTTACAAGTTTGAGTAGTTTATTAATCTGACAAAATTACATTTTAATAATTAACATAATCAATAAATGTAACATAAAAAATTATAAAAACTAGATATATGTAATCATATACATATAGCTATTTTGCAATACAAAGTTATGAAATAGCAATTCTCTGTATTAAGTACCTAACACACACTTTGAACAAATGATGTTTTATCAATATTTTAAGTTTTTAAACACTATTTTTTAATTTTTATGGATACATAATAATTATACACATTTACGGGGTACACATAATATTTTAATACAAACATACAGTGTGTAATGATCAAATGTGGGTGATTGGGATATCTATCACCTCAAGCATTTATCATTTCTTTGTATTGGGAACATTCCAAATATACTCTTCTAATTATTTTGAATTAAATAATAAATTATTGTTAGCTATAGTCATCCTATTGTGCTACTGAAAACTAGATTTTATTTCTTCTAACTCTACTTTTGTACTGATTAACTAACTCCTTGTTATTCCCCACCCCCAATACCCTTCTAAGCTCATGGTAATCACCATTCTGTTCACTACCTCCATAAGATCAATTTTTAGCTCCCATATATAAGTGAGGACATGTGACATTTGTCTTTCTGTGCCTAGCTTATTTCATATAACATAATGACCTTCAGTTTCAGCCAGATTGTTGCAAATAACAGGATTTCATTATTTTTTATGGCTGAATAATATTCCACTGTGTGTATATACTACATTTAAAAAATCTGCTTAAAATGTGGTGGCTTCCTTATCGTGGCTCCTGAGAATAGTGCTATAATAAATATGGGGGTGCAGATACTGCTTCACTGTGCTAATTTCCTTTCTTTTGGATATATACCCAGCAGTGGGATTACTAGACCATATGGTAATTCTATTTTTAGTTTTTTGAGGAACTTCCATATAGTTTTCCATAGTGGCTGTACCAATTTACATTCCCACTGACAATGTATGAGTGTTCCAGGGAATGAGGTGACAGATTTAGCCTTCTAGGTGCAGGCTTGGAGTGAATGACACTGGGCCCCTGGGCCCCTCTGCTTAGCTGAGTTTTTATTATCAGGCAAATGAACAGAATATAAACTTTTTTTTTTTTTTTTTTTTTTTTTTTAAAAGGCTATGTGAAAGCTCCCAATCATGGGAACTGGGCCACACAGTATCCAACTTGGTCTCCAAAACCCTAGGAATGCATGCTGCCAGGAAGGAATGAAGACATCACAGAGAGAGCAGTGTTTTCCCAGTAGCAGTTGTCATTGAGAGTTATGTCATTCCAGCTGTCAGAGGAGGAGTCTTGGGAAATCACTAACTTTGCATTCTGGGCCTGATAGTCTGGGATAGTGATCTGAGCCAAAATGGCCTGGACTGGTGCTGGGGGTGAGCCTTGTTGGGGAAAAGGCTAAAGCTACCTAAGAGTTTGCTCTTTTAAATCAGGGTTGCCTGATGAACCAGGGTCAAGCTGAGGCTGACTTTGGTGGGAAGTTTCCCTGCTTGTCTTACCCTTTTAAATGCAGGATCTTTAAAGGCAATGACTGGGCATGTGCACAGTTATTTTCTACTACTTACCCAGGGTCTGTCATAATTTATAGTTGATTGATAAACAATTGTTGAATGAGTTGGAAAAGCAAGGAAGAAGGGGAGTTGAAGTAAGTGACTTAGGCAGAGACTAAACAGCAATTAGGCCTGAAGCCTGATACTTAGTCAGCTGAGGTGCGCAAGATCAGCACTTTCTAAATTATGGGATGCTAGATAGACTTCTGGTGATGCCTGGGTGCAATGGCGCATAAGGAAATAAAAATGGCTTCCAATTTCTGTAGGAAAAACTCATAAAGACATCTTTCAGGAACTGAGTCAATGAACATAGTTTTAAAAATGTATACCTGTGTTGCTTATAAACTGATATCAATAGGGAGTGTTATTTTCTAGAAAAGGAAACTGAAGCCAAAAAATAAAATAAAATAAAATAAATGGCCCAAGGCCCTGCAGTAGTATAAGGCAGTATAAAGGGCAGGAACCAACCTGTTTTTATTGTGTGGTTTGTCTTTCTGTTTAAAAATTATAAAATCCAAACAGCACAGGAAGCTCAATTTAATTCTAGCGAAGAGAACTAAAATGGTTTAGTTCATGACTGTTGCAATCTCTTTAGGATGAGGAGGGAGATTCGGAGCTTCGAGTGGAGCAGGGAAGCAGAACAGATGTGAGAAGCCATCTTCTAAATGACTGTGGATTTCAAAACCAGTATTGGAAGCTTCAGCCTGTGGCCTAATCCTTTCAAAAAGAAAGTAGTTACGGTCTCACTTAGCAGTGAATCCTCAAGCAGGCAGCCCGAGGTGGAATATGTTTGAAACAAGGCATGACTTTAATTCAAGCAGAATTAGTCTGTGTCTATGAAAAACCAGCCTCATGCTGTCGTCCCAGGACAATTGGTCTTTCTGTTTCCTCTTGGTTTCCGATTCCTTAGTCCAAGCCATTTCAGTTATCTCCATCTGCAGCCTGCAAATGGTTTCTGAAGAGCCTGGATAGCGACACAGTCTAGGTTTATAAAGAGCTATGTCATTGCATTGTATTGGCACATGAATTCTAATCATTTCACTCAGGTTGGGCCGGCCTGATGGAGGGGTTAGACATCTGTGCTGGAGTTTCAAGCACCTGCATTGTCTGAAGCTGCTAACATAATAAACCTTTGCTCTCAATGGAAAATTTTTAAAGTCAACTTTCATACTGATTTTAAAATATCAAAAGTAATATGAAAACTATAAAGGTAACATTGGAATTCTAATTTAATGCTAAGAAAAATGTTTGAGTAAAGGTGCCATAAACCTTACGCTCTTGGGGATGATAGCAGTGGAGGGTAGGAGGCAAAAAGCCTGTATTTTAGCTTTCAGAAACGATCAGTTAAGAGAAATTTCTTTTTCTTTTCTTCCTTTTTTTAAAGCCAGGATATATTTTGTCAATTTAGTACTCGCACTGTATAAGTAAGTATTTTACTGGTTGGCACCCTGGGCTTCTCTCTCTCACATGCTTGTATCTGTTCATTTTTTTTTTCTCTTTCCTGATTGTCTCTGAGCATCTTAAAGCCACTCTTTTTTTCTCGTTAACTTCACTCTCTAGGATAGTGCCTGGCACCAAGTAGATTCTCAATAAATATGTGTTGAATTAAAAAAATGAATTCATAGTATGTGGAATGATCAAAAGATAATAACAAGATAATTATTTAATTCATGCTTTTGTCTTTGGTTAAGAGTTCTAGGTTGTATTTTGATTAATATTTAGCATTGTGTGTACCACAGTATTCAGAGTAAAAATGATAGACTCTGGAGCCAAATTGTCTGAATTTGACTCTAAGCTCTACACTTACTGTCTGTGCATCCTCAGACAAATTACTTAACCTCTCTTTGCTTCAGTATTTTCCTTTGTAAAGTGAAGAAATTAGTAGAATATACCTCATAGAGTTGTTGTGAGAAGAAAGTTATTTAATACATGTGGCACTTACAACAATTCATGAGACATAGTAAGTACTGTGTGTTAGTCATTGTTTTATTACTCATGCCCTGGGAGTGATCCTTTGAGAGCAAGGTGAATAAAAGGATTCTACCTTATTACTAAAAACTTAAATGAGGTTTCCAGTCCCTTAGTATTCTTTTAATAAGTGTTCAGAGTAACATATGGTTTACTCTCAGTCCTTTCTTGGGATTTATTTTTAGTAGCTGAGAAAGCTGATATTTTAAATGATCATGGCTCTTGATGTTCATTGACTTGGCCAAGACTAGCTTTCTAAGTAAATGCAATATGAGGACCCCTTGGTGAGAGAGGGGCTGTAAAACCACTCTTCCAACAAAACAAAAGTGTGATATGAGGTGAAGGGGATAAGCACTCATTATAAATCTATAATACAAAAATAATATATTCTACCAAATAGTCTTTGTCTTCAAAGTTTGATTCTCAGTAGGGAATACTTCTGATTTATATAACTTAAGATAGGCCAATGGAAAATCTGATGAATTGAAGAACAAATGTCCAAACCAATTGAAAAAATGCAACTCTCTAGATCATAACATTTCTAGGATGTGAAGTTATGTAAAAGCAGTATGGTGGCCCACTGCAGGATGCTTGATAAAATTTCATGATGTGTTTAAATCTCTGCAATCTGAGAGGACCCACTACTATATTTTACCCTCAAATTGGATCTTCAGTTACATTATCCTTTTGCTGTTTTCCCTTCCTGTTTGATTTACTTATTTGTGTGTGAAGCTTCTCGAAACCTTAACCATCTGGGATTATATTAAGTGGCACTAGTAACCAAGTTTAGCAACAGTAAACAGGGAATAGCTCATTATAGGGCAGGAATAAGGAAATAGAAAGTGCTAGTAGTTAAATAGGAGTTTTTGTATCTACTGAAAAGAGTTCTGTTTTTCAAGCTACCTTTTATGGCATATTAGGTGTGCTTTCTTGTGTTGAAAATCTTGGCATCTCTTTCACATTAAATATTTCAAGATCATTTAGTTATTTATCCTTCAGATACAATGAGTAAAACTATCCCAAAAGGAGGAAAATAGCAAATTGCTGAAATTACAACTGTTTTTACTTTTCTCTAATGGAAGTAGCTTTAAAATCCATGGGGGAAAAATCCAATTTGAAGGAAAGCAGTATTAGAAAGCATGCAATTATGTATAGTGAACATTTCCTCAATGATGGGAAATTCAAAATACATGAAGAAAAGCCTCCGTGACCATTTTCTCAATAAGGTGAGTTGATATTGTACACTGCTATTGGGAACTCCTGTCATCAAGGAGGCAAAGTAGAAATGGATTTATTTTCCCATTCTGGACCAGGGTAAGGGCACAATATCATTGCTGGAGATGGGACGATGTGCTGAAAACCACATAGGGATTAAAAATATGCAATTTGAATTTCCATTCTGACTCTGCTCCTGAGAATAATATTAATGATGATAATAGCAACTATTAATAATATTTAATTTAATAGTACAATTGTTGCACACATTAAGTGAGATAATTTTCTCAAGTTATCAAGTTCTGGGGTGCAATGTGAATCAAGCCATTTAACTAAGTTTTACTCTTAAGGTAAAATAGAGAATAAACTTTACTTCTTTTCTCCCTCATGGATAGAGACCCTTAAATATTTTATACTAAATATGGAATATAGAATATATTTGCATTAATATAGAAGAATAATTTTGTGAGTTCTTAATGGGCACTTAGTGTCCTTTTCTACTTCCCACATGCTGTGTGACTTTTCATAGGAAAGTTGCGTTTGGGCAGGTATAAAACTATTAAACAAGGAGAATATGAAAATTACTCCTGGTTCTTTACTTTGCAAATGGAAAGATGGATAAAGTACTGTGAAACATACTTAAACCCACCCAGGATGAGTATGTCAAACTCTGGAAATATGGGACAGAATTCCTACAGCCTTGGTATAGGCAACCAAGATGAAGCATTCATTTGTTCACATCTGACCTCTCTGAGAATAAATTTTGTATGACTTATGGGGATGAAACACTTAAAGAAATTAGATGAGGAAAAATAAATCAGGCACAAACCTTTGAAACACTGGGTGGAGAGTTGAGAGGTAATTAAGTATACTTTTTTCTCTCCATTTTTTGAATCTACTATTAAGGTTTTATGGAATTAATTTTCCAGGACTTGGCTATAGGGTTTATAGGCTCCTTTTCTCAATTCTTATATTATGCAGCCTGATATCTGTGAACTTTAGATATCATGTATTTTTGCAAATGTCTTACCCACAGCTAGATCATGTGCTCAACAGCTTGGCAATGTCAGGCACAGTATCTTTGGCAAGGTTTATTCAATAACCATGTATAATTCTTTTTAGACTTCTTTTTTAGAAGTTATCATGAGATGTTAAAACATAGAAAAGCTCTAAATACTAATATAATGAATAGCTGTGTATCCACCACTGAGCTTATGAAATAAATAGTACCAATAACTTGAAACTCCTTGTGTCCTTCTCATCTCATTCCCTTCCCACACCCACCAGAGGGAATTTAGTAATTGTCATTTCCTTTTCATTTTACTCTTTTAGTAAAGACAGTAACACAGAGAATAAATAGAATATAATGTTGAATACAATTTTTCATGTTTTACTATTTTATGCATATGGAATAATCTATTCCATTGAAACTTAGCATTTTTTTTTTTGCTTGGCATTATGTTTGTGAAATTCTTCCATGAGAATATGTATGGCTCTAGTTGGTTCATTTTTACTGCTTTGTAGTCTTTCATTGTGTGAATATACTGTAAGTAATTTACCCATTCTTCTCTTGATGGATGTTCAGATCGTTTCTTGCTTTTGACTTTGCCAATACTGTTACTATGAGAGTTGTTGAACATGCCTTTTTGTGTACATGTGCAAGAATTTCTCTGCAATACATGGCTAGGAGAGGAATTGTGTACTCCTTGGATTCGCAATTCAGCTTTACTAGATACTGCTGAAATACTTTCAAAGTAGTGAATACTAATTTACATTCCCAATAACAGCAAATCAATGTTCCTGTTGTTCCAATGCTTTCCAACGTTTGTGACTTTAAGACTTTAATGTTTTTTAATCTGATGAGTAAGAAATGGTATCTTCTATGACTTTAATCTTCACACCCCTTTTTACTAATGGGACTGACCATCTACTCATATATTTATTGGCCATTTGGTTTCATATTCTCTGAATTTATGTTCATATGTTTTGCCCATTACTAACAGATTTAATTATCATTTTTTCTATCATTTAAAAAATTATTGTAGTAAAATATATGAAATATAAAATTTGCCATTTTAACCATTTGTAGTTGTACAACTCAGTGGCATTAAGTATATTCACAGTGTTGTGCACCCATTCCCACTATCTACTTCAGAACTTCTTCATCACCCCAAACAGAAACTCTATATCCATTAAGCAATAATTCTTCTCTCCTTCTTACCTCTCCCCACAGCCTCTAGTCACTTCTAATCTGCTTTCTGTCTCCATGAACTTGCCTATTATATATATATATACACATAAATAAGATCATACAGTATTTTTCCTTTAGCATTTGGCTTATTTCACTTAGCATAATGTCTTCAAGTTCATTCATGTTGTAGTATGCATCAGAACTTCATTTCTTTTTTATGGCTGAATAATATTCCATTGCATATATGTACCACATTTTGTTGATCCTTTTATTGGCATATTTAGGGTGTCCACATTTTGGCTGTTCTGAAAAATACTGCAGTGAACAGTAACACACAAGTGTCTGAGTTCCTGTTTTCAAATCTTTTGAATGTATATTTAGGAGTGGAATTGCTGGGTCATATGGTAATTCTAGGTTTAAATTTTGGAGGAGCTGCCAAACTACTTTCCACAGAACCTGTACCATTTTGCATTTCCATCGTAAACCTACAAGGTTACTATTTCTCCATACCCTTACCAAACTTATTATTTTCTTTATTAACAAAATTGTAGCCATTCTAGTAGGTATGAAGTGGTATCTCATTGTGATTTTGATGTGCATTTCCCTAATGACTAATGATATTGAGCATCTTTTCATGTGTTATTTGTATATCTTCTTTGAAGAAATGTCTATTCAACCTATTTGTCCATTTTTTAACATAGATTGTCTTTTTGTTGTTGAATCTTAGAAGTTCTTTATGTATTTGTATGCTAACCCCTCATCAGACATATGATTTGCAAAAAATTTCTACTGTAGGTTGTCTTTTCACTTGTTTGAAAATTTTCTTTGATGCACAAAGTTCTTAATTTTGATGAAGTCTAATTTGTCTGTTTATTGCTTCAGTTAAACAATTTTTGTTTCTAATTGATTTTTAGTAATTCTCTCTCCATATGCTGGGCATGAATTCTACATTGATTTTATTCATTACAAATATCTTTCTCAAGTATGTGACTTCTCATTTACCCTTTTAAATAATTGTCTTTTGATGAGCAAAAGTATATATTTTAATTTTGTCATATTTATCCATATTTTAATTTGTGATTTATATTTTTAGTCTTTCCTTTAAGAGGTTCATCTTGTTCAAAGGTCAAAAAGACATTGATATGGTTTGGCTATGTTCCCATACAAATCTCGTTTTGAATTTTAGTTCATATAATCCCCACGGGTCATGGGAGGGACCAGGTGAAGGTAATTGAATAATGGGAGTGGTTTCCCCCATCCTGTTCTCATGTTAGTGAGTAAGTTCTCATGAGATCTGATGTTTTTATAAGCGGCTTCCCCCTTTGGTCAGCTCTTATTCTTCTTCTCCCTATTGCCATGTGAAGAAAAACTTGTTCACTTCCCCTTCCACCATGATTGCAAGTTTCCTGAGGCTTCCCCAGCCATGCTGTACTGTGAGTCAATTAAACCTCTTTCCTTTATAAATTACCCAGTCTTGGGTATCTCCTTAGTGCAAGAATGGACTACTACAGTAAATTGGCATTGCAGAGAGTGGGGCACTCCTATAAAGATACTCAAAATGTGTAAGTGACTTTGGAACTGAGTAACTGAGGCAGAGGTTGGAACCCTGTGGTGGGCTCAGAAGAAGACAGGGAAATGTTGGAAAGTTTGTAACTTCCTAGAGACTTGTTGAATCGCTTTGACCTAAATGCTGATAGTGATATAGACAATGACATCCAGGCTGAAGTGGTCTCAGATGGAGATGAGGAACTTGTTGGGAACTGGAGTAAAGGTCACTCTTGCTATGCAAAGAGACTGCCATTATTTTGTCCCTGCCCTAGAGATCTGTGGAACTTTGAACTTGAGAGAGATGATTTAGGGTATCTGGTGGAAGAAATTTCTAAGCAGTAAAGCATTCAAAAGGAAGCAGAACATAAAAGTTTGGAAAATTTGCAGGCTGGTGATGGGATAAAAAAGAAAAACCAAATTTTCTGGGGAGAAATTCAAGCCTGCTGTAGAAATTTGCATAAGTAACAAATCGCTGAATGTTAATCACTAAGACAATGGGTGATTGTCCATCGGCATTGGGTGAATGTCCGAGGGCATTGTCAAGAGACCTTCCCAGTAATCCCACCCATCATAGGCCCAGAGGCCTAGGAGGAAAAAATCGTTTTATGGGCTGGACCCAGGGCCCCCTCCTGTGTGCACCCTGGGGACTTGGTGCCCTGTGTCTTAGCTGTTCCAGCCATGGCTAAAAGGGGTCAAAGTACAGCTTGAGTTGTGACTTGAGAAGGTGCAAGCCCCAAGCCTTGGCAGCTTCCATGAGGTGTTGAGCCTGTGGATGCACAGAAGTCAATAACTGAGGTTTGGGAATCTCCACCTGGATTTCAGAGGATGTACGGAAATGACTTGATGTCCAGGCAGAAGTTTGCTGCAGGATCAGAACCTTCATGGGGAACCTCTGCTAGGGAAGTGTGGAAGGGAAATGTGAAGTTGGAGCCCTCACACAGAGTCTCCACTGGGACACTTAACACCAGAGTGTGAAAGCAGCTGGGAGGGGGCCTGTACCCCCCAAAGCCGCAGAGGTGGAGCTGTCCAAGGTCATGGAAGCCCACCTCTTGCATCATTGTGACCTGGATGTGAGACATGGAGTCAAAGGAGATCATTTTGGAACTTTAAGGTTTAATGACTGCCCTATGGATTTTAGACTTGCATGGGGCCTGTAGTCTCTTCATTTTGGCCAATTTCTCCAATTTGGAATGGGTGTATTTACCCAATGCCTGTACCCCCATTCTATCTAGGAAGTAACTAACTTGCTTTTGACTTTACAGGCTTATAGGTGGAAGGGACTTGCCTTGTCTCAGATGAGAGACTTGGACTTTTAAGTTAATGCTGGAATGAGTTAAGACTTTGGAGGACTGTTGGAAGGGCATGACTGTGTTTTGAAATGTGAGGACATGAGATTTGGGAGGGGTCAGGGGTGGAATGATATGGTTTGGTTGTATCTCCACCCAAATCTCATCTTGAACTGTAGTTCCCATAATCCCCATGTTTCATGGGAGGGACCTTGTCAGGGGTAACTGAATCATGGGGCAGTTCCTCTCATATTGTTCTCATGATAGTGAGTGAACTCTCATGAGATCTGATGGTTTTATAAGGGGTTTCCCCCTTCGCTCAGTTCTCATTCTTCTTCTCCCTGCCACCCTGTGAAGAAGGACATGTTTGTTTCCCTTTCTGCCATGATTGCAATTTTCCTGAGACCTCCCCAGCCATGCTGAACTGTGAGTCAATTAAACCTCTTTTTCTTATAAATTACCTACTCTTGGGTATGTTCTTACAACAATGTGAGAATGGACTAATACAGGTATTACTCTATATTTTGCTTTCTAAATGTTTCAAAGTTTTGCTTTCTAATTTAGATCTTTAATTCAGTTCCCCTCTTGATGTGTGTGGCAACATTAGGAACATCTGTTGACGTTCTTGTTGAATTTCAGGTGTCACTGCAAGTGCCCTACCAGCAACATTTTACTTCCATCTCCTGCTTCTATCTGGTTCTTTCAGGTTGTCCTTATTGACTTCTGCTTTTTCTAGAAGGAGATTCATGGATTGCCTTTCTATATCTCCTTCAGTCCAGTCCTGTTAGTATCTGACAGCATTGTGATAAAACTTCTTGCTTGTGCCTGTTAAAAATATAGCCTTTTCCACATTGTGTTTTCTATACAATTTTATTAGGAATCTGGAAGACAGAAAATTAGGCAACTGTATTGGTGTCATCCCAAAGACTCTGCAGAGCCTTTTCTAATTGCCTTGGCCAATTGTGGTGTTGCTTGGAAGAGGAGACCAGGCACCACTGTGGTCCTTCCTGATCTTGACATTTCAGAAATAGAATATCCCTTATTAGAAGCATGGCATATACAACTTGTTTTATAAGATGAACTTTTTTTCCCTTCTAGTCAGATGTCAGCTGGATCCTTGTATTTTCATAAATTACACAGTTTATTTGACAAAGGCTAATCAATACTCTTTCAGAATCCTAATTTCTATCTATACCTGCATCTTGTATTGAAAGACGAAAATAACTGATAGCACTGAACATTTTATGCTGGGAGAGAAATGATCACTACTCATTTTCCCTGTGGATGGCAGAGAATCACGTGAACAGAGGAATGGGAAAGAACATTGATTTTGGAGTTTGAAACATCTAGCTTTTTGAAAATGGTATAAGTAAACATCAGTTGCAATGACTGCAGCTGAAAGAATCATGACTGCCTGTCATTTTCTTTAATAAGCTTCAAAACATCCATGATTGGGAAGTCATGGGAAAAGTTAAAGGGATTCATCTGGGACTTTGGAGATCTGGATTATCACTCTGACTCTCCTTAGTAGGTGAGTATGTTCTCTACATATTATCTCTGGGTCATTCTCTACCTTGTTTGCATTGCTGTTACTACAAGATTTTATTTTTTTAATTGTTTTTAAATCTTGAGACAGGGTCTCACTATGTTACCCAGGCTAGAGTGCAGTGGCACGATCTTGGCTCACTGCAACCTCCGCCTCCTGGGTTCAAGTGATTCTTGTGCCTCAGCCACCCAAATAGCTGGGATTACAGATGCCTGGCTAATTTCTGCATTGTTAGTAGAGACCGGGTTTCATCATGTTGGCCAGGCTGGTCTCAAACTCGTAACCTCAAGTGATCTGCCCGCCTTAGCCTCCCACAGTGCCGCAATTACGGGTGTGAGCTGCAGTACTTGGCCATAGCAAGGTTGTTGAGAAGATCACACAAGGCAATGCATGGGAAAATGTCTCATGAACCGTAAAGCACAGGCCATAAGATGGGTATTGTAATGTCCAGCTGATGAGATGAGAGCAACTGCTCCTGGCTGAGTTAGAAGTTACCTGAAAGTCACAACTAATTAAGGTGTTATTTTTAAATTTTCAAACTTTCTTCATATTATTTTTCAGGACTCTACGTATCTAGCCATATGTACAAAAAATCCCTAAAACACGTACCTGACGTTTTAGATGAAAGGTGAAATGAGCAGTTTACTCTATGGACACACGAGGAGAAAATGGACTATAGAGACCCTGCAGCAGTCCTGGGAGTGAGTGCAAGCACAGAACCTTGCAAGAAGGAAAATGGAGGAGGATCCGTCCGGGGATGGATATCATGCCACTGTGTTTCCCAACCTTTCTGTTTCCAGCCAGTCTTTTAGAGGAGGTCCTGCCCTGTGTAACTTATTATGGATTTGAGGTTACAAAAATATGATCATTCTTGGCAAAGTATCCCAGATGCTGGGAGAACAACTGCAGAATAAGCTACTCTGTAGAATGATTTGATTCAAAGTATGTCCAATTTCTACCCAGTCGAAGGCTCCTGAAATGTTTGTATCATCTGTGGGCTCTGAGCTACTCCAGTCCAGGGTTTCAGATGCTGGCAGGCATTTCCCTTTATTAAATCAGTCTTAAAGGTTTGCCATATGCACTTCAATCAAACCTTTCCCCCACACATGCTCCCATAAAATTGCTGCTCTACAGCAAATCTTTTCAACCACACTCATGTAAATGTGGCTTTTTCTATGAATAGAAGAGAAAGAATACGTTTAAAATCTGGTTCAATAGCAACTTTATATACCCCACTGAGCTTTATGCCATGCCATGGGATACTGCTGCTTAATTCTCAGGAGGTTGTCAGTTGATATCTGGTCAGGCCATATATATAGTCAGATCCCATTATGCCATAGGGTTGGGGCTCAGGGATAAAATTCATTTTATAGATTTCCTACTCTAAGTTTCATTTCTCCAAACTTTATAGCTTTCAAAGTGTTGGGTTTTTTTTACACCCAGGTAATGTAGGCAGAGCAGACGTTATTATCTGTATTTTATAGATACAAAAACTAAGGCTTAGTTATGTCTTGGAGATGTTAAATATAGTTCACTCTACTACATTCAGTAGGACTTTTTTACTATATTATTTTATGTAACTTATTTTCTGGTTCTGTAATGTATTGTAGCTTAATCTTTGAACCATGTCTGGCCAAAATCATAGGAGTCAGACCTGTATCCTTTTTAACTCTTTGAAATTATAGCGATATATATATATATATACACACACCCATATATATATACACACACATATATATATACATATATATGTATATATATATCACTACATATATCCAAATATATATACATATATTTGCAAATATAATAAGCTGATATATTTCTCATTCCCCTTCAATCATAATGTCCTACAAAAGGCAAGGCAGACACCTCTTAGAACAAATCAGTCCACAAGGTAGAGGAGGGGGATATGACCTTCAGGATTTCCTCACCAAGTAGGAAGCAGAAGAGAAAGTCCTGTAGTACTGGGAGGGGAAAGAGAATATCTTAGTTCCTTAGGAGTAGGTTGGAGAGGCAGCTGACCTGTTGGAACAGCGGTAGGTTGAGCTTGATGCTAATAGTGGCAGGAGGTGATTTGGCCACGGTTAGGGATGCATTGAGGCAGATGGACCTGACATTGCTCTGTCTTCAAAGCCAGTGGGTGGGATGCAGAGTATCCCAAAGTTCCCGTGGGGCCTCTTGGAGAAATATCCAGTTGTAGAAGGGGTCAGCAGGTCTGGGTCAGGATCAGGAGGTACACTCAACTATAATAGGCAACATTGACTACAGACTTCAGCAGCTGCTCCAGCACATTGCTGCCACAGGTTGTCACAACCCAGGACTTTGGGGCCCAAAGCTGAGAGGACACTCTGCTGATTAAGCCCCACCTCCCAGCCCCATTACACTGAGGACTGGTAAGCTACTTTTTATATCCACATGACATCTTCTCTTCAAAAAAGTACAGGTGTCATAAAGAAAACTTGAGAGACGAGTATTTTTCCAAATGAGACTTTAAAAAGTTCTTTTAAACCAGCGTGGACAGAGAAACCTTTAATTCATTAGTTTAAAATTCCTTCTTTAATCGCCTCCATCACCACCTTCCCTATTCCCCCAATTCCCAGGGAGATGGGGGTGCTCATCAGTTTAGTTCAGCTTTAGGGATACAAAGAAAGTTACTGTTTTTGGTATAACTGAATTTTAGGAGATGAATTGTGTGAGTTGTTCACCTTGTTATAATAGGAGAGAAAAATATTTCATAGGTAGTGGAGCTGAAGGCTATGTTAAAAGTTAGCATATATGACAACCTTGGAAACGATAGGAAACCATAGGTATTTCTCCTTTCTTGTATTTTCTTTCAGTCTTGCTTGCCTAAAGATCTATTATATTATGATTGTCTGTGAAAATGCCTTCCTCCAGGAGGGCTGTCCTGGAGCCCACAAAGTGTGCCTCCAAGGGTTCCTTGGTTTCTCGATTTAATTACCATAAGACCTTTTGCAGCTGCCCCATGGTGTTTCCAGGCTTTCCAGAAGCTGTGCTGTAAATCTTCCACCCACTGACACCTTTTGTATATCTCTCAGCCAGAATAATTGGGAAGAAAATTATGTTCATGTTATTTCAGTTGGAGAAAGTGCTAATAATTCAGGGATCTGTGCAGTGGGACATAGAAATCCATTACTTTTAGGGTTAGCTCTATATTCCATTGACCTTGGGCAAGTCCCTGGGCTACTGTGAAATGGATGGGCTAGGTGATTTTAAATGTCCTCATTTATGATTTGTTTGATTTGCTTATTCATTTAACACACATGTATTAAATGCCTACTGTGTGCAATCCTAGGTGCTAGGATGTGTTCAGTCAGATGGGCATGGTCATTGACTTCATGGTGCTTTTATATGGATAGATAAATTCAGAAACTCTACAATAGATTATAAAATGACATTCCCACATAAAACCATGAGACAAACCCTTATTCCTTTATAATAGAATTAGCTTTTCACAGCAATACTTTCACTTCAAACTTTCCTGCGCATTCTGAACCAACTCTTTCACAAGTTCAGTGTTTGGTGCTCAAAAAAGGCATTGGAGGCTGCATAGAGGCCTCAGCACAGATACAGCTGGCAGAAGGACTGTCTTTAGGGATTAGGGAAAAATAGTGAAAGTGATCAAGAGATGAGCACCTATTATACACTAAGTATAGCACTATGGGTTTTACATGTGTTATCTCAGTTTGGGAGGTTCAATCCCATTGCTCTTGGTCCTGAACTCCCAAGTAAACTGTAGATGGTTTTCCATTAGAGCTTTCTGTCTTCTTTGCCATGCCATCTGTTCCTATTTAGTAAAATACAGCACAAGAGGCCACCACATGGACTAAATGAAAGAGAAAGGGTAAGGGGAAGAGAGCTTCTTGGTGAAGAAAGGGTGCATATGAGGGAGAAACAGATGGGAAGAGTAATACCAGTGAGCTCACCTCTTAATTTAATAAGAAAAGGCCATTTTATAGCCATCTCTATTACTTTGAAGTAATGAAACATTTTCCAAAGTGAGAAATCATGTCATCTGTTGTGCTTCAGTAGGCTTAATCTAAAGAGAAGCAAAGTATTTCATATGTTTTTATGAGAAACTTTGAAAAAAAAAAACAATGACTAACCATCTGGTATATTTTTAAATCTGCTCTGGAATGTATATTTTACATATTTTCTGGATTGTCGTATTTTACTGCCAAGCATGCTTGCAAATACCCCTATTTCAGAGCCGCATGATCAGATGGTTGCTGGAAGAGTACAAAAAAAAAAAAAAAAAAAAGAAACCAACAAAACCCCTACACCCCCATGACAGTATTTTGCCCATCCTTTATTCAGAATGCTTAGCCAAAAAGAATCTCAACTGGGGCATATACACCTAAAATATTCATGAATAACTCGCGTGTGGGAAAACCTCCCTCAATGAACCTCAAATAGTTCATTTTCTGAAAGCATACTCTTTACCTTCTGGGGAGGGGTCAACATTTATACACAATGGTTTAGATAGGATAAAAATATAAGAAAAAACTTTATTTTCTTTATTTGATGCTCCTTTTCGAGCTCCTGAAAATGGTTGAAAAAGCTTACATTTATAAAGACATCTTGGTTTTATACTTTGAGTAAATATTCAGTTGATTTAAAATTCAAACTCTATCACTGTTGTTTCTCCCCTTTCAAAGGGTCTACTGTCCTTTCCAAAGAGGGCATCAGGTAAAAGAGAAGGTGGACCTTATGCCCGTGGGGTGGAAGCTTTGGCCTGCTTGGTGTCTTCTGCGAGGTCCCTGGATAGCCCTTTCGACTTCCCTAGTCACTGACATCTGCTGAGTGTGGCTTGTCCTGTCTGGCCTGTTTGTATGCTGTGTGGTAGCTGCTGCTGCTACTTGAAATTTTTCCACCACCTGCAATCAGGACTGGCAACATAATTTGTGAGACCCAGTGCAAAATGAAAATGTGAGACCCTTTGTTCAAAAATTAACAATTTCCAGATGACTACAGTAGAGCATTAAATCAAGCACAGGGCTCTTCTGAGCACAGGGTTCTTTTACAATTCTCTGTTATACTCACTCTCCAGAGTAACTCCACTATAACTGGCCTGGCAAGGAGACCGCTCTAAGTCTTTAGGAGATCAGGGAGGGAGAGAAGCTGAGTGGAAGAAGAGATTTTTTTTTTTTTCAAGTGAGGTGAGCAAGAGCATGGATACACGTTAATGAGTCTTGTCCTTGACATACACTTTGTCACTGAATTCTTACTTGCTAAACTTGTCGATGGTTGCTCTAAACCAAGTTTTCTGTAATTTACTGTCTCTTTTTGCAAAGGTCAGTGTCCTCTTATTTAGGTGGCTGTTTTCTCCGTGTTGTGGAAACAAGGATTTTAAAGCCCTTTATAGGAAAGAGTTTCATCCTTTTGCATTTTAGCTAGACATAGATCCTCCTCCTTTGAGTGTCCTGGCCCTTTCATATTAACACCATTAAAACTCCTCCCTCTGCAGCCACTCCCCGCATGCCCTAAATTTAGAAAATTTGTCTTAAAACACCAAGCTTTAATATTTTACATTATTTTTGTGCACTGTCTTCAGTGTGGGGTGGGAAGCATTTCCTTTCCTTGGGATGGAAATAATATTTTGTTGTATAAGGGCTAGTATGTTAAAGATACTTTATTAAGCATTCAGAATCCAAGTGAATCCTTTTATTGGGGATGGACCTATCTTGCTTTTATAAGAAGGAAATACACTTATGATTTAACTCCATTAGAACATAATAAAACCTAGATCTGTCTCTTATATTGTATAGATATGTACATAGGGAGTTGAAATAAGATTAAAATATTTTGACAGAAAACTGGGTGGCAATTCACCATAACATTGAATGCCATTTTTTTTTAATTCAAAGGGTTAGTCAGTCACAAATTACATATTGTTATGCTAACAGTATCTTATCTAATGATAAAAATTCAGTGTCAATGTCTTAGCTCTAAGGGCCAATGCTTCAGTGTAAAATTAACAGAGCATCTTTATTTTGCAGTTCACTATTTACTTGGAACAGGGTGCAATGGGAAAAAAAATCTGTGGAGCCCCACACCAGTAGTAATACCTAAAATTATAGACAAAGAGGTGAAATAAGGTGGCCAGCTACTCTGTTTGATTTGTCAGCAGCTAACAGCAGCTTCTTAATACCATAATTCAAATTCATGCATTTTATGCACAGGCAGCTGATTTTGATATTTCTAGGAATAAAAATGTTTTATCCAACAGATGTATTTAATATTTGGAAAAATGTGCTAATGTATAGCTGAAAGATACTGCAAGGGGTTGAGCATGTAGATTTTTAAAAGTCACTCATCAGCAATATTGTTCCAATTAAAAATATGATTGGTAATTTCCAGATTTTCCCTTTACTCACCTTCCAATGCCCCTGTTTTCTCCACATACTAGTGAAATGGTAGCAGATTTCCATTCATTAATCAAATCCCTCAAAATGCTTCTTAAATCTGAGCGTTTCTTTACCTCTGCCCACCATCAGTGTTTAGGTTCCTGTTGTTTCAGTCCTTCACACTTAAGCAAGACTCTTTGTCTTCTTCTCTTCACTCTTATTCTTAGCTAATTTATCCCATATACAGATGCCATACTGATCTTCTGGAAGTGACACTCAATTGTACTATTATTCTACTCAGAAACCTTAAAGATGTCTTAGAGCCCAGAGAATAAAATCCAACTTCCTTATACTGGCATTTAGTCCCTACATAATTTGGCCCCAGCAGCCTCCTTAATCTATATTCACCTAGCCCCTGATCTCTCCAAGGAATAATCTTACATTTTATTTCAGATTAGTTGGTTGACAACTACCCAAGCATGCTTCCGCCCTTGTGTGTGTTTTGCGTAGTGTTTCTTCATCATCCAAAGGGTGCTCCCACCACCCCACCACGTATCCAGGTCATTGCCAGTCTCTAAACTCGGCTGAAGTGCTCTCTGCTCTGTGGAACTTTTTTCCATCACCTGGGACAACAGGTATTTTGGTTCTTAAAATTTACTCAACCGATGATCATTAAGCTCCTTGTACATGACAAGCCCTACGGATGTAACATACAGACACAGTCTGTATGCTCATGGAGGTTCCAGTCTAGAAAAAACCTGGTGTGAAACAGGGAAAATCTCTCCATTTCTAGAGCATCAATTATCTATGAACTAATTAGGATACAAAATCTCTTATATCATGGAGTATATATTGATATCTCATTTCTGTCTTTGATTGACCACTTTGAGACCAGAAACCATGTGTCTTACCTGCAGCGCCAAATAAGAGGCAAGGTTGCATGTCGGGAAATAGAGCAGGCCTGCAGCCAGACTGCAGGTGTTTCGCTTGGCTCTGATCCTCGCTGCTTTTGTAGACCTGGGTAAGTTACTCATTAACCTCTCACATCGCCTCTTTAAAAAGGAGCATAATAACAGTGCCTACCAAGACAGATGGTGGTAAACATGAAGTGATTTCACATGTGTAAGGTGCTTCAAACAAAGTGGGGCACATATACTAGGTGTTGAGTAAATGTTAGTTTTTGTAATTATTTTTATAATGCCACAGGCTGTGTGGCCTTAGGCAAATCATTTAACTTCACAGTAGCTTCTTTATCCCTTCCATAAAATAAGGATAATGATGTTAGCCAGATAAAGGCCCATGTGTGTGTTTGAGGAAATGAGATAAAAGATGAAAGTGCTTGGAAAATTGGTGCATGTTATAGAAACGTAGGGCTCATTCATGAGCTCATGCTGGTGTCTGAGGAAAATCACCACATTCTGGTCTTTACAGAGTCTACAGTCCAATAGGAACAGTGGACAAGACCATTAAAGAAGGATTTACAGCGCACTGTGCTTAGCAAGGGGACAGGGAAGAAGGGAACTCTTCAAGTATCCAGCAGGAACATCCCAAATAGGCCTGGGATGGTGATGGTCAGAGAAGGCTCATCCAAGAGGGAACAATGTATGTAGAAGCCTGGAAAATTGTGAGTTGGGCTTGTTTGAACAACAAAACAAAGTTCAGTGTAGCAGCACATTGAGCACGGGCACAGCAGTAGCAGGAAAGTGAACGTTACGCTGGGATGACTACATAATTTTAGGGTCCAGTTCAGTGTGAAAATGCGTAACATTTCACATTTTCAAAGCAGGGGGAAAAAGCCTCTTCCTTTCTTTCCCTTCTCTGTCTTGACCTGTTTTTAAATTTGCGATTTAATGTTGTGCTCCTTTGGGCACGGGGATACACTTGCTGGATGATTGCAGACCCTTTCAGGTGTTAGGGGGTGTCCTAGTCTGCAACTCCAAGTGCATGAGCCTGACTTCAGCCCTCCCTGCACCTGTGCCTCGACCTCCGCTGCAGGCAGACAGAGGGCTGCAGTGGTTGTTAGGTGGGGCCTGGGGGCTTTCAACTGAGAATCCTTCCTGGGGAAGTGAAGGGGCACTGCCATTTGGGAGATAAGTATCTAAGACCTCTGTGCAGGCCTTGTTGTCTACTCAGCCTTCATTTACAAAATACCTATTCAAAGATAAGATTATTAAGAATTTTAAGATGATGACCCTCTGCCTGCACTGTTGGTATGTGATTATTTTCTTATATTGTAGGGATAATGTGTAGACACAGCACAAATATATGCAATGGCTAATCAATGGTCATTGAGTCACTTCAGAGAGTTGGTATTTTTAATTTTTTTTTTTAAAACAATTAAGAGATAGGGCAGTAAAGAGGTGAGTAAATATGTGGGGAAAAAGATATGGAAGATCATACAGCAGTGTGAAAGTTTGAAAGTGGTTTCCTCCAAATAGAAGCATTCTCTCTTTGCCTTCTTTATAATGGTTCTAAAATAAACATTAATTTTATAACAAGAAAAAATAAGTTATATAATTTTTTATTAAAAAGCTCTGGAAACGTTTTTCTCTAGTACTGTTCAGATAAAGGAAGGCTCTGAAAGATGTGTGTTCCTAGCAGAAATGATCAGCCCGGCTCTGCCCCAATCTGACAAAGATCACCATCATTGTGTTTCTAGAAGAAACCCAATTTGGCCATTTTTTAAAAATAAAAATATATTTGGATTTGGTTGCTGTGATTGTTAATTTTATGTGTCAACTTGACTGGGCCATGGGATGCCCAGATATCTGGTTAAGCATCATTTCTTAGCATTTGAGTTGGTGAATTGAATAAAGCAGATGGCTCTCGTCAATGTGTGTGGGCATCATCTAATCTGTTGAGGGTCTGAATGGAACAGAAAGCTGAAAGGAGACTCAATTTGCCATCTGCCTGACTGCTTGAGCTGAGACATCAATCTTCCCCTGCCCTCAGCACTCTTGGTTCTCAGGCCTTCACACCTTGCCTGGAATCTATAACATCAGTTCTCTGGCTTTCAGGCCTTAAAACTACACCCCTCGCTGTCCTGGGTCTCCAGCTTGCTGATGGCAGATGTTGGAACTTATTAGCCTCCATAATCACATGAGCTAATACCTGTTTGAAAAAATATATATATTTAAAAGGCATAAGGTATGAGCTAATACCCTATTTAGAATCTCTCTATGTCTATATATCTATATCTATCTCTCTCTAGAGAGAGCCATATCTGTCTGTATATGTATCTCTATATATCTATCCATATCTATCTATATCATTTTTTTGAGACAGAGTCTCCCTCTGTCACCCAGGCTGGAGTGCAGTGGCATGAGCTTGGCTCACTGCAACCTCCACCTCCTGGGTTCAAGCGATTCTCGTCTCAGCCTCCTGAGTAGCTGAGGTTACAGGCACCTGCCATCACACCTGGCTAAGTTTTGTATTTTTAGTAGAGATGGGGTTTCACCGTATTGGCCAGGCTGGTCTTGAACTCCTGATTTCAAGTGGTCTGCCTGTCTTGGCCTCCCAACATGCTGAGATTACAGGTGTGGGCCACCACGCCTGGCCGGTATCTATATCTTCTGTTGGTTCTGTTTCTTTGGAGAACCCTGACTAATAGAGCACTAGAACAATAATTTATTTTTGTTTCTATGTTTAAAAATGAGGTGAGAAAGTGGTAGACTATTATTTTATGTTAGGAAAAATATTTTGAGATAAAATGAAAGGGCAGGGGGGATTTGAGCAGAGCAAGAACATATCTTACTCCTTGGAAGGTAGAGGACTCATATTTTTATGTCAAAGTTTGTGTTTTAGGAATTCAGCTTCAGAAATGTCAAAATAAATGGGTGGCAGCTCTAAACAAGGTTCTAGACTCTGGAATTCTTATAAAGCTTTAGTATTAATGATACACTACCTTCATAAAAATATGTTGAAGAGTGTCTTTATATTTTTTGTACTCTGGAAGTGTGCGTAAGATTGGAATCATCTGATCCTTAGATGGTTAGTTGAACTGTCCCATAAAAACGTTTGAATCTGTTGGTTATTTGTGGATAGACTCTAAACTATTAATTTAATTTAAAAAATAATTATAGTTGTATTCAGTGTTTCTACATAATCTCAGATAATTTTTGATGAGCTATATTTTTCTAGGGATTTGTTTTGTGTAAACTTTCAATATCACTGACATAGTTTTAAAATCTGTTTTGAATCTAGGTATGTTTTAATTTTCATTCCTGGTATTTACTTGTGTCTAATTTTTTCTTGCTCAGAATTGACAGAGCTTTATTTTAATAATTATTCTTTCATAGAACCGCCTTTTCTCCTTTTATTTAATAGATTTCTGCACTCAGTTTTATTATTTTTTTGAAACTATGTCCTTTGGACTTACCCTGCTGCGTTTTTAAGCTGTTAAAGGTTATGCATTTCTTTCCAACTACAGTCATCACAAATTTTGAAATGGAGTATGTTCATAATCATTCAGCTCTAAGCATTTCTAATTTCCACTGTTATTTAATTTTGGGGACTAAATGCATGAGACTTTTGAAAGTTATTGCTTGCTATTGATTTTTTTAAAAGTCAGGTTTATTGAAGCATAATTTACATACAGTAAAATTTACCCATTTTTAGTGTTTAGTTTGATGAGTTTTGACAAATATATACAGTCACGAATCCACTACCAAAATCAAATATAAAATATTTCCATCACACTACAAAATTCCCTTATGTCCTTTTGTGATCAATCTCCTACTCCATCTCCCAGCCTCTGACAACAACTGATCTGATTTCTTTCCCTCAGGTTTTGCCTTGTTATTGATTTTAATTTAGTTGCACAGTGGACAGGGAACATGGACTTTATAATAATGATTCTTTTGATATTTAATGAGATTTGCTTTTGGCCCATTATGTGGCTAATTATCATAAAGTATCTTTAGTTTTCAATTGCTTTATGCAGAGTTCTGTATATGTTAGTTAATCTAACTTGTTTAGAGTGTTTTTCAATCTTCTATTTTCTTACTCATTTTCTACCTGATTTATCAATTTCTGAAAGAAGTATTAACATATGAAAATCTCCCCTATTGTGGTAAATTTGCCCATTTCTTCTTGCAGTGTTGTCAGCTTTTTGCCTCATGTACGTTGATGTTAGGTTCTTAGAAGTCTAATGTTAATAACTTTTCCTGGCCTTTTATTTTAAATGTTTCCGAGTCCTTACATTTTATTTGTTTTGTGTACAAAGCCTAGAGCTGTTTATTTTTTAACCCAATTTTACAATTTCTGCCATTTAACTAAACAGTTTAGACCCTTTACATTTATTGTGATTACTTATACTTTTGATTTATCTCCCTCACTTGACATCTTGCTTTAAATTTTATATTTTTTCTCTTTCTGCCTACTTTTGAATTATTTGAGATTTTGTTTGTTCATTTGTTTTATTCCATACCCTCACCTGCTTTGGGAGCTATATACACTATTGTTAATCTTTGTGTGACCACTGATAACATTTTAATATGCCTAGTTAATTTAACAAAATCTAAATTTAATATCACTACCTTCTTCTTGAACAGTGAAATAACTTCAGAATTCTTTGAACATGATTTTACCACTCCTACTATCTATATTGCTGTTATCCAGTATCTAAGTTCTACCCCATTTTTATATCCTCCAAGTTAATTGTTTTATACAGTCTGCTTAGATCTGTTCACATATTTGCTAGATTCTTCATTCCCTACTTCTTCTAGCCTCTCAAACTTTGCCCCTAACACCATGTTTCTTCTTCCTGAAGTATATCCTTTATAAATTCTTTTAATGGTGTTCAGTTGCTAGTCAACTCTCTTAATTTGCTCTTGTTCTTTTTATCTGTATACACAATTCTTGGCAGACAGTTATTTTCACTGGATGCTTGATGCTATTACATCTCTACCTTTTGTCTTCCATTGTTGCCATTAACTCTTAAGATTCTATATCTACAAAATTAGTTTTGGATCATCTTCAGTTATAATTTCTACAAATGTGGTCTAATATCCATTCTTATTATTCTCTTCTAGAAATCCAATTGACATAACTCAGAGTAACTCATTTTATCTTTCATGTTTCTTATTTTTCATGATTTCCATCTCTTTGTGTTGCATTTGGGGCAATTTCCTTAGGCTTGTCTTCCAAGTAATGCCCACCCTTTAATTGTGTAGGTCTTCAAAGATCCAGACTTTATCTAGAGGTCTTAGTTCCTAACTTGAAAGCCCAGTACTTAGGTTTTGTTACCCTAGAGGTTGTTGTTAAAAGCAAGTGATTACGTTAGGAATAAGAGCAAATGCCTAAAGAAGCCAAACCTCACATTAGGTTATTATGCTGGTTTTCCTTTTTTTTTTCAGTTTGTGACCATTTCTTTTTTATTTTTATGTTCTCAGCTACACATTTCAAAAGTTGATGGTTATATCTCATCCAATATGTCTAGGTGTTTCACGCAGAAAGGATTCTTTTTTTTTTTTTTTTTTTTTTGGTATATCTATGTACCATATTGCTAGAATTGGAAGTCTAGAGTGCATTCTTTACCTGGGTTTCCTTTTTATGTGGTCAGATTTTAGTAAATATGTATCTTGGCTTCCCATATTTTTGTGATGTGCAAGAATACAAAGCATTCTACAACCCTGCTGTCTTATAATCATTATTTTACTCATTTATCCACAAGTCTTTGGGTCTATATATTTTTTGTTAATTTCTTAATTTAAATTTCTTTTTAATGACACCCTCTACTAACTAGCTCAAAGTCAGATGTGGGCTTTCTTAGATGCCAAATAGCTGGAGGCAGAGTCAGAAGAATGTATGCATGGGCATTATCACATCAGCTGGGGATCTATTTTTACAGTTAGTAGTATTGAGCTTGATATTAGAAGTAGGAAACTTATGATGTCTGTAAGTATTACCTTAAATGGAAATGAATAGATGGGTGTTTCTGCATAGGGACGTAAGCCTCCAAGTATAAAAGAACTATGTTACAATGCAAAATTAAGCTTTATGGAACTGACAAGTCCCTACCTTGCTTGGAAAGTATCACTAGTAGCTATACACCACTTTTCGAGGTTAGGGAGGGGCCTTGGGAAACTGTGAGGAGACAGTGTGGTTGCTACCTCTCTGTGCGATCCCCTAATTTCAGGTAAGTTTCTATATCTTTTTTCATTAAAGTGTTTGTAGTCCCCTTCTGCCAAGCCAAGCTCACCTCAAATGGCACATTACCCTCATTTCACATTATAGGCTCCATGTCTCACGATGCTGCCCATTTACAATACAGATTTATACTTGTTGAACTATGCATCTGTTTAGAAAAGACTTCAACTGGATTGTAAACTCTTTGAGGACAACATTTTTTTCTTTCATAACTTGTATCTTTTGTAACTTGCATTACACTGCTATGGCAGGTGCACAATACAGCAGGTCCTTCAAATAACGTTGTTTCATTCAGTGTCATTTTATTATAACATCGATGAGAAAAAATTTTGATTTCCAGCTGTGGCCTATGTCTGCATGGGTTTTTCGCCAGACACTCTGGTTTCCTCCCACATCCCAAAGATGTGAACATTAGGTGAATTGGTGTATCTAAATTGTTCCAGTCTGAGGAAGTATGGGTGTATGCGTGAGTGTGTCCCATGATGGGATGGCATCCTGGCCAGGTTGGGTTCCTGCCTTGCACCTTGAGCTGCGGGACAGGCTCCAGCCACCTGTGACCCTGAATTGGAATAACTGGTTAAGTAATTGTCTTACTTGTTTTTTATGAATCTTTTTTACATGTACTTGACTCTTGTTTATATCAATTAACCTATGGTAAAATTAGTTTCTTTATATGTAATTTTGCTTAAAGTAACAGTTTCAAAAAACCTGTTGTACATACTTTTTGAGTAAGTGAATGAATACCTACCTTTTTTGGTACATCTTCGGTGATTTATCATAGAAATTCATATCTAGAGACTGTTTTAAAAGTGAATTTTATATCCCTAAATGAAACTGTCTTAGCCTTAATGGCCTATCATTTCAAAGAGTTTTAGTACTTAGCAACCATTTAATGTATGGATTATTGACCTATTCACTCATATCGCAGATGCTTTGAGCTGTCCAAGTCTGCCAACAGAAATCTGTTTTACAGACTTCAAGGTAAATGACTTAGTAGTCTTTAATGATTGCTGTTATGGATGGCTGTGCCCTTAATTGATAGCTTAGCAGATTAACAGCTCGCTGGATGGATTATTTCACTCTTCCATGCATTCTGGAGCATAATGTGTCTCTAAAGTAGTTCAAGCCAAATCAAATAAACATTTACTGAATGTCCACCATGGGCAAAACACTGTCTAGGTACTAGGGTGGGGGTGGAGTGGAGATGGGAATCAACTTTAAAACACACAGCTACCACCACAGCAAAACACATGCAATAAAAATATCAAAATCAATTGCAGGCATCTACAATTAATGCTTTTTATGAAGATAGGCCAATTCTATATCAATGGAGCACCAATAAAAAATAGTATCAACATTGTTACTCTTAAGAATTCCTAAAACTAGTATGCAGTGAGTGTTTGTATAGGCACATTTGATTGTGCTATGGGTGTTTTATTGAATATTATTGTTTATGAAACATGAAATTAAAAGAAACATTAATAGCATTTGCGTAGTTAAGAGATGTGTAAACAGCAAGAGTAGCAGTGGAAATTATGGCCATGGTTAAAACAAACAAACAAATGAGTGCCAACTATTGCCCTATGTATGTTTTCTCCCTAGCTAGTAATGCCAAGTCTAAATAAAGATTTCTTGGAAAAGAAGAGGACTCCTGTCTGCTCATGAGAGGGTGTGAATAATGGTTAAGAATAAGGGCATTACCACCAAACAGATCTTATTTTAAATCTCCAGTTTTTCAGTTACTAGCAATATGAAAGTGGGCAAGTTATTGAACCTCTCTACAGTTTTATCGTTTATCAAATGGGTATAATACCTATTTTGCCATGGAGTTACTTTACCAGGTAGATATAAGGGTCTGGTCCATAGCTTGCACACTCAAAGTGTTCAATAAATAGTAACACTTATTCTTCTAATTATTAATTTAGTTCCAAATTTGTGTGTCTACCATAAATGTAAAAATCTAACAGTGTCATTTACTGTTAAAGAGAAAGTATCTAAAGTAAGACTATATTACTGAAAGTCGGTGTGAACTTTGAAGACAAAGCGAACTTGGGGTGCAGCAAGGAAGCTGGATTGAGAAAGAAAAGACTGTATGTATGGTGAGTTGGTGAAAACAGGAGAGAGAAAACTGGTTGCAGAAACTCAGTATCAGTAATTGTAGAAAGGAGTATTGCTATGGTTTCCCTATTGAGCATAGAAGACTGCTCATTAAATCCAGTTTAAATAAGAGAAAAACACTACCAGAAATCATATAGGAGTTTGGTCTTTTCAGCCTGCTATTTCCTATAGAAATAATTACAATTGCATTTTAATATCTGAAAAACATTTCAGAGCAGAAAGGGTGATGTAATTGCACTGAGAAGGACAATAGATGTAAAATTTCTGAAAAAATTAGTAAATATTGTGCAAGTATATCATATGATTATTGTCCTTCCTTGCATCTCTGTGCATAATCTTTTCTTTTTTTAAATTTTATGTCCCAATCAAGACTTAGTTTTCTTAACTCTTTGGCTTTCCTGAATGTTACTGCGATTTACTGCAAGGTCAAAGGGCACAGAAATTCAGGTGGTGCAGAAAGTGAAGTGAGAAAAGACTTTATTTTCTCATTAATGTACTTTACTTAAATCAAATAAAAATGCTTGATAAATACAAATAAGTCTTGGAGCAAGAGTAGACAGAATGATAAAGACAAGTTTTCTTCATGCCTGCTAAAGTGTCCTTTTTTTTTTTTTGAGACAGAGTCTTGCTCTGTTGCCCAGGCTGGAGTGCAATGGCGTGATCTCGGCTCACTGCAACCTCCACCTCCCAGGTTCAAGCGATTCATCCTCCTGAGTAGCTGGGATTACAGGCACATGCCACCATGCCCGGCTAATTTTTGTATTTTTTTAGTAGAGGCAGGGTTTCATGGTGTTGGCTAGGCTGGTCTTGAACTCCTGACCTCAGGTGATCCGCCTGCCTCGGCCTCCCAAAGTGCTGGGATTACAGGTGTGAGCCACCATGCCTGGCTAAGCTGTCTTTTGAGTGTAACAGAGGAATCTCCTCATGGGCTGCAGGCTTCAGTGTCCACAAAAGCCAGAGCTGCTCAGCCCAGGTTGGCTTTAAGATTTCAAATCCAGTTCATCAGCTTACATTTCCCATTTGGCAGGGTAGTCTTGTGATTCATTGCCAGTAGGCTCCCTGTGGAGGGATGGTTAATGAGGATTGAAGTTTCATTTAAATTTTCTTTTCAAAAATCTTTTCTTTCCGTGAAGATGAAAGTAAAGAGTTTCCAGACAAGCTTAGCTGGAGTGCATTACACTTCTCTGAAGTTTGAGAATGGCAAAGAAAATGTGAGTAGGAATGTGAGGACTGTGTCTGATTCGACTGGGTGGGACTGCCCAAATGTTACTGCTGAGATGTTTCTTGGGCAGGTACCAATTTGCCTCAGGCATTCAGAGGGCTTACTTCTTCAGGTGGATTGGCCCATTATCTCCTCAGGGCACAAGCCTACCTTCCATCAGAGCTAATGTGAAGGGCATACTCAGTGAATCATGAGCATGCAGACATCAGGGAAAGGGAGAGAGAGAGAGAGAGAGAGAGAGAGAGAGAGAGAGAGAGAGAGAGAGAGAGAAGACTATGGCTGTCCAAAGGAGTCAGCTGGGAGTGGGAGGAGGCTCTTCTGGCATTGCAGCAGACATATTCTTGCCAGGAAGGATGCATTTCTTGAAATTTCTATTCCTGTCTGTAGAAACAGATTTGGGAAAACTTCAGAGCTATGGCATGCCAAATGTAGAGCATGCAAGTTTTCACCTGGCCCACAGGTATCAGCAGGTTGAGACAGATTCTCAAATTGCCAGTAAGGCAGGAAGCGAAGAATAAGAACAGGGAAGATGTTACAGAACAGCTAGTCCCAGCCAAGTGAAGGAGTGAGAAAGACATGATGCATTGTGGGCACAGGCGTGGCTTGCCGCAGCAGACAGCTTCTGACTTTCTTGATGTAGTGATGACTCCTCCCCAGCCCTGCAGAGCATGGGGATTCCAAGTTTGTTGCTAAGTAACAATTTGTCCTAGTTGGAATTAATAAAAGCAGTTTATATAGATGCTGGTCTTTTGAAAAGGTTAGAAGGGTGAAAATGTGGATGAATAAGGAGGATCTGCAGCCAAATTTGAGATTACAACGACTTGGGCTCATTATACCTTAGCTGATAACCCTGATTATATTTTCCAGGGATTTTTGCTTCAATCTTGATTTCACTGGGTCAATTAATTAATAAATTTAGCCAACATTGATTGAGCTAGTTCAATTTCCTGTACCTGAAACACAGTCTTCAGACTATGAGAGTAATTATGGCCAATGTCATCTTATCATGGCACCCATTAAATAACAAGTGAATACTTTTAAAGCAAGATCCCAGCCACCTACATCAGAATCATCTGATGTAGGGGCATTTGCCAAATTTTCTCATCCTAGGTCCCACACCAGATCTGCTATATTAGAATTTAATGCACACACATGTACACGCACACTCAGGGGACCCTTATAATAGTAGTATTTGAGAAGCACTGCTTTTGAATTTTAAACTTTAGGTGGGCAATATTTGCAGAGGCAATTTTTCTCCCATACATACCTTTGTGCCAATTAAAGTGAAGTGCAAACACCTGGTAGTGATGAGCCTTAATTCACATGGCCTCTGAAGAGGCTGGAACTAGAAAGCTTGTCCTTTCCCAGAATCCAGACTGGAATGGCACATTTTTACTATTAACAATTTAAAATAGTAAGTTCTTCCAAATACTAAACCTATCAATTATATATCAGTACATTAAATAATCACTTTGAAAATTGTTTAAAAAAAATCCTTTTCATCTATACTTAATTGTTATTTGCAGTTTAATGTAACCAGTCTTCCATTTATATTGATTTTTAAAAATTTGAATGGCTTTTCTATTTTTCTTGGAATTATGTTGTAGAGCCATACCATAATAGCACATGCTATGTGTAAAGCATGAGACAGAGTGCTTATCATATGCTAATGCTCAGAAAGTGAGTCCTGGTTTTTTCCTCTCCTCCTCTTCTCCTTTTTTCCCCTCTAGATGGCTCCAGGAATTCATAACAGCTATGTGGCAACCACCTGTCTGAATCATGATTTCCTGTTTAAGCCACAGGTCCTCTATTCATCCTATTTATAACATTGGAAATAATTAAAGGTACCATTTGGTTCTTAATTAAAAGTATCTTCTTTGCTTGACTTAGCCCTTCATGTAAACTTGGAGATGTATGCTTCTTACTGCATCATTGCTGTCAACATGGCCAATGGAGAAAGAGAAGATAAATGTGGGAAATCTCTCTACAGAGAGTGTATGGACTCCCTTTCTCTTTTGTTCCCAAATGGGGAAAAAGTAATATCCACATTTGCTCTTTGAGAAAATGAATGAAGCTATATCCTCTCATCAGTGTAATTGCAATTTTGAACAGAGTTTAACTAGACTAAGGACACCTTAATTTATCTCTTAGGCTGACTTCATTGCTGCCCCAGATTAAATATCTCTGCCCTTGGATCAATTACCCAGAATTTTCTAATACAGCAGCTCTGATGACAAGTTTTGGGAGAGAGCATTATCCATTACCCTTCACCTCTATGTATATAATCATACATAATAATCACACAGGAGCCCCTCATGAGGCACAGAGGAGCCATTCTTCTTTGCTGGGGCAATCCTTCCTTAGCTTAGCAATGATAGTACATTTTACTCTCTTCACTGCTATTATACGAGCACTCATGAAAGTTACCATTTATTTTTAGAGATCATTTTGAAGTGTTCCTGAATTACAACCTTAAATCCAGAATATAGGTCATTGGTAGAATGCTGTCTATGTAGCTATGTCTATATAGCTGTATTAACATCTTTATCTATATTATAAATAGTTTTAGACCCATATCTTGTGCTTCTTTTAGATCTTCTTAATTTTTTGGAGCAGAGTTTCTGAGATCACAGATCTTGAAGCATATCCATCTCTACCACATACAGTCTTTGCTTTTCTTGATCTCTAATTTATGTATGGGAAAATACTATTAAACTAGATGTGGCAGGGCAAACTAATTTCCTTTTTCTTTCATTGCAAATGTGACTTCTGGGTTACCTGAATACTACTAGTTTCTTTTCTTCAGTTTAAGTTGTGCTGGGATTTTAAATAAAAAAAGTCAATTTAATTTCCAGTGCTATATGTGTTGAAAACAAAACAAATCCAGAAAAGTTGGGAATCTCTGAGGTCTTTATATTGTTTGAATCTGAAGTTACAGTTTGTGGCAAGTGCGGCTTTCAAAATTAATTTAGGGCCAGGCATGGTGGCTTACACCTGTAACTGCAGAACACTGGGAGGCCAAGGGGTTCAAGAGTAGCCTGGGCAACACAGCAAGATGTGGTGGCTCACGCCTGTAATCCCAGCACTTTGGGAGGCCAAAGCGGGTGGATCACGAGGTCAAGAGATCGAGACCATCCTGGCCAACACGCTGAAACCCTGTCTCCACTAAAAATACAAAAATTAACTGGGCGTAGTGGCATGTGCCTGTAGTCCCAGCTACTCGGGAGGCTGAGGCAGGAGAATCGCTTGAACCGGGGAGGTGGAGGTTGCAGTGAGCCGAGATTGCGCCACTGCACTCCAGTCTGGTGACAGAGCAAGACTCCATCTCAAAAAAAAAAAAAAAAATTAGCCAACATGTTGGCATGTGCCTGTAGTCTCAGCTGCTCTGGAGGCTGTGTTGGGAGGATCACTTGAGCCCAGGACGTTGAGGCTGCAGTGAGCTATGGTTGCATCACTGCACTCCAGCCTGGCTAACAGTGAAATGCTTTGTCTAAATAAATAAATACATAAATAAATAAAATTAATTTAGAAACAAAGTTAACATTAATGAAGAAATTTAAGAAACATAGTGGAAGAGACCCAGAACATTGAAAGAATTCTGATGCTGATGTCAATTTTGTATTAATCTTGGGGTTCTAGATTTTTATGAGAAACTGACTATGGTGCAAAATCACAAAGCTCATGAGTTGGGTGTAGGGCTGGTAGAGGGTGATGCTTACAGAACATGTCTAAATGGCAGAGATTTCCTGAATTTCATTTGCATTAAGATGGTTATTTCTAAAAACTGCTACCCTTGAGGTCAATAATGAGTTTGTAAAAACCTTCTGAGAGGACTAAATCTATTTGTCATTTATGCTTGGTACAAAGTGCTTATATCGGAGTAATACTTGAGTGATATCAGCCCCAGGGAGTGGGATTCTTGGTCTAGAGGTGGATGGAGTGAGTCCAGGGAAGATACATCAGTCAGAAGAAGGATGGAGAAGGAGGAGCAAGCAAATACTATTTGAATGGAAAATTTAAAATAACAATTGTTTATTCAAAAGTAAATTGAGTAAATAGTAATGGATACACAAGTCTGTAATAGGTGCTTTCCACTAATGAATTTGATTGTTTATTACTCCTTTTCTTCTGCTGTTGGCAATCATGAGAGTATTTCCTTATGATAATCCTGAATCTTCAAAAAATATATTCAAAATCCTCTTGGCTTTAGCTCAATCCACAATTTCTGTTTGTTTCTCCCCTGACTCTTGTTCTAAACTTCCATTTTGTGTGTGTGTGTGTGTGTGTGTGTGTGTTTACTGAAATCTGAAACTCATGAAGTGACTACATTATTTAAGCTCATTATCTCCCAACTGCTTGGTTCAGTGTTGGGCATGTAGCTGGTTAGTTCTTAAAATTGTTAAATCGTTTTGTTTTGAAAGACAAAATAAAAAGTCTTGTTGGAATACTGCCCATCTTTCAATGCACTGCTGGTATGTCTTGACCTCTCTCTTCAGTGAGAACTCGGAGGTTTGTTGTTCTGTATATATGGAATTCTATACATGCCTCTCTCACACGGACAGACTAGCTACCCTCTTACCCTGTGTCTCCACCACAGCCTGGTCAGTCCTGCTCAATGAGTGGAAATGAGTGAAAGATTAAATAAAGATTAGAAGCCACGAAAAGAGCTCATGAGTAACTCATCTGGCTCTTCTGGTGCCCTCCCTTTATTGTGGATATTTGGCAGTCTCCTCAAGGGGACTGCCAGCATCTGACTGTGGTTCAGTGTTTCTTAGCATTTTATGTAGGTTTAATCCAGATGTTAAGACTATTCTCTAGAGTTTATTGGTGTTGGGCTTATTTCATCTAACCCTGGGAGGAGGACTCATTTGGTAATAAATAACCTTGCTAGAGGAGAGCTGGGAGTTGTATCTAGAGTATGTTGTATCCATTCCAGGCCAAACTGTTTTCCTAAAGTAGGGGAAATGTTGTATGGGGGATAAAGTGTCCTCTCAAGTGTTCTCACCTCTAGTAGGAAAAATTCAATTTCCCTGAAAGATAAGTCACCACTTTTCCCTTCCTGAAACTTTAGTCTCTCTATCACAGTGGAAACAGAGCTGAGGATCAAAGATGCAATACAAATTACTGGGTCACGTTTTGAACCCTACTTGTGTGGTCATCAGAATGTGTAGGAGCAGGAGGTAGCTGGCGGCAGATGGAGAGCTGTGGGAGTGTCGGGGTAACAGCAGGGGAGGCTGGTGAAATTATCTGAACACAAAATGGTGATTTTGATACTGTGTTCTGCCACCAAGCACAAGGTTATTAGCTGTAAAAAATCAATTTTCTTCGATAGTGTCTTTATGTCCCCTACCTTTTCTCTGAAATTTAGGTGATGACCAAAGTAACTTCAGAGACTATATTGCATAGCACATTATGCGTTTGTTGCATTTAGCTGCTCTGGACATTATAAAATCAATAGAATACAATGTTGAAACCAAATTTCAAAATGGATACTGTATTTTTCCTATCTCCTTTGTAATTTCAATCAGATAAGGTTTTTGTTTCTTGTCCAAAGCTGTTTGGTGAGCATTAAGTTTCTTGCAAAAGGCTAAATATAATATGTGGATATGCTTCAATCTAATCACCACATATTTATTTAGCTCCTAATATGTATAAAGTCATACAAGTCGATGTGAAAGAAACACAGCTTGTATTAGACACAGCTCTGGCACCTTTCCTCTCTCATGAAATTTACTCTTGTGTGTTACAATGTTTTTACTTCTTTTTCAATTTATGAGCTTGTCTTTGTTTGATAAAAGTAATATATTACCAACCCAATTGGAAACAAGAAAAAGTATATTGTCCACAAGTCTCCATGCTAACACAAGACTACTAGCATTTCTTCCTTCCAGTCTTTTTTCTGGACTTGTGGATTTTCCTCTTTAGTTGTTACAGTGTACATATATACTGATAGCTTCTTTACATTTTACATTATATTATAAATATTGTTCATTTTACTACAACATCTTCAACATCTTAATTGTGACGAGTCATAATACCTTGAAGAATAGATGAGGAACATTTGTTTAAAGAGTCCCTTGTTTTATAGCCTTAGTGGCAGCATGGGACAATGAAGAGAACATGGACTTTGCCCAGAAATTGGCCTTAAATGCAGGCTCAACCACTTTTTTGCTCCATGGTCAAAGGAAGGTTATTTCTCTTCTCTGAGCCTCAGTCTTCATGTCTGTAAAATCTGTCATGTGTTTAGTCAATACGTGATCTGGAAATGGTAGCTCTTATCATTAAGGCTCTTTCCAGTTTTTGCCCTTATAAATAATGTAATGTGGGACATCTTTGCACGCATAACGCTTACAGATTTTCTGTTATTTTCTTTGGCTAGAACTCCAGAGTGCAACTTCTGGGTAGTTCTGATTAAAGACTCTTGACTTGCTGTATCATGTTGCTTTCCAAAAGAATTTAGTAATTTAAATCATACCATCAAGGTATGAAAGAACCTAGTCTCATTTTATATTTTTCAGGTAAACTTGACAGTCGTCTTTCTAAGCTCCTGAAAATGCAAATAGGATTTGATTGTAATATTCAACCTTCTCAGTCAGAAATATCATGTGCTTGCTCACTTATTATAATATTTTCTATTTTCATAAATATTTACATTTTTTCATATAGCCCATGTTTCTCATTGAGAACATTCGTGAATTTTATATGTCTTATTGCTACTGGGAATATTCATGAATCATAATAATTATAGATAATATAATTATAGATGATTATATGATATATATTTTCTGTATTTTTTACTTTCTTTACTATTCTTATCTATTGTGTCTGCTTCCACATTATTCTTTTACCAGCCAGACTTTCTAAATCAATATAAGTAATAATAGAGATAACAGGCATCCATGTTTTATTTGAATGTAAAAGGAATCCCTCTAGGACAACATTTTCACAACTGTGTTCTGAGGGGACCAGTGCTTTGAGTAAAAAAACATTGCATTCCATTGAGATTTGGAATTCACACCACTGTCTTAATGTTTCCAAGAAGTCCTGCCATCAGATATATATTTAACTTTGTTCAACTCAGCATTTTCCACACATATTTGAACAAGGGATCCCTACATTCTTTTTGAAAAAAACTGCACATATTAACGTTTTGGAGGACAGTGCTCTGGGGAACTCGCATTTGGAAAAAAATACTATATATCCCCATAAAATACAATGCTGGGACTACTATGGATAATATTTTATTAATAGTGCCAAGGAAGTAGCCATTTATCTCTCTTTTAAAGATGTTATTAAAAGGAATGAATACTAAGTGTCTTTTAAGTATCTGTTGAACAATTTAGTTTGTGTTATTTTGTCTATTAATACGACATGATATAACAAAAAGTTCCCAATATTGAACCCTCTTTGGAATCCTGGCATAAAACCTACTTGAGATTGGTGGATTATTTTAAAAAAATACCTTGAATTGTCTTTACTAAACTTTACAGTACTTGAGATTTTTGCATCTATATTCATAAGTGAAATTGGCATATGATTTTCATTTTTGCACCAATTTTGTTAGGTTTTGGTATCAGGTCTTTATATTTGCTCCATTAGATGACGGAGCATTTTCCTATGTTTTATTCAATACAGTAACTGTTTGTATCCAACAGCAGAATTCTTTGTTCCTTGAAGGTCTGGAATAATTCCCTGGTTAATAGGCTGAGGCTTTTAGAGGGGATGTTCTTTAATAACTCTATTCATAATTTCCTCAGTATTGCTCTTGTAAAGTTTTCTTTCTGTTTTTAAATCAATTTTGGTAATTTATGTTTTTTTTTCCAGAAAATTGTCTATTTTGGTGAGATTACCAAATTCATTTTCTTATAATTATCCATAGCATACTTTATACTTCGTAAATATTTTCTGCAACTGTCTTTCTATATTTTCCTTTCTTCTAATTGCACTGTTTCTGCCTCTCTTTTATAAGAGCTACTGCTTGAACTTATTAACTCCACAATTTTTCTCCTAACTTTTGATTTTATTATTATGACATTTCCATTTTCTGAAGCCATTTGCTTTTCCTAAATATTGATTTCCTAAAATATTAATTTGATTTGTCCTTTCTCTTTTGCTTTTTAAGCAATAAATACCTTTGGCCATAAATTTGCCTGTGAGTAGATCTATGAATTTCAGAAAGTTTAATATATTTTTTCATTTTTCATCTTTGTTGTATCTAAATAACCTTTTGTTGCCCTACTAGCTAGACTGTTGAAGATCTTGAGAAAACTCTTCTAAATTAACCTAAGACTTGTGGCTCTGTTATGCATTACTATTTCTTTCTAATTTTATCTGCTGGATCTAATAGTCTGAGATGACTGTTGAGAAGCAAGATATGCCGAAATCACTGAAATCCTTGTAAAATTTTAGCATCTTATTTGCTCAGAGAGAAGAGAATATATGTGACCTTCAAAGTGTCTATTTAAAGCCACTTTACATTTATTTAGCAAATATTAATGCAATTAGTAAGTGCTAAGCATCACTTTAAGCATTTTATGAATATTAATGCAATTAATCTTTTAAAAACCTTGGGAGATAGGTATTATTTCCCCCTTTACAGTTGGGGAAACCAGGGCAGAGAGGCTAGTGAGAGCCAGGACTTGAACCCCACGGGTCTGGCTTCAGAGTCTGGTCTGACGCATTGTGTTGAGCTGCTTTTCTGTTTTTAAATCCTGCTTGCTTATTCCTTTGATGCAAATGTCTCCATAAGTAAGTTGGAGGAAAACCTCTCCCTTTATACCCCAATTAAGATTTTACACAAGGTTATGACTGTGTATAACTATAGATTTTGATACCTGCCCCAGGAAAGTAATAAATGGGGTCTTATTTCACTATTGGCTGGAATTGCCTCCTGATCATCTCCCTGTGAGTCTTGGCCATAGGCTACAGGAAAAACCTATTTGGGTCCATCTTCATCTCCAGTCTTAACAGCTGCAGAACCCAGAATGTTCAGATTATCAAAATCTCCTATCACTGGGGCATGGGAAAGATGAGTGATATCAAGACAGTACTTGGCATCACATTAGGTGGAAAATAAAAGGAGAAGAAACACTGCTGTCTGTTTTTTGATATTCTGTAGTTTCTGCCTTACACTGATCAAAAGACACAAAGCAAACTGTGGTCCAGGAGAGCAGGTGGCCCCAGGTTTTGAGGTCTGAGTCCAGCAAACAACTAAGTGGCTTAGGAGAAACACTGGACCCAGTGCTCCTGGTCTTAGATCACTGTGTAGAGTATCCCCGTGAACAGTTACCTACATTGCAGCAGCTGCAATGTAGAGGGTCTGCTTTTGCAATTGTAAAAAACAGAGTTTTGGGGTTTATGTTTAAAGGGCTATTTGCTTTCTTTGATCCCAGGGCCACAAAGTACACAAAGAACATCTGTCTATCTTTACATTATTCTTCAGTTACAGCTGCTCTTAAAGAACTAGTTTATTTTCAATATGGTGCTCCTCAGTAACTCCCCAAAATAAATTTTATATATACCTTATAGCATATATTTTACTTCAGACTGTGCCAAATATAGCCTTCAAATTCTGTAATAAATACATAGAAAATTATTTTTGTTTATATAGATTGATTTCCTCATTGACCTAATTGTTTTTAAGAGGGTAGTTCTAAATTATTTTTTAATGAGTGGGGTTTTAGGTTGAATATGTTACTTACGATTTTAATGTGTTGTGCCAAAGAGTGTATTCTATTTTTTTCTTTGCATTCTTTACATGTAGCTTTTGTGTTTAGTGTCAGTGTTGGATTTAGGAAACACATATGGCTTTTTTTTTTTTCTATGAATGGGGCGGTGATACTAACACACACCAACCACACCCAGTGGCCATGTATAACATAACTGGTCTGCTCACTGTTTCATATTTAGCTAGTAAATTTCTGCATCAATTACTAAGCTGATATGAGCATACAGCCAAGATTCAGGGCACATAGTCTTATCTTTCCCAAAATAGTTTCAGTTTTTAGTAGGTGATTTGTTTCATTTCAGGATGTATCTAACATCAACATCACCTAGTTACACATCAGCTGTAACAAATTAGGTCATATTTCATCATATAAGCATCATGTACTGATGTAGATCATGTCACGATTTTTGTGACCTTTTTGTTTTCTTCTTAATTATCTTCAGTCATTCAGAACCATTGACCTATTTCCCTTGCATCCTTCGGTTCTTCATACCAGAGTATTCTATTATGATAGACTAGAATGGGCAAATGATTGTCCTGATTCTTCCGGCTAAGGATGAGTCCAAATGTGGTCCCAGAAAACCTTGTACCATTACCCTAGAACCGCAGAACAGAGGTTCTGAAACATCACCAGGCAGTAGAATCCACTGGAGGGCTTTTTAGAACACTGATTTTTAGGCTCCACCCTCAGAGTTTCTGATCCTGCAGATATGGGTGGGACCCAAGAATTTGTATTTTAACAAGTTCCCAGGAGATTCTAACTCTGCTGGTCCCAGGCTGCACTTTGAGAACCACTGCTCTAGAATCTTGTAAGAAATTTGCAGAACCCTTGCTACTATACAAAGGGGCATTGTCAAACCTGACAAGTCCCAAATGGTCTCAATCCACTGATCTTGATTGTAAGTCTAAAAAATAAAAAAATGTATTTTTCTCCCATAACAAGTACTGCTCAGAATCTATCTTCTCTGCTTTCTGGCTGATTCAGTCTTAATCTGGAAGGTTTTCATCCCCAGAGACTTGGAAGCAAGATCATGTATAGCTGGTGTTTTGGCACGCTTTATCTCTGTGGCAGTCAACATTTGGAATACATAGACTCTTGCTCTCTTAAGCACCTGAAAAGAATGTTTCTATACTTTTGGTTTTCTTGCTTACCAGAGTGAGATAGACAAGAGGAATGCAGAAATGGTACCACAAAGACAAATGCTCCTAGAAGCCAAACGGAACAGGTAAGCACATTAGGGCTGTCCTGATTTTTACAGAATTCCTTTGAACCTCTATTCCATCTGGGTGTGCACATTTTTTGATGCTCAGATTATGTAATTTTGTTTTGTTTTCTGTTTTGCTGTTCTAGGCAAGGAAGAGGAATTCAGACTCTTTTGGGGGGTCTTCTTGCTTCACTACATACAAATCACCAATTGCTGGAACTTCATGGAGAATTAGAAAGGTTTCTTCATCCCAGTCAATTCTGTGTCATCAATAAATATGGTTACATTGATAAATAAGGTTAACCTGAAAGTCCAACTAACATTTTCTTTAAATATATTTTGGAGCAGATCTTGAAATCTCCTTAGGTAGACTGTTATAGTGTTGATTCATCTTTACTTTGTGGATCTCTTTACCTTAGGTTGTACAAATCCTTCAAATTTAAGTCCATATTTTTCTGGTTCCATTTTCCACAGAGATGGAGATCCGGTTAGGTGTCTTGTCTCCTTGTGGTAATACAAGCACCAATTAAATCACAGTTTTAAAAGGCAGAACAATTTGAGATTCTTATTTCTTTTGTGCATCTAGTTTCTAATCTTGTTAATGCCTTTTTTTCTTTGTGACCTTCTTAAATATTTGTAAGCTTTTTTTAAAAAAATTCTTTTTTAATAACATGTTTGACTGCTTACTTGTTATGTGTCAGGCAGTGTTCTAAGCACTTCACATGTCATTACATGCTTTACCAAATTAGTAGATGTGCATTATTGAAGCCTCATGGGTTTCTAAAAAATTAATCATTTTGCATAAAGATTCTGACATTTCTCTCAAGCAAACAGAAATAATTTTTTCTGGTCATTATTTCTTGTTTTCCTACCTTGTAGGGGCTCTCTGGAAATTGATTTTCGATTTGCACCAGTTGTTTTAATATTCTAGTGTTTTCCAATTCTGTCAGTATTAGTAGCTTCGATGAATACTGCAATTTACCCTGACATTCAGGAAAGCTCAATATGCTAATTAAAAGATGCTGATCAGGAGATGTTAAATTTCTGTTAGGATCCAGTTAAATATAACACAAAGATTTCTGACAGAGAAGAAATGGATGATAACAAATATAGAAGCAGGTGGCAGAAACTGTTTAAAAGATCACTAGATGTCATTCTGGAAGATAAGGCAAAATAAGAATATGTGCTAAAACAGAACAGTTTAACCCTTGATAATTATTGGAAAACTTCGTGCCTAACACAGGGCTGTGTTCATTCATCTGGCCATTCAAGGAATAACTATGCTCATGCATGTGGTCCCTGTATTGAAGCTCAGGCACAGTGATTGAGATGTCGTTCTTTTTCTTGAGGGACAAGCTGACAAAGAGCAGAAGGATGTAGGCAGCGCTCACCTCATCCCTGCATTTCATAAGTTGTGAGAATGGCAAGTCTTGCACACTCCTAATATGCCAGTTAGGGGCATTTTGCTTGGGATGCTGTAATTGAGAAAAAAAGAGGAGTGTGCTTAGAGGAAGGTAATTTTTCCTATGGGCGTCCGTGATGACAGCGGGTGTGAAGAATCCTAGTGACTGCGGGAAAGAGTGACTGCTGCTGTGAACCAGGACATGCAGAAAGTTCTGCCAATGCCTCAGGAGGCTAAGAAAGGCCCCTCTCCCAGTCTGGAGCAGGTCTGAATTGGAGAGCCAAGAGGGTGCACAGTGCTAAGGGAGGGGACAGAATCTAGTCCTGGGGGGTTCTTGGGTCCCTGTGATCTGAAGTGGAGGAGGTGATGCTCACTGCGGGCAGAGGCTCTCATGCTCCCTCCACATGCAAAGTTCAGGGTTCCTTGCTGCTTTCGTTTAATAAAACCTCTCTCTACAACCTTTTCTTAATGGTCTCACTGGGATGATTCTGAAGAGAGAATTTATCAGGTCAGGCAGCAACCTTAACCTCTCCAAATCCAGCAACGTCAGTTCTTCTGCGACAGGAAACTTGGGCAATAAGGACCATGAAAATATCCAGTAAATTACCACGATGCTGTCAGTGCTGATACTGTTAAATTTTGAGTAGGAATTTCACAAATTGACCTTTACTGCACTATATAAAATCATATAACATAACATAGTATAATATAACATCCCTGTGAAGTTCTTGTCAATAAATGATAACCACAAGATTAAAAGGTGGAAAACCCTTATTTTCTTAGGGATATCAAAGTACGTATAAGATTTAGGCATCCTATTTAGTCTCAGGTGTAAGACAATTCTGGTCTGTCTCTCCCTTTCTCTCTGCAATTGTTTTTCTGAGCACACTTGACTGAATGCCCTTGATAACTTAGCAGTAGCCACCTATCATGTGCCTCTTATGATGTGTTGGACATTTTGCATGTATTATTACAGCCAATACTCACAGAAACTCTGCCAAGGTAGGTATTATTATGTCTCATTTACACATTGAAAGTTGAAATCATTTGGAGAGATTTGTTCCAGAGGCAGAGTGGAGGTTCAAGCCCAGGCCTGACAGGTGCCAGAGCTGCAGTCCTCTCTCCACAGATACAGCCACCTCCTAAGAAGGGCTTCCTGCACATGTTTACAACACACCTCATCAGGGTCATTATAAGCTTTCTTTGACAACTAATAAGATTTCAGATATACTTCTAAAAATCAAAAGAGCAATTTTATCAGCAAATACAGCACTTACAAGGGGAAGCAATATTATTAAAAATAATAATATTTTCCAAGTATTGTGATTTAAATAGCCATTACTCCAGTGTGGCAGTATTTAAGATAGTGTTAGCAGGAATCAGTAATGCCAAAAATTAAATATGACATTTACTTTGAAACCAGAGTTTATACAGTACGGTTCCCTTGTCCAAACAGATCAGAACGACACGTCTTTATGTTCTGTCTAAAGATAGTTGTCCTGCTATCACTACACATTTGTCTGGAGTGGGTGGTCTGGGAGATGTAACTGTGTCCCTGCTCGGTAGGCTCAGCAGTTCACAGTGTCTGTTACTTCCAAATGCTGCTCGACTTTTGGCTGTTGGGTTCATCCTCCTACGTTGAGTCAAAGGGGTCAGATAAGTCCTTTGGAATGTCTTGTTCCAAATCACTGCTGCTGTTACTAAGCAAAAGCAAAAACAGTGCAGCCGCAGCCATGTGGGAACTGGCCTCGAGGCTTGAACAGTGGTGGATGAGACAGATGGGCTAATGCCAAGGACAGTTGCCCTACTGGTCACTTTCTTAGAGACTGGAAATAAATGCCATGGTCCCCTGTGCTCCAACTCATCTCTGTGTTGGTGACCTAGACCAAGGGCCATCTGAGCCTAGTGCGAGCATGCTCACATCTTTATGAGCCTATCCTTGCCGGTGTGTTTTTGTGGACCAGTGTCTGTGCCTTTGCACCATGAGCTAATACTCCTGAGATATATTTATCTCAGGAGTCAAGTCAGTTTTTCAGCTGCGCCAATGATTTGGTAGGGGTAAACCTTGAAGCAGGACAATTCTTTTTTTTTTTTTTTTTTTAAATGAAGTAAAACAGCGTGTTAAGTAAGGGCTAATAGAACTAGTGTCTGAAGATGTTTTGTCTTGTAATATATGTGCATCACACAAGGTGGCAGAATAAGCATAAGGCGATCCTCCAAATGCCAGGCGGGGATGCTGCATTGTTTGCAAGGCAGGAGCTGGTCACTAGCCCCTACCTTCACTGCTGCAGCTGCAGCTGCTGCTTCTCTGTGAGTGTGCTCACGTCTGTGTTTGAGGGGAATATGCCACGTAGTTTAATAATTTGCTGGCACCCCATCCTTTGCTTTCCATGAGAAACTGTGTTAGATGATTAGACCGCCCTGGTTTATGAAAATGCATACCTACTCCTGGCTCTGGTTTATATGCTTTCTCTTTGATTGAAAATGCAAGCTCATTCTCCATCAGCATTCTAGTTCAACTCAAGGGCATTGTAAAAGCACAGCCACAGACAGTTTTATAACATAATATCAAATTTTAACTTTTTTCTTCTCCATATAGGGTGTAAATATGAAGTTAAATATTTATTGTTTGTCAAGCATATTAACACTGTTTGTTTCTCTCCATAAGGAGAATTAAAAGTTCCTGGATTTATTTTTAAATTTAATTGAATAGTTAATACTTAATTTTAATCATTATTAATTTAATTTTTAATGTAGTCATTTTTATGGCTGAATTAAATATTTTACCAGACTCAAGCTTGTGAACAAGGCCATTAGCAATTGACTACATAGGACTGTCAGGCCAAGCATCAGAAATACTACAGTAGAAATTTATCTGTACTATTAACCTATTCAGTACAAAGAAATGGGACATCTTTCAAAGTCATGAGGAAAACATTTGATCTCTCAAATAAAAAAAATGGAAGCTACGCATAGGCCCCATTTCTCATATAAAATTCACGTGTCTTAGCTTCAGAAGTTTTAACTGACAACAACTTATTTTCCCAAGTTCTATATGGAAAATATCAGGGTCAGCTATGGGAGGGGATAAAATGCTCATTCTCCATAAAGTAGGTCAGACAATTTGCCAAGCTAGATCACCAGGGAGACAGCTGACTATGGCTGGTCATCTTTGGTCAGTTCTTTCATCTTCTCTTCCCTATGATCACTGTTTTTCAAGGGCTTTCAATACTTCTCTCAAGTTCTGCTGGTTCCTGAATCTGTGTCTCTCCTCTCGCTTAGCTTAAATTGTAGTCCTTATTTCTAGGCTTCTTGCAGTTGGCTGCATCTCATCATTTCCTCCTCCACCTAACACCTACCAGCACTGTGCTGGAGTTAGCTCAGACTGGCTTGGGAAAGCCAATTTTGCATATCTTTTCCCAAGTTCTCAGTCAGTGACGTCAGGTTGAAAGCTTAAATTGGCCATGGTGGGAGTATTTACACCACAAAAATCAGCCAACACCATGAAAAGTCAGGGCTCTTCCCTCCCATCCTCCAAGCCAGTGTACCTGCCCACCACTATGTAAGACCATGGATTCCAATGAAGAACCCCAACTCCAAGTTGATTCTGTCATTTCACACCCCTGAATATGTGGTTAATGGCACACCGCATGAAGTTAATCTTCCATGTGTTAACCTCCCTAACTGGAAAAAAATATATTTATTCACAGAACTGATGGTATTCTTGTTCATGTTTAGGAAAGACAGATGACTGCATTACGCAGCTGGTGTGCCATTTAAACCATTGTGCACACAGCAGCTGGGCAGAGATTTAAATGGAAAATGTCTCCACCTATAGACCATGCCAAAAATGAACTGCAAATGGTCCAAACACCACAGTAAGTTTCGTGAAATGTCTGACACTTCTTCAATATACTGGCTACTCCTAGAGAGCTTGGCATTGTTGCCCAGTGCAGAGAATTGCAAAGTCACTTGATTTTTGAGGGAATTTACAATCTGCTTTATCTTGTGGGTTTTTGTTCCTCTAAAAAGAGATGTCCCAACTTTCTGCACTACATTGGAATCTTTTCTCCTAGAATTCAAATAATCTGTCAAGGTCAAGTATTCAAAGTGTTCAAAAATTCATAAAAATTCAGAACATTCTTTAATCTGGAATTCAAAGCCCTCTCCAATATTTTTCCAGCCTACTTCCCAATCTGTTGTTCTCTGTGATTTCTGACCACTCCATCTTTGCTCACACTGTATCTTCCGCCTGAAGTGTTTTTTATTTAATCTTCTCTATTTTATTAAAACTTTATCCTGTTTCAAGGCGGATGTGAAAATCCACCCCTCTATAACGCTTTCCTGATTTCCCCACTTGGAAATACATATGTTCTTCACAGGACACTTACAACAGTTTCTATACCTGTTAGGTTGCTTACTAATTTTTATATTTGCACATGTGTTTTATCTTCCTTACTAGATTTGAAAACGTAAGCCGTGCGTGCTGGTTATTAAGCTATTGACTCTCTGCTCAATTTGCCCTTTTTCACTCTGCATATGAAGCTGGGGCTGATACTATGCAAACCATACGTCTGGTTTGCTGGCTGCTTCCTGTCAGGGGCACCAGGTGGAGAAACTGGAAGGAAGAGGTGGGAGGGAGACGGAAATTGTTTCTTCCTGTTTGCTTCATGTTCCTGAAAACGATATTCCAAGGATGGCACATCACTCAGTCAGTAGCAGTTGGTTCCAGCCTGCAGCTTCTCTCCAAATGCCAGAACCCACCTCATAGTGTCCCTCAGAGGCACCAGCATCATCCATGTTTCTCAGGCATCTGGACCCCAGCTCCTTGAGGCCTGTCCTGTGAGCTTTGCTAAGTAGAAGCCCCTGCTCAGATATTAGAGCCCAGCTCTGAGTGGGCCCTCCTCTAGCTTCTAGGTCCTTCCCTATGTTTCCTCAGCCCAAGAATGCACCGCGTCTTGCAATTATGAAGTCTATGTTGCCCCAACCTTCCTTCTAAAAGGTCGTTTCGGTTCTCTAACACCCGCATTATCAATTCTCTATAATAAATACCCTGTTGAAATATCCAGTGTGGTTTGTCTGTTCCTGACTGGACCCTGAATGCTACACAATGACCGATCCATCTGGTTTCCTCCTTTGTCCAACCCCTAACCCAGTTCCTACCAGTGTGGTTTGCACACAGTAATTCCTTAATAAATATTTGTTGAACGGATGAATGAATATTTATTAAGATAAAAGATCCTGCTATATTTCATTATTCTGTCTTTTCTTCTCCATTTTCATGATTACTATGTTCAAATAAGAAGCCTCAGTTATCATTCATGGGCAATTTTAGTGGGTCAGGAAGCATTTCCTTGGGGTTTATGGGATGGTTTAAAATGCATGACTTGCCACTATACTTCACAAGCAGTAGAAAACAACATATGCATTATGCAGGGCTCCTTTGTGTTGATCACTCTTCTGCAGACTTTAGAGAAGTTTTTGTACTGAGAAAGATGCTACTTTCCTCATGTGTACTGGTAACAGAAATGGACATGATTTATGATATGCACATCAAGAGGGTGACTCTATTAGCCACTCTTTTACTCCCTCTTGAAACTGAATAAGGATTTTTTTTTGAGGATATGATTTAAGGCCAGATTGTGTAGAAAACAGCTGCTCTACAAGCATGTGAATAATTGCTGCTTTAACCAGAGTAAACTTTGCAGAAGGCTGAAGGCATTATCCATTACATTAGAAGAAGATAAAAAGAGCGCCAAGGGGAATGTAGAAACTGACCAACTGGGTAATCAGCAAGGATGTGATTATTCTAGACTGGAATATATGAAATGCTCAAGTCCAGATATGTGATGCACACATAGAAATCTATTAAAATTGTATACATCTCGGTTCCTGCCTCCCTCCCTCCCAGGGCTTACATCAGCTTAAACAACTGATATCATTAAAGTGCCTTTGAGGAAACTCCTTGAATACAGGTGGGAAACTGGCAGTTATGGCAATGATAGTAGCTGGAATATTTTTACTCTGTGTTTTACTGATTTTGACCATCATTAGCATACAGACAAAGCCAGAATCTAGTGAACAAATGAAGCATCACTAAACCACTCGGGAGATAAGCCACACCCTGTGCTCACTGTTTTCACGTAGCCTATGTCATTTGGGAATCATGCGAACATCATTCCTCACCAAAAATGTGACTTTGCTTAATATATTGTTTGCTAAATATAAATAACCTAGAGGTAGGTAAGTTGCAGATCAGCAGTGTTGAGAAACTTTTTCTAAATCCTTCTAATCTAATCTTCAACACCTATATTACAGTATTTGGACTTGGATAATTTTCTGTAACCAACAGAACACCAGGAAACTTTCAAAAACATACAGTTTTTGGCTCTCTAAAAAAAAGGATAAAGAAAACGCATTCTGAAGAGGATCACTGAAGTGGTTTGAAGCATGGATGGGCACCCCGGGAGTGAGTTGGTATTATGTCTGCATGTACTTTGGGGTAGCATGATGTTGTGTAACAACCACAGGCTTTGAGTTGGTAGAACTGAGTTTAAGTCTTATCTCCTCTGCTAGCAAACCTCAGTTCTCACTTTTATAAAATGGGGATGGCAATATCTCCCCAACAGATTACAGGGAGGATCAAGTGCTCTTACCTTTGTGAAAGCTCTTGGGACAGTGCCAAGCTTGTAGTAGGTTCACAATTAATGCTGGTTGAGTTTGAAAGGACCAGGTGTAGAAGTTGGCATAGGAAGTCACAATGGAATAGGCTAGTGGTCAGCACAGGTGCTGAAATCCCTGGCTGGCCTCACAGGGTGAGTGGAACACTGTCCCACCACAAGGAAAGCTATGGTAATTCTTCCGTGCCTCTGGAACATGTGATCAGGTGTGAAAATCAGTGGGCTCAGAATAGGGTGCAGAGAAGGTGGATGGGGGTGTGGCCTCAGGGCAAATGAAGCACTGGAGGCTTGTGAGTCCTTGCATCATTTCTTGGCCATGAAAGCCCCTCATGTACAAACTCAGACCCTCTGCTGTCCCACCACTCCAACATCCCAGTATCTTTATCCTCTTCCTCTTAGGCCCATGTTGTCAAAACATCATACCTCTGATCTGAGCATGCTTCGCTCTACACCTATAAACTCCATGTCTGTGCAGTTTGAGTTCTAAGTTTTACAGCTGTTTTGTCCTCCCAGACTGCACACTATTTCATCTCACTGCTAAACATTTTCTTGCCTTAGGTAGTCTATGTCCCTCCTTCATATGTGTTACTCCTAATTAGCTATGATATTGGAAATCAGCTCCCCACTCTTCAGAATCATGGGAAAAATAAGCATAAATGATTGATGATAAAACCCCAGGTGGCTTTCCTATGAGTCAAGTGCCTCAGCTTTAGTGTCTGGAGTTAGTGGCATATTTTGGCTGCTTTGAGACCTCTTTACTTTCTTCTTAGTTCGAAGCTGTGTTCTGAAAAGGTGACATTGCTTATTGTAAAGTTCTAGATGAAATATTATTGTATTGTCCTTAATCCTTTTCTGGTAATAGGGGACAATATTACTGATTCACTGGGCACCTGCCATTAAGTGGAGAGAGACAGCATTATGTGCTGCCTCGTTTTGAAGGGCTCCTGGTGTTGATAAGAGCATTCAGAAGAGCTCGATGCAGACACTAACTTATCTGGCCTCCTTGGCAATTGCTTGTGGATGAATGGGCAAGTCAAGTCCTTGTAAAGAAAGGTCAGGATGAAGGTTAACAAATATATTTTTGAGGTTTGAGACATGAATAAGCAGAAACTGTCAGAGGTTGAAAGGGAAAAGAAAAGGGAAAAAGGGAATTCAGGACCATTTTCAGACAAGAGAGGAGAAAGAAAGCAGACAAAGAAACATATGGGGGAGGAAGTAGAGAAAGAATTAATGAATACTGGCACAGTGACCCTCCGCTGCAGTGGGATTAATAGGTCTAGGTGAGCATCCCTTGACTAAGACTGATCGCTGAGTACAGACACAAAATATAAGGGCCAGCTCCAGGAAAATCCATGGAGAGAAGCACAGTGTGATTAAGATGCAGTCCCTGCTAAACTCTGACCTGGGAGAGTGAAGAGAAAGTGAAAGGTGAGTCACTAGGAAATAGTATGAGCGATATTGTGATGAGAAGAGAAAGTTAGGGAGTCAGAAGGTGGAACAGTAGTTTGAAATAAACTGTGCAGCTTAGCATGCTGGGGCAGAGGTAAGCAGTGGCAAAGAGGGATAGAGCATGAGGACCCTTGGTGTCATCTGGTGAGGTCCAGGAAACCAGACATTGAGGGCATGGAATGAAGGACTCTAGATATTTCTGTGCTAGCAAAAGATACACAAAGGAGAGCTGCATTTTGGGCTGGAAGGGCCTGTAGGGGAATGTGGGTAATGTGCATGGTAAATCTTACACAGTAATATTAGCCAGTGGCATTGCAAATTGATCTTGCCTCTTTGCCAAGTACTGTCCTAAGACTTGGGCTACCACCATCTCTGGTCTGAGCCACTGTCGTTCCTTGCCTGGATTACTTAATAGCTTCTTAATTGGATTTCCCACTTTCACCCTTGCCCTCTAAGGTCTATTTTCAATAGGGCAAGCCAGAATGATATGTTTTAAACTGTAAGATCTTATTTCTTTTCTGCATAAAACCTTGTGATGATCTCCTCTTCACCCAAAGTAAAAAACAAAGTTCTGACAAGGATTTACAAGGCCATACATGATCTGTGCCCTCCCAGCACTGTTCCTCTGTCATTCTGCTTCCTATGATTCTTCCACTTGTTTAGTCTGTGCCAGTTAAATGCCCCCCTTGCTATTCCTCAAATATGCCAGGTGTACCACTTCCCAGGGACCTTGGCTGGTCGTTTCCTCTGCCTGGAGTGTTCTTTCTCCCAGATACCCACATGGCTAACTCTGTCACCTCCTTTGCTCAAATGTCGTCTTCTCAGTAAGTCCTGTATTGACCACCTTATTTAAAATTGTCACTCACATATTCCCCTTCTGCATGTCCTCCCCACTTCATTCCAATCTTTTCCTGATTTTTCTTTATTGCCATAGCCCTTATCACTTTCCAACATACTATGTAATCCAATTATTTGGTTTGTTGTTCATTGTTTGTCTCCTCCATTAGGAGCTTCCACTGTGAGCTCCACAGGGAAGGAATTAATAAATTGCTCATCAGTGTACCCCAAGTGACTAGACCACACCTAGTCACCTAGAAATCACTTGGTTTTGGACTGACTGACTTAATGGAAAATAAGAATGAACTAAATGTGGGTAGTGGAGAAAGGCAGGGGAAGGAGATTGTTCACATTTGAGCAAAGTTAAGTACAATGGGAATGGCGGGCGGCATGGAAGGATAAGACTAGAAAGTAGGTGATAAGGATTTTGGTCCAGGGGAGATGAGAAGCCATGTAATTATTCTAAGTGGTGGTGATGACATAGTTTGATTTGCATTTGGAAAAAAAAATCAGTAGCTGAGTAGGGACAACCATTGAAATTGCTGGTTACAGGAGGCCAAGAAAGAGATGGTAGCTTAGACCAGGAAGATGTTGATATAGGAGAAAGTGGTGGATGGATTATAGAAATATTTGCACATGCCAGAATAGAGTAGTGAGCAAAGTTTGTGGGGGAAAACAAAACAAAAAATGAAAAGCAGGAAATGGCAAGCCTGGCTTCCATGCTGGATGGATAGTAGCATCATTCATTGCAATGAGGAACCCTGGGAAAGGATCAGGTTTTGGAGGAGAGATCATGAGTTCAATTGGCGACAGGTTGAATGTGAGATGCTATTGTGGATTGAATTGTGTCCTCTCAACTCCAGTTCATTTGTTGAAGTCCTAATCCCCAGGATCTCATTTGGAAATAGGGTTGTTGCAGACGTAATTAGTTAAGATGAAGTCATACTGGAGTAGGGTGGTCCCTTAATCCAATATGACTCTTTTTTTTTTTTTTTTTGACAGAATCTCGCTCTGTCACCAGGCTGGAGTGCAGTGGCATGATCTCGGCTCACTGCAACCTCCGCCTCCTGGGTTCAAGCAATTCTCCTGCCTCAGTCTCCCGAGTAGCTGGCACTACAGGTGTGTGCCACCATGCTCGGCTAATTTTTGTATTTTTAGTAGAGATGGGATTTCACCATGTTGGCCAGAATGGTCTCGATCGCTTGACCGCGTGATCCGCCCACCTCGGCCTCCCAAAGTGCTGGGATTGACTGGTGTTCTATAAAAAGGGGAAATTTGGACACAGAGACAGACACACATAGAGGAAAGATGATGTGAAGAGGCACAGGGAGAAGATGGCTATTTACCAGTCAAGGAGACAGGCTGGGAACAAATCCTTCCCTCACAGCGGAAGGAACCAATTCTGTCGACGCTTTAGTTTCGAACTTCTAGTCTTCACAACAGTGACACCATATATTTCTAATATTTATGCTGCCCAGTTTGTGGTACTTTGTTACATCAGCCCTATCAAACTAATGCAGATGGCTTTCAGACACTTGAGTGGGGAGATGAAACAAGTAACTAAACATGCATGTCTGCAGCTCAGAGAAGCCCTTAGTCCTGGAGCTACACCTTTGGAAGTCATCTTATAGAAGGTAATTGAACTAGCTTGCTGTCCTGGGGGTGAATAGCAGGATGACTGAGAGCTAGTCACCTTCTGCAAGTGTCCAAACCACCCCAACATGGAAACTCACTCACCCTTGCCATCTGAGATGGAGGGAATATAGTCTACCCAACCTTCTAGTCCCACTCTCTACTTCCTTACTTGTTTTGCCACCCCTCTCTCCTATCTCCAAATTCCTGCCAGCGGCCTGCATTATCAGGCCTTCAGCCTGTTCAGAGTTTAGAAGCTCCAACATATTTAGGGAGTTTGTCATCACCAGTCCCTGACTTAGTGGATGTGGAAGGGCAGATTAGAGATCCCCTCATCTTGAAAGGAGAAGAGCATATTTGGAATAATCTTCCATGACCTGATATGGGGAGGAAGACAGATGGTTGTTCCTTCACAACTCTACTACTCTTGTGCCCCATAAAAGACCTGCACCCCTTGTAACCCTCATCATATCAGTGCTGGGAGTTGTTGCTGGAGTGTCCAATCTGATAACAGAAGGCTTCTGTCTATTAATCCCAAGAAAGGTTGGGGAGAGGCGTTTTTCTAATCTCAGAACAGGGATGGTGGAGGTGAGGAGGGAAAGAGGTCCCAGGGATAGGGGTTGGGTTATTTCGTGCATTTTATCCTCAGTAGTAGGCTCTACTTGTTGAGAAATCTGGGAAAACAGAAAGCTTTCTTATCTCACACCTAATGAAACCTCCCTGACAGAGAGGGAGAAGGTAGTAGAGCCAAATAGGCTAGGCCTCAAAAGTGCAGGAGAATTTCTTTCTCCTTCTTCTTCCCTTCTTTTTTATTTTTATTTTTTTATTTTATATATATATATATATATATATATATATATATATATATATAAAATATATATTTATTTATTTTTAGATTTTTTTTGACAGAGTTTCACTTTGTTGCCCAGGCTGGAGCGCAGTGGTGCAATCTGGGCTCACTGCCACCTCCACCTCCCAGGTTCAAGTGATCCTCCTGCCTCAGCCTTCCGAGGAGCTGGGATTACAGGCACCCACCACCATGCACAGCTAAATTTTTGTATTTTTAGCAGAGACAGGGTTTCACCATGTTGGCCAGGAAGGTCTCAAACTCCTGACCTCACGTGATCTGCCCACCTCAGCCTCCTAAAGGGCTGGGATTACAGGTGTGAGCCACCATGCCTCCCTTCTTTCTTTCTTTCCTTCCTTCCTTCCTTCCTTCCTTCCTTCCTTCCTTCCTTCCTTCCTTCCTTCCTTCCTTCCTTCCTTTTTTCCTTTCTTTCTTTCTTCTTTTGGGTTGAGGCACAATGGTCAGAAAGTGGAGTGAAGTGGACAAAAGAACATTCTGATCTTGGAGTAGATAAGGTATGACATAAAAAACACCCAGTCTTCTGAGACTGTAAGGGAACAGTGTTCTCAGAGAAAGTCCTGGTTTTAATTAAAACCATGTCTTAATTAAAGAGAGGTCAGGGCGATGCTGGGGAAAGCTGAAGATATAGAGGAATTGACTGGTTATGAAACAGCAGTGCCAGGGGCCATGGCGGACAGGTTGAGGACGGTGGAGAGGCCAGGCAGTGGTGCAGGGGCTGGTGTTCAGGAGGTTTAGATGGTTGAAGGATGATGGTGCCGTTCAGAATAGATGGCCAGAGCAGATTATGGTTACAGCACTGATGGAAAAAAATTAATAGGGCTGATGGATGAGGTTTTGCAGAGAGGCAATAAAGGACCATTAGCCAGATGACTCTGTGGGCGTAAATGATGGCAAGCATCAAAACTGAACTCTTTGTGCTGTGAGCCTTGGGTTATGGCTGAAAAAGTTGCCAAATTGAATTTATAAGTGTAAAATGTTCATCCTATGAGACCCTGTAATTCTATTCCTATGAATGTTTGCTAAGAAAATAATTGAGCAGATAAAAAATGTTACATGTAAAGGAGGATCTTTGTGACAGTGTTATAGTCATCACAATTTAAAAATACATTTATTTTTGAAACTCTTTTTATTCCCTTTACTCTTGAGACAACACACTGCTGCCTCAAAAATCTCTGCTTACCTCTTTGTTGCTTCTTCCTTTTGTGAAGAAGAGAATGGCTGGCTATTTACAAAACCCATTTTATTTTCTTCCCAGACACACAGCTAGATGATATTTTTCAGCTTCCCTTGGAATTAAGTGGCCATGAAAATGGAGCTCTGGTCAACAGAATGTGGGCAGGAGTGATGTATGCTTCCCCCAGTTCTGGCCCCAAAAACTTCTCACCTGACTCTCTATCTTCGTTCTTTCCCCATTTAGTAAAGCCACAAGAAGGAAGGAATTGAGGTTCTTAAGTGTCCATGTGGAAGGCTGTCTACTAACCGGGAACATCTGTACTAGAGTTATATGAATGGGAAGTAAACTTCTATTAGTTAAGCTTCTGAGATTTGGGGGTTTATCTGTTGGAATACTTAGCATTGCTCTAATGAATATACCTTGTTTGTGGTTTCTTAATCTTCCTGCCCCATACTCTTGGTGTTCTCTGAGTCTCAGACCACAACATATTTTCACTCTGTATATTCCCTCTGAGTGATCCTATTCATTCCCATGGCTTTATCTCCCATCTTTATGCTGTTGACTCATGTCTACTTCTCCCAATGAAACATCTCTCTGCATTCCAGAGCCTGTATTCAGTACTGTAGCAGGCATCTTCACCTGCTTACTGAGTCCTGAGACTCGAAGTATATAATATTTATTACATTATATTTCTTCAACCTGATTTCTCTTCTAGATTCTTAATCTCTGTGAATAGTGCCACCATCCAACCTATTGCCCAAGCAAGAAATCTAGAAGTCACTCCAGGTTCCAGCCCTCACCTCCACCTCCCACACCCAAAGTCATATTAAATTGCATGTTTAGATATCTCGGATCTCCTCCTTTCTATCTAGTATCACTGTTCCAAGGCAAAGATAACAAGGATGAGGAAAAGGAGAGATTCAGACCACATATATATAAAGTTATATGTCATGTTGCATAGCACGAAAAGGAATTGAACTGTGTGTCCATCACTAGAAGAGGAGGATAAACATATGGAAAATCTCTGTCCTTTCACATCTAATCTGGTACTTAACTAGACCCTCACTCCATTCTCTCACCCTACATACCCAATTATTCCACCTTAACCTTGGAGAGGAAGAAATCACATTGATCAATGCCTAGATGTGGATCTCGGTCTCAGGGAAGGTCATCAAGGGTAACCTGAGAGATGAATAATGTGGTGAATAGAATATATATCTTTGATGAGCCTATGGAGATCTGAAGAAATATTTTATGGAGCTTTGGGTTAGACTAGATCTACTTCCATCCAATACAGATATGAAAAAGATCTTGCAGGGGGAGGGTTGTTAAAATGATGTCTTGGCCCATGAAGTCCAAGGCTGCAGATAATGGAGACACATTCACGACCTGGTAGCAGTGGTGAGCTGAAGCATGATTGCCATACCCTAGACCCTACCTTACATGAGCTGCTGCTGATAACAAGATCACAGTCTAACAATCTAGTTCCTTTGTCTCTTTCTCATAATCCATAGTTCTTGAACAAAATAAATAGGAAAAAGCATTTGTTAAACTTACTGATGGTGTCTCTATTCGCAAACTGAAGTGGCAGAATCATGACTTGATTAAAAAACCAAAAAACAAAAAAGAACTATTGACAAAGTACCCTAGTCCTGTGCTAATATCCCAGCCACATTTTAACTTGTTGAGATTGTTCGTTGTTCTCCCCAGGCAGTGAAGAAAGTTTTCTCCTTCTGGGCATTTTATGATTGGCGTCAGCAGTATATTTTTCTGGGGAATTGATTTATCTCTCTCTCTTTCTCACTTACTTTTTCTTTGTGAGCAGCTCTCTGTGATTATAATTATGCAACTAGGAGGTCAGAGGGCTATCACTGGGCAGTGCCTGCTGAGCCAGATTGCAGCACCAGCCCTATTTGAGATTTGCCACATGATGGCGAGGGTAGCCTGTCTGCTGAAATAGCAAGGTTTACTTCAGAGCCTTTTCTCAGATTTTCAGGGGCTATTTAATCTACTTTGTACCAACTGTTTATGGCTTTTTGGTCTGAAGAGCAGACTCAATAGTATTTTAGCATTCTAAATCCCAAATAAAACCCGAGAAACGCTGTTATACATAGACAAAAACCATTTCGGCTCAGAGAGGAATAAATACAAGTTTTTGCTTCTCCGAAAGTTGTCTGGATTAACATTTCCTTTAATTATGGTTTAAAATATGCTAGACTTTCTATTCCTTGTCTTAGACTTTCCTTCCTCGCAAAAGTTCAATTTTATATGTCTTCTTTTTGTTCCTATAAGACAAAACATCTATCCATCCCTTCTTCCCTCCAATTTCCAGTTTTTTCATGGATGGAACTTTCAACAAACCTAAAAGTTGACTGGAAGACTCTGACATCTCGTTACTCCGTGCTTCAGTAGCTGTTAAATTGATAGTTTCAGAGTGGATATCAAACTATCTACTCTATCAGTGTTTTTTAAAAAACGGAAAAAGATTACAGTCTGTCGAAATCAATGTGACACTTCTCTGACATGTGTGTCTTGATCGCTTTTTTCCTCAGCATATCCATTCCTTCTGACTATCTCCATTTCTCCATGGCTATCTGAGTCAGACAGAGCTTGTCATCTCATAAAAATTGCTCCACCTTTTGCTTAGGTTTCTCTTAATTTTCCGTTTTTCTGTATTTATCCTTCTGTATTTATCACTACAGACCATACTTCAAACCAACATGGGTTGGAATTTTACAAGGCAGACGGCGTCTTGGTTTTTCTCCTCAGTAGAATTTCTATTTGTGGCACATGCATTTCCTTCTTCGCTGAATTCCCAGCAACAGTTCTTAGTAAGGGCAGCTGCTGCTCTGAGCCTCTTTGGAGTTTTCTTTCATTCTCTCTTCACATATCGAACTCATTCTGACTTGAAAGGTTCTCAGTCTCCACTGGCCGGGGGAAGGCGGAACATATCACAAGTTGGCAGAGTTGCAGTGCACTGTGCTTTGAACTTGTAAAATTCTTTTCAAAAGTCAAAATCTTTAAAGGAAAGAAAAGAAGCTTCTGGTACATTTAGACAATGTGAGAACAGGAATGACCCGAGTTTAAAGATAAGGGTTAATGCTGTGATGTCAGTTCTTGGGCATAACTTCTCGGGAAACTTTAGCTTCACTAAAGCTCTCCGATTTTAAATGCTTTCAAAGCAAACTTTTGGTGTCTGAAAATATAAGAAAATAGTAAGAACAGGATTTATGACTCTTTCAGTAATTTATCCTAAAGCATACAAACATGATATTTTGTTGTACTCCCAGAAGCCTCTCTTCATAGATAAAATTCAGCATTATGCACTTCTACCATTACCACTGCCCTTCCAACCTGACCAAACATTTGGAAAAATAAAATGTAATGAAGGTATTCACTGTCTTCCCTTTCAGTTAATCTGGGCCTGTTAAGATGCACAGATTGTTAGCACATGCAGCAATTACTTCACACATATTCCTTGTCCAGCCCTGATCATAAGATCACATTCTGACTGCCTGTGATTTAGCTCAATAACCAGGGGATGTAAATGTCATTCTGCCCAAGATTCACAGAACGGCTGGTCAGAAATGCCCTCTTCACCTTAATATGATCATCTGAAAAATAGGTATACAAATAACATCATAATAATCAGGGAAAAGAACAGAATGTTTTAGAAAAAATACATTACATGTATGCTGAGTTGGTTCTAGACATTCGCATGAAGCAGAGTTTTTTTAAACCCCATCACTCCTGAGCACCTATGTTTTGCCTCTTGTGTGCTCATGGAACCTCATTCCTCCATCACCCACCCCTCCCCTCATCCATCTTCTTTGTCGATATGCTTATTCAGTTCTAATGTGGAGAAAATATCTTCTTCAATCAATTGACACTGGGGTTGAATTTCTTAACTTCAGGTTTACGAACCCCTGAAACCATAGGCGAAATTCTGTCTTTGAGGAACTATGCGCCTTATTCTATAGAAAGTATCAGTAGCTTTCAATGAGTCTCAAAAGATTCTAGGATCCCCGAATGGTTGAGAACCGTTGCAAAAATATTTTCCTTTAGAAGGACTTGCTAATTTAAAGTCATGCACATTTAACAGTGATATTTCAGGAAGTTCAAGGAAGATAGTCTGAGGCACAAGGGGGTTGGGGGAGACTCCAGGACTTCTTTTAGCTACTCCACAATTCTGGATGTTCACTGTTCTTCAGAATCTTTAGCTTGCTTTGTTTAGAAAATTTTACTTTTAGCAATTTTGTTTGGTGCATGCCATGAGAAAATGCAGCTAGTTCTTACATGCTAAGTCCCTCAAGGACTCAGTGGTGTACACTGTGGATTTGGGGACATTGCTGTTCTACTGCAAACTTTAAGTTATTTAGGAAGTAGAGGGTTGAAGAGAAGGAAAACATCAATTTTTATTCCATGTATTTGTTCACTTGAGGAAAAGGCATTTTTTTCTGAATTGCTTGAATTGCTGAAAATTAGTATCTATTTTTCAAATAAATAAAAGAAAAAACAAAAATTTGCTATATTTTTTGGATTTTAAAGCTAGTAAGACAATAAAAATGACAGATTCAACCCTTTAAAACTTTTCCCTTCAAAAGTCTGGTGTAGAGGATGCATATAAATTAAAGTCCAGAGGCTGAGGCATTTGATGCCCCAGGTGTAGGGAGATTTCATAATTGTATGATTTTTTTTTTTCAAAATGGCTTCTTGCATGGCTACCGTTAAGATAGACTTGCTTGAAAAACATTTTTCTGAAAGCATATCTTGGTCTCATCCTTAATCATTTGAAGGAGAACCCTCGACTGGATCTTTGTGAAGCTGGAAGGAATCACGATTGCCTCAGAAAGAGGAAGTAGTCAGGTCTGACTTTTAATAAAGAAGGGCTGCTTGCCAATACCTAATTCCTCTCTACTTGTTTCAAACCTGCGAGGGTAGTTTGTTAAGGAGTTTGTCCTGAGGCAAAGTAACCTGAAGTAAAAATGAATTGGGGGAGGATTGAATTTTGAGTCAAAGATAGGAAATAAATTTTCCCCTGAGTTAATTAGCACACATTCTAGGAAAAGTAAACTGTATCAAGAATATTGCCCCTCAGTCATCAGCTTCTAACTCCTGTCTGGTGACATGAATGCTTCCCCAAATAATGACTGCTTGTCAGAGAGACGGCCTTCCCTACTTGGCTTTCATGCTTACTCTGAGTTTATAGACAGGTCTCACAAAAGCTTTTGCTGTGATTTATTATTTTTTAAAATGCTTGTCTCTTCATAAATGACCAAAAAAAGGGGGATTCAGGAGAAATGGAGAATTCTGTCATATGTTTTATAGACATTCCAGGCAAGCCTGGAACAACAGCCCATTTAAATAACCACTGTATGGATCCATCACGCTGAGCTGAGACATGCCTCAGCAACCTCTTCATTTCAAAACCAAGCTGTCGGATAAAGAACAGGGAAAAGAGGGGTCTGTAGTCAGCTCATACCTGGGAACTTCTTTGAAAGGAGGATGCTGGAAAGAGAGTTGAACGGAGCAGGCTGTGACAGAGGAGTTGAATTTGATCTCTGCTGCTACTCAGAAGCATATGGTTTCCACCCACAGGAAAAATCTGCTTTTCTTCTGGCTGCCACACTAATGCAGGCATGAAGGGAAAAGACTTTGCTATCAAATGCATCTCCAGGGTTGGCATCTGTGATTAAAGTTTTCTGTTTGCCCTGCATCCCTCCTCCAGGTGGTTTTAAAAAAAATTGCTAAAAGTTGTCCCTATTTTTGCTTAGATAGTGGGAATGTAGGTGTTTGTTGTTAGCGGTTTATAACATACCTATCGGTGGAGTCAATCCTAACTTCATTTAGCCTCTTATCCTGTTATTAGGCTAGTGAAATAATTAAAGGACAGGCCCAGAACTTGGAGCTTCATAGAGCAGTTTCTTTTGGCTGTTACTAGATGTTGAAAAACATCTGTTTAGGTTGACCGTGAATAAGGCAATTCTTGGCTTCCAAGGTTATTTACTGTGAGGTAGAGATCTTATACTAGGGATTAGATGTAAACACTGCCTTCTCTATTTTATAGGTGGGGGATGTGGAGGCTGTGTTACTAATACACAAATATAAGAAGACACAAAATGACTCTTAGCAGTAGTTGATTGTGGATTTTGTAGCATGGCAATGGAAGAAAATATGGAGGGCTTCAGGGCAATAGAAGGAAACCTCTCAGTAGGTGCACAGAGTAGAATTCTCTCCTTCCTTTCCAAAAGCTAGGAAGGCTTAAGACCCCCTCCTACAGCACAGACACAAGAGAGGAGTTGGCATTTGTAGCAGGCACATTTCCTATTGAACTTTTAGGGCAAGGATCATGAACGCTGACTTCCTAGCATGTGTGTGAATCCCTTCATTAACATAATGCAAATATTTAATGTTCGGTTTATTTATTTTTAAGAGACAGGGTCTTGCTCTGTCTTACAGGCTGTAATGCAGTAGTACAGTCATAGCTCACTGCAGCCTCGAACTCCTAGGCTCAAGCAATCCTCCCTCCTCAGCCTCCCGAGTAGCTAGGATTATAGGCATGCCCAGCTAATTATTTTACTTATCGAGACCAGGTCTCGATATGTTGCCCAGCCTAATCTTGAACTTCTGGCCTCAAGCAATCCTCCTGCCTCAGCTTCTTAAAATGTTGGGATTACAGGTGTGAGCCACCATACCCAGCCATAGCTAATCTTTTAGAAATGCAGTTGATTTAGTCAGATCTTGACTCAATTGCCCAGAGAAGTGAGAGACCAAGAATTGTTTGCTGCCATCTGCATCAATACAAGGAAGAGACCAGCCCCCTGAATAACATGGGAAACCTATGAGCTCTGGATGCAGAAAAGCATGTGGAAGTGGTACAGTATGGGATCCGCAAAGGACTGCAGGCAGCTCTCATCTGGGAACTGCAAATCCTACTGGAAACTAAGGTGAACACTTTTCCTCTCCTGTGAATTTACTTGACTAGGGAATTCACAATGCACCTCAGAGAAAGGCAGGAAGATTGCCCCAGATTTACATTATAGTTAGATTTGCAAGGTACTTTCAATCTGTTTGTAAATTTAGTAAACTCTATGTGGTTCTGTCCAGACTTTTATTAACTTTCTTAGTTGCCTCTTTAAGTTTCCAAGTTAATAATTTAGTTATTAAAGAGAAGCATCTGCAATTAGGTGCACTAATTCCCAAACTGATGTTCAAATTAAAAAATTTGTAGATTAGACCAGGTAAGTCATACCTTATACAGATGGGAGCTAGAACGAGTCCTGAATTTATGATCATGTGGCATGAAGTGAAGAATCAGCACTTATTTTATTTACTGAAATATTGCAGAGAGTCAAATTCTAAATATATCTTCCGTCACTGTCGGCAACAGCCTTCTAACACTTTTGTCTGTCTCAAATCTTGCCACATTATGACCACAGTGATCTTGCCAATCTCTCTGCATGGCTCCTGCTGTCATTTCCAGCCACATCTCCCTTGGGTCTCTAACCCTGGCACTCTACTGTCCATCAATCCTGAAGTGCTTGGAGTCTTCCCAACATGCTCTCTTGTGCTTTGTTTCTTTGCGGATGCTTGTCTCTCTGCCTAGAATTCTCCCCTTTTTTCCTGGTGGTCACTTGGCAAGCACCTACTTGATCTAAAAGACAAAGCTCAAGCATTTCCCTCTCTCTGTGGACTTTCTAGGCACATGTGGCTGCTCCGTATACATTTGCTGAATGAACAAGTAAATGAATGCATAAAACAATGAAAGTAAACAAATGAATGTCTGGCTGTTGCTGCTCTTCTTTACTTAGAAAGATTCCACAGAATTCCCAAAGATAGTGCTGCCAGTGTAAATGTTATGATAAATTTGTAATTTTTGAGTCAAATGCTGTAAGGGTTGGGGGGAAATGTGGCACTTACTGAGGCCAACTTTGACAAACTGCTTGTCTCATTCTGCCTCAGAATGACTTTAAGATTGATTTCTTCATCCTCTCCAGTATCACTATCAGCATCTAACATCTAACCTTTAGAAAATCAAAAATGATGAAAACTAAATAATTCAACGTGAAGAGAGCTCACCAGAAGACAAATGGACTATGTGCAATATGTTTGGTTGTGCGGATGTAATCTATCTCAATAATTAAGTATCTGTGCTCGTGAATAGGCTCTAAAACCTCTGAAGACGAGACCTTCAAAGATAAAATCAAAGGTACTGGTCTTATTTACTAGGTGAAGAATATATCCCCTTGCCATTTCTTTTTTCTTCTCTTAAAGATGTCCAGTTAGTGAAACTTTAGCATTTTTAACTACAGGGGTGCATGTATTATTGAGTAGGGAAACTCCAGTATACTGAAGAAATACGGTGGAGGGAGGGAGAAGGTGAGCTCTCTGTGATGAGGGAAAATGCACTAAGATACAGAATGTGAAGTGTGAGCTGATTTTGGGTCCTTGTTCTCTCCCTCTCACCCTTTACTTTGGTGTGGATGCCCCTAGGATAGGACACAGTGGTTTGTTTGCAAGGATGTTCCATAAAGTCAAATTGAGATCTCCACTCCTCACAAGCTCACATGATATTTCTTTAGGGATTATCTTCCTTAATATAGCATGCTCCCTGGGTGGGAATGGGAGCAAGGTGTGGCCCCCAGAATTCAGGATGTTTGCTACAAACTAATTTTAACATCATCTAAGTAAAGCATACATCTAAATAAAGCATCTAAATAAATGGGTGAATAAACGTTGTCTCTGTTCAGGGGTCTCAGAATATATGCATTATACTACCCCGTTAGGTCCTATACTACTCTGAAAGTCCATGACCTTCTCTGGTCCTGTGGGATGCTGTGAGCTCATCATCCTCTGCTCAGAGTGAGTAAGACAGGGAACAGGAAGGCATCCTTCTTGCTGGGCAAGGCCAAGCCAGGCTGCTCCTGAGGGGCCATCCTTAGCAGACCTTGAAAGAACAACCCAGTGCAGCCTCTAGCCTCTGGGCCTGGGCGAGGGATAGTGCTCTCTTCAGGGAAGGGTAGACAGTCTATGGATAACTATTCCATTCCCACTTGGCTCTTGGCAACTCATACAAGCTCCCAGTGTAGGGCTGTTGTTAAGGTGTCTGTTGATCTTGCCTGCATGGCTCTTCAGATCTCGCCCTTTCCCCCAGAAACTCAAGTCTTTCTTTTTTCCTTCTCCCCTCCAACCCAGCTGGAAGAATCTAGTTTTGGTGCATGGTATTATATGTCTTTTTAAACAAAAATAATTATTTTATTTTATTTTTCCATAGGTTATTGGAGTACAGGTGGTATTTGGTTACATGAGTAAGTTCTTTAGTGGCGATTTGTGAGATTTTCATGCACCCATCACACATGAATACACTGCATCATATTTGTAGTCTTTTATCCCTTGCCCTTCTCCCACTCTTCCCCCTAAATCCCCAAAGTCCATTGTATCATTCTTATGCCTTTGCGTCCTCACAGCTTAGCTCCCACATATCAGAGAGAACATATGATGTTTGGTTTTCCATTCCTGAGTTACATCACTTAGAATAATAGTCTCCAATCTTATCCAGGTCACTGCAAATGCTGTTAACTCATTCCTTTTTATGGCTGCACAGTATTCCATTGTATATATGTACCACAGTTTCTTTATCCAATTGTTGATTGATGGGCATTTGTGTTGGTTCCACGATTTTGCAATTGTGAATTGTGCTGCTATAAACATGTGTGTGCAAGTATCTTTTTCAAATAATCACTTCTTTTCCTCTGGGTAGATACCCAGTAGTGGGGTTGCTGGATCAAATGGTACTTCTACTTTTAGTTCTTTAAGGAATCTCCACACTGTTGTCCATAGTGGCTGTACTAGTTCACAGTCCCACCAGCAGTGTAGAAGTGTTCCCTGTCCACCGCATCCATGCCAACATCTCCTGTTTTTTTGATTTTTTGATTATGGCCATTCTTGCAGGAGTAAGGTGGTATCACATTGTGGTTTTTTTTTTTTTTTTTTTTGAGACAGAGTCTTGCTCTGTTGCCCAGGCTGGAGTGCAGTGATGCGATCTCGGCTCACTGCAAGCTCCGCCTCCCAGGTTCATGCCATTCTCCTGCCTCAGCCTCCCGAGTAACTGGGACTACAGGTGCCCACCACCAGGCCCGGCTAATTTTTTATATTTTTAGTAGAGATGGGGTTTCACCGTGTTAGCCAGGATGGTCTCGATCTCCTGACCTCGTGATCCACCCGCCTCGGCCTCCCAAAGTGCTAGGATTACAGGTGTGAGCCACTGTGCCCGGCCACACATTATGGTTTTGATTTGCATTTCCCTGATCATTAGTGATGCTGAGCATTTTTTCATATGTTTGTTGGCTATTTGTATGTCTTCTTTTGAAAATTGTGTATCATGTCTTCAGCCTACTTTTTGATGGGATTGTTTGTTTTTTTTCTTACTGATTTGTTTGAGTTTGTTGTAAATTCTGGATATTAGTCCTTTGTCAGATGAATAGATTGTGAAGATTATCTCCCACTCTGTGGGTTGTCTGTTTACTCTGCTGACTGTTCATTTTGCTGTGGAAAATCTATTTAGTTTAATTAGGTACTAGTTATTTATCTTTGTTTTTATTGCATTTTCTTTTGGGTTCTTGGTCATGAAATCCTTGCCTAAGCCAATGTCTAGAAAAGTTTTTTCCATGTTGTCTTCTAGAATTTTCATAGTTTCAGGTCTTAGTTTTAAGTCCTTAATGGATCTTGAGTTGATTTTTGTATAAGGTGAGAGATGAGGATCCAGTTTCATTCTCCTGTATGTGGCTAGCCAATTATCCCAGCACCATTTGTTGAAAAGAGTGTCATTTCCTCACTTTATGTTTTTGTTTGTTTGTCGAAGATCAATTGGCTGTATTTGGAGTTATTTCTGGGTTCTCTATTCTATTCCATTGGTCTATGTGTTTGTTTGTTTGTTTGTTTTCCAGTAGTATGCTGTTTTGGTGAATATGGCCTTATAGTATAGTTTGAAATCAGGTAGTGTGATGCCTCCTGATTTGTTCTTTTTGCTTAGTCTTGCTTTGGCTAAGCATGCTCTTTTTTGGTTCCATATGAATTTTGGAATTGTTTTTTCTAATTCTGTGAAGAATGATGGCGATATTCTCATGGGGGTTGCAGTGAATTTGTACATTGCTTTTGGCAGTATGGCCATTTTCACAATATTGATTCTTCCCATCCATGAGCATGGGATGTGTTTCCATTTGTTTGTGTCATCTGTAATTTATTTCAGCAGTGTTTTGTAGTTCACCTTGTAGAGGTATTTTGCCTCCTTGGTTAGGGATATTCCTAAGAATTTTATATTTTTGCAGCTATTGTAAAAGGGGTTGAGTTCTTTATTTGATTCTCTGCTTGTTCACTCTTGGTGTATCGAAGAGCTACTGATTTGTGTACATATCTTGTATCTGGTAATTTTGCTAACTTCTTTTATCAGTTCTAGGAGCTTTCTGGAGGAGTCCTTAGGGTTTTCAAGGTAAACAATCATTTTGTCAGTGAACAGTGACAGTTTGACTTCCTCTTTACCAATTTGGATGCCATTTTTTTTCTTTCTCTTGTCTCATTGCTCTGGCTAGGACTTCCAGTACTATGTTGAAGAGGAGTGGTGAGAGTAAGAATCCTTGTTTTGTTCCAGTTGTCAGCAAGAATGCTTTCAATTTTTCCCCATTCAGTGTTACATTCTCTGTGGGTTTGTAATAGATGGCTTTTTATCACATTAAGGTATGTCTCTTGTATGCCAGTTTTGCTGAATGTTTTAATCATAAAGGAATGCTGGATTTTGTCAAATGATTTTTCTGCTTCTATTGAGATGATCATGTGATTTTTGTTTTTAATTCTGTTTATGTGTGTATCACATTTATTACTTGCATTTGTTAAATCATCCCTGCATCCCTGGTATGAAACCCACTTGATCATGGCATATTATCTTTTTGATATGTTGTTGGATTCAGTTAGCTAGTATTTTGTTAAGGATTTTAGCATCAATGTTCATCAAGGATATCAGTCTGTAGTTTTACTTTTTTATTATGTCCTTTCCTGATTTTGATATTAGGGTGATGCTGGTTTATAGAATGAATTAGGGAGGGCTCCTTTTTTCTCTATCTTGTGGAATAGTGTCAAAAGGATTGGTACCAATTCTTCTTTGAATGTCTGGTAGAATTTTGCTGTGAATCCATCTGGTCCTGGACCTTTTTTCGTTGGTAATTTTAAAATTACCGTTTCAATCTCACTGCTTGTTATTGGTTTGTTAAGATATCTAATTCTTCCTGATTTAGGCTAGGAGGATTGTATTTTTCCAGGAATTTATCCATCTCTTCTAGGTTGTTTAGTTTATGTGGGTAAAGGTGTTCATAGTAGCCTTGAATGATCTTTTATATTTCAGTGGTGCCAGTTGTAATATCTCCTGTTTCATTTCTTAGTAAGGTTATTCAGATTTTCTCTCTTCTTTTGTCGGTTAACCTCGCTAATGGCCTATCAATTTTATTTATCTTTTCAAAGAACAGCTTTTTGTTTCATTTATCTTTTGTATTTTGTTTGTTTTAATTTCATTTAGTTCTGCTCTGATCTTAGTTATTTCCTTTCTTCAGTTGGGTTTGGTTTTGTTTCTCTAGTTCCTTGAGGTGTAACCTTAGATTGTCTGTTTGTGCTCTTTCAGACTTTTTGATGTAGGCATTTAGGGCTATGAATTTTCCTCTTAGCACTGCCTTTGCTGTATCCCAGAGGTTTTGATAGGTTTTGTCATTGTTATCATTCAGTTCGAATAATGTTTTAATTTCCACCTTGATTTCATTTTTGACCCAATGCTCATTCAGGAGCTGGTTATTTAATTTCCATGTGTTTGTATGGTTTCAAAGGTTCCTTTTGGAGTCGATTTCCAGTTTTCTTCCACTGTGATCTGAGAGAATGCTTGATATAATTTCAATTTTCTTAAATTTATTGAGGCTTATTTTATGGCCTATCATATGCTCTATCTTAGAGAAAGTTCCACATGCTGTTGAATAGAATGTGTATTCTGGGGTTGTTGGACGAAATAGTCTATATATATAGGTTAAGTCCATTTGTTCCAAGGTATAGTTTAAAACCATTGCTTCTTTGTTGACTTTCTGTCTTGATGACTTGTCTAGTGCTCTTAGTGGAGTATTGAAGTTCCCCACTGTTATTGTGTTGCTGTCTATCTCATTTCTGAGGTCTTTTAGTAATTGCTTTATAAATTTGGGAGCTCCAGCATTAGGTGCATATACATTTAGGATTGTGATATTTTCCTGTTGGACAAGGCCTTTTACCATTATATGTAACTGCTGGTGCTTTAAAGTTTGTTTTGTTTGATATAACAATAGCTACCCCTGCTCACTTTTGTTGTCCATTTGCATAAAATGCCTTTTTCCACCCCTTTACTTTAAGTTTATGTGAGTCCTTATGTGTTAGGTGGGTCTCCTGAACACAGCAGATGGTTGGTGAGTTCTTATCCATTCTGCAGTTCTGTGTCTTTTAAGTGGAGCATTTGGGCCATTTGCATTCAATCTTAGTATTGAAATGTGAGGTACCATTGCTTTCATCATGTTCTTTGTTGCCTGTGTACTTCGGTTTTATTTTTGTGTTTTTGTTTTTCAATTTGTATTTCTGTTTTGTAGGTCCTGTGTGAGTTATGCTTTAAAGAGGTTCTGTTTTGATTTGTTTCCAGGATTTATTTCAAGACTTAGAGCTCCTTTTAGCAGTTCTCATAGTGGTGGTTTGGTAATGGCGAATTATCTCAGTATTTGTTTGTCTGAAAATGATTGTATCTTTCCTTCATATATAATGCTTAGTTTTGCTGGATACAAAATTCTTAGCTAATTGTTTTGTTTGAGAAGGCTGAAGATAGGGCCCTGATCTCTTCTAGCTTACAGGGTTTCTGCTGATAAATCTGCTGTTAATCTGATAGGTTTTCCTGAATAGGTTACCTGGTGCTTCTGATTCACAGCTCTTAAGATTCTTTCCTTTGACTTAACTTTGGATAACCTGATGACAATGTGCCTAGGTGAAGATCTTTTTGCGATGAATTTCCCAGGTGTTCTTTGTGCTTCTTGTATTTGGCTGTCTAGGTCTCTGGCAAGGCTAGGGAAGTTTTCCTTGATTATTCCCCCAAATATGTTTTCCAGGCTTTCAGAATTCTCCTCTTCCTCAGGTATACCAATTATTCTTAGGTTTGATCATTTAACATAATCTCAGATATCTTGGAGGCTTTGTTCATATTTTCTTATTCTTTTTTCTTTGTCTTTATTGGTTTGGGTTAATTCAAAGATCTTGTCTTCGAGCTCTGAATTTCTTTCTTCTACTTGTTTAATTCTATTGCTGAGACTTTCCAGAGCATTTCACATTTCTAAAAGTGTGTCCAAAGTTTCCTGAATTTTTTATTGTTTTTGCTTTAAGCTATATATTTCCATAAATATTTCTCCCTTCACTTCTTGTTTTTTTTTTTTTTTTTTATTTATTTTTTTTATTTCCTTGCATTGGGCTTTGCCTTTCTCTGGCCCCTCCCTGATTAGCTTAATGACTAACCTCCTGAATTCTTTTTCAGGTAAATCAGGGATTTCTTCTTGGTTTGGGTCCATTGCTGGTGAACTAGTGTGATTTTTGAGGGTGTTGAACAGACTTATTTTGACATATTACCAGGGTTGGTTTTCTGGTTCCTTTTCATTTGGCTAGGCTCTGTCAGAGGGAAGGTTGAGGGCTGAAGGCTGTTGTTTAGATTCTTTTGTCCTGCAGGATGTTTCCTTGACAGAATACTCTCCCCCATTTCCTATGGATGTGGCTTCCTGTGTGCTGAACTGCGGTGATTGTTGCCTCTTTCCTGGGTCTAGCCAACCAGTGGGTCTACCTGGCTCCAGACTGGTACTGGGATGTGAACCGCCTATGGGTCTTTCAGCCATGGATACCAGTTCCTGTTCTGGTGGTGGCAGAGGGTGCAATGGACTCTGTGAGGGTTCTTAGCTTTGGTGGTTTAATGCTCTATTTTTGTGCTGGTTGGCCTCCTGCCAGGAGGTGGTGCTTTCCAGAAAGCATCAGCTAAGTGTGGAGAGGGACTGGCAGTGGGTGGGGCCCTAGAACTCCCAAGATTATATGCCCTTTATCTTCCACTACCAGGGTGGATAGGGAAGGACCATCAGGTGGGGGTGGGGCGAGGCATGTCTGAGCTCAGACTCTCTTTAAGTGGGTCTTGCTGCGGCTGCTGTGGGGGACGGGGGTGAGATTCCTAGGTCATTGGAGTTGTGTACCTAGGAGGATTATGGCTGCCTCTGCTGAGTCATGCAGGTTGTCAGGGAAGTGGGGGAAAGCCGGCAGTCACAGGCCTCACCCAGCTCCCATGCAAACTGAAGGGCTGGTCTCACTCCCACTGTGCCCCCCGCCAAAAGCCCACTGTGCCCCCCGCCAAAAGCCCCGAGCCTGGACAGCCCCGAGTCTGTTTCCAGGCAGAGGGTGAGGTGGCTTGAAAACTTGCCCGAGGCTACCCGCCTCCCAGCTGCAAGAGAAAAAGGCTTTAGTTCTTCCCTCCCTGTGAAGTCTGCATGCCTGATTCATGCCCTGCCCTGAGTTCTGGCCAAGATGTTTCTCACCCCATTCAAATTGTTACAAAGTTCAGCTAGAGAATTCCTTTTCCCTGTGGAGTTTTACCCCCTGCTCCTCTGGCCACCCTCCCGATGGATCTCTATGGTGTCAAGCAGGAATGGGCAGCTTGGAGATCCAGCGAGCTCCCAGCGCCTTTCTGCTGCTTCCTCTACCCCTGTATTTCGCTCAGATCTCTAACTTGACTCAGAAACTTCTCCCACAAACAGACCTTCAGCTTCTCCCGTCAGGGTGTGTGTTCAGGAGAGGACGGTCTCCCTTTCCCACATCCACAGTTGGGGCACTCACAGTTTTGGGGGGGTCTCCCGGGTCCTGCAGGAGCAGTTTGCTTCCTTCAGAGGGTCTGTGGATCCTTTTGGGATTGCTGATTTGTTCTTGCAGTTGATCTGGAGCTAAAAATTCACAGTGCAAGCCTCTGCATGCTGCTCTGTCCGGAGCTGAAATCTAGTCCTGCCTCCCGTCCGTCATAATCCCCTGAATCCAATTGCTCCATCGTATTATCTCTTAATAGGTATAGGTTTCTGGAAACCAAATCATAAAGAATCCTTTATTTTTGACCATAGCCCTTTCTTGAGGTGAGGATACAGAGTTGAATAGCTGTTTAGATAGGCAAATTGGTGGGAGAGAAAATAATCTATTAATATTCCACAATGTTATCCCACCTTACATAATTTTGAATACAATTCTGATATAAATATACATCAGAATAGGCAAGTATCTATAATAGATAATATTATAGAGTCAACAATAAGTAGTTTGGCTTAAATTCTGTTTTGGATGATTCACATCTATGTCTTTAACTCATTGAGAGATAGCTGTGTTCAAAAGTCTGATTTTTATTTTTTATATAGTTCAGCCATTTAAGGGGAGATATGGCCTTATGATTTCCAATATTACATTCCGTAATGCAGAAAATGTCTCTTGTAATTTCTAAGGCGATTTTAATTGGTAGACCTAAACAGACCTAGTTTTGAAGAAGCTGGGCATTTGAATCTCAGAGATTTATGGGTCACTCTGAAGATGTGTGTTGCGTAAGAGAGAGAGAGATTTTCTATATGATGAGATTTTTCTATGTATTTTCTACAGAGGGAAAACATACTGTTGCTTAGAAGAGAAAAATCCATGAATACATTTAACAAATGTGCATTCCTCACCTGTGAAATAAATCATGCTATTTAGTAAACTACCACCAAATATATCTCAATATGTTAAAATATGAAAACAAATGACTATTCATAAAAATTGAAAGGAAAATATTTTGAACAAAAGATCTATAAGGAAAAGATTTCACTTAACTTTAATAAATGGGATTTGGAAGATGAGTTATGTTCTTATGCACTTTCTTGCATTTATAAAATAATAGGCTTATGAATCTTCTTTTGCCTGACAGGGTCAAGTAGCATACGGATTTTCTTTCCTCTTTATTTCCACTATTGAGGTGCAACAATCAAGATTCACTCAAATTGTGCTGGTGGCTCTGATGGAGAGGGTTATATCTCATGTGCAGTGGGACCATGAGAACCATAATATGTTTAACAGCAGTATTCCAGAATTTGTCCCCAATGAGTCTTCAAGATATTTTCCCTAGGAGGCTTAAATGTACTATAGGTTTGAGGTTATTATTATTTTTTCATGAGGCCAGGTATTTGATTTTGAACTATGCCATTTACACTCTTGTTGCTCTTTTAGAAAGTGGTCATTTTAGTCACATAATAAAACCATTGCCACAGAAAGTTGCTATCTAAAACAGACACAACACATAACAGTTCCTTTGTTTTAAACTGCATTGGAAAAAAAAGAATTTCTCTCCAGAAAAGATTAACCCGGTGGTTATACAAAACCAGAATAGGGAATGTAATATGGGAATTATAATGATTCAGAAGAGAGTGACAACATGGCAGTTTATTGAGAAATCCAACCATATCATTAATTGCTGCATACAATTGCTACATAAGGGAGATGAAGTTGTTTATTATTATTATTATTATGATTATTGACAAATAACCTTTTAATGATTAAGACTCAGTTTTTTTTCTAGCCATATTTCATTGCATACCTGGAAAGCAGATACAGCATCAAAAGCAATTCTGCTGACCATGCAGGGAATGCATAATGTTGCAATACTATAGTATTGATTTTTTTTAAGATCCTATGCATAACCTTGTAGTAGTTTTATTTTAGATAGAAAAGATGCAAATACTCAGCTCTTCAGCATGTAAACACTCTTCCCACCATCTCTTTGGTGGCCTTTGTTCTCTTGTTGGGATCAAATCAATTTCTGTCACTTTGAAACATTTTGTGGAGCTCATCATTTTCTCTTCTTGTGGACTAGTTCGGAAGCTGTTCTGTTTCTTACCAGCTTCAGGCCTTGCTACAGTTGTCTGTTTGCATTACTGTGAAAGAAGAATTAGTCTCATCTTTTCTTATAAGGAAACCCATGTCATTAGTATATAACACTCGCACCTTGGAGTCTGTACTATATTTTACTATTCTCTAAAGTCTCTCTCTGAGAACAATGGCTTGATAAGTGTTTTCTTAATTTGTAACTCATTGTCCCTCAATTCTGGCTGTAGTCTTATGTGAATGGCTCAGGGAAGTTTCTCCTTAGTGTATCTAACTTGCAACTTTGATTTACACTTGATTCTAAGTAGGGTGATATCTGCATTTTTTTTTTTTTTTTTTTTTTTTTTTTTTGCCATGTAGGCTTAGACCTTGAGATTGTGTTTTTCTTCAAAATTTGGGTTTTTCTGCTCCTACCAATTTTAAGATTGCAGTAGAGAATACACATCAATGACAGGGGGTGGAAAGAAAGTATAATGGCTATGAAGTAAGAGTTCTATTTTGAGCCAGTAGTGTCTTAAAAAATTATGAAGCATGTGATGTCATTTTTAAATTGAGGAAATCTTCAAACATATTTATGTGATATAACTCATTCAATAAGTATGCTATTCTTCACACTAAACTATCTCGCTATTGTTTGCATTACTGTGAAAGAAGAATTAGTCTCATATTTTCTTATAAGGAAACCCATGTCATTAGAACTATATAGGACATTAAGTCTTAGCTCTAATAAATATTTCACTATACTGGATCTGATATCTCAATATATGAATCCTCCAGCAGTGTGTTCTCTCAGAAGTTGTAGTGCATTTTGAAGTTCTCATTTTCTTCTTTTCAATTTCACTTAAGTGCATAAAATCTATCTAATTAATCATCCAACATCATCTCTTTTGCTGTCAAATGAACATGATAAATGATAATAATTGCCAATGGTCTTATAATAATTTTCAGCTTTGAGTGAATTTAACAGGTTTGAAAATGTATCTGCCTATCCAGACTTGCTTCATTTGTTTAATTTCTTAGGAGTGAATGACCGGGTGTGGTTATTTAGCAGGCTGATAAATCTGGGCACCTGCTTACAAGTGTCAAGTAATGGGTTCTAGGTACCATACAATTTGTGTGAAAGTTCATTATACTAAAAAGTAAGAACTGCTGCAAGTAAGAACTGAATTCTTCAATAATACCTACTTAAAGTAAATTAGTTATAGAATTAGTTTTAAAATAGATTATTTGGTGCCTCGGGCTTTAATTAAATGAAATGAAGGGCCCTGTTCAACCGCAGTGAAATAAAAATGTGAGCAGTGATATGGGAGTGTGTAGGAAGGGAGATATGGCCTCCATCACAGCTGGAGCATCTGGACTTGCAAATCACATTTCATGGGTCATATCGCTGTATATGTGAGGTACTCTAAAAAAGATCTGTGAATTTTAATAATACTGCCTATAAATACTTGAACTTAAGATGTGTTAGAACTTCCAATTAAAATATTTGAATGAAGTGGAAAACTAAGGTTGGAAGTTTGTATCTGCCACATGCATCTAATAGCGAGTCCACAGGCTTCTTATCACACGTGTCTCGGGGACATTTCTAGTTTTGAGCATTGTGAATGCATATACTCCGCTTTTCTTTCATCAGTTTCTTTCTCACTGTTCATCTTTCACAGTGCTTTCCACTATTTTGAGGGGTTGTGTTCCCCTAATTTTCATGTTTTAATGCCTTTTTCTTAATTTGTTATAGATCTGGAAAGTGATGAAACTGTGTGAGAATTAATGGGAGAGTTATTCTTAGAGACATGTAGAGCTCTAGGCCAGGGGCTTTGAAGCTTTTAGCTGTTGCCCCAGAAACTACCAAGGAATCTGATGTCATGAGAATGAACGGCTTGAGCTACAAAATTAACCTACTTGATTTTAAGCTTCTTCAGGGTGGGATCACCTCTTATTCTGACTAGATGTTTATAATATATTTAAACCCTGATGTGATGCCACAGCACTGGTGCAGAATGAATGGGTTAGTTCTTGCTTCCATTATTTATGTTTGCCGTTTCCTCTTTTGTAGTGGGTTATTAATAAGCCAATAACTGACTGCAAGGTGTTTGAAGCCAGATATTTGACTCCTTTGTCTATATTGGTTAAATAATATCAAACTGAAGGTATTCAAACACCCCTGAGAAACAGAATCTTTTCCTTTCAGTATCTAGTTATTGGAAGATACCCTCATTTTTATATGGCTTAACTCTTGAACCCCTAGTACAAACAGAGGTGTGACTGGAAATACATTCTGAGTTAGAGATGGAGTCATCTGGTTTCCTAAACGTGGTCAAAGGAGAAGTGGGGCCACCAGGTGCTGCAGCCTGAAGCAGAGTTGCCCAGAGAGTCCAGCCTCGACCAGCCGAACCTCAGCCAATGCATAGATGTATGAGTGATAGTAAATGATCATTGTTTAAAAGCACGAAGAGCTGATTGGTTTGATATGCAGCAACAGCTAACCAGTGAAGTTAGCTATTATTATTACTATTCTACTTTTAGGGGAAAAAAGTATTATTAGGGGAAAGAACAAAGGACTATTAAATAGGCTCCTTGAGCCAGGTGGTTTTGAATGTTGCTAAGCCCCCATCCCCAGTTTCCATGCAGTCAAAGCCCCGGGACTTCTAATGCTCTGGCAGCTGATGAGGCAGCTCCCCAGGCTGCCTCCTCTTTCCAGCATTCCTGCAATCAACTGTCATCCCTGTGGGTGTCACTTTCTAGGGAGTTCAAGGATCTGGGCTAATACAGAGCCAAATAGTAAAGGGAGGAAAAATACTTATAGGGTGTTTTGCATCCACTTTCTTTTTTATTATTTCCTCTAAATTACGACCCTGCTGCAGTGGATGCTTTTGGCCCGAGAGTCAAGGCATTACATTCTTGAAACCTTTTCAGCACTTAGTTGGGTTTCTTTGTGTTGCTGCATCTCTAACTACAGTGACCTAATAGTACTTACCAGCACCCAACTTCCTTTCAGGGAGTCGGAGGGGATTAATGAGACAGTGTTTGCAAAGCACTCCGAGGCTCGCTGAGGGAAAAGGCACGTTAGTCATATAAATGTGGATATCTGGAGTTGGCACTCGTTTGTCCCTGTGTATCTATTTCACATAGTTTGGTATCTTTGAGGCAATAATTTGGAAGGCACAACCTCATGCCCTTCTCTTAGTAAAGGACGGCATTTTGCTTGGAGCCGAGATATTTTTTTCCACCCTTTTGGCCTTGCTGAGCTTTTTAACGATCACTTCCATGCTGCTTGTCTCTAATCTGCTGAGAGATGCTGTCGGTACAAACTGTACTGTGAGACTGTGAGAAAATTACACCCCAACCCACATGGAAGCCCTGCTTTTGGTTCCAGCATGTCTGTTGGGACCGCTGTTAAGAATATGTGTCTAAAGAAGGAGCTCATTCTAATTCTTGGTGCACAGGTGAGTTAATAAGTGTGTGCATTGAGACCAAGGCTGATGTATCAAAGATGTGGCTCTCTATCACCTCAGGGGTGTTCTTAATAGTGGTGCCAGTTTTTTTTTCCCCTTTCATTTTCGTCAAAATGTATCAAGGGCTGTCATTGCTTCTCAAAGAAAGCACTTATTAATATGTATGAGGTAAGACTGTTCCTTTCTAAGAATTAACTTTACTCACAATCATTACATCCAACCATAATGCATAAGAAGAAAAAAGGTAACACACACACACACACACACACACACACACACACACAAAACATAAACAGTAAAAGAGCACCACAGCTCTGAACTTCCCTGAGACAGAAAATGTCATATATTAATGCAAAATAAAATGCAGTCCCTTGCTTTTTATTTTCCTTTCTGAGGTGGTAGCATTTGCTAGATAATGATATTTTGTGTTTCTGAGTCCAAACGTGCTTCATTTTCCATGATATTTTGAGTGCATACCAACAGCTAAATAATGGTATGTGAACACCATTAGAGCCCCATTTTAATCTATTTTAAACAGGTGACTCCAATTTGTCTTAAGCTATGACTTCTGTTTTATTTGTACCTGTTTTAACAGCTAGATGGTCAGCAATTCAAAACACCTGCTTTTCGGGCAGCTATATGAACTTACTATTTTTCATGAGTATTATGTTTTAAATTCCCCTTTGTTAAAACAGTTAATCTTGGAACATTTAGTTGGTTCTTAATATGGTTTGGCTGTGTTCCTACCCAAAATCTCGTCTTGAATTGTAATCTGAATTGTAATCTGAATAGTGCTGGGGTGACATCTGGTGGGAGGTAATTTAATCATGGGAGTGGTTACCCTCATGCTGTTCTCGTGATAGTGAGTGAGTTGTCAAGAGATCTGATGGTTTTGTAAGGGGTTTTTCCCCTACTTCACTCTGCACTTCTTGCTGCCATCATGTGAAGAAGGATGTGTTTGCTTCCCCTTCTGCCATGATTGTAAGCTTCTTGAGGCCTCCCCAGCCATGCTGAACTGTGAGTCAATTAAGCCTCTTTCCTTTATAAATTACTTCATCTCAGGTATGTCCTTATAGCAGCATGAGAGTGGACCAATACTGTCATTTATTGAGAATTTACTGCCCGGAGGTACCTTGAGGGGTCACAGAAAAATTGACAATCTGGTTTTCATTCTGAGTAACAATTATAGTAAACAATCCTTGAGAGTCTGCTATATGATGAATGAAGAAGGTATAAAAAAGCTAAGCCACTTTTCTAAGTGTCTCTCTCACCCTAGGGCCTTGGCTTACAACCAGCTGGGAAGACTAATGATTTCTTTCTTTGAGGTTAGTGTTAGTTTGCTAGGGTTGCCATAACAAGGTGCCACAGATGGGGTGGCTTAATCCACAGAATTTAATTTTCCCACGACTCAGGAGGCTGGATGTCAGGAGGGCTGGTTTCTTCTGAGGCCTCTCTCCTTGGCTTGCAGATGGCTGCTTTCTCATTGTGTCTTCACATGGTTATTTCTCTGAACCTATGTCCAAATTTCCTTTTCTTATAAGGACAGCGGTTATATTGGATGAGGGCTCACTCTAATGACTTAATTGCTTCCTTAAGACCCTATCTCCAAATGCAGTCACATTCTGAGGCATTCGAGGTTAGGACTTTGACATAGGAATTTTGGGGAGACACAATTCAGCTCATAAAAGGGCTCACCAAAGATAAGTTTGGCTCACCAAAGATGAGTTTTTACAGATTCTTGTCTGCTCTTCCCTTATCTCAGCCAAGGCACAAGGGACTCTTTAAGACTGGGAGGAGTGAGGAGGCCTCTCTATCTGTTGGGGAAGCCTGAACTTTGAAAACTCAGTGGCCAGAACGAGACTTGGAGGATGCTTCCCTTACACCCCGATATCCCTCCAAGGAGGCCTTGTGGCATGCGTGAGGGAAAGGGCTTGTGGAGGGCTGCTGAGTGGCTGCTTCCTCTTCTGTGCAACAAGCAAGTATCAGATGGCCTTGCTACTCGAGGGAGGAAAGGGGAAACATTGTAAATGTGCAAGGCAGGACAGGACAGGAGGAGAACCACCAGACAAATGAAATGCAAAACCAGTAAACCAGTTAATAATTCAAAAGCACCATGCTCTAGGGCTAGGCCTTTCCCTATAGCATCATCTCACTTATGCCTCGTCAACTGTTCAGTGGTCAGCTGTGGCTTCCAAGTCTATGTGCAGTAAAGGCCGATTTCAAATGGCATTTGTAACATTAACAGAGGAGGAGGCTTCAGCCTCCATTTAGTTTCCTTTTTTGCTATTCTTGTTTGTGCATAAAATAAAACAAAGCATAACAACATAAACATCAAAACCATAAGGAACCTCACATTTAATTTGTTTTCTTGCTTTCATTGCCCATTGGAGTCTCGGGGATTTCTTTGTTGGGTTGCTAATGAGCTGGTGGAGAGAGGGTGGGACTGGGCTTTGGATGGTCTAGTTTCCGATGCCATTGCTGTCACTAAGAAGCTGAGTAATCTCAGAAAACTCACTTATGTTTTCCTTGCTTCATTGTTTGAACCTGAGAAATGAGACTTGTAATCCTTACCCCACAGACAGGAGAATTGCCTCTGAATATTATGGTGAGGATTAAAGGAGGCAACAAACGGGAAGATATTATTAAACCTTAACATCAGAGTGCAGTTCAAGTGAAAGTTCTCTTAAAACATTTTGCATCAAGTCCACAGAAGCTTTGTCTGCTTCCTAGTCTAGCTCCACAACCGTCACTCAGGATTAAGGATAGAGCACAGAAGTGAAGTTAGCATAAAGCCAGGTGAGTTCATGGGATCGAGATTAAGATAAGCGTCTGTGCTGTCACACTGCCAGGGTTTCCTGTGGCCAGGTCATCCGCATGGGATGCAAGGAGACTTGCTGTAGGCAGTGACATCATTTCCCTCTGTATTTCTGGACCATACATCAGAGCAATACATTTCTATAATTTCTATCTATACATGCAAATTGAGTTATTTTCCTCATCGGTTGTTGTTTCTTGGAGGACGAATTTTCACTTTAATTTCTTTATTTCTTTCTGCTCTTATTCAAGGCTGGTGGAGTAGGGGGTAGGTTACAGGTGTTTGTCATCTTTCCAGTCTCTCCTCTTTCTTGGTTAGTGGGCAGATCTTTCCCCCCTCTATCCGCTTTTCTGTGTCAGCTGCTATCGGGTCCATCCTTCCAGAGGAGGTGTTAATACAACCCTGCCAATTTTATCAGTTTGCTAAATAGTCATTCAGGAAAAGCCTTGGCAGGCTCCTTGGCAGGGAAGCCTTCACTGACGTTGAGTGGATCTCAGAACTGAGTCTCTGTTTGGTGGTGCCAAGTACCCAGCTGTGTGTGGAGACCTCTCTGTTCTCTTTCTTTCTGCCTTAGTGAGTTGTTACTCTGACCCTAGGCCTCTCCCCAAATCATTCAGAGTGGAGTAGATTGGGGATTCTAGTCTTTTCTGGAGCACCAGTAAAAGCTGTGCCCTGTAAGGATTTTGCCTTATTTCAGGAGCATCTGGGGGCACCAGGGAAACTGCAGAATGTAGGAAAGCCTCTGTGCTGCTCCAGCTCTGCCCTGGTTTTCCAGAATGTAATGGATGGTCAAGAGAGAAAATTAAAAGCTAATGAATGCCTCACTGACCTAGGACGGGCCAAGTCCCTGACCTTCCAAGGGTTCTCCTCTTTGAGGCTCACACGAGGCTTTTAGAAATTTCCAAATTGAACAAAAACCCTGGCACTCTGGTCTGATCTTGCTTCTTCTTCAGGAACCCAAAATAGTGTGTTAGGAATTTCTGAGGGTCGAGGGATGATGTGACAATTGCTCTTTTCTGTTAGTCAAACTCGTATTGAAGTGGTATGTGGTGAAACGGGCAGCACTTTAGATTATCCAACATTGCAGTTATCAGATTGCCTCTGTGATCCCTGCAGTCTGGTGGCGTGCATGTGTCCCTCTCCTCCCTCAAATTATTTCAAGGCTTGAGGTGAAACATGAGAAGCACAATCATCTATTATTTTCTCAACATCAAAATAATGATGTCAAATGATTACTTGGGCTAGAGTTTCCCAGTATCTAAAGAGCCATAAATTTGTCCATTTGAGGAACTGAGGCCACCAGAGAGCATGTCTGGTGGTTTGTAAATTCAACATTCCTATGATGATCAGTAATTCATTTATGACTTCCCCCCTTGGGCACACTGCAGTAGAGAAACGATTACTCAACGGGTGAGATATTTAATATTCTTCACTCTCAAGTGTCAATGGCACAGCATTTTCTGTGGCTTCCTTTTCCAGAACTTCTTCATTTAGTTGAAAGGGAAAGCTACTCCCCTACTACTGAGTACTCAGTGGGATAGCTCTCCATGCCTGGGCCCTCGTCCCTGAATCAGTTGGAGAGAAATATTTCCTCTGATGGAAAGGCTTTGAAATAAATGGTAAAGGGACCCAAAGAGTAAGATTTTCTTTTCATGCTTTTTGGAAACTTTTTTTTTTGGTATTTATTTCAAAGACTTAAGTGTACTTTGGGGGGGCCCTAATCATCCTAAGCCCTGGGAATTTACTTCTCTGCAGCTGCTCCCCCTCCCCAAGCAGCCCTGCACGGAGCAAAATAATTGTCTGTTTCTGCAAGCAGCCTCCTGTGCAGATGGAGCCTGATTAGCATCAGCGCTTGCAGCAGTCCACTGCTCTAACCACATTTGGAAATCCAGCCACTGAGAGAAATGTGGGCTTGACATTCATTAACATTCTTTGGCTCCCTGGGAAATACACATAATAGGGTAAAATTGCCATTAAGGAGAGCAACACTTGAGGGAAATATCTACTCAATAAAGACGGAGATTCTTCTCATCAACAGCTGAGGAAAAATCCAGTTGCCATAAAGGGTAAAAGAGACATCCTCTTAATATGAATGAAGATGACCAGAGTTCAGCAGGTTTGTAGTTCTAATGAGTCCGATCTTCCTGCACTGGATGGCAACTGGCTTATTGGTATGCAGATGTTTCTTGGGCATATTTTGGTCTCAGCAGACCCTAGAAAGAGCTTAATGATTTCTGTCCCCAGGGTTGTCTGTATTAACCTTACGAAAAGGCACATACGGAAGGAAAACTCTTAGCACTGACATGGAACCCTTAAGTTAAAATTTTTTTTTTTCCCCCTGAGTTGGAGGAATAATATTCTTCGGTATTCTCTTTTCTTGGAACTGGGGGTTCTTAGTGGAATACAAAGTAACCTATGCCATAGATAATTCTATCATTAGACCTAGGATTCACTTTTACATCCCTAGGGTAATTGGATCTGATTCTTTGGTCTTCATAGTCCTTTGAATTAGAATGATACTCTAGCAACCCTGTAGGATTGTGTATTGTATGTGTTGGAACTGATAAAAGGGATTGTTATTAACATTTGGGAAGACTGTCCAAAGAGCTGCACTAACGGTGTTTTCAACAAACCTACATTTCTAGACATTTAAAAATTCTCTTTGAAGAGACTTGAAATGATCTCTGAGTTCATTCTTTACTATTGACATGGACTCAGGTGTAGGTTCATGACACAAAACCTTAAAGCCCATTTTTATTTTGTCCTCTCTTGACCAATGAAATGCTCCATTTGGTAGTTCTTGCAACTACTGTCCTTGACAATCAGCAGGGAGGAACAAGGCTCCTTGCTGAGTCTGTGTCTTGCATAAAATTATTGATGTATTGAATAAGTTATCTAAAACAGCAGGTTTCTTAATGTCAAGTTGAGCAGTTTTAAATTCCTGCCTGGAATGTAACACCAATTTGTGCACCTACTATTTTGATTGTTTTATCTCCAAATGGCCTTAACTTGATGTTAGGCATCTGTACTGCATTTCAATTTTGTTGGAAGCAGCATCCTGTGCTCCTTATAATACCTGTGCTTGCATAGCAATTTATAATTTGTGATACATTTTTCCATATATTTTCTAACTTAATCCTCACAATGTGCCTATGTGAAGGGTGGTTTTAACCTCATTTTTTAAGATGAGGAAACTGAGGCTCAGGGAATATATTGATGTATTCACAATGATTTATTTAGCAAAAACAGAAGTTGAACTTGAAGGTACAAGCCCTTTGTAGAATATGAGCTCCCGCTTTTTGTTGCAGTTCTTTTGCTATAAACTTTAATTTGTTTATGCAAAATCTGAGATATTGCTTTAAATATCTGCAGCTAGATTTGGCTGCAGTGAGCAGAGTTTTGTATGTCTGCTGAACATTAAAATATACTGAGGCAGTAAGAAGCTTTTTTTTTCCTAGATAATTATCACAAGGAAGATTTTCTTAGTGGGCTCTAATGCTAATGCTCTTCTGAGACTGGGGTGCCTCAGTACTCAAATGCTCACACTGCATCATTCTCCCTGGAGATTTGGTGCTGTTAAGAATGTGTTTCATTCTCTTCAGGTCCAATGACATGCCTTGTTTCTGTAGTGAAAAATAATCATCATCAAAATATTTGAGTGCTATTTCAACTGAATATCACTTTTTAACATCAGCCTACAAACAAAACATTGAATATTAAACTATAGTTACAGAACAGAATGTGAATGCTATAAACCCTGTGAAGTGAAAGTAATGGTCAAGTTGACAGAAGTCAGGAGGTAGGAATAGATGGTAGGCAGGAGATGTGATGTAGGGTGGGGCTGTAATCTCTTCATCTAATGTAATGGATGGTCAAGAGAGAAAATTAAAAGCTAATGAAATAACATATGAAGGCTTAGAGATCTTATTTAAAGTTATAAAGTTAAGCAGTAGAAAAACTAAAAATAATAGTGCTAATAACACCTGTTGGGGAGGGAAAGGGAGAAAATATAATTAAGGTAATTTTCTCAGCTTTTGTATCACTGAGTCAAAAAGTTAATATCTATAATTGAGAAATCATGAAAGAGACATTGGACATATTTATGACCACCAATGACTAAACTGTGACTCCAAAGAGTAGCAGAACTCAGAATGGGGAGTACGACAGAAAACTTTCCTTTTTTAAATATTCTGTATAATTTGATTTTTAAATAATGGATATTAGTGTTTTTAAATTTTAATCAGTGGGACTTTGCTATTTCATTTCTGCCATAGACTGGTTGGTATATCATGAAAACCCCATGACTGTCTGAGCTGACAGATGGACAAGGCAGGCCAGGCTTTGAATAGACTGGGGATTTGTGACTGAACCCTACATGGACTGACTGGCTGAGCCAGCAGACTCAGCAGAGACCCCAGTCATTAGATGTTGCCTGAGCCATGCGGTAGTAACAATATGACACATCCACAGCCTGGACCAGGTGTCAGTAGAACACCTGTTAGTTGTGATTTCGCCAATAACTGGTTGTGTTACTGGGCAAGTTTGAGGCCTCAGTCTCCTCCTCAATGATCGTAAGCGTTCAATTCTAGACTTCCTCTAACACTGACTTTCTGTTTTTCTATTATTCTCCTTGTCTTATTTTTATTTGTAAGATATGTATAGTTATAAATCTTTTGAACCTAGAATCACAACCCTGGGTACATGATCTAAGAGGCTACTTCAGAATAATATCTTCTCTCTAGGAATGATCTTTGTGTTACCCAACAGCCATCAATCATGGTTATGTCCTGAGTACTGTTAATCTGACTTAAGAATGTGTTAGTTTATCACTAATAGATTTCTTAATTAAATTACTGAAATGGTTCAAAAGAGTTCAAGCTTTTGGGAATAGGATTTAAAGCACATTCTCTTCCATCAGTTTTTACAATTTGAGCTACTTATTACTGATTTAAGGTGTTTTCTGAATGTGTTGTTAAATTTCCTTAAAGCAAGCAGGAAGTTAAAACTTTACAGAGAGCTCAGTTTCATTGCTTGATCATATGTGGCAAAGTAGCTTTGCTTTACCCTGTATTTGAATTGATCCAGTCACATTTTCCTCTAACTTTTTTCCTGTCATCAGTTGATATTTTCAGTAATAAATTTAATACATAAGAAGGTGAAAAATGAGTTAACATTTTTCCATGTTGTTTCTTTGCTTCTAGGTAATCAAGTAATCAAGTCTTAGATCAATTCTTTGAGAGTTTGCACTAAGATGAGGAAAGCCAAGCCCAGTGAGAACGATGTGATGTATATCAGGAGACTTATTTTCCCCTAAGTTTATTGGGTCTTTTGAAGTTTTATTAGGTTTGCAAGGTTGCTTACTGCAGTGACTTGGGAGATACAAGCTGGCCAGAGTACCTTTCCAGATAATAAAAGACTGCATTGCTTGGGTTTTTGACTGCAACTTGGGTTGCTGAAAACTGTCCTGCTCATTCACTGAGTGACGCTGGTTTCATTCCAGCAATTCTAGTTGAATGGGCATTGGTGTGTACGTCATTTAACTGCTCTTTTCTTGGTATTTTGTCTCCCTTGATACTTAGCTTCCCAGAGAGCCAACTCCTAGTAGATCTTCAGACTGAAATGTCAGCTGGGGCCAGAGTATGAGAGGCCTACTGGAAAGCCCTAAACCATTCAGAACATGGGGCTGAAGAGGACAGAGGTCAGGTCAGAGGAGGCGGGCCAAGGTTGAAAAATGGTTCTACAGGGAACAGGAGTGGAAAATGGATTAAGGTGAAGGAGGGGGTAAGAACCAGTACAAATAACTGTGTGCTAAGCCATTTATATACAGTAACACTCACAGTAACACTCTAAGTTAGATATTAAAAGTGCTACACCTAGATCTGGGGAGAGTAATTTGCCCAAGATCACGCAGTTAAGTATTGAAGTCAATATTTGAACTCAGTTCTGTCTGAATCCAAAGCTCTTACTCAATTCTGTTTTATCATTCTGCCTCCCATTGGAGACAGGCAACTGGGTGTTTAATAAAACACTCCTGTGTACTGAGATGCAGGTTGCAAATATGAGTTGGTTTTTTTCCCAAAGACATGTAATCTCACTCATGCTTACATAGCTGCCTGTACAACTTGCAGCATCAAGCCTCCATTTGCAAGCAAGAAACATGGTCTGGGTTGGAATGCCTGGATGGGACTGTGAAGCAGGCTGAGAAGGGATAACTTCAATTCCCTTCTACCCCATTACAAAGCTTATCTTTATAGCACAAGAAATACTTGCTTCTCTGGAGACTAAGGATGCTTTGTTCCTATTTTCTTCTTCATTTTAAAAATGAAATGAAAATATCCCATTAAAGGGAAGTTCCTTATTTCTAACTGTTGAATGCCATGGTACTTAATTTCAGCTTGTTAAATTTAGGGTCTTGAAACAAAATCCCACACATAAATGTTCTCTGGGCCCATGGCATTTCCATTTGATTGTGAATTGGATTAATTTTTATGTATCTTAAGCTCTTGCCTCTCATTCCTTTTTGTTTTGAGATACTTAAACAAATGTTGACGGTTATGGTTGGCTTAATAAGCTGCCTCAGTTATGTAAATGATTTCTGTTAGTTATGTTATTGCTAGTTGAAGATAGCTTTAAGTTTTCTGGCATATTTTTGGGACTTACTAGTAAAGCATTACTGATACCTTTTAACATTCTTTTGCTTCTTCAGGCATCAAGTTGACCTTTTTTCTAGCTCCCTTTAGCCCTACACTTCCTTTTTGAATCTACTGTTTGCTTGACATGAAAAATGAACTTACAAAATTATAGACCCAGTGGCCTTTTCTTAGTCTTCATTCTTCTTGGCCGCTCTGCTGCAGTTGACACTACTGCCTCCTCCTTTTTCTTGAAATGTCTTTCTCCTTTGGCTTCCATGACACTCTATTTCCTGGTTCTTTCTCTCCCCTCTGACTTTACTTTCTGCTCTTCATCCTCTCTACAATCTTTACTACAGACTCGTGCTTTATAGTGCTGAAAGTGATGATAATTGTGTGGCACGTGGGGGTTCCCAGATGAGGCTGCCTGATTCTGAAGGTGATGGGAATGTGGTCTGAGGATAGCAATCTCTTGGCACACCTGTAACCCAATGGGGCACATCCATGTGCTTCTGCATACTGATTGGGAGTTTTGTTCTATGCATTGCAGGGAGCTGAGTTACCTCCAGATCATAGTAAATACGGGATAAGAAAATCAAGGTACAGGCAAATAGTGGGAAAAACCATGATGAAGCACTAGAGATCATAACGGCAGAAAGTCCATAAAGTTTAAAGAGAGGTCAGGGAAAAAGCATTCCGTAGATGCAAGAAACAGCAAGGATTCACACACAGGAGTTCTAACAAGGGCTTAGGGACATCTGTGACAGTGGTCAGAGATCAGAAACAGAAATTAATAACCCAAACTTTCATTTGAACTTGGCTGGAGCCCAGGAGGATATCAAGATATGGCTGAGCACCAGAAATCAGAGCACAGGTGACTGTTCCTTAAGAATGGCCCATCTACAGGTGTCTGTGATGACTGTGCTGAGCTGTGAGAGCAGGCATGGTAGACAATGGAGTGAAGAGCTTAGAATGCAGGTGAGATTCATTCCAAGTAAACCAAACTCAAGATGACTGGCTGCAGCTAGGCCAGGAAGCTTCTTTATCATCACATTACCTCTTGGGGACTATTATTTACTTCCAAGTCTAAAGTGATGGTTTTCTGCCCTGACGTTTTATCCAAATTTTGGTTGGCTAGAAACTGAACTAGAGATCTTGTCACCTCAAGTTCCAAGAGCCAAATACCTTTCATGTCTGAACGCTAGTTCCACTTTCTACTTCTTGGTCTCTTCATCAATCTCCTAGGCTCAAAGTCTTGTAGACATCGTTGACTTGTGTCTCTTTGGTCCCCCATCATCACTCAGTCATTTTCTGGAGAATGTCTCACATTGATCCTCTTCTTTTCCCTAGTTCAGACCCATCTCTCTTATGTCCAAGTCTCTTCACACCTTCTTCCTCTCTGGTCTCACTGCCTCTAGTTCCATTTCTCTCTGAAGTATCTAACACTGACTAGTGTTTGGGAAACTCAGATTTCATTATCTCATTCCTTGACCAAAAGTGGATTCAGGGATTGCCCGTGTCTCCTTTTTAAGTAAAAACATCTTTGGGCAGGGCGCAGTGGCTCACGTCTGTAATCCCAGCACTTTGGGAGGCTGAGGTGGGTGGATCATCTGAGGTCAGGAGTTCGAGACCAGCCTGGCCAACATGGTGAAACCCCGTCTCCACTAAAAAAAAAAAAATACAAAAATTAGCCAGGTTTGGTGGTGCGCACCTGTAATACCAGCTACTCAGGAGATTGAGGGAGGAGAATCACTTGAATCTTGGAGGCAGGGGTTGCAGTGAGCCGAGAACACACCACTGCACTCCAGCCTGGGAAACAAGACTGAAACTCAGTCTCAAAAAAAAAAAAAAAAAAAAACACAAACAAAAAAACAAACAACAACAAAACATCTTTGAGTATTTTAGGCCTTGCTAATCCAGCCTTATATAACCTACTCAGCCACGGTGTAGTTCAGTCTTTTCACTGGCTTGTGGGTGCATGCACTCACTCTCTCAGATCTCACTTGCTTTTTTACTCACCAACTCATTGACCCACCAGAAGAATGGCCCCTCAAAGGAGTCTACATCCTAATCCTCAGAACCCGTGAGTATGAATGTTACATGGCAGGTGGGAATTAAGGTTACGAATCAGTTGATCTTGAGATGATGAGATTATCCTGGATGATCCAGGTGGACCTGACATAATCACAAGGGTCCTTAAAAGTGGAAGAGGGAGGCTGAAGAGAGTCGGAGATGTGATCACAGAAACAGGGTCAGAAGAATGAGATGTGAGAAGGACTTGCTCTGTGGAAGAGAGTCACCAGCCAAGGAGTTCAGGCAGCCTCTAGAAGCTGGGTGAGAAACAGACGCACCTTAGAGCTACAGAAAAGAATTAAGCCCTGCCAACACCTTGATTTTCAGCTTGTGGATTGATTTTAGACTTCTGGATCACAGAACTGTAAAATAATGTTTGTGTTGTTTTAAGCCACAGAATTTATGATAATTTGTTACAGGAGTGGTAGGAAGTCTATACACCAGTCACCTCCAAAATAGTTACAGAGCACTCCTTAGGGACTAGGTGCCCCACTGCCCTCACGGTTGGAGGAATTCACAGTGGGAGACAAGGAGGGAGAGACTCCTATTGACCTAATTCCTGTTCAATTTGATTAATTCATCCACTCACTTAACAAATATTGAGTGCCTATTATGTGCCAGGCACTGTTCTAGGCACAGCAAACAGGTAAAATCCTCACTGTCCTGGAAGTTACAAACTAATTGGAAGACACACACTAAACATAAAAAGCATACAAATGTCAGTGGTAGATAAATGTTATGAGGAAAAGTAAAAGAGGTTTTCAAGACTAAGATGGAAGGAAGTAGCTACTTTTGGATAGGGTGGTAAAGAAAGGCCTCTCTGAAGAAGTAATATTTCAAAAATGTGGAAGAATAGCTCTAATTGCAAACACATTAAATTTCTGATATTAATGTGTGCTTTATAAATTTTCACCATTTAAAAGTGATATGGTTAGGGTTTGTGTCCCCATCCAAATCTCATCTTGAATTGTAACCCCCATAATCCCCACGTATCAAGGGAGAGACCACGTGGAGGTAATTGAATCATGGGGGGTGGTTTTCCCCATACTGTTCTTCTGATAGTGAGTTCTCACAAGATCTGATGGTTTCATAAGGGGCTCTTCACCCTTCACTCTGCACTTCTCCTTCCTGTGAAGACGGTGCCTTGCTTCCCCTTCACCTTCCACCATGATTGTAAGTTTCCTGAGGCCTCTCCAGCCATGCTGAACTGGGAGTCAATTAAACCTCTTTCCTTTATAAATTAGTCAGTCTCAGGCAGTTCTTTACAGCAGTGTGAAAATGGACTGATACAATGAGCTTCGTCACTTCAGATGAGCTGATAATCTTAGTTTGGGGCATGTTGGATGAAGGATCCTAGTTTTTTCCATCTCCTGCTATGAACAGAGACATTTCTGGAGTTTCATTTAGAGTACTGTCATTTAATCTTATTACTTCTAGCCAAAAGTGTTCCCTGTGTGGCTTTCTCTTCAATATCTTTGTTAGTGTCTTTAACAGATTATGAGAAGACCTTCATTTTTAACCCCATTCTTCCTACAATGACCAGAGTAGATGGGCAACTAAGGAATTATCCTACATTAACTTAATTCCATTTCTTGTTTTTACCCATTGTTAGAAGAGCCGTGAGCACATGATTTTTTTTTTGTACTCAGTCATGGCTAATAATTAATGTATTGTGAATTTCTTAAAGTTGGTCTTCTGGACAAACATGTTATAATGAAGTATATTGTGTAATGGACACAGATACCTTTTATTAAAATTGGTTTTTATAGTCAAAAGACCTTTCAGAGAAGGAGAAGGGTTGGCTTCAGAATTATCTATGCTGTATTGACTTTATGGCACCCTGAGGTACTCTTCAAATGCAAATGTGGGTGTTTATTAAGCAGAAACAGTTTCAAAACTATTGTGTTCTGCCATGTTAATGCAGGTAGAAATGTGAAAGCTTCCTGCTTTTATTTTTTTGATATTACTTTTTTGGGGACGATATTGGCTGAAGAATCTATATGCAAGAAAATGCAAGAAAATCACTTAAGGAAATGTATCCATGTTTAAAAGTAGGGATTATCTTTGCGCCCCTGGGTAGGCTGGTATAGGAGTACATTACACTCCCCCTATTCTCTCATACACACCCAGGGTGCAGGCATGTATTTCACAACTAAGCATCTATTTCAATAGCTGTGAAGATACTGTGCAATAGGTAGAACAGCCAACCAGCCGACCATGTGTGTAATCAACTATCTCTTCCCAATGCACATAGCAAATATTTATAGAGCTAGAGGAACTTCAACTCTAATTATCCCTGCTTTTTATTTTCATTCTTACTGCTTCACATGGATACAACAATGTTTCAACTAGAACAAGGCAAACCACTTGGTCATTGGTTTCATATTTACTTTTAACCTGTCTCAGCATGCATACAGTTAAATAGATATAATCCCTGACGTTTGCTAGTTTACAACTAAAGCAATGCTGAAGTAAACAGAAAGTATTAGGGGCATACGTGAGTGGCTTGAAAATTCATTTTTTTTCTCTTGCTGCTTTTAGGATCCTTTATCTTTGACTTTTGGGAGTTTGATTATAAGATGCTTTGAGGTAGTCTTCTTTGGGTTAAAGATGCTTGGTATTCTATAACTCTCTTCTACTTGAATGTTAATATCTTTCACTAGGTTTGGGACATTCTCTCCTATTATCCCTCTGAATAAACTTTCTACCCTATCTCTCCACCTCCCCTTTAAGTCCAATAACTCTTATATTTGTCTCTTTTACAGGCTATTTTCTGGATCTTTTTGGCATGCTTCCTTGTTTTTTTATTCTTTTTTCTTTTGTTTCTTCTCACTGTGTATTTTCAAATAGCCTGTCTTCAAGCTCACTAATTCTTTCGTCTGCTTGATCAATTTTGCTCTTGACTCTGATGCATTCTTCAGTATGTCACTTGCATTTTTCAACTCCAGAATTTCTGCTTGATTCTTTTTAATTATTTCAATCTCCTTATTAAATTTATCTGATAGAATTTTGAATTCCTTCTCTGTGTTATCTTGAATTTCTTTCGAGTTTCCTCAAAACAGCAATTTTGAATTCTCTGAAAGGTCACATGTCTCTTTCTTCAGGATTGGTATTTGGTGCTTTATTTAGTTTGGTGAAGTCATGTTTTCCTGGATAATCTTGATGCTTGTAGATGTTCGTCAGTGTCTGGGCACTGAAGAGTCAGGTTTTTATTGTAGTTGTCACATTCTGGGCTTATGACTGTGCTGCTTGAGAAGGCTTCCAGGTATCCAAAGGGACATGGGCCCCAATCCCAATGTCACTGTGGTTTTTGTGGACTCGTAGAGGTACCACCTTGGTGGTCTTGTATAAGATCCAGAAGAATTCACTGGATTACCACGCAGAGGCTCTTGTTCTTTTCCCTTACATTTTCCCAAACGAAGTCTCTCTCTCTGTGCTGAGCCACCTGGAATAGGGGGTGAGGTGATGTAAGCACTCCTGGGGCCACCACCACTGGGGCTGTGCTGGGTCAGACCTGAAGCCAGCACAGCACTGGATCTTACCCAGGACCTGCTGTACCTACACTTGGCTTCCACCTATGTTCACTCAAGGCCTTAGTGCTCTAATCAGCAGGTGGCAAAGCCAGTCAGGTTTGTATCCTCCCCTTCAGGTCAGTGAGTTCCCCTAGGCCCCGGATATGTCCAGAGATGCTGTCTGGGAGCCAGGGATTGGAATATAAAAACTTTAGAAATTTGCCTAATGTTCTATTCTGCGGCTAAGCTGGCACTCAAACCACAATATAAAGTCCTTCTTGCTCTTCCTTTCTCTTTCTCTTTCCACAGGCAAGGGAGCCTCTCTCTATGGGCACCACCACCAACAACCCATGGAGGGGTTCTGCCAGGCCACTAGCAATGTTCACTTAAAGCCCAACCTCTTCAGTCAGCTTGTGGTAAATACTGCCAGGCCTGGGACTCAGCTTTCACAGCAGTGGGCTTTCCTGTGGCCCAGTGCAGGTCCAGAAATGCTGTCCAAGAGCCTAGGCCTATACTCAGGGGTCCCAAGAGCCTGATTGTTGCTCTACCCCATTGTGGCCAAGCTGGTCTCTGAGGTGCAAGAAAAGTCCCCTTTAGTTTTCCATCTGCTTTTCTCAAACAGAATGAGTCTTGCACCATAGCCACCACAGCTGGGAATGTTCTGGGTCACACCTGTAGTCAGCATGTCTCAGAGCCCAAGGCCCGCGGTGTACTCCCTGGGTAGTGCTGCTGATTATTACAGGTCCAAGGGCTCTTTAGTCAACAGGTAATGAATTCTGCCAAGACTGGGTCCTTCTCTTCAAGGTAGCAAGTTCTCTTCTGGCCCAGGGTGTGTTTAGAAGGGCCTGGGATGCGGACCTCATGACTCTCACTGGTGTTCTATCCTGCTGTAGCTGAGCTGGTATCCAAGATGCAAGACAAAATCTTCTTTACTCTTTGTTTCCCTCCTAGTAAGCAGAAGGAAGGAGTCACCTTCACTGCTGCAAGCTGCACTGCCTGGGGTTGGAGGAGGGATGGCACAAGCACTCCTTCAGCCCTCAAGCTGGTGTCTCCCTAGGTCATGTGCCACCGTAGTCCTGTGGCTCTGAGCCTGACCCAGCACTAGGAGTTGCCTAGGAATTGCAATCTCTGTGTCCTAGACTGCCTTTCCGTTTACCTAGGACCCCAGAGCACTTTGGCCTGCGGTTGCCAGGCTTGCTGAGAAACTCGAGTTCCCACTGATGGGATGGGTGATTCACCTCTAGCTAGGACTGGTCCAGATGTTCCTTCCATGCATGGGAACCAGCTGAGTCCAGCACAGATTTACTCTCCACTATGGTAGGGCAGCACTGAGTCCAATAAAAAGTCCCTCAGTTGCTGTGCTCTTTTTCCCCCAGGTGCATAGACTGGCGGCTGCCAGGGGATAAGGAAGCAGTGGCATTGGAATTCAAGACTGTCTCTCTGACCTTCCTGAATGACTCAGCAATATGAAGTTAAAATCAGGTACTATGGTTGCTCATCTGATTTTTGTTTCTTGTGATGGTGCTTTTCTGTGTGCAGATGTTGTTAAAATTTGATGTTCCTGTCGGGGTTAAAAATGTGTAGGCTTCTATTCTGCCACCTTGCTCCATCCAAGTTTGAATATTTAGTACTCAGATTTATATCTTAATGAAGACAAAATACCCACTCATTTAGGAGGATATGAAGGATGAATCAGCTGGAGCTGCATAGGTCCTTCATGTCCTAGAGTGCATGGTTCATGATCCATCAGCACTGCTACTAAAATGGTCATGTCATGTTTGGGCATGCCAGATTGTTCTGACTTGGCAGTATCAGAATGCTGTTGTAGACATTAATTTTGGGGCACTGCGGAAGTAGATCTGGCTGTTGCTTTGAATCTGGTAAAAAAAAAACAAAAACAAAACGTTTTTGCTTGACAGTGCCTAACAATGCCATGGTAAGAATTTCACTTCTTCTTTTATAAAAGACATGGTACTACATAAAGTAATGTTCACTTGTACTTATAGAGCAAGAGCTATATAAAATTACATATGGGACAAGCTTCTGGCTTCAGCAATTATAGAACTTGTTAGTCAATGATTATTAGGGAATACTACATAGAACAGTATATAATGTTTGGAAAGTGTTACTTACATAACTTCTGGAAAATGAACTCATTTGGAGGCATACCCTCCCATTCCCTCCTTTGTCCTTTTATATCTCTATGTTGTATCTGTTTATTAGATTATTGCTTTATAATAAAAATCTGTAATGTGAAATATATTTTTATGTGGGGAAATAGGAAAATGAGACTAAGAAAACTAAGATGAAACCAGAAACTAGGGAGTTTACAAAGTAAGTGCAACGAGTCCTCTTTCTTTGCTACAGAAGGGCCTCAGAGTTAACTTTGAACATCATAACAACCAAAGCAAAAAATTGTTTTCATACCTTCATATTTATTATTTGACTATGTATTAGATTTGTAAGTCCCCATTGTGTTCTCCTTAAAAGCAGGTGACTCAAGCAGCCAACTAGAACTTCCTAGTCTGCTTTCTGCTTAGGTGATTTGCTGCATGTCTGGCCTCACCATCCTGTCTTCTCCAGATGATACCCTAGTTTATCTTTTAGCCTTGTCTCCAGAATTTATTTCAGACTCCAGGTGAATAAAATTGTTTGCCTTTCCACACTGTCACATCTGCCATATCTTTTCTTTCGTTTTCTTTTCCTATTTTTTTTTTTTTTTTTTTTGATGGTGTCTCTCTCTGTTGCCCAGGCTGCAGTGCAGGGGTGCGATCATAGCTTACTGCAGCCTTGACTTCCCAGGCTTAAGTGATTCTCCTGTCTCAGTCTTCCAAGTAGGTAAGACTACAGGCATGCACTAGTTTTTATTTTTTAATTTTTTTATAGAGATGGATTCTTGCTTTGTTGCCCAGGCTGGTCTTGAACTCCCTAGGCTCAAGCAATCCTCCTGCCTCAGCCTCCCAAACTGCTGGGATTATGGACATGAACTACATGTCTGCCTTCTCTCAAGCTGTGTCTCCTGCCAATGGTGTTTTTTGTCCCCATCCTCCAAGAGTTAGCCCAAATGCACTTCCTTCATAAAACCTTCCAGAATCCCCACAGCCAGAAATGATTTTTTCCAACTTCTCACTCCCATTACTCCTTTGTTTTCTTCTTAGGGCATTTAGCTCCTTATACTTTCTATCATTCATTTATGGATAGGTCTTATTTCCTCTACTTGATTATCAAATACTGCATGGGCAGTGCTCTGCACCAACTAATTCAATACTTTACATATAGTTAGTACTCAATACATGCTTGTTTGTATGAATGAATTTTAACAGGTAAGATTTGAGGTTCTCTATAAACTGCATAGGTTTGGCTTTCTTCCCAACTTGAAGTGAGCTATTTTTTTAGAGTTGCATTTGATTTTAAAAACAGAATTAGGGGACTATAAAAATAGACTGCAATGAGTTATTCCAGCAGTCTCACTGTTTTTTAAGAGTGGTAACGTTCCTTTTATGATGTTTTTCATTTACAGCATGGCCTTAGAGCCAGCTCTTTTTCAAAACACAATCCCATTATTACGGCTGCCTTTTGCCTCAAACAACTTCCCATAACATTAGAGGTATAATATTGCAAGAATAGCTTCTGACAGAGAGGTTTCTAGTTTGTAGTTGGGGGGATACAGGATGTCAAATTGCTCATCATTTCTGGATCTGAAGGGAAGTAGTTTAAAGATTTTATTTTACCTATGTGGTTCCAGCCAACCATGTCATGGAAAACATATTTCCCTATATAGGACAAGGAAATGGCTCAAATAATTCTCACACATTGCTGAAATCCGAACATGAAATAGGATTGATTTCGTTTCCTTTTATTTTTAGGATGATTCTAACAGAAAAAGAGCATACAGGAAGAAATAAAAGGTTCATATTCATATTGAGAGTTTGTTGTTGTTGAACTTTTAAAAAGAAATATGGGTATGAGCCCTTGAAGATTTCTAGGTCTGGATGCTGTGGGGCTTAAGGGATGGATACAGGAGAAGCTGGAGGGATGCGTAGGTGGAAATATCAAATGCAGTAAGGACTGGAGCCCACACCTGGAAGAAAAGGCAAAGACTGTGTTTAGGGCCCTCCGACCTCCATCTGCTGAGGAACCTCTGCCTTGTAGGCCCCCTTGGCATCATCGTTTCCATTTAGACTGATTTATTCTCTACCTAGTTGTCTTGGGGTCAGCTTCTCTTTGTCTTCCAGGACAGGACAACCCCTTATCTGATAAATGAAATTGGGATAATTGGATGTTGTAAGAAAGCTAAATAAAACCCCAAGAACTCTTCTTTGCTTCCTAGGCAAATGTGTGCGCGCGTGTGTGTGTGCGCGTGCGCACATGTGTTTTATGCTGCTGTTGAAGTAGCAGCAGGATTAGATGGAAACAGCAGAGCTTGAGATTTAATCATACATTGATTTATGCTCTTATTCTGCCCTCACTTTATGTATGGCTCTGGGCATATTAATGATCTTCTCAGACCCCTGTTGCCCTTTGCCCCATCTGTCAGACTGGAAAGGTGTTTTGAGGATTCAATGAGGTAGCAGGAAAGGACTGAGGACCATACCTGCCCTGTTCTGGGGCTCACTAAACACTGCTTCCTCCACTTGCCTCTGATTTTTTATACAGAAGCCTGCTGTCTCCTTCCCACTTTCTCTTGTTGAGTGGTCCAGCCTCTGGGAAGAAATGGCACCTCCTTTCTTAGATGTCAGTAGGGGTACTGTTAATCTCTTAAGTCACACTGTACAAATAGCCAACTCTTCTCCACTTGTATATGGCTCTCTAAAGATAAGATTTCTGCACTTGGAAGGTAAAAAAAAATCACCAGATACTTGGACTTATTGTTGGAAAACAATGTTTATGACGATGAAGCTGTATAAAAGTAAGTATATTTTGTATGTACAAAATATAAATTAAATGGACACTTCTTTATCATTAGCTTTCAATCTGCTATGTATATCCTTATAATGATAATATTGGGAATGATGCAGACACCTGAGAAGAAAACAGAGGTATGTAAAATAAATGACTAAATGATAAATGAGCCTTATCTATCATTTGTAAAAGATGGACAGCAATTCAGCAATTGTAGTGATTGTAGCAGCACTTAGCTTCTGTCGTATAATGTTTACTCAGAGAAAAGTCATGAAATCTTATCTCCTGTGCATATAAACAGACTTAAAATAATAAGCTTTAGGTTCTGGGATAGCCTCAGCCACTTCCTTCTTATGGGAGGTGGACAAAGCACTTCATCCTTGTGGGTGTGTACTTCTTCATTTTCTGAATTTTTTCAGCTTCTGGGTTCAGATAGTGAGAATTTAGTTCAAATGTGAAGAGCTACCATAATAAAACAAATATGAACTGTTGTATAATACTCAGGCTAGTTTCCCCAATTTAATTATAACCAGTTTTATGTCCCCCGGCCCATGCAACTGCTACCTATTGTGGGCATCTCGAGTCACCCTTGTGGCTCCCTCTGCCTATATTGCTTATCTACCCTGCACCAGTGTTCTGTGAGACCACTCCTGGACCAGGTCTGCTGGGCCTTTCAAAGGAATGTGAATCTAATTATAACTCTTCTCCAAAGGGATGGGACCTGGGACATGCCTGATGTCCCACAGGAGTGAGAACCCAGATCTTAGACACACCAAGGACATGTTTACCCTGAGTGGGAGAAAATAACTTCTATGTTTTATAGTAAGTCACCCTCCCAGGGGTGATCTAAGGACTCAGGGCTCTTTCATGTGTTAATACAACAACAAACAAAACAGAGAAAATTATTCAGAAACTTAACTAATTCAGATAGTTAAGGCTTCTGTTCAGTTATCAAATGTAAGGTACTAATTCATGTCTTATAGCACATAATTCCAATCAGCGTTTTCATTTGGTTTTTAAAATTTGCATTTTTGAAGTTTGGGTAGAAGTTTTCCCTGATGGAGTAGTTGAGTAGAAGGACATATTCTTCCCCTCTCTAACATACATAAATGCTTTTAAAGTATACTGAAATAATAATTTTGATTTTGAAATTTATCTTGAAACATATAGTGGGATATCCATGGACGGGGAAATGTGAAGTTAGAGTAGTGGGCAGGAGCTGAAGCTCAAGCAGCTCACACCATATTGGATCTCTGTAAAGAATGGAACTAGGCATGTCTGAGGGAGTGCAGTACTAGAGCAAACGCAAAACACCATGATAGGTCAAGGACGAGACTGCCAAAGAAAGGAAAAGCTTCCTTTCTGCTCTCTGGACAAGGGACTTCTCATTTTCATTTTGTATCCTGCCTGCAAATTACGTAGTCTGCATTGTGCTAGTGTTTGGGAATATTAGAATTTGTGGATCTAGCAACAAATTGACCTTTCTATGGGACAGTATTTTATAATTTCCATGCGTATTTTAAGATGAAGTTTTGGTAGCCATTTGAGATCACCTTATGGGGCCAAGTGCCTTTGCAATAATTTAGTTCATCTGAACATATCAAAGCCTGATGAAATTTGGACATATTTTACAAAACCCTGCTATTTCAGAGGTGTGTGTAGCTCAGACATAGGGATCAAAGTGACTTGTTCAAAGCTAGCAGTAAGGGGCTGTTCTTGTTCCTACTCTTAGTTCAAGCAGGACTCATGCACTATTTTATGTTTCAAGACAAAAATAAAATCAGTACTAGGAAACTTAACCACCCCACTGAGCACATTTATCATGTGTTTCTCATACTCCTCGCCCTCCTCCTCACCATCCCCCTGATGAGGTGTTCAAGGATTAATGAACTAGTGTTGGGAAATTATTTATACTTTCTTGTATAAAAGTACCATAAAGAACAATGTATATAGTTTCCACTTAGAGTCAGCAAACTAAGCTTTTAGGAACATAAAGCATATCTAATACATAGTTATTTACTTCTTAAGGGAGAGTTCAGAGAAGAACTAATTTATTGAGCTAAATATCTTTGGTCGTATTTTCCATACTTGTTTTATATCCCAAAGTACTGTATCAAAATATAGCTTCCTTCACCTTAGACCTCTGTGGGGAGAGATGTATGTGAATTATAGCACATTTCACAGCCAGAAATGGGGAACAGTGCATGTGGCCTCATTCTTGACCTCATCTCAGAGCCCATTATAGACATTTCTTGAGACTGTTCATTCTAGAAATAAAAGGGGTGAGACTGAACTTTGATTCCAGAGAATGAGTGTATTCCTGAAGTTTTTCTTTCTTTCTTTTTTTTTTGTTTTTTGGTTGTTGATTTTTCAGATTCATACTAAAAAGAGTATTTTTTGTTTATTAGATCCCTTTTACTTATTAATACTCAACTTTGGTGTGTTAGTAGCATTGTTGATTTAGTAGTAAGCAGTTATAATCTGGGGTACTGTGATACTTAAAAGGATTTTTAACATTGCTTGTTTAAAATAATCCCCTCCCTTTAGGGAGGTTGGCACAATAAACTATCTGTCCATTATACTTCAGGGTAAATGGTCTACTACATTTTTTTCAAAGAATATGTTTAATGGAGAGGTGGGAGTGTTTCCTAGAATAATACTAGATATGACTATACTAAAGGGAGAGAAAATAACAAAGGGGGAATAGAAACAAGTAAGACAAATAAAAATCCAGGTCACAGCTCTTTAAGGTAGAAGTTGCCCATTCCACAGCATTGCCTAAACTTTCAAGATTATTGGAAATTTCTGTTGCTCCTTGATATGGTTAGGATCTGTGGCCCCACCCAAATCTCATCTTGAATTGTAATCCCCATAATCCCCACGTGTCAAGGTAGATCAGGTGGATGTGATTGGATCATGGGGGGAATTGTAATCCCCATAATCCCCATATGTCAAGAGAACAGGTAGAGGTGATTGGATCATGGGGGTGGTTTCCCCCATGCTGTTCTTGTGATAGTGAGTTCTCATGAGATCTGATGGTTTTGTAAGAGGCTATTCTTCCTTCACTCTGCCACTCTTCACCTTTCTGCTGCCTCGTGAAGAAGGTGCCTTGCTATCCCTTCACCTTCTGCCATGATTGTAAATTTTCTGAGGCCGCCCTGGCCATGCTGAACTGTCAGTCAATTAAAATGCTTTCTTTATAAGTTACCCAGTCTCAGGCAGTTCTTTATAGCAGTATTAAAATGAACTAATAATGTAAATTGATACCACAGAGAGTGGGTTGCTGCTATGAAGATATCCAAAGATGTGGAAATGACTTTGGAACTAGGTAACAGACAGAGGTTGGAACAGTTTGGAGGGAAAGCTCAGAAGAAAACAGGAGATGTGGGAAGGTTTGGAGTTTCCTAGAGACTTGTTGAATGGCTTTGGCCAAATGCTGATAATGATATGGACAATGAAGTCCAGGCAGAAGTGGTCTCAGATGGAGATGAGGAACTTCTTGGGAACTGGAGCAAAGGTTGCTCTTGCTATGCTTTAGCAAAGAGACTAGGAGCATTTTGTCCTGCCCTGGAGACCTGTGGAACTTTGAACTTGAGAGAGATGATCTGAAATTGGAACTTATATTTAAAAGGGAAGCAGAACATAAAAGCTTGGCAAATTTGCAGCCTGAGCATGCAATAGAAAAGAAGAGCCCATTTTCTGAGGAGAAATTCAAGCCGGCTACAGAAATTAGCATAAGTAACAAGGCGCCAAATGGTAATCACCAAGACAATGGGGAAAATGCCTCCAGGGCATGTCAGTGGCCATTATGGCAGCCCCTCCCATCAAAAGCTGGGAGGCCTAGGAGGAAAAAATAGTTTATTGGGCTGGGCCCAGGGCCTTACTGCTTTGTGTAGCCTCAGGACTTGGTGCCCTGTGACCCAGCTGTGGCTAGAAGGGGCCAATGTACAGCTCAGGCCGTTGCTTCAGAGGGTGCAAGCCCCATGCCTTGGCAGCTTACACATGGTGTTGGGCCTGTGGGTGCACAGAAGTCAAGAACTGAGGTTTGGGAACCTTTGCCTCGATTTCAGAGGTTGTATGGAAATGCCTGGATGTCCAGGCAGAAGCTTGCAGCCGGTGTGGAGCCCTTGTGGAGAACCTCTGTTAGAGCAGTGCAGAAGGGAAAAGTGGGGTTGAAGCCCCTGACAGAATCCCCACTGAGGCACCACCTAGTGGAGCTGTGAGAAGAGGGTCATTGTCCTCCATACCACAGAATGGTAGATCCACTGACAGCTTGTACTGTGCACCTGGAAAAGCTGCAGACACTCCATATCAGCCCATGAAAGCAGCCAGGAGGAGGGCTGTACCCTGCAAAGCCACAGGGTTGGAGCTTCCCAAGGCCATGGGAACTCATCTCTTGTGTCAGTGTGACCTGGATGTGAGACATGGAGTCAAAGGAGATTATTTTGGAACTTTAAGGTTGAATGACTGCCTTATTGAACTTTGGACTTGCATGGGCCTGTAGCCCTTCATTTTGGCCAATTTATCCCATTTGGAATGGGTATTTACCCAATGCCTGTACCCCCATTGTATCTAGGAAGTAACTAACTTGCTTTTGATTTTATAAGCTCATAAGCAGAAGGGACTTGCCTTATCTCAGATGAGACTTTGGACTTGGACTTTTGGTTTAATGCTGCAATTAAGACTTTGGGGACCTATTGGGAAGGCATGATTGTGTTTTGAAATGTGAAAAGTACATGAGATTTGGGAGGGGTCAGGGTGGAATGATATCATTAGGTTTTGTGTCCTCTCCTAAATTTTATCTTGAAATGTAGTCCCCATAATCCCAATAATCCCCACGTGTCAAGGGAGAGACCAGGTGGAGGTGACTGGATCATGGAGGTGGCCTCCCCCATGCTGTACTCATGATAATGAGTGAGTTCTCATGAGATATGATGGTTTTATAAGGGGCTCTTCCCCCTTCACTCTGCTACTCTTCTCCTTCCTGCTGCCTTGTAAAGAAGGTGTCTTGCTTCCCCTTCCCCTTCCAACATGATTGTAAGTCTCCTGAGGCCTCCCAGTCATGCTGAATTGTGAGTCAATTAAACCTCTTTCCTTTATAAATTACCCAGTCTCAGGCAGTTCTTTGTAGCAGTGTGAAAACAGACTAATACACTCCTATCTGTTTTTAAAAGCTTGTTTCAAAGTGATTTTCAGGGTGAGATTTAAGGCAGAAGTGGTTGACTCATGGGCATCTGTCTACAGAGTGCAAAGAGCCACTTACTAAGTTAACAGCAGAAATGGTAAAAGCAGAGTCTCTCCCTATATTACCATGAATAACCACCATTGTATGTTTCTCCTATCATATTGTAGATATCGATTGCTGTATGTAACTTCTGTAATTCATCAAGCAACTTCAACCTCTAACAGAAACATGGGAACTAAGGTGCCACAAGTCCACCAGCATAAGCATTTTCCTGTCATCTGAAAGAATGATGCCTTACTAATGGTGCTAAGAGTCCATGTGGGAAAGAGACTCAGGAGGCCCATTACAAAACTTTCCCCACTTCAAAAGAATATTGTTTTGCTGTAGTGCCATAACATGATTTATTTTAGAATGTTTTTCTAAAATAAATAAACTGTGAGCCTTTATCAGCTTGAGAGAAATGTGTTAGGCACAACCTCCCTGGAAGTACTAAAAACATCTGTGATCCAAGTCTATAGTAGTTGGGGGATTAAACTTGTGATCAGATTTCTTAGATGATGGTTTCTTTTCCTGCTGTTACAATTTCCGTTGACTTTGGCTTTCTTGTGTACTAGGAAAAGTAAATTGGAATGGAGCAGACAATTAAGAACTGGATGTCTAAATCCTTGTTCACATACTTGTACATTTCTCACAAATTACAATATGCTTCCTTATAAATATTTTTCTCATAAAGATTTCTTTAGAAATCTAACCACAAACTTTTCTTTATTAATAATTTACCTCAGGTTTGCCATCTAGAAGACTGGGCTAAATGACACCCAAAGGTCCTTTCAGGCCTAACCTTTCTGACTCAAGTATTCTATGATCACACAGGACTTCCTGGATTGTTAACCTGCAACTCTGTTTAAATGTTGACAGAAAATCTGTTAGAAAATGCTTCCAATTTTAGAGAAGAAAACTCCATTTCATGGGGGGAAGAAAGACTAGAAACATCCAGACTTATTTCTGCGTGCTTACTTTGTTTTCTTTTGCCCAGCAGAAAGGTAAATTGAAATTAGATTGTGCTTTTCTGTAAAACTGTAATTTATAACAGGCTTAAAAGTTTCAAAAATATAATCATTTTTCCAATGTTTCTGTGTTAGATTTCATAACTCTCGTTGACTAAGTTGCAATTTACCTCCCTAATATCTACCCTGGAATTCTTGGCCACAGATATCTTGGGGGAGGGATAATGAAAAAATTATATAGGCCTTCCATGGGCCAGTATTTTCAAACTTCTTGGCCAATAAATTCCTTGAACTCCATCTTCCTTATTGAGTATAACAATGGCCGTAGACTATAGAAATGAAATAAAGGCCAAAATAAATTTTTCGGTAAATAGCCTAAGAAATATACCAGAAACCACATGTATTCACATAGTATTCTCTAGGCAGAAACATAAAGCGAGCACAATATATTTGTGAGGGAAAGAACAACAAGGACTTAAGATGGAAACCATGAATCATAAGAACATTGTATAAGAAATCAGTGGCATAAAACATACAGAAGTAAGATGTCAAAACATTTTTACAGGAAGACCCTCAGACAATACAAATAAAATACTCCAAAAACATAAATCAGAATTAGTATCTGGAATAAAGAAATGCCTCAAAATGTATTTTTTCCAATTTAATCAGTAACACAGAAACAATTCACCAATTATCATGCAATGGACACATTGCATGGCTGTGTCTCTTATACTCAAAGCAGTCTTACTTTCTGGTGGTTCAGAGTGGTGGTCACAGCTTTCCTACCATGATTTATGACATAGTAAAATGGGGAAGTTACTGGATTGTTTCATGAATGGCTATGAATTTATGAGAGATTAAATTTAGCTCTTCCTGATTAAGTTAACAGGGAAAGATAAAATGTATTTTGAAAGTGGTAGTATATTATATATAATATACCACTTTAAAGCATAGCAGCTTTTCTGTATTCATATTTCAGAAACCTTGAATGATAAACAGGGAAGGTGTTATTTTTCTAATCTAACTTCTGGGAAAATATAAGCCAATGCTTTCTGAAAGTGCTAAAAGTCAGAAAACTAATTAGAAGAATATCAATACTGAAATTTATTTTCAGATCTAAGTATGCTCCTTATCCCATTATCAAATTCTAAAAGGAAAAAACAACCTAGCAGTTTCTCTTTTTTTTTGTCGCATAGACAGAAAGGTTTAAGGGTAGTTGGCTAAAATCTAACTATGTCTGTATGTGAGGAAAACAAAGTAAGCAAAGAAATATTAGAAAATAAATGATAAGCAAAAGCATTGTAAGGGACTGCCATTAAAAGAGGATTGAAATCAATATGAGCTTGCAATGAATTTAGAGCAAAAACATTAAATAACATGAAAAAGGTATTCTATAAAGTTAGTTCACAGTGAAGATTTCTGTACTAAGTAACATAGCATGAAAATTTATAAAACAAATGACAAGAAATTCAAAGAGTAATATACAGAAACATTCATAGTAGGAAATATTAACTCACTGCTCTTGCTTCATAACTGATGAAGTAGACAAAAAGTCTGGGTAAGAAGACCTAAGTATCATAATGAATAGGATAGGATAGGTCTAATTAATAGGTACCAAACACTAAATTTACAAGAGGAAAAAAAATTCTTTTTTTAAATGCTCAGGGAATAGCAACAGAAATGTAAAGTTTTAGGTGACAATACATTTTAAAAACTAGTAATAACACATAACTGCTTCTGGCAGTATGGCAGACAAGACATTCTATAAAGACTTGCATTAACATAAAACACTCAGATACTGACTAAATGACAACAAATATAATTTAAGATGTATTGCTAAGCTTACAAGAGAGTTAATATTTGTGAACACTGGAAATATTGAAGAAGAGCTAAAACTATACAGATAGTTTAACACTGATGCAGAAGATGTTGCTGTCTTAGGGGGCAAAAGCCAATACTAAGAAACCAGAATTTCAAAAATTAGTAGTCACCTAGAATGAGAAGAGACTAAGTCTTGGGCCCAGACAAATGGATAGGGGTTGTTGAGACTACTTGAGACACATATAGAAGGCTAGGACACATGAGGGACCTATAGGTCTATGAAATGATGCGCAATACAGTGTTTGCAAATCTGTGAAGGGACTTGATCAAGAAACATATTCTGACTAAGAATGCAAGTTGGGGCTTTGAATTTATGCTACCTTAAAGACAAGAGAATCTATACTTGGGGAAATTTAATAGCATGGCTTCAGTGTGGTAGTATCCCAACCTATCAAGAAGAAGCAAATGTGAATCTTCCTTGACGAAAAATATTCCTAGTTCAGGCCTTTTAGGAATCACCTACATTAAATTTAGACAAATGTAAACTTACAATTAAAAACAGTCAAATGTATAAGAACATAATCTGATAAGAACAGCTTCAATAGAAAAACATAAATTTTGTTTTAAAAAGACTATATTTGAATAGAAACATATAATAAAATTTATGAAATATTTTTAAAATATAAAGGATGATTTTTCAATAAAAGACCCAGAAGTAAGTGAGTTGCCAAAAAAGAAAATAGAATAGAAACAAGTAAATATTTAAAGAGATAATGTCTAATAGGTGTAAATCCATCAATGTAAGAAGTGGGATAAATAAAAAGAAATACATACCCAGAGACCATAGTGTAAATGTAGAATAGCAAAGGCAAAGAGGCGACATTAAACAGAAATGGAGAGAAAAGAGACATTCCCTATAAAGCAATAGTAAATTAAAGCAAACATTTAATAGCAAAAGGGGATCTATAATAACATAAAATGTATAAAATGCTGAGAGATAACTATGAATAACCTAGAAAACAAGAGTTTGCTAAAACAGCAATAATAAATAATAAAAATCAGAAATAATACCACTAACAAGGGAAGTATAAAGAATTAGACAAAGTAGCATGTAATCTAGGTGTGGGGTTTCAGACAAGTCAGAACACTCTAAAATCCCAGTAATTTTTGGAAGAAGGGTAGAGATATACATTAACTGTAGATTTTGTTATTCTAAATATCTTGGTAAAATGAAAGAATAGAAATGGTAACTATAAATTTCAAATTAGCAAAGAGAAAAAACAGGGTAAGAAAAAGTTTAAAAGCAGACAATCCCAAAGAAGAAAGAAGCAGTATAAAAGCATGATAAATGAAGAAAAAACACTATATGATAGAAAGAAATCCAGATATATAAATGTATTGGGTTAAGCTCACCAATAAATGAGATTGTCAAGTAGTATATATTAAAAAATCAAACTATATACTCTTTATGAAAGATGCTACTAAAATCTAAGGTTACAGAAAAGCTGAAGATAAAAGAAACAATATAAACCAAGTACATATTAACAAAATAAGGGCTGAGTTATCTAAACTACCATTAGAAAAGTTAGACATAAAGACCAAAACCATATACAGCAATAAAGAGGATGACCACACAACAATAAATGGTTCAGTTTACCAGAGGGATTGAAAACTTTAAACTTACATGCACGTAATAAAAGAACCTCTAAATACATAAAGCAAATTTTGTCAAATCAACTCTTTCCAAAAGATCTCTCTATAACCAATTGGTAAAAAAGTTTTAGTAAGGATATAAGACATTGAACAACTCAATAAGATTGATTTAATGAGCCTGCAATTATATTTGTTTTCCTCAAGCAAACACAGATCTTTTATAAAAGATATACAGTATGCAATAAAGTGAATGTCAACACATTTCGAAGTACTGGTATCACATATATTACATTATCTGATCAAAATGCAATCAACTTAAAAATCAGTAACAAAGAGATACTCCCAAACAGCTCTATACTTAGAAAAAATAATAAACTACTCATCTAAAAAAGTTATGATCCAAACAAAACATGAATATTAACAATACTTTTAACTGAATGTTAATTGAAAACACTTCATCACTTGCTAGATAGAGATACAACTGTGTTTCAAGGGATATTTATAATTTTAAATGCTTATGTTAGTTAAAAAGACAGTTAATGAACTAAGTTGCTAATATTAGAAGTTATAAAATTAATTCCCAAATAAACATAGAGAAAGTAGAATGAAAAAATTGATAAAAATAGGGAAACAACTGAAATGGGAAACAAAGATACAATAAAGTGAAACAATAATGTCAAAATTTGTTCTTGGAAAGATTAATAAATTATACAAATTTCTGGAAAGATTGATCAACATTTAAAAAAAGAGAAGACACAATTTTTTATAGAATGAAACAGGAAACCAGCTACCACAGAGATAAGAAGAAAATATTATAATACTGCAAACATGATTTTATTATTTTCAATAAATTTTAAAACAGACTATAGAGGAAAATTCTGGGAAAATATGAATTATGTATTAAAAACTGACAAGACAGAAAAGTAAGCTTTATATAGTCCTACTATCATTGAAATTCAAATTAGCATTTTAACCAATTTCTCCCAAGAAAACAATAGGCCTAGATTATTTTGTAGATGAATTCTACGAGAGGCCCTAGTGAATGCTTCACGCTTTAAGTCTCTGTAAGCTATACTCTAAGAGTAAAGACAAACTCGGGAAGCCTGAAATCTAGTCTTGAAATCACTCTTTCCTGGATTAGGTCAAGGTGATCTGCTCCAACCCTAACTGCCAACTGGAAGAAATGTGAACTTTCCCTAGAAGATGAAAATATCATTCAGAGTTTCTCCAATTTTGCATTTATAATGTCTAACATTCAATAAATGCTGATCAGGCATATCAGGACACAAAACCAAATGAGGGAAAGCCAGGACAAAACTCAGAGAATAGAATCATACCTAGATGTGGTCCAGATATTAGGGTTATCAGAAACAAAGTTTAAAATATGTTTTAAAAAGTAGGTAACAAGGCAATTTTATTATCTGTTACTAGTGACTGTTTCCTCCTTTCTAATTTTGATATCTTTTTATTTCTTTTTCTTACATTGCTGGCTAAGATCCATAAGACAATGTTGAATAGAAATGATGAAAGTGGCAATTCTTGTCTTTCTTATGTAAAGAAAATGTTCTTAATATTTGATAATTAAGTATGATTTTGCTATAGGCTTCTGACAGATAATCTTTATCAGATTGTCCTTCTAATCCTGGCTTAGTAAGATTTTCTCATATGAAGAAGTATTGAATTGTATTTTACTTATTTGTGTTTTTGCCTCAATTGAGATGCTAATGTGGTTTTTCATCTTTACATTAAGGAATTTTTTTAATGTTAAGTAATTTTCAATGGTTAGTGATGTTGAACATCTTTTCATGTGTTTATTCATTATCCATATATTCTCTTTGGTGAAGCATTTATGTAAGTCTTATGACCATTAAAAAAAGATTTTTAAATTAAATTTTTTTTTTTTACTATTGAGTTTGAGAGTTCTTTATTGAGTTTGAGAATTCTTTATATGTTATGGATGTAAGTCATTTATCAGATATGTGATTTGCAAATATTTTCTCTTAATCTCTAATTTGCATTTTTGTTCCCTTAGCAGTGTCTTTGGTAGGGCAAAAGTTTAATATATTAAATTTTCCTTTTATGGATTATGCTTTTGGTACTACATACAAGACCTCCTTGCCTAGCTCCAAGTCAAGAAGATTTTCTCCTATGTTTTCTTCTAAACATTTTACAGTCTAACATTCTGCATTTAGGTCTATAATCCATTTGGAACTAATTTTTGTGTAAAATGTAAGGTTTGGGTCAAAGTTGTGATTTTTTGCATATGAACGTCCAAACATTCCAACAGCATTATTTGTTAAAAAGATGACAGTACTCTTGATCACATCACAATATATTTTAATTATCTTTTTCCATGCATACTCCATACATTGGAGTATGTATTTCTCCTGCCCTGAGTCTACAAATCATCTTTGTGTGTGGGAATCTATCTTAGAAACTTGAACAGTTAGTACTCAGTAAATATTGGTTGGATTAATAATAATGAAACAATGAATTCAGATTTTCCTGTGTGTGGTAGAAATGTTCAGAAATACATGTAATGAAGATGTCTTTTTGGTGTGTGCTTTCTTCCATTCCCTTCTTAAAGAATGTGTAGGCGTATGTATCCTGTGACTTTGTCCATAAATGATTGGACTAGAGGTAGAAGCATAAACCAAAGTGGGCCAACTAGTTTTTTCATCCCCAAAGTTTGAATTGTGATGTGGACAGAGCAATTCATATTTTTCTGGGTTCTGGCTCTGCAATATTATGTAGACTCAGCGGCTGAAGCCACCCTATTGAGGTGGCAGTGATGTCCCATATAGAAGTGAAGGAGAGAATGGAATGATCCTTTGAGAAGCAAAAGTGGAGACAGGGACAAAAGGTAGATGTTTGAATTTATTATAGTTTTTCCCAATCTGGGCTGGGATTTTTGAGAATTCCTATTTTCAAAGCTAGCTTTCCTGGGGATTTAATTCATTGCAATGAAACTGTCTAGCCAAAGCAAGCAGTAAGAATAATGCAACAAATGACATTTAATTTAAACCATAATCTAAAAGGTAAGCTGACTCTACAGAAATTACAATACAACATTTGTATGTAACATACGAATGTAACTTTTTATTAAGAATAGTATAAAGATATGGGTAACACATACAGCCATCCTGCTTAGTTTAAATAACTAAAGTGTCATTGGGACTAAAAGAATAGTACTCTGAAATGGTCTCTGCTCTTCTAAGGATTAGTTTATTCAATGATTCAGTGTCAAGACTGGATGCTGATATTAAAAACATAGATGACATAGTCCTACCTTATTAAGCTCAGAGCTTAGTAGGGGAAATGGAAATTAACAAATAATTATAATGTTAGACTCTTATATGAATAAACAAGAAACAAAAGCAAACCACATCAGTCTACAATAAAGTCTGGAAGTGTTATGTACATTCATAACATCAGAAGCTCCTGATATTTAGTGATGTCAGGGAAGACTTCAAGGGGATTTGAGACATGAGGACAGAGGTGTTTGTGTGGGTAGAGAAGAAAATGGAGACATGGAAGGTGGAAAAGCTTCCTTTACGTGTAACAATGTTGATAGAAATGTAAATATTGTTCAGCTTTTTTTGAAGGGCTTGGGCATGCATTCAAAGTCACACACACAGTTCCCATGCATTATTTGCTTGCAATGGGAATAGACAATGTGAGTAGAGGGTGCTAAGTTTTGTCTAGAAGGTGCTCTCACAGTTCAGCTTTCATTTTCAGGAAACATAAGAACAAAGGAAAGATGTTACTGCCAGAGCTTGAGGAAGGAGCTGTTTCATGGTATGTTGACAGTAATTTAATCATGAAAGGTTATCTTCTAGACTAGCACTCAAATTTCCTTAGTCTTTCCTGATGATCAAGGGCATTCTTTGTTAAGTCTAATGTGCTGGCCCTCAAAGTTGCCTAGTATGCAAGGAAGCTGTCAATCATATACTTTAAAAAATGAACAGCAGAAGGGTTCTAAAGGGAAATCAAATTATGGTCCATTTGGAAATGTCACAATCAAGTGGTACTAGCAAAACTGAAGAGGTTCATTGACCATTCAAATTGATATATAAAGAATTACGTGTTTTTGCTGCTAATCAAAGATAAAGCTGCCTATGTGGAGCCTGAGCCCACTCAGGCTTTAGCTAATGTTAGTGTTTACATGACATGTTGGAAAAAAACTGGGCAATTACAAAGGCCCAGTCTAACTAGATCCTAACAGGCAAAATGCCCTCTGATCCAAATGTTAATAGCTTTGACCTTCATTGGTTTTTAATCTCATTCTGTCTAGCAGAGTAAATGAACCCTAGATTACACTGTACAGAAGAGTCTTTTCTGTTTTTCATTCAGTTTATTTTTATGTTTTTTCTGTTATTGCGGGGAAATTGAAAGTCTGTCTTTTTTCAGTTGGGTATATCACTGAGTGTATGCACAGAGAGGCTGCTGATTGACAGTGCTTCGACAAAGGCAGATTCAGTTTGCGGCTGATAAGGAGCAAAGTCATCCATGCCGTGTTTACAAAGTAGGCAAGGAGAGTAAAAAATTAGTGATAAAAGAGCTAATCTCATTGTTTTGCTGGATGAGAGAATGGCACTTTTGTGCTTGCTTTAAGAGGTGCTGGCGTGTTGCCCCTCCTTCCCCCTATATGCTTTGGCGGCAAAACAATTTCCAGATTCCCCAAAGTGTTATAGATTATAAAGGACACAGTAATGCTGGAAGGGTTTCCTGCTGTTGAGAAGGGTGCAAGCTGCACTGGAGATTGGCTGTTTATTCTATGTACTCATGACCCATACTGCATAAACTACTGATTTTCTCCCTCTGGTGTTTCTAAAGCAAAAGATAAATATTTGGGATGTCAGATTAATTCATCAGTGTTTAATTTTCCAACATATTTAAATACTTAGTTGTGCTAAGAATAAAGTTTGACACTCCTTTATGACAGGTCACAACTGGGTATAGGTTCTGGCTGTGGTAACTGGGCCTCTTTGAGTAACAGGCCAAGCAGCTGAAGGAATAGATCAGAGGAGAGGGCTGCACTTTTGTTCTTAGGGCATCAGTGTTTTGTTAGTTCATGACTACTTTGTTATAAGCCCTATAAGCATGGAAGAAATAGTAGTGTATAGTGGCTCTTGGCACAAACACAGTTTAAAAATTATTGTGTCTGCATCTAAAGTGTTCTGGTTATATAACTTCATCCTCTACTCAGTTTTTCTAAAGGAAAGGTAAGAGATGATGGATCAGCCAGAGGGATATCCCAGGTTTTACCATGTCTCATACTGCTGATATCTGCATTTAGTGGTGACCAACAAAAAAGTATAATGGTGGCAGCCACGTGTTTATTCCAGGTGATCTGAATCATTGACTCTTTCATTCATTTATTCAACACCATGTTCATGCAAACCTTCAATGGGCCAGGTGCTGGAGCTACTGATGGGAACAAAACATGGATCACAACCTAAGGGAGTTTCTAATCTTGTAGGGAAGATAGCAAAGTAGACAAATCATTACTGTACAGTATACTGCATTTTATGCTAGAGATGCTTACAGGGCACAGGAGAAGTGCTCCTCAGGAAGGCAAGGAAGGCTCCCAATAGATGATAGTTAATGGTATCTTGAAGAGTGTGTAGGAATGAGTCAGGAAATATACAACTCAGAATAACCAGAGCACTTCTTCTCAAGCTGTCAGACAAACTTGTGTTACAGGAGTATGTAAGGCCACAGAATAGATGTGACCTTATTTACCCCCCAAAATTTACTTTTTATTGGTTTGACAAATATTTATTGACGACCTAATCTGTGCTAGGCACTCTAACAGACATCAGGGATAGTTAATAAATTAGACAATCTTAAAACTCATGGATTTTCAATTCTTGGGAAATATATCTCAAAATATTTGAATATGTTATTGAAAAGAATGTAAAAATTTATGCAACCAAGCATGAGTATTTCATATAAATTTTGTGCTTGCAAGAGCAGTTTTGGCAATGCCCTTAGACCCCAAGATAATGTGTTCATTTTATTCTAGAGTTGGGATACTGTGTTGAAAGACTGAGGAGTGCTTGTAAGGTATATGTGAGGAACTGAGTGTGAGACATGGGATTGGGGAAGTAGGTAAGCACTAAACCAATAAGTTTGCATTTTCTATTAAAATAAATGATGCACTATAAGAGGATTTGAAGCAGGAAAGGCACGATCAGTTTAGGGTTTTAGAAGGATCACTCTGGTGGCAAGTACTCATAGGTCTGTCTGAGATAATGCTTTAAAAATATAGTCCCTATCACTGTTTTGCATTTTTCTCTGCCTGTATTGAATCATTTGAATGGTTTTCATTAATGTCCAAATAGCTAAAGCTAAGGACCTGCACTTAACTACCTGCAAACACACAGTGCACGGACAAGGGGATTTACCTTTGTGGAATTTCTCTTAAAGTTGAAGTTGCCAAAAGCATAAATTGAACCTAAAATTTGGGACCACCTTTATTCATACTCTGAATTGATTTAACTTTCTCTTTAAAATACCTCAAATATTTTACATATACTAGGTAATCTGTTTTTCAGAGAGAGAGTGGTTGCAAATAGCCAAAACCCATTCAAACTAGCTCAAGCTGCAAGGAAAAATATATTGAATTATTAGAAGGGCAAACAATGTAACCAGAACTTAGACCTATAGCCAGAATATAGAAGGAGAATAAGTCTAAGACCAAGGGAGCTACTGTTTTTCCGGGTCTCTCTGATGCATGTTGGATACTAGCTTAATTCTTTGTTATTTCTGCAGCAAGTTGTTTTTTCTTATTCATCTGATTTTTTAAAATGAGCACATGTATAAAATGTCCACACCAAGCTGTGTCCTTTTAGTTTAAGAATCACCAGAGACTACATAATTTTAGTTTTTACAGAGAGAGAACTGGACTGGCTAGTTTGAGTATGGTGACTACTCCTGGTAAAGTCAGCTGTGATTGGGAAGAGGTCCTGCAGCTCAGCCGCCATTCACTGGGGCTGTGTAAACAGACTCTGAATTCTCAGGGGTGTAGAGAAGTTCTATTAGGAGAGGGGTTGGGGCAGACTACAGTGATTAGATGAGGTAGTGACTAATCTCTAGCAACTTCCACAAAGAAAGCTTGGCAAGTCCCCAATATCCATGGGTATGTTTTTCGTAGGAGAATGACCATTCCTTTTCTAGATTTCTTTGTTCATTTTGATATTTCATAAATAGGTTGCTGTATTAGTCCTAATTCTTCAGGTTGCAGTGCTAGAAATTGAACTCATATTGCTAAAATATAATGTATTGCCTGATACACATGAAATGTTTAGATAATATGTGAGTTCGCCTAATGTTTGGATAATATGTGGGTTTCACAGCTAGGTCTAGCTACCCTGATCATCTAAGCAGGAATCCATTTCTGTCCTTCTGCAGGTGCTGCTTTCTTTCCTGAAGTCTTCATTCTCAGATAGCATCTGTACTAATCTGGTAGTACAGATGACTACCACAAGCTCCTGACTTGCATCCTGCTTTGAATGTTGATGGATATCAGAAGTATGGTTGCTTTTGCTACCAAAACAATTTAGGTTCCAAAATTAAAATAGTAAATTAGAATAAAAATCAATGTTCTATTCCCATTTTTTAGCTACTGAGTTGAATTTAGGTGGGGGAAGTATTTTTGACTTGAACTTTCTACAAATTTACTGTATGTATGTGAACATTAATAGGATAGCAGTATACTAAATATGAATATTGGGATTGAAGACTGCAGAATGCAAGACACTGTGGCATCTTACAATAGTTACAAAGGCATTAGCACAAGGCAGATTTATTTGTTTATTTATGTCCCCTATAAACCACAGCTAAACTGTTTTTTATTGATTTTTTTTTTAAATTTGCCTTGACCTCTTTTTTCTAAATTCCAAAATATTAAGATTCTTATTCAGCAGATTTGAGAAGTTTTTAAATGTAATAAAGTGGTTTTGATTGTAGTGAGGAAAACCAGCCCAAGAGCATATAGCTGCTGTGAGGATTTACTACCTGGGAAGGTAAAAGAAAACAAAAGGGTCCATATTCATGGGGGTCCTTTATTTTACATATGCATATCTGTGTTCATGGACCAGAATTTGTATTCTCCACTTGTATTTTAGAAAGACTGCCTAGTGTTATGAGAGACAGATTGAAGGTTATTGATATTATAACTGAGGGGCAGTTTAAAAGTTGAGTTAGAATTGATAGTTGTTGCATTTAGAAGTTTGTCACTTCTAAGCCAGACCTAGCTATAGGAGTAGAAGATGAGTATAGATATCATGGAGATAAATTTTTGTAAAAACAAATTTTCCTTTCAAGTTTTGGCCAATGCTTTTGCTGCATACTGTTGCTTTTCATATTTTTATTGTTAGCAACATGATAAAACTATGTCAGTAAGTGGGTTAGCTAATATAGGTAGGGTATCCTTTATCTGAAATGCTTGGGATCAGAAGCATTTCAGATTTCTGATGTTTTTTCAGATTTTGGAATATTTACATTATACTTACTGGTTCAGCTTTCTTAATCCAGAAATCCAAAATCGGAAGCTTTGAGCATCATGTCAGCCCTCAGGAAGTTTCAGATTGGCAAACATTTTGGATTTTGCTATGAGGATTAGGGATTCTCAACCTGTAATTTCTTAAAAGTGGTTTTAAGAAACATTTGAATAGGAAGATTCAGATTAGTATAATTTTGTGGAAGGAAATAAGAGGATTAGAAGTAGTGAGAATAGGAATTATTTATGTCTGATAGAAAGCAGGGCAGTGGAGCAGAATTTAAGTAGAGATGTCCAGGGCAACTGATGCCAGGGGTGTGTAAACTAACATGAAGCTAGGGTTTTGAAAGGAAAGAGGAGACTCAGTTTTGATGCTGATTTACTGCTCATGCCATGTTAAGGTTCTTCTCATGGCTATGGCGTTAGGAATATGGACCTTTTGTTTTCTTTTACTTTTCCAGGTGGTGAATCATCACAGCAGCTACATGCTATTGGGCTGGTTTTCTTTAGTACAATCAAAACCTCTTTACTACAAATGTAAGGATAACCTAATGCAAACTACATAAAGAACAGGTATATTCAGTTTTAGGATACAAAACCTAGTCCTGTTTCATGTTGGAGACTGTTCTCACAGATATGTCTGGAACTTTCTTTCTGTTCCAAATTTCTTAGTTTACTGCATAATTTTATTTACCCTGGAATCAGGTTACTTTTCTATTTATCTGTCCTGCTTCTCTGAGCCAAAGAGCTTAAATCTTTTCTAATTTTACAATTTCAAAGTTTTAAGTCTTCTAGGAAATGAAGATATTTTATTCATTCTATAAATGTATGTTAGATGAATGAGGTCACAATTAGCCAAGTTATATATTATATATATATTTTAATATATAGATAAATATGAAATATATATTATATATTATGTAATATATATTACGTATAAGGTGCAATACACAAACCATCACAATAGTACACATTCAGACTTATGATAAAGTAACATGTGAAGAGAAATGTGTGGATGGAAATTGCTAAACAATGTTCGGGTTGCTCTACTACTTCTCTTTTCTTTGTTTCTCTTTTCTTTAGTGTGCTTTCTCTTCTCTCTCTTTTTGGTGTTCTAATAAAGGAGAAAGGAAGAGGTATAAAATGTTGGGAAAATATCAGAAGTTGGAGTAGGAATGAAGCACCACAAGGAAGCTAACCTAAGTAAATTGTCCCTTTGTCATCCAATGCTCATAAAAAAACTACAAATTATTTTTAGATTTCTAAGTTCCTTGTTTTGGAATTCAAGTTAGTGCCCACAGTTTAAAGATACCAATAACTCATACCGTCTTGGAGGCAATTGCTTTAAGTTGATTTACTTTGATCAATGGAGGAGGCATTAAGTTGGTTTACCTTTGTCCCAGATGGGAGAAGTAGGATCTATAATGGAACAAAAACATTTTCTAAGATGAAAACTTGTGGGATGATGAGTTTCCCATTTCTTTTGTTGCCTGCCCAGAATTCAGGTGAGAACTCAGGGTTTTGTAATTCAAGCATTGATTAGGAAGTGTGTAAACTAGGGTTCATTTGTTAAAAGCAAAATTAAATATCTTAGGCAACTTATGCAAGAAGGGAATGTATTGAAAGGATTTGTGAAAGCTTGGAGTTGCTAATAGAGTCTAGTAGACCTATGGTGGAAAAAAGAAAAATCCAGGCAACTCCAAAAGGTCTAGTTGGCAAAACCACTCCACAATACAGGCAAGACACCATCAATGGAAAGAACAAATTCCTACTTTATTTAATAAATGTTTATTGGGTACTCATAAGATCTGGGCAGGGGGATACTACAAGGAATGAACAAGAGTCCTGGTCTTGTGCTCTTATATTTTAGTGAGTAAATAGACACAAAACTAATAAATAAATAAGTATGTAATACTCCAAGAAGTGATAAGTGCTAAGAAGAGTTCTGAAAGGAAATATAGTAACAGAACAGAATACTGAGGAAGGTACTAGAAACCCTGTGGGGAGAGTTTGGCAGAAAGAAGGAAAAGGAGCTGCAAAATGTGTTTAAGGAGCAATAAGGAGAGGGTGTGGCCAGATAGAGAGTATGAAGGGCAAAGTGATGGGAAAATAAGAGTGTCAATTGCTCCTCTGACCTCGGTCTCTCCGCTTAAGGGTTAAAATCTCTGGAGAAAGAATCTGTTAGCTGACCTTAAAACTTGTGCTCACTCCTTAGCGGAATAAGGAAGAGAAGAGGCATAAGATAGTTGAAGAATTTTATAGAGACCTTTTTAGCATCATGGGAGGGGGATCAGGGCAGTTGGATTCACCATCCTTCTTAAAGGAGGAGGGGAAAGTTTTCAAAGAAGAAAATTTAGGGTATAGTTAGGAAGGGGGATTAATGTTGAATGTTGAATTACAAATGTCCCCATGACCAGTTAGCATAAGTGACCTTTGTGCTCCTTTTCAACACTGTGGTGGATTGAGTGGTGCAGGTGAAAGATGGAAGCAAGAGGGGAAAGAATAAAAAGCTGACAAAGTGAGATGTCCCCCACCATCGGTCAGCACCCCTCACTCCTGCTCTGGCTTCTACCTTCTGCTCCCTATTACCATGTGGGTAATACACAGGTTGGTCACAAGGAACAGAGGCAAGACCTGTGGGGGGTGAATTATTACAAGGGATAGATATAATGGGAAATAATGAGGCACAGGCAACTGGCTGCTCACAGCTGAACAGCTAGGAGATCTGACATGCTCTGGGACAGCAGTAGCCACTCTAGGAGGCAGCACCTTGGAGTGGGTTTGTCCATCACTTCCTCATTCTCAAGTCACCTTCTTTCAGCCTCTTCTACTGAATCTGCTTCTATGCTATTCCTAACTCCCCCTCTTGTTTTGGCTCTTTGAGAGCTTCTGCATGCCGCTTTTTCTCCACAAACCATTTCACATCAGCTCTGCTCCACATCTGATCTGTGGGTGACTTACATTCAAACTCCCTGAGAGAAGAGAGGATAGGATTGATCGGTTGTCCTTATTTATTGCAGTCTTGTTATTGTGTGAATTTCTTCTCGCACAAGGTGATGCCACAGGCTGATGGCCAATGCATGTCAGACTGCTTTAGATTCAGATACTAACCCTTGATTTAGGCATCTAGGAAAAACAGTGGGGTCTCAGAAACCAAGGATCATGCCTAAGGAAGTGTTTATGGATGCTTTATTCAGAAGGAGTTGGTGAGTGTGGCAGGTGCTCAGGGTTTCTTAAGACTTTTTTTCTAGTGCTAAAAAAATGCCAACATCAATATATAGAATGCCTGCTGTGTGACAGGCATTTAAAACACATTATTTCTGGCTCTGAGAACAACCTTACCATGTAGGTATTATTATTCCTTTTTTTTTAACTTCAAAAATCACACAGCTGGTAAATGAATGAGCTAGAATTTGAATTCAAAGTGTCCATTTTCTTTGATGACATTATTAAAAGTTCTTTAAGTATATAGACCTCTGAGTATGAGAAGGCCTTTTTGTAAAGAAACAGCAACAGCACAGAAAGTTCATATACTATAAAAAGCTAAAAAAAATTTTGATGGACCATAAGGCATGCACGCATTCATTTGTCAATTAATTAATCCATAAATGACTTTAAATGGGTACTGTGAACAAGGGACTAAAAAAATGAGTAAAAATAATCTTACCAGATACAAATCCAAATGGTTTCATATGAAATAGTACTAACTGTACTGTTTTGCATCAGAATGTCTGAATACTAACTATGAAAATCTGGCTAATACTTTTTTGCAAGACAGACAATTGCTTAACAATGAAGAAAGAACAGAGAAATCTTATGGGAAAAAATGTTAATGTAAAATACTCATGTAAATTTTGAGATTGACAATTTTATATAACTTTTTCCTGGAGCTCATGAAAAACTATTGTCCCAAAACATTTCCTCAATGGTAACAGGATCCTATTCTGTAAAGCCCAGCAAATATAAGGTAAAGAAATCAAGCTTTCTTTCAAAATAATGCCATTTGCCATGGAAAGAACTGTCAATGAGAACAAATATTTTTAATATGCCAAAAATGTAGATGCTTTGTCTTTTTTCTCATTTTTTTGATCAAAAGCTAGAAAAGAAGATATTAAGAAGAGAGAGCATATTGTATATGAATCCTAATTAAATAGGTATAAATTCACAGGGATCCAACCAAAATGTGTCACTTTAGCTGATAGGTGAACACCAATTGTACTCTCCTTGGTTAGTGAAGAGAAACTATGGAAATAGAAGCCTGGGGCTGGTGCCCCTGAATGAGCCCCGGTGTTGTAATAAGTTTTCAAAATAATTCTTAAAAATCCTTAGCAGATTTCACTTTTTAAAATGGTCAAGGAAATTACCACATCTACATGTAGCGTAAATGACCAATTGTGGATATAAATTGAAGCAGTTCGGAGAAAGGGATTGTTCACAGATCTTTGCTGCTTCTGTGAGAGAGCTTATCATTACATTCCGACACAGCTTTAAAATACCTCAAAGTGCCCCCACCATAGCCTGCCTGCCCCGTGTCCCTTGACTCTTTTCTCTACAACTGAAAACCACCTTTTCTCTTAGCCTGTGGCTGGCTGGAAGGCTACGGAATGTGAGTTTAATCACAGATTACCATTTTCTACTTTTTCTGTTTTAAGCCAGTTATACTGCTGCTGTCTTAACAGAAATAGTCAAGACTATAAATATATCTACCAGATATCAATTTAAACACATAATGAAAAGTGAAGCAACAATAAATTCACATCTGAAAGTCTTGGGTTTCACCTTTCCCTGATGGGACGAGGTAACATTTACTGAAAACAAAAATAATAATCACAATTGAAAAAAAAATTCTATTAGGAATAGAAGCTCTAAGAGGAAAAAGATTATATCATGAGGAACATTGTACGTTTCTTTTAGCTCATGAATTTAACATGAAAAATGTCTATTGGCTTTGTTTTTCGGGCTGTAGACTTTTTAAATCTTTAGGAATGCTGCCGCCCAATTGTAGGGGCTGCTGTTCAGTTAAAGAGAGGATACTGTGAATATGAGAGGAAGCAGAAAGATTCCGTAAATCATAAGGAAAACAATCCATGGCACTTTGGTTTGTGCTATCTCGAGGCCACGATAGATAAAGAAATGAGAGACCTGGCTGGTTTCCGTTCAGGAAGTTGCTGGAAGGTGATTGAAACTTTGATTAGCCTGAGCCATGGACAGAGAAAAGAGCTTTGTTCTTCTCTTCCTATCTCCAGCTTGGGTAAAAATACTCACTCTGTTTTGGAAGATTATGAAGAAAGTCTAGACTATAGTAACCTTTCAAATAGTGACATGAAGTTAGGATTAAGATGCTGGAGGCTTCTTTTTAAGACATGGGTGGAAGTTCAGCAGGAGGGCACATGAGAAATGCAGCTGGTGCCTAATCGCCACGTTTGAGGCCTTCAGCTAACGCTTCGCTAGAGGAACTAGGATTTTCTGATTAACTTTGTAGAAGAAGTGTCGGAAATGCTTTTCAACACGTAGGTTGTGACATTAACCTCAGCATAAAAAACCCCTGTATGCCTTCTGGGTCAGAAATCAGAGGGGCTTAGCATTCTCCAAATCCCCAGTGATGACGACTAAGGTGGATTCAAAATTAAGACAGATAATTTCCTAAAACAAGGTGCTCTCATTCTGTTTCCCCAAAGTTCCAGCAATTGACATTGTGTGTGCTGTGACTGGTTTTTGAAACCAGATAACTATGTGCAATAGAGAAAAAACACCTCAGCTGCGAATATAATTTGCTGTCTTCTACTTTTTATTTAAGTTGATGAGGAAATACTTGGAAAAAAAAACCCCACCCACTTCACCTTGTCTTTATCTCTATTTTTATTGTTTCTGGAGATAAATTCTGAGGGTAATTTTGATAAACATCCTGGAGGCCTTGGCCGTTCTAATTGTGTCATCGAACTATAGGGATTTCCTTGGCCTGAGAACCACCCAACCCAAGTTGCGAAGTTCTGAATACCTCTACAAGGCCAAAAGCTCTACAGCAGAGATGCAGCATAATTAGCTCTTCTGTTATACTCTTGAACAAAATGTCAGTTCAGAAACCTGAAGTGTGTGCTAATGACAAGGGCCCAACTGTCCCATAAAACTAGGAAAGTGGTGTTTGTTGTCGATTTCAAGAACTGGAAATCAAAATCTTAATGACACAGGAAATGCTCTTCAAAGGCCAAGAAGTCTTAGTGAAAGATAAGAGGATCAATCAGTCTTAAATGCGAGTTTACTAAGAGTGAGAGGTGGGATGCTGCCAGCATGGATATGTATTTTGAAAGGAATGAATAAAACTCAGCAATAGCGTTAATTTTACTTTGAAGTATATAATGAAACCCCTCAAGTACGGAGACTTCAACACCCCTTTCCCAAAATGACCAAAATTTCCATTTTCGAGCATTTTTCTTTCTGCCTTTTTCCGTTCCCTGTCTTAACAGAATTTTAAAAGAGCAGCTAATAAATGAAGTATACTTCAGTTTCATGTAATGGATTGGATCAGAAGGGAACGGATAAGATGATATTGGAAAAGCAGGTGGGGGTCGAAAAGCTGCCAAAGTGCTAAGCTGTATGGGTTCAATTGATTTCTGGCGTGCAGAACCCAGTCCCCGGATCATTCCAGCAAATGAGAGGAAAGCACTCCCTGTTCTGTTACAATTGCCAGCTCTTCTCTAGGGACTGGTTACCAGCAGGGCCAGAGGTGATGAGGGGGAGATAAGGCCAATTAAGAATTCAGACTGGGGAAGCAGGAAACAGAAGCCACAGGGTGAATTCCAAAGGGGAAGATGGGAAATGAGACTATGGGTCACTGTAAGCATTCAAGGTAGAATACAAATATGAGTTTTAAACCCGCTTTAGAGAAACTCATTTTAGTGGGAGTCAGGATCAAAGGAGGCTGAAGCTTTGCAATGTGGTTTCCAAAGGCAAGGCACCGGGGCAGAATAACTGAGTAGAAACTTACCATTAAAACCTAGCCCACTGCTTATCATCCTTTCTGTGTTCTTGGCACACTTTGGGATATTAGAAATTTTAGTGGTGTACTTGAAGGAATTCAAAAGCTCAAAACAAAACTAAGCAATTCAGCAATAATTTCAACCCAATCACCGCTATGGTGTGACTATAATGGCACCGTGTTCATAATAGCACCCCAGGGATTGGGAGCTAGACGGGCCTGCCGTGAAGGGTAGACAGATGGAGCTCTGGGTACTGGCTCAGTGACACTAGGCCCCTTACTTAATGACTCTCGTCATCAGATTCTGCATCTATAAAATGAGGAAGAAGAGTGGACCCCTTCAGAGGGGTGAGATGGAGAGGTCACTGCCCCTGGCCCTTGTGAGTGCTCATCCTGACGCTGGCCTCTTGGACCCCCACTCCCACCTGTCACTGTCCCCTCTTCACTGCCCTGAGAACACTCCCGCAGTGCTCCAGAGGCCAAGTTCTTGCCTGGCCAGTCAATATGAAATCGTTCTTGGGCAAAGGTGCACTGTCTTTTACCTTACTCACAGCAAGCTGTAGTTTTGCTCTTACTAAATCACAAGACCCACTCAGCAAAAAATTCTTTCTGACATCCGTGGTAATAAAAGTATATGCACTTGAGTAGCAAGGACCAATTTCATACACTGAACAAAATTTGGGAGCATAACTGAAAGGATTCACAGCATACCAGGGGTCCCTGAGCTGGCTGTTCGAGAATGATATTTGCAGGAAAAAGACGAAAGCTTAGTTTTCTCCCTAAATGAAGGCTTCCCTTCTACCCTAAATAGTGGGCTGATAAATGACTTAATTGTTCTGTCTTCAAGCTGGCTGCTGCCAGGCATTGTAGAGTCTATCTCGTTTTTCCCTTCTTGAAAGCAACCCTTTGAGGCAGGTGATGTTACTGTTTTTCAAAGTCATTTTATAGGCAAGAAAACTAAGGATTAGAACCATTAAGTGACTTCAAATCCAAGTCTTTATGATATCAAAGCTTCTGCTCTAACTGGGTGGTTCTCAATCGTTAGTGAACATCAGAATCACCTGGAGGAACTTGTTAACACCAACTGTTGGGCTCCATCTCCAAAATTTCCCTTTCAGTAGGTCTGACTTGGGGGTCTGAGAATTTGCATTTCTGTTTCCCTGAATGCTAAAGTTTCTGGTACTGGGACTACAGTTGAGAAACATTACTATGTATGTCCTGAAACCCTTGTTGATTCCCTCCAGAAACCAAAAGAAAATGCACATGTATATTCCTAAAATGAAAACATAACACTTTTATGGGAAATCAGAAAAAAAATCTTCATCAGAAAAACTTTGATAACCCTAGTCCTAAATTAGATAGTCACAATACACGCTATATAAAATGACTTCTTCAGCTTCAGAAGGTTTTTTTGTGGTGAGCTTTGTATTTCCCATGATGCCTAAGGCATATAACTTTGGTACTGCTTTGCCTAACTTTATGATTTATTGTTGTCATTTGGAATAAAATACTTCTATGCTTAGTACAACAAAGCAAGAAATGCCTGCCTAGAAATGGTTGTGGTTTTTCAGTGGTAACACCATTGGTATGATGTTTATTTGTTTGTTTCTGAGGTTTTGAAAATTGCTTTAGAAAGCCTGGGGGCAGAAAGCTTCACTTAATTAAAATATTTTAAATCAAACCACAGGAACTTCAGTTCATAGAGCCTCAGGGTACAGCCAGCAATTGTAAGAAACTCAAATGGAATAGGGTGGATAAATATAATAATATGGGGTATAACTTTCTGTTATTATTTCTGTTAACTGCGTTAAAGTAATTAGGCAACAGAAATAGTAAACTGAAAATCTTTAGTTAACTATTGGAATTCTGAGGCTATTTATAAATTGCTACACAACTGGTTTAGTGTTTCCCAGAGTGGCCTTGTAGTATTGGGAATAATGTTCCCAGGATGCTCAGTGAAGACAGGATTCCCTTTGAAGATAACTTTGGGAAATATCACACCACTCTCTCAGAAATAGACATTGCCCACTTGCTTAGGAAAGGCTCTTAGAAGTCCTGCATAAAGCAACCCACTTGACTTTGTCTAAACCATCATTTCTGTTTTTCAAGACGTTTTGATCACACAGCTTCTGATTCCCCTCTCACCCCAAGTAAGACCATTTTATAACCTATGGAACGGAAAAAGAAACTCCAGATAACACATATGTTTATTTTTCAACCAATTATATGTATATATTGTGAAGCCTTCCTCCCCTCACCCCCTGCCCCTGATTTCCTACTCCTTCCCAAGCGTTGACTATTTCTCTTTGCTGAAATAAGAACTTGAACATATACTACTTGCACACATTTGATGGCTGAAACAAGGCGCCAGGGATACTTGGGTTGCTTTCTGAGTTTATCAGTAGGTAGGATTCAGTAAAACCATGGAAGTTTGTTCTAAATGAAGAAAACATCAGTCAGAATTGTGTAGAGTCCAAAAATAAATTTAATTTCATTACTTCCAATGGATAACTTTATTTCTAGAATGCTGCCTAGGAAAGAACCTTGGGCAAGCCTATTCTATTACTAGAAAGGGATCATTTATAATTACAATAGCATTTGTTTGTCTGCTGAATGTACCTAAATTGCCTGAAAACTACTTACTTGCTCAATCAGTTAAACATTTTTCTCTTTGGAAATATTAATTTGCTTAGCAAATTCACTTTTCCTAGGTACAGGGAAGTAATCTTCAGCCACTTTTCCCCTAGCTAGAGGAAAGGTAAACTTTAACCTAACCATTTTTCTAATTATCACACGTTTTGAATTAATGGGGTCCAAATTAATTAAGGTTTTATTATAGTTTCATCCTTAGGAGACAAGGTTTCATTTCCCTCTTTTGAGATATTTTCCATCTGAATCAAAAGAAGATTAACCTCACTACTCTCATTGCTTGAAGCCAATGGGTTTCAACTTCTTTTTTCCCTCCTCAATGTACCTGAGGGTTACGGAACACTCCCTCTGTAAGGAAAAGATGAGGTGTGTGGGGGGCTATAATTAGGAAAATCTCCCCAGGTGATTCTGATAAGCTCCCTGCCCCTTCTTAAGAATCCTGGCATTAAGGCTTTGATTAAAAACTTGTAACCCTCAGGCAAGAGTGGAATTGGGGCGGGAAGGGCAGTGGAGGCCCTGACAGGACTCCAGCTAAGCAAGTTGGCAGGGGGTTTTGTCACAACTGGTCAGCTAAGGCATGAAGAAGCACAAAGATAACAGGTCAGCCAACAAGCATAAGGCAGAAGATTGCCATAAGCATTTTTAGCATGATTAGCTGTCTCCACCGTATGTACTGAACACTAGCTGCTGATAACCCAGGAGCAGCTGGGAGGAAGGAGGCTGAAGACCTCAGAACAAAACCTGCCTTTGGGGCAAGCAGGGACAGAGACTGACATTTAATCTGCTTGATGCTGGATCTGTGAATGAGATGGAAAAGTAAACTGCATCCAAGTACTTTCCCACTTTCTCCAATCTAGTCCACAGTAACCTGAGGTCTGTGATACAGAAACATCCTGCTAGATATGGGTTCATAAATGATATAGATGTGTACAAACCTTAGAAGAGGCTAAAATGTGATGTTTAGAAGAATTTATCTGTATAATAGAATATTAAGAGAGTCATCAATTAATATTAGGAGACTCACCATAGTCCTTGTTTTCAGTTCCTCTTATAATCTATCTCTTGAGGGTTTAGACAGAACAGCTGGTAATGATAAACAAACACTCAAAACATTTCTTTTGACTTCCAAGCAAAATATTAAATGAGTAAGGTATATATTTCCTTTGATATTGATGTACTGAATCTTACAGGCTATTAACTAAAGCCCTTTGGGAAATACTTTACCTAATGCTGTTATAGTTTTGTCTGTTCTTATTGTTTTATTCTGTTTAAATAAACTTGGATGTTTGTTTAATTATATCTATATTAATTATATCTATATTAAGTTCCTCCTAACTAGTTGTCCACATTTGATACCGTTGTAGCTATCTTCTAATACACTAACTTGAGGGTAGATCTGTTTAAAGGTGAAGACTGCTATAAAAGAGAATCTTCTCTTTTGTCTTGAGAATATCTGAATGCTTAATAGCTGTTATGTTCCCTTGTCACACTGAATTGAGTTTGGGCAACCAGGATTGGGCTAGTTGCAGCTCTATGAACACGAGCAAATCATTTTAGCTCTTTGGGTTTCAGTTTCCTTATCTGTTGAATATGGTTTCTTCCTGAGGCTGCTGTACGTGATTTTATAGGTCAGTGATACTGAATTAAGTTTCAGGTTTTGGACACTAGATGGTGATGTTGTGTTGCAATTTGAAGAAGTCTTCCTCATCTTAGCCAAGGTCGACACTCAGGCTTCATATTTGCTCAGCTTTTAATAAATACGGTGTATGATTAATGAAACTCTATCCATGAAACATACGTAATTGATCATGGAAATAACACAAATGGAAGAAGAAACCAAAAATAACTCTAGCTCCTTTTTTCATCCTACTTATATGTTAGGCAATTTATAAATCTATTGAGGCTTTAATGGCAGGCCTAGGCTCCTGATGCCCACTTCCTGTTTCTCACTTCTCTCATTCATCCTTTTGGATTCCTAAAACTACTCACCTCAGAAGTGCTTATGAGACTTTAGGCTGCCTGTTGAGATATCAGAAATATACAAATGAATGCAATTTTTGTTCAGAAAAACCTCCCTATAAGTACATTTCCTCATCCTAAGTCAAACAGCCTGAGAACAGTTCTCTCAGAAGCCTCTTCATGGATGATTTCCTGCTTGTTTACAAATCAGCAGTAGAAGGAGAATGAGTTTACTAAAGTGGTGGCTGCCTTTCTCACTCTTCCTGGGAGTGAATTCTTTTGAGCTCAAAACACAGAAGGACATAAGAGTTCCTAGAACTCCCTTTTTTTGGGTCCTCTGTTTCCTGACTCTGAGTCTGCAGATTTTCCTGATGGTTTTAGGCTGGATGATGGCAATCACATAGCCACTCTACTATGGTTCTCTCATAGCTACTCACAGAGCCACTCTGCTGCAGGATAACTTGCTCATGAAAGGAAATGCCAGATTAAACCCCTTGCCACCCTGGACCTGGGTCCTCCAAACATGGAATAGGTATGTGGGGGAAGGAATGAGTTCATTTTGAGCAATTTAACACATATTTTAATGTAATTATACCCCATTAAAAAAAAGTAGCTTTTCCCCACAGTGGCATACTCCTTTACTGACATGAATGAGTAATTGGAAATGGGGAAGGCCTTTCACTGGCGATCCTGTGTGCTGTCTCAGCAAGATAGCTGTACCAGACGGGGCTGGGGCAGCGATATCACTCTGGTAGGTACCGCTCCCTCAGGCACGGTTGTCCTGATTTATGAAACTGGCAGTTGTCCTGGTTCTTATGATAGGTTGGGTCATCGTATTACATGACCTAACCCTGAATCTCAACCAGAGTGAGTAAATCTCTGCTATCTTTTGGCTAGATGACACAATCAATTGTCACTTTACTTTTCTTTGACTTACATACTCGAACACATAGAACTATAATTCACTTGAGGCTTACAAAAAGAAAAATGGTTTTAAATTTGAAATGTTTCACTCCCAGCAGAAAAAGCTGAAGGAAAATTAACTTGACTCTCATAGTCCAGTAATTTAAGGCTAAGAGAAAAAAGGTCCCTTTATACAGTCCAGAAACATCTACCTTATGGAACATTTTAATTCCTTGGTCTAAGGAACCTAAGGCAGAGATAGGCTCCCGGAGGACCTGAGACTCAGAATTTACAAATTAAATTCTTTCCCATTCATTCAGCAATAGAAGAAATACAACTAAAGAATGCAAAGAAACAAAAAACTTTGAGACAAATGCAAAGGGAACTTGGAGTTAATTTTATATAGCCAGAAGAATGGATTCATAGGGGTAGCACAAAGACCATTTTTTAATGAATTGAGCCTGTACTTGAGTGATAGCAAGGAGATAAATATAATGTGGAACTTGGCATGAATGAATAGAAATCCTCACAGCTACTAAAGCCATGTCTCTTTTAGCTTCATTGTGTAGTTACAACAGAGCAGTTTAAAAGACCAGAATAAATGTGACCTGAACATTTGTCTGTCTTAGGTTTTATGAGTACAATTTGAACTAAACTGTGCCAAATCAGTAAAGAAAACTATGAAAATAAATACGTAATAGTCTAGCATCGTATTTAAAATGTAATATAGCTCACTAACCAAATAGACCCCAGATTTAAAATACATTTCAAATATTATTTAGGGTATTTTGGGATCATTTTTTTTCCCAGGTACAGCAGATAATGGCAAATTCAGTAGGACTTGGTAAGAGAATTTCATCAGAAGCAATAAACAGGCAGAGTGAAAACTGATTATATTCTGATTTATGTAGTTCATTCATGTTCTGAGCTGTTTGTTCTGGCAAATGTACATTCCCTGATTCAAAAATTTCTATAAAGGTGATTTGGTTCAAAAAAAAGGTTTTATGTCTAGGGACCATACAGATTTTAATCATCTTCTTTGTGCTCTGTTCTGTGTCTTCTTTGTGAGGCTTTTCTACCCTTCAGCACTATTGTTTCTCAAGGATGATTTTTATCAAGAAAAACACGCAGAGAGTAGAAGAAGATTTAAATCTTAGTAGAGGTTTATTTTAGTTTATTATTATTTTTTAGTTTAAGCTGGCTTGGTGAAATTAAAAACAACAACAACAACAACTCTTCCCAAAGCAAATGTAGTATTTGAGAATAACATAGGAATGGGTCCCTAACACATGAGCAATTATTATGGTGAGGAGTGAGATTCTGTTCACTCACTGCAAGAAGGGGATGCTTTCATAATGTCTCTATGTGGTGGAGGAGAGGGCTGGAGTGAAAGCTGGGATCAGGTGTCACGGGGACATCAGTCACTCCTTCAGCAAATAGGATTCTGAGTTGTTGCTGCTCAATCTAGGGCTCAATACAGCAGTGAATAAGTGAACCACTTAGGGGAAGCCAAACACTGAATGACTGATTATGTGAAGAATGAATGTTGTGGTGATATGTAGCATACTTTATTTTATTTTTAACTTTTTCAGTTTTTGTAGAGATGGGGTCTCACTTTGTTGCCCAGGCTGGTCTCAAACTCCTGGGCTCAAACAATCTTCCCACCTCAGCCTCCCAAAATGCTGGGATTACAGTGTGAACCACTGTGCCTGACCAGTGTAGCATACTTTAGAATACACACAATAGGAGAAAGAATAGGACAGAGTTAGCCCAGTGAGGAGCCAGATGGGCAGGAGATAAGTGTTTTTGGCTAAGGAAACAAAGCCTGTGGAGACAGAAACCAAGAGGAAGAGTGGCATGTGATTGGGCTGGTGAGGCCAGTGCAGTACTTACAGTCCATATTGAAAATGTTGGTCTCTAGTCTAAGAATAATGGGAAACCTTAGAAGTGTTTCACAAGACCATTGCTCTAGCCACTGACCTATGGAGTCACTTAAAAGTATTTTAAATAGAGGGGTGTCGTCATCAGTTTTGCCTCTATAATAATATTCTGATTATACTGTTTTATAGTCAAACATGAAATTTTTCTGCTATTTCTAAATTCCAGGAGGAAAGTCTCATTATAATTCTTATATAATGGCACAAATTCATTCAAGTTGGGAACTGACTTTATTACCTAATCTGGAGAAGGCCGTTAGTCTTTTACATGGCGATAGAAATTTGTATTATGGTAACTAACATTGTAAAAAGATAGTCAATTTATAAAGAACTGCTTGTTAAAAGAAGCTTTATTCTTCAAATTCTATAAAAGAAGCTTTTAAAAAGTAACCTTTCTAGTGTTTTAATATTTATTCTGGAAAATTTAAATGTATTTTTGATAGGATAATAATGTACTCACTTGACCACCTCTTCTAATTTCCAACACTATAATTTTTCTCATAGGCTTTGTTTAATCTTAAAAATCCAATAAGCAATATAAAAACAGAGATATAAAGACTCATTACACTATATGGACCCACCGGAAAGTCAATAAGCAATCAACTTACTGAGCCCTCTGAGATATGATATTTTTAAATGCAGTAATGTGAATGGTGAAAATTTTTTGGAGGTTAGATCAGTTTAATTCTGGTTTGTATGGATATTGCACAGAATAGATACTGCTATTGTTGTCATCTTTTCACTTCAGTCTGTAAAGTAAGAATTCCATCATCTGCCAGAATTACCAAAATCAGGATGTTTCTCCTTATGTATAAATGTGTGTGCACGTGTACATATATGAGCATATGTATACTAACACATGCAGTTGTGCAAGAAATGTCATATTATCTTTCTGTATTATTCTGTATTTTTCTGTATTATTTTTCTGTTATCCTGAGTGCCCACCACACCAGGGTGGCAGGGAATTTAGTCTCCTTCGTTACTATGTCTCCCTTCCTGGGAAGATTGATACAAAAGCCCGGAATTTTATTATGTTGGTGCAAAAGTAGCTGCAGTTTTTGCCATTAAAGCAATGGCAAAAACAGCAATTACTTTTGCACCAACCTAATATATGCAGTAGTATGTTCACAGACCGCCCTCTTGTTTTCAGGTCACAGTGGTCACACTGATGTCATTATGGTTCTCAAAAAATGGTGGTTCTTCTTGTTCCAGGCCAGGTTGGTTTCAGAAATATTTGCTGAGCCTGAGAACTCCAAACCAGCTTCACTTGGGGCACCACAAAGCAATTGCTTTCTGTGGTCCTGAGATGTTCCTGGGACACACTGTGGAGAAAGACACAGGCCCTGCTATTCTCCACTTTCTACCTGACCTTGAAAAGTCTTTGAGAAAGTCCTTTATGAATTTAAGCATTTGAAACCAAAGCCAGGGGGTGGCCCAGGGATGTTTTAGTCAACTTTTGCTTTCAGCCCTAAAACACAGGACACAACTCTGACTGGGAAAAGGACAAACGCAGTAAGAATTAACTTAAAAATGTCAAAGATTACCCAACCTACATGTGTTCATTTTTGCAAGGGAGATGCATATAATAATAATTAAAGAATGATGAAAATTATAGCAGGTAGGAAAACCCAGCACCTGCATGCTTTCCATAGGCCAGCCCACAATGACACTGAGAGATTAACAGGTGCTATCTCATTTTCTCCTCATGGCCCCGAAAGGCAGGCACTATTGTCCTTACCTTAAGGATAAGGAGATTGTAGATTTCGAAAGGTTAAGTAGCTTGTTCAAGGTCCTACAAGTCCTCTGTAGGGGGCTAGAATTGGTCAGTGTCTGGGGCTCCGCTCTCAACCCTATGCTCAGCTTTTGCGTCTCATAGGAATCGCTCTTAAAGCTTTTCACTAAGATAGACGTCCATCTGTCTGCTCCAAAGCAACAGGAGAGAACTTGAGGAGCATGCTTTTTTTTTTTTTTTTTTTTTTTTTTTTTGCCACCAAAGTTCTTTTGGTGCACATTTCCAGTAGATTGCACATCTCCTGAAGGTCTGTTAAAGGTGGTCAGAATACAACAATGAATTCAGAATAAAATTGATTTAAAGACTTGTTTACATAGCTGATATTGAAACATGGGCTCTAAGGTAGATATATTTTCCAACATGAAACCGAATGTACTATTCTTGCTTTTATCTTCATGTCTACATGTTTTCTCAGTCTAGATCAAGTTTTTAGCCCTGTGAGGACTTATGTAAGACATTTAACGTCAGTTTTAACATTAGACGACTTAGTTATAAATTTGTTTTGTAGATAAAACACTATGCATAATTTTGTAATTTTTCTCTTTAGGCTAATGAATGAAAAAACAAGCTGTAGCCTAAATCTACCAATGTCAATAAAAACTAATTTACTATCCTTCTGCTTTGCCACCTCAAGTACTTTTCAAAGCTTTCAAATTATACTGAATTTAATATACATACATATAAATGTACATACATGTATATATACATATATATGCACATATATATATATAAATAGGTAAATGTGTTTGCTTTCCTTGGCATGTTTCAATATATACATGATATTATAATATCATTATTAATTTCAATGTAATTTCAATGATACATTATCTAATAGCTATGACTATTTATGACCCACACTATTCTAATGGGTATTGAGCACATTTTGATGAAATATACTGTATACCCTGAAAGTGGTCTTTTGTCCTGTTGTGGGATAGCCATCTATGACAGGCTGGAATTAGCTTGGGATTTTTGTTAGGCACTTTACCTGTAGGCCAGCAAAAATCCTGACCAACTACCAGAAGGGGCTTTCATTCACTCTCTCATTCTGGTGTTGATGGCAGTTGCCGGCCATCTGGAGCCGTCACTGCCATCACGCTGGCTGCAGCCGGGAAGGCGTGGGCAGTGGCAGCAGGGGTGGCTGCAGGAGCAGCAATGGCAGTGGTTGGTCCCCTGTGCCCCACATCCCCGATGCAGCTGACTGAGCCGCCCCTACCCTCGCACGGTGGGGCGGGATTTGCTCCCAGGCCTGGACCCTCTGCTGCTTCGGACCCTGGCCCCATGTTGCTGCTCTCCCCGGCTGCTGCTGCGGGGAGGGTGCAGCGAGGAGGCAGAGCTGGGCCCAGGGTGGTGCTGCGCTCCATGGAGCCAGCGGGAGCCGGGGACAAGCGAGAGCCATCCCCTAGGAGCCCACCGCCCCCGGAAGCCGCCGCAATGAGGCCAGGCGGAGCCGCCTATTAGCGCGGGAGCAGCAAGGTAGGGCATGGAGGGGCGGGCAGAGAGGGCCTAAGAGAGAACCTGGAGCTCCTGCCCCAGGCTGGAGGAGGTGTAGCCAGGGCTGCCCGCATGCTCCACTGAGCTGATGGGAGTTCTGCCTTCCCAGGCACAGGACCCGGGCGTCTCTGCAGTCTGCACCCATGAGTGCCTGGGAAGGCCCCCCTTTCCCATGCAGGCTGGGGAGTGTCTTCTCCCGCCGCCTGGCCTCTCCCTAATCCTGGTGCCCTGTCCAATCTCAGAGTGGGGTTGGGGCTGAGCCCAGTCACTGCCACAGCCTGGCTGGGTGTGCACAGACTTGGTGCACTGCTGACACACCAACGCCATGCTGCCTTGGCCCCTCCAGGTTTTGGGCATGGATGAGTATGGGAGGAACCCAAGGGCAGTGTAAGTGTGGCTACCTGCTGGCCTGCAGGTTCCCCTTGGCGTGAGCAGCCTGGGCACCATGGACAGTGGCAGGAGGCAGACAGGCTTCTGGGCAAAGGGAGTGGGTCCCTGGTGAGGCCCCACCTTCATGCCAGAGAGGGCCTGAAGGCTGGACGCTGGGGTGCCAGTCCTACAGACCGAAGTGGGAACTTGTGGTGCCTTTTCCTGGCCAGCCCATGGCTGCCCACGGACAAATCTGTGCATTTCCTTCCCTCTGAGGCCCATAAAACCCTGGACTCAGCCAGACTCAGAGGAAGGAGAGCTGAGGAGACTACGGGACAACCAGCTGTAGAGAGCAACTACCCTCTCTGCTGGGAGCTGAACACTTGTCGGGACTCCCTGGCTACAGAGAGGAGCTGCCCACTGCGGGTCTCTTCTGAGCTGTTCTACTGTTCAATAAAGCTCTTCTTCATCTTGCTCACCCCCTACTTGTCTGCATACTTCATTCTTCCTGGTAGCAGGACAAGAACTTGGCACCTGCTGAATGGCAAGACTAAAAGAGCGATAATACAAACAGGGCTGAAACATGCCCCTTGCTCTCCATGTTACAGGCAAAGAGGAGAGAAGAGCTGTGGCTCTTTGGGAGCTCTCAGAGCCAGGGCTGTAATGCCCTCTTTGAGGCCCTGCAGTTCCTGGCATCTCCAAGCTTCTAAGCACCACTGTATTCCCTGCTGCCAGCCTGCTGCCAGCCAGGGAAGCTGGTTGCAGTGTGCCTGGTCCAGCCACAGCCTTGCAGAGAGCTGGTGCCTGTGACGGTACATGGAGCTGCCCAACCCGCGGCAGTAGCATCTGACTATGCGCAGTGGCCAGAACTCACACTGGCTCGTGTACCCCTCGCCACTCCACGCCTGGCTCACCCTTGGCAGGTGTGGATCCAGGTCAGTAGCATGAGCCTAGCACAGCCTGCCTGGCTGAGTGGGTGGAATGAGCCCAGCAGGCCTGAGCAAAAGTCGGGCAAAGGTGCCACCGGCCACAGGTTTCTGGCCAGAAAAGTGACACTCCAGGGATCCTGTAACAGTGTGAGGGAGTCACCAGGGGAACACTTACTTCCCTCAATTGTGTTGTTGAAATGAGAGAGCAATAGGATGGGGAAGATTCCAACCATTGGACAACAACCTAAACATTCTTCTATTACAGCATCAGCTCTGATTGCCTTAGATTTTTGAGGAAATACCTTTTGCCTCATTAAACTGAGGATGGTTTGTACACAAGTTATTCCATATAGACTAAATCCCAAGTCTATACAGAGAAATCAGCTATGTTTGCGAAGCAGCTCTGTGGGCAATGGGGTAGCTCGTTACCTCTATAAGAATGTGGTTGCGCAGGATCAACTCCTACAGAAACGTGAATGTGATGTTCTTGATGATGTTTAGCTCCTCGCTGTTGATCCAATGATCCCTTTTAATAAGCAACGATGGTATTAGGTTGGTGCAAAAGTATTTGTGTCTTTTGTCATTGAAAGTAACAGCAAAGCCTGGGCGCGGTGGCTCACGCCTGTAATCCCAGCACTTTGGGAGGCCGAGGCGGGTGGATCACGAGGCGGGTGGATCCTGGTTAACACAGTGAAACCTCGTCTCTACTAAAAATACAAAAAATTAGCCAGGTGTCGTGGTGGGCGCCTGTAGTCCCAGTTACTCGGGAGGCTGAGGCAGGAGAATGGCGTGAACCCGGGAGGCGGAGCTTGCAGTGAGCCGAGATTGTGCCACTGCACTCCAGCCTGGGCGACAGAGTGAGACTCCGTCTCAAAAAAAAAAAAAAAAAAAAAAAAAAAAAAAAAAAAAAAAAAAAGAGAAAGTAACGGCAAAAACTGCAATTACTTTTGCACCAACCTAATACCTAAAACGGTGTGATGTTTGTCTAGCATAATTGTGAAAATGACCCTTTTTCGTGCTATTGACTTATAGCCCTCAAATGTCCTTGACATTTACATGCATTCCTATGGCTCTTAAACAGACTTTGTGTTTAGAAAATGTAAAGTATTTCTGCTGCTTCTGATGAAACTTTTCACAAGTCTTCTAAGCAGAAAGTCCTTCCAGTTTGGTGATCCACAGGAGGAATTTGCTTGAATTATTTCCTCCCCTGTTTCTTTTCCTAATAATTTGTAATACAAGTTCTAACATGAAATTAAAATTCTTTTATAATTTCATTATCTAGAAAGTTATTTTGCAGTCTGCTGAGGATCCGATGTTGAAGTACAGCACAGTGTACAAAATAATTCTTGTTTTAATACATTGCTATGGCTCTCAAAGGAGCCTCCGCTTGGCTCAGTTCATCATTAGTTTCTATATTACTCAGGTTTCCAGGTCTTTAATACAAAATGAAAATTAAACAATATTCATTTTGCCAGGGCAGTTCATAGAGAAATTGGTTTTAAAAACCTTATATTTTCCAATTAGAAAGGCTCTTGTAACCATGTCTTGTTTTCCTAGTTGTTTAGAACCCAAACACTAGAAGCCAGAAAACCTTCAGAGAATGGACTCAGAGCCCCCAAGCCCCCATTGCAATACACACCATTACTACTGATGGGCACTAGTTAAAACCTTATGAAACCACTAAGCATATTGCAGGAAACCAAATTCAAACAATATACACCCCCAGTGAGTTCTTCAGGAGATCCAAAGAAACATTTTTAGCTTGTACATAAATTAAAAAATGAGTATTTTTAACTAGTAGTAATTATGGTATTTTGGCTTATTTACATTAGGCCATTTTTGTATTCAAATATCATAAAGCCACATGGCATGGTGAAAAGGCATGAGCTTCGCAGCTTCAAAAATGTTGGACTGAATTCTGTTCTGTACCTTAGAAGAACAAATTGAATTAGCCACTTTAAGCCTCAGTTTACTCATTTGTAAATAAGAGATAATTGTGCTACCTCATAGGGTTGTTATGAGTATGAGATAAAACATAATTGAACACCTAGCATGTAACTTGGCATAGAGCAGCCTCCTATTAGATTTTCCTTTCTTTTCCTTTTACCTATCAATTATTTAAAAATGGAACTGGGTAGAAAAGCATGAAAGTAGAGCCTCCTGAATTTTGCTGCTGAAAGTCAGGCTCAGATATGTGGATCAGACTTTATAAAATCTCACCAAGCCCCCAGCATTGATATTTCTATAGCATTAACAAAAGAGAAAAATGAGATTTTTTTTCTTTCTCTGGCCTATTATTTTTTGATTCTTTTTTTGTTCACTCACTTACAGTGTATTTAAGTGGAAATCACTTCAAGCCCTTGGACCACCCTCCGAAAGCTTTGCTAAATCTCACATTTTTTGGTTTCACTCCAGATACAGTACTGTGTCCCCTACCTTTGAAGTCTTTGAAGTGTCCACATTGTAGGCTGAACCTGTAGTGAAGCCCAAACTGGTGGTTTTGACTGCACAAACCCATGTAAAGCTGGGACAGGTGGATTTGAAGCCTGATATGAGAAGGGGTGGTGTTCGCTTCCCTTTCTTGACCCCCACCTCTCTCCACTCTTAGTCTCTTCAAACACTCCTGCTATAGTCACAGACATATCAAAGACCACTGTACTATGGCTGCAGTGACACTGAGGCTGGAAGTGACTGCTTTACCCGACCATATCTGTTCACTGCCTTAGGGAGTGAACTGAAGCGAGAAGTACATCATCAGGTGTTTTATCGCAGCTGATGACCTCATGTTTCTTTACCTGGGAGAGATTTGAATCAGAAGTAAAGGATGGCATAAGACATTTGGAATGTGGACTATATATTGCAAATTATTATAAAATGTTATTATTATAAATTATATAATAAATATAAATGTGATTTATATTTTTATAGTTCTGCAATGTATAACCATATCTTTTAATTTTATATTATTTTTCAGTTTTAAAAATAAATATGAATGGTATCATACTATACAATTTTGTTTTTAGTTTGGAAGTAGTAGGTTAGTGAAGTTAAGAGCTAGACTGCATTGGAATACTTCTTTGCCACTAACTAGCTGTATGACCAGGTAAATAATTTGCTCTTTCTGTGCCTCAGTTCCCTCCTCTATTAATGAGATTATAATAATACCAATCTCTCAGGCTTGCTACTATTGTGACTTGTGCTTAATATTAAATATTAATAAGAATACAGTTAAATATTATATAAATTAACATATATAAGTCACTTAGAACAACACAAGGCTTTGTGTTACAAATACATTGTAAGCACTATGTATTTGCTCTTATTGTTAAAATTATGTTTAACTGCTATATCATATATTATTGTCTAAATATGCCATAATATATTTATCTATTCTCCTATTGATGAGTATTTACTTCTTTCAATGAGAAGTATAAAAAGAAAATGAACATTTTTGCGTGCAGTGCCTGAATATGATATGCAAAAATATCTGAAGAAGAACACTCAGAAGAGGAATTCCTGGCTTACAGGGTATGAACACCAACAGATTTACTTGTTACTGCCAAATGGCTCTCCAAACAGTCAGGCTAATTCACGCTCCTAATGTCAGTGCATGAGAATTTCCATTGCTGTACATCCTTGCCAACTGTAACATTTTTACCAATCTGGTGGGTGTGAAATGGGAATGAATGGCATCTCATTGTTTACATTTTATTATCAATTGGGCTGAGAGCCTTTTTCAAGTGTTTATTGGCCATTTGCTATTCCTCCTCAGTTTCCATCCATCCCTTGCCCATTTTTTATTGAGTTTTCTTTTCCTTATTGATTTGAAGGAGTTCTTTAAGTATTTTTAGATACTAATTATCTATTCGTTTTATTGATGTAACAGACTGTTCCAAGTCTGTGACTTGTCTTTTAACTTTGATTATACTATCTTTTTGTGAAAAAATTTAAATCTTATAATTAGTTCAATGCATCAGTTGTTTCCTTTATAGGTTGAGCTTTTCTGCAACTTGTCTAGAAAATTCTGCCCTCACCCAAGTTGGTAAAGGCATATGCCTACATTTTTTAATGAAAATTATAAGAGTTTTGGTTTTTATGCATAGATCTTTAGTTCAGGTGGAATTTGTTATTTATGGTGTGAAGTATGTTTCTATTTTTTCCGTATTGATAACCAATTATCTCAACAAAAGTTTTGAGTGCTCTATTTTAATTTTTTCATAGATTTATAATGTCCATTCTGTCATGTAAAAGGTAGCCATATATGCAAAGTGTTCTTTCTGAGCTTCCTATTCTGTTTGATTCATCAACGTGTTTAACTTGCATCAATAGCGTATTTCAAAATAGCTTTAAAATACATTTAATATCTGTTACGGTTTTTTTCACTTTGTTTCTTTTAAAAATAAACTACTTTTGACATTTTGCTCTTTTGTGTCAAGTTCCATGAAAAACTCTGTTGGCATTATAAGCTGAATACACTGGTGATACAGATGAATTTGGAGAAACTTATATCTTTATATATGCCTTCTAATCCACTAGCATGACATAGTGCTCTATTTAGGTCACAATTTATGTGCTTCACTTATATTTTCCTCATATTTTATATTTTTATCCATAAAAATGTTGAGTCTTATTTCTTAGGTGTATTTTGAAGAAGCTAAAGATTTTGCTTGCCATTTTAAATGGAAGGTTGTATTTTTTTCATTTATAATTTTTGATTTGTATATATGGGTATATAGAAGTACTCTATTCTTTTAAAGCCCTAATCATAAGTTTGTAAGTCTCCTTCAATTTTCTGCATAGGCAAGCAGTTTTATTTCTTCATTCAGCCTTTATGTTTTCTATTTTTCTTGTCTTATTGCATCATCTATAATATATAGTGCAAAGTTGAATGGAAACTATAATAGAAGGCTTTTGTGTCTTTTATCTGATGTCAGTATTATGCAGTCACAGGCTGCTGATTGCTGCAGGTTTATTTTACTTTTTTAAGATCAGAAATTTTTATTCTGGTAAAAAACACATAACACATCTTTCTTAACCATCTTTAAGTATACTGGAGCTGTGGGTTTTGATTGATGCCTTTGGTGAGGTCAAGAAAATTTCCTAGAACAGCATTATACTTTCTAACAATTTTATTTTAAATCATGAGTCTTGAATTTTGTTGAACTTGTTTTTGCATATGCTGAGCTAATCATTTAGTTTTTTCTATTTTAATCTGTCAGCATAATATTTTCCATTAATGGCTCATTTTTTATACAAACTATCTTTGCATTCCTGGGATAAATGAAACATGGGCATGGATGAAGATGTAGGGGATGGGATATGTAAAGGTCTCAGAGAAGAGCAGTCCAAGAAGAGAGGTCAGCAAGTATGAAGCTATTGAGTTAGCAGGATGTTTGGTCTACTTGGAAGATGGCTGAGTAGCATGGTCCGATGAGAGTACTATTCCATCTAGGACATCCCTGGTGACAAATTATCCAGGCAAGGAATTCAGTGCTTATCAGGGCAGTGTGCTCCTTGAACATCTCCCTTTATCTTCTACCCTAATTCTTCTATTGATTCAGACCACATATGTTACCCTTTTTTGCTCTTTGGAAGCAGAGCTAAACTTTGTGCTCTCTCTAATTCATAAAGCTACGTCTCTGTGGGCTGAATTTCTCCTATGACAAAATTCTATAATTCACTTCTGGACCTTTTTGGCCAGCATTTGAACCTGACCTATATAGATAGTGGTGAGTGAACAGAAAGTATGCCTGAGACACACTGGACTATTTCCTGGGTCTGTGCTGCTAAATACTATCTTTTATAAGTGATTGGAAGAACACTGGAAACATCTCCAAAATGTGCTAAGTTGATCCTGATTATTGTGAGACACAGGAGGAAAAGATATCATTCTATTTCAAGTGAGTCAAATTAATAGAGATATTATATTTTTCTGGACTTTGTTCAAAAGTAAGATGTCCTGGAAGTCTAAGCATAGTAAACACACTCCTTGTATACTTTGGATCTAAGATTTAGTGCTAAAACTGGAAGGCAAAGAATTGGAAATACTGAGTGGGACACATGTAATACATTTTAAAAAGGCTGGAGGGGGAAAACACTAGAACTCTGTCTCACCTATGTGTGGGGCCAAAGGCAGAACAATCTCTATATGCCTTTTGGGGCAGATAAACCCATCCATCAAGCTGCATCTGGTGCACAGACTGAGGCCTTGACACCTATGTGCTGAAGGATTTATTGGCCTTGTTCAGGGACTCGTAAACCTACTTCTTGGTTTTTCTCTGGCTCCTTGTCCATGCTGTACTTTGAGTCACTAAGCCTATTGGTTATGCTGGTTGGTGTTTCAGTCCTCTCCTTTGTGAAGAAAGAGTACTACACTTTTTATGCCTTTGAGTATCTCAGAGGCTTAGGCAACTCCTTAGCAAAGAAATCTTCATACTCGCCGACAGATGACACAATGACAAAGCAAGGGGATTGTATTTTTCTCTCTAACCTTTGTGTTATCTCTCCGTTTTTACACTTTGCACTAGCGCATAGTTTGGCCTGCTAGTTTGATGGCATTTTTTTTTTCTTTTCTTTTAGGTTCTTCTTTGGAATTGGTGGCTGGCTGCTTGCTTATGAGTGTAGACATGTGACCCAAACACTCCTCCATCACTGCTCTGTGGCCTCAGGTAGCTAACAGCTCAGACACATCCACCTTTGTCATTTGACACCTTAGTTTTGCTCTGCCCTGAGACTACCAAGCATAGGTTTACGTGGGAAGGTGAGGTAAAGTATTTTTGTTTCAAAAGAACTATTTGCCTGAAAAAGCACTTATCTTGAGATTTCTTTAAATGTTAAACTCTCCAAATATCTCTCTAATTAATTCTATTTGTGAAAATTCTATTTAGATATTCAGTAGATGTGGTATGGTATGAATTAGCACGTGTCTATAGCAAATTACAATACTAGATGTAAAACATATTTGAAATGAATTGTTATCATTTTGAAACTGTTCAAATTGATGTAGTATTTTAAAATGATAAGCTGTCCTGTGCTGCATTGAAAATCCCTTGAAAGGTGTGTGGGGAATGTGCTATTGGAGGCACAAAAATGTCTGGTTTTAAAACAATAGTAACAATAGATACATATTTGAACTTTAATGATTCCAAGTATTTTTCTTATAATGTTTCTTATAATTCTCATATTAACCCTTTGAGGTATGTGGTATTTTTACCCCGTAGAGAATCAGGATAGTCCAGTAAATAAAAGCTTATGTCTTGGATCCAGACTGGGTTTTAAATCTGGGCTCTGTTACTTAACTAAATGTGTGAGCTTGGGCAAGTGTTTAACCTCTCTGTGTCTTGTATTTCTTATTGGTGAAACGGGCACTTATCTTTATCGATGATTAAATACATTAAAATATCTAAAACTCTCAGAACAGTTCCTGGCACATAATACTCAATAAATGTTAGTGCTGATTATCTCTTACAGAGAGGTAAACATTTTTACAGATGCGTAAACTGAGGAACTGAGGCACAGAGTGGTTAAGATGACTTATCTGAGATTAACATATTAAGTATAAGAGCTAGAATCTAACCCTGGAAGAGTGACCCAACACAGATGTCTTTTCACCGGTACTCATACAAGAAACTATTCCTTGTGGCAGGAGGAGCCAGCCAATATATTTTATTAAATATATTAATTCTGTAAATGTGCAGGTGGTATTACCCATTATTATTCTCTGAATGTACTAGAAATTGCAAAAATAAATTCTGGCTAAAGTTTATCTTCGGGTAGAGTTAGCTTTATTTGTAAATGCCAAGTAATCTTGTAACCTGTTTCTGTCCTTTTCTGGAGGAGAGAGCATCACTGCTTTGTCAAGATCAATTAAACTAAACAACATATATGGACTTAAGGGTAACAAGGACTCCAAAGATCAAATGTGTAACTTGGAGTCTCTGCTCTCTACCAGCATTTTAAAGCCCCTGTCTTCCTCTTCTTCACTGCCTGGACTCTCTTGTATCAATATCTCTAAGGCTCTCTGTCCTTAATTTTTTTCTGTCTCATTATTTAATAACCTAAACCTATATCATACTACAAATACTAAGGAAGACAAAGAGTGCTTGTTTATAAAAGTTGTGATTATAAATCACCAAATAGTGAATATGTTGGACTAAGGAAATTAAATTAAAATAATACTGATGGACTAAGGAAAAAAGAAAGAAATTTAATAGGAGATCAATATCTTAAGTTAGTTTCACGGAGTATTTGGCTAGATTTTGCTTGATGGTAGTTCATATAAAAATACCTTATCATTTTGGGTAATACAAGTTCAAAATGAATCAACAGGCACACTTTTGCTCTAAGACTTTGTATACTTTTGGACTATGTGAACAGATGTAGGTTTCCCAAGTCAAGCAATGTCAGACATCAGTTGTGCCAGCCACGCTCAATGCATCTTGTGTTGCATTTTAGAAGGGGCTTTGAGAACCTGGAGATTTCAGGCACTGATCATTAGGAGGTCATAAAAGTCATGATTTAAGAGTCTGAAGGATGGTTATTTTGGGAAAAAACAAATATAGCATGTACTTCTGTTGGTGTGTTTCTACAATGTCCCAGTTCACATGATTGGAAGGAGGCCCCTGACAGGATCAGCAAGCAATGAACATATCTCCTAGGAGAGGCAGCAGCTTTCTGCTGTTGTATGCAGTTTATTTAGTGTGATGGCTGTGGGCCCACAGAATCAGTCAAAATCAGGAGAAAAATGAAATAATCACAGGAGAACCTTGGTTTCAAATGAAGCAGAAGAAATGTTGGGATTACCAAGAAATATTTTTGTTGAGTGAAAGGATGTTCTGAATTTCTAAACACAATAATCATTTTAATTAATTTAATTATAAGTACATTTTTATATCACATCACTTGGGATGATTTTCAAATTGCCTTATAATTAAGTAAAGTGACTCAGTTCTTTCAAAGATAAGTTACTTTGGGAACTGCTGAAAATATGGTCGTTGACTAGACACAATATAGGTGAGTAAGAAACAATTCTAGAAGCAATTCAGGGTGAGTATGTATGTGCATGTGTTTATAAATCATAGAGTTCGTTAGTGCTATCTTTTTTTAACAAATAAAAATTGATAGCATCACTTTAATGGGTGTGTTAATTTTCTATTTTACAAATGCATTGAAATTTTAAAAAACAAATCTCTAAATTGAGGCATTTAGGTTTGTCAACCTTTTCCTATTATAAATAATATTTTTTTCAGCATACGTCTGCACACATTCTTATACACATGTGTAATTATTTCCCTAGTTCAGGTTCTCAGAATTAGAATTGCTGGCTTAATGGAATACATCATTTAAGGTATGTTTCCAGATTAGTTTACCTCAACCCATATTTCTACTAGCATTTAGCAAGAGTACCGTTTCCCCCAGAGTATCAACAGACTTTTAAAATTTTTCCAGTGGATAAGTGTAACATGTTATTTCCTTATTGTTCTCATTATATTTACTTGTGAGAGTCAATATATTTTGTTAGGTCAATTGATTATTTCTATTTATTTTGGCGAATTACTTTTTCTTTTTATAAGAATGTCGTTCTTTTAGTTTAGTTTAAAGAACACTGTAGCAGAAAACATTGGTACTTCACCCACATGCCCTCAGATTTCTTTCCCATTTTTTCAGACACTGGCTTTGATTATGTTCTTTCTCCCAACAAGAAGTATATTTATCTCTCTGCACAGGGGCTTCCAGAAGTAGATTTGCTGTGTGCCTAAGGGGTGGGCAGTGGTGTCCTCAACCAAGGGCTGACTGGCAAGCACATAGCTATAAACACCAAAACTCCCTCAGCCCATGAGGGAGGAGACAAATCTGAAGTGTGACTTGCACTGTGTCGGAAGTCTCCTGCATGAATGACCCTAGGTTACCCTCTGCACGTATTTGCTTGATATTTCAGCCTTGCCTGGCTTCCTTTCCTTTCTTGTCCTTCTGCCTCAATCCTTGACAATTTTCCTAATGACTTTTACACAAATCCTTGTCTCAGGATCTGATTCTGTGAAACAAAACTTAAGGCTAGGTGTGCTGGCTCACGCCTGTAATTCCAGCACTTTGAGAGGCCGAGGCAGGTGGATCACCCTGAGGTCAGGAGTTTAAGACCAGCCTGGCCAACATGGTGAAACCTCATCTCTACTAAAAAGACAAAAAAATTAGCCGAGTGTAGTGGTGGGTGCCTGTAATCCCAGTTACTCTGGAGGCTGAGGTGGGAGATTCACTTGAACCTGGGATGGGGAGGTTGCAGTGAGCCGAGATCATGCCACTGCACTCCAGCCCGGGCAACAAAAGTGAAACTCCATCTTAAAAAACAAAACAAAACAAAACAAAAAACCCTAAAATCTTAGGACAAACATTTTCTTCATTAAGAGTATTTTCTCTCTGTTGTAATGATTAGAAATATTTGCCACACTTATTTTTTCAAACTTTTAAGTTCAGGGTACAAGTGCAAGTTCGTTACATAGGTAAACTTGTGTCATGGGGGTTTGTTGTACAGATTACTTCATCACCCAGGTATTAAGCCTAGTACCCATTATTTATTTTCCTGATACTCTCCCTCCTCCCACCCTCCACCCTTCAAAAGGCCCCAGTGTGTGTTGCTCCCGTCTATGTCCAGATGTTCTCATCATTTAGCTCCCACTTGTGAGAACATGCGGTATTTGGTTTTCTGGGTTAGCTTGCTAAGGATAGGACATGGATGGAGATGGAGGCCGTTTTCCTTAATCTCATTTTCTTTTAGAAGTGTTTTACCACATATGCTGTATTGTTTTGTCATATACTGAGGCAAATTAGGTTTTCTTTTCTTTTATACACTCTACTTTTGCATATTTCTTAACAATTTCTTTATATAGAATTATATATAATAATATTTATTTCTCTTTTTATATAAATAGTTCACCTTTATTTAGTTTTCTATTTAAATTCATAGATTTACTCTGCTTATGGTTTGTTGAGGTTCTTAAAGAGTTTAGAGTTCTCATCAAATTTGAGAAATTTTCAATATTATTATTTTAAAAAATAGTTTTCTGCCTCCCTCTGTGACTTCAAGTATATATTTTAGACTGCTTTGTATTGTCCCATAGAACCCTGATGCTGAGTTCAGTTTCTTAAGTCTTTTTTTTCCCAATTCATAGCTTCATTTTGAAGAGTTTCCATTGCTATGCTTTCAAATTCATTGATTTTTTTATTGTAGTATCTAATCTGCTAATTATATCCAGTGTATTTTTTATGTCACATACTATATTTTCCCTCTTTAGAAGTTCCATTTGTGTTTTGTAATATCTTCTATTTATCTCCTCATGATATTCATGCTTTCCTCTGTCTTCTCTAATGTTTAAAGTGTACATATAGTAGTTTCGACATCCTTGTCTACTAGTGTTATCTTCACTGTGATTTCTGTGTCTGTGTCCATTGATTGACTTTTTTTTCTGGTTTGGATCATATTTTCCTGCTTCTTGGCATGTCGGGTAACCTGCAGAGTGTTATCATTCTTTGAATGCCAGACATCATGAGTTTTGATTGGATGGCATACATTGTGAGTCATATACTATTGGTTGTTGGATTTTATTACATGTTTTTAAATAATGATGTGTTCATTTTGGTGTGCAGGTAAGTTTTATAGACTCAATTAGATCTTTTTGAGACTCTCCTTTAAGCATTGACAGGGCAAGTCCAGAGCAGCTTTAGTGTACTGCTAATTTAGTCCATTGCTGAGGTAATACTCTCTGAATATTCCACTCAATGACGCATGTCTTATCCCTCTAGTAGTTGACAGCAAAACGATTCCCAACCCTGTGAAAGCTCTAGGTATTAACTACTCCTTTCTGGTGGTTTCTTCCCTATCCTCAGGTAGCTTTCCTCCTACATGTACAAAGCAGAGCTCAGCCAGTCTTAGAGTAACCCTCATGCATGTTGGCAGCATTCAGTCTGTGGACAGCCTCCTCCTCTCTGCTACTTTGCCCTACACGTTTTAACTGCCTTGGTCTTTCCAAACTGTAATCTCTGTCTCCTCAACTAAGTGGGGCAACTGAAATCTGTTGGAGTTCCTCCTCTCTGCTCTGTGGCCTGAAAATTCTTCAGGCAGGAAGCCTGTGCAATGACAGGGCTCACCTTATTTGTTTCCCTTCTCTCAGGTGTCATGGTCTTGTGTTCCCTCTAGATGAGTGTATGAAACCATTGTTTCATAGGTGTCGTCCAGTTTTCTAGTTGTTTAATGTGGCAAGATGAGTGTGGTCCCTAATTCTCCTTTGTTGCTGGAATCAGAAATCTTTGGTTGATGTCATTTGATATCCTTTTCTTCCTTAGTTCTTCATCACCATTTTGACTGCAAACTGGGCAGATAAATGAAAGGTCAGTAGTTAGTGAGGAGTCAGTCCAAGACAGCAAAGAAGAGAGGTGGAAAGAAAAGATAGTTTTAAACAAGGGTGGCAGAGGGACTTCCCTAAGCATAACTGTTCTTGGAATTATCTTTGTGCCTCTTTACATTTCTGTGTCCCATTAGCCTACCAGCTGTGCTTATTAAAGATCTCCAGGTAATAGCCATCAACCTTGTGAGAAATAGGAACTTCCATATCCCTCGGGACTTCTTTAAGTGATATTTGAATCTCACAAATAGCCACTTGTGCCATTCTCTCAGCATTCAGCTAACGAGAATTTTTTGTTCTACTCCAGACACTTCATTTTCTGCCTCTCTTCACAGGTAAGAGAAGTTACACATTGAAGAACTGGCTAATCATTCAGTTCCACATCACTGAACTACCTCAGAGGAAACTTAAAATGCTGCAAAATCATGATTACTTATCCAAAGAGTATACTTATCCAAAGGGTTTTACACTTACATTTTTAGTGTCTGGATGAATCTGTTGATATAATCATTACTTTCATCTCTTTCCTTGACTCAGTAAGAAACCAACTGGCATGTTATATATTACATATATAGCTACCTTGTATGGAAATTTTAAAGAATAATAGTGTGGCTTTTAGGATTGACTTACTAGAGAAAATAAATAAACATAAGATAATATTTTCATCTAAACTTAAAAAATATTTTCATGTGAAGTAAGTCATATATACAGAAAAATATATAAAACATAAATACATAGTTTAATAAGTAATAGAAAGAGAACTTGTAAGTTTCCATGACCCAGGTCAAGAAATATAATGCTGCCAAGACCTGAAATGTCTCCTACGCATTCCTTCATTGTGATAACTCTCTCCCTCCTCTAAAGGAAATGGCTACTCTGAATTGTGTGATAATTTCTGTGTTTTTCTTTGTATTTTACCACCTATGTATGCATGCCTATACAATATAGTCTATTTTTATGTATTTTTGAACTTTATTAAATTAAATCATAGTCTGAATTCTATGGTGTCTTCCTCTTTTACTCAATATCACATTTGTAAGATCCATTGATATTGTATATAGCCACAGTTAATTCACAAGGGTAGTTCCTAATACTGCATTCTGGAAAGCCATAGTCATTAATCCACTCTACTGCTAGTATATATTTAGGTATTTTCAATTTGGGTCTCCTAAGAACAATGTTTAAATGGGTGTTTGGGGGCGTATGTCCAAAATGTTTTCTCTAGGGTAGATACCTAGGAATCAGTGGGCATATAGTATTATCTCATTGCAGTTGTTTGAATGTGTAATTCCCAGGCTACCAGTGAGGTCAATCTCCTTTTATATGTTTACTGGCCATTTGGTGCTTTTGTTTTTGGACATGCTTTTTTGATTATTTTGCTCAATTTTAAATTGTGTATGTGTGTGTGTATGTATATAAATTGTATATTTAAAATATACATATTTGTATGTATTGTAAATGTTTTCTTCCACTCTGTGATTTGCCTTTTTGCTCTCTTTGTGATGCTTTTGATAAGCAGAAGTTCTTAGCTTACTAGAGTTAAATTTACCAATCTTGTACATTATTATCAGGGCTTTTGTGATTTACTTAGGGAATTTTCCCTACTCTGAAGTTGTATAGATATTCTCCTCTATTATCACACCAAAGCTTAGTACCTTGCCTTTAAGTCTTAGATATTTATTCCACCTGGAACTAATTTGTGTGTATGCTTTGAAATGATGATTTAATTTTTGCCCATATGGACATCAAATTGTCCCAATAATATCTGCTTATTTTTATTTTGAGACACGGTCTCACTCTGTTGCCCAGATCTTGGCTCACTGCAACCTCTGCCTCCCAGGTTCAAGCAAATCTCATGCCTCGGCCTCCTAAGTAGCTGGGATTACTGGTGTGTGCCACCATGCCTGGTTAATGAATTCTGAATTCTGCCTGAATTTTGTATTTTTAGTGGAGATGGGATTTTGCCGTGTTGTCCAGGCTGGTCTCAAACTTCTGGCCTCAAGTGACCTGCCCGCCTCAGCCTCCCAAAGTGCTGGGATTATAGACAGGAGCCACAGAGCACTGCCAATATCTGTTTAAAACAAAGTCTGACCTATTTTCACTGATTGGCATTAACACTTCTGTTCTCAAGGAAATGTCCATATATATATGTATAGTCTCTTTCTGGGCTTTCTTTCATTGAATTTAAAAAAATTTTATTTTTAAATTTTTGTGGGTACATAGTAGGTGCATATATTTATGAGGTATATGAGATATTTTCATATAGGCATGCAATAAATAATAATCACATCATGGAAAATGAGATACCTATTCCCTCAAGCATTTATCCTCTGTGTTATGAACAATCCAATAATAGCCAATTAAATTCAACACTATAGAAAATAGATAATATATCATGACCAAGTTGGGTTTACTCAGGAAATTCATGGTTGATGTAACATTTTAAAATAATTTAACATTTAAAATATATATTGGGTACCATATATATATAGTATATATAGTATCATATTTATATATGTGTGTATATATATACTATAGCGTATATATATACAGTATATATACTATAGTGTATATATACTGTATATATACATATATATGTATATGTAGTATACATACAGTATATATAGTATGCATATAGTGTATATATATACAGTATATATAGTATATGTGATATACTATATACTATATATACTATATACTATACACTATATATACTATATACTATACTATATACTATATATGCTATATATAGTATACAGTATAAACTATATACAGTATATATACACTATATACACTATACATACTATATATAGTATACACTATATACACTATATATAGTAACTATATATACACTATGTATACTATATATAGTATATATAGTATATAGTATTTATAGTGTATATATAGTATATATAGTGTATATTTAGTATATATATAGTACGCTATATATAGTATATATAGCGTATACTATATATACTACATATAGTATATATAGTGTATACTATATATACTATATATGCTATATAGTATACACTATATATACTATATATGCTATATATACTATATATAGTGTACACTATATATAGTATATATAGTGTACACTATATATATAGTATATATATATACTATATATACACACTATATACATACTGTATATATACACACTATATACGTACTATATATACACACTATATACGTACTGTATATATACACTATATACGTACTGTATATATACACTATATATGTACTGTATATATACACTATATACGTACTGTATATATACACTATATACGTACTGTATATATACACTATATATGTACTGTATATATACTATGTATACATATATGTATATATACTATATATACATATTTACTATATATACAGTATATATACTGTATATGTATATACACTATGTATAGTATATACATACTATACATAGTATATATACACACATATATAAATATGATACTATATATACTATATATGGTGTATATATACTGTATATATACCATATATCTACCATATACAGTATATATATAGTATATATACTATATTGTGTATATAGTATATATACTACATATAGTGTGTGTATATATATACTATATATACTATATATAGTATATATACATACTATGTAGTATATAGTATATATAGTATGTATATATAGTATATACATAGTGTGTATATATACATATATAATATATGTATATATGTGTATATATAGTGTATATATACTCTATATATACACTATATATGTATACTATATATATAAAAGTACTGTATTTATATATATAAATACCCATTAACCATCCACACTCTCCCAACTCCTACTACCCTTCTCAATCTCTGGTAACCATCCTTCTCCTTTCTGTCTCCATGAGTTCAATTTTTTTCATTTTTAGCACCCACAAATAAATGAGAACATGGGAAGTTTGTCTTTCTATGCCTGACTTATTTCACTTAACATAATGACCTCCAGTTCCATACATGTTTTTTTCAAATGACCGGATAACAATCTTTTTTTATGGCTGCATAATTCCACCATGTGTATACTTACAACATTTTCTTTATCCAGTGATCTATTGATGGACATTTAGGTTGCTTCCAAATCTTGGCTATTGTGAACAGTGCTGTAGCAAACATGGAGGTACTGGGCTTTTTATCTTGTTTCATTTGCCTGTTTTTCCATCTTAGCACCATTATTACACTGCCTTAATTACTAAAGTTCTATAATCAATCTTTATATATGATTTGGATAAGTTTCCAAATTTGTGTTTCTTATTTAATGTTGTCTTGATTCTTGGCTTTTTTCAGCATATAAAGTTTCAGAGCCATTTTTCCTTTTTTGTAAGGCAAAATTTCTAGAATTTTGATTGGGTTACACTGAATCTAAAGATAAATTTTAAGAAAGTTGACATTTTTATAATATTGATTTTTTTCAACCCCCATGGGTAATCTATTTCCCAATACATTTAGGTATCCTTTAATATTTCTTAATAAAGTTATATCTTTTTCCCCTCAGAGATTTTTATATTTGTGTAACATTGCTGCCTAGTCACTTAATATTGTTATCTAATTATAAATCATTAAAGCATTTTTATTTCTTCAAATTATTTTTCTTCTTCTATTGTGTTGATTTTTATATAATTTTTTTTCTTTTACTCTGTTAGTGTGGTAAATTGCTTTGATTTTAAAGTGTTACATCAACTGTGAATTTCCTGAGTAAACCCAACTTGGTCATGATATAGTATCTGTTTTCTATAGTGCTGAATTTAATTGACTACTATTGTGTTTAGGAATTTTGGATCAAACTTCCTGAGTGAGATTGACCTGTACTTTTCTTTTTTATATTGTTCATGTTTGCTTTGTTATCAGGGTAATGTTGGCCTCATTCAATGACTTGTAAGGTTCTTCTGTTTTTCCCCCTATTTTCTCGATGAGATCTGGTAAGATTGGAACAACAGATTTTTGAGTATTTGGTAAAAATTGTCAGAGAAGCCATCTTGGCTTGGAGTTTTATTTGTGGAAATACTTTTGAGGACTGATTCAATTGCTTTCAGATATATATATAATATATATATATTTTTTTCCTTAAGTCTGTTTCAGTGTATTGGTCAGCTCAGGCTACCATAATAAAATACCACAAACCAGGTAGCTGAAATAAAGAAGTGTATTTCTCACAGCTCTAGAGGCTGGAAATTTCCAAGATCAGGGTGCTGACAAGGTAGGTTTCACTCTTCTCTTGGCTTGTAGGTGGCTGCCATCTTTCCATGTGCTCACATGCCCTCTTTGTGCACATTCTGAGATAGGTACACATATATTAAAAATTGTTATATCTTCATGGTAATAATTTTTTACTGTATGAAGTGGCTTTAACTCTAATAAAACTTTTCATCTTGGTGTGTATTTTTTCTAGTATTAGTATAGATATGACAGCTTTTTCAGTGGTGTTAGCATTCTGTAACAGTTCCCATCTTTTTACTTTCCAAGTTTCTAAGGTTTTGTTTTGCTCTTTTTAAAATATTTCTTGTAAGGAGCATATAGTTGTATTGTGGGATTCTTTTTGCATTCTGAAACCATGGTTTTCACCTGGATATTTATCATATTTATCTGTTGGAGTTTAAATCCAGCTTTTTATTTTATGCTCTCCATTTGTCTCACTGTTGATTGGGGTTTTTTTTGTTTTTGCATTTTTGAACTGATTTTTAAAATTTTTACATTTCTTCCTATAATAGTTTGAAATTTATGCCCTATTTTTCTTCTTCCATGTGATTACTTTAGAAATTAAAAGATGACAGATAACCCACTCTGTTATTACGGCTTTCATTGTTGCTACAGAACAAGTCAGCAGTCAAATAATTACATGTTGGAAGGTGATCTTTTTTCTCTGGTTGCTTTCAAGACTTTTTATTTGTCTTCAGCCTTTTATAGTTTCACTGTGAGGTGTATATGTATGAATACTTTTAAAATTTGTCTTGCTTGGAATTTCTTGGTTTTCCTGAATTTATAGTCTCATCTTTTTTTGTTAGTTAGAAATATTCTAAGACAGTATTTTTTCAAATATTAGCTCTGTTACATTCTCTTTTGGTTTTCAGGGACTTCTGAGATACTATGTCCAGGAGGGAAGAGCATCCTGATTATGAGATAAGTAGCACAGTCATTGCTAACTAGTAGTAAGGCTAATATTTATTGAGATTAGATTGTGTCATATAGTCCTCAAAAGTATTTTACATGCAGGTATTTGTTATCTATTCTGTATAACAAACTACCCCAAAATAGCAGTTTGAAATAACAAGTGTGTATATCATTTCACACAATTTCTGAGAGTTAAAAGTTCAGGAGTGGCTTGGCTTGATGGTTGTGGCTCAGAGTCTCCACAGGGTTGCAGCCAAGCTGTTGGCCAGGAATACTGTCATCTGAAGGCTTGACAGGGGCTGGAGCTCTTTCCATGCTCACTCACTTGGTTGCTGGAAGGCGTTCTCAGTTTCTTGTTAGCTATTGTGGCATGAGACTTACGCCATATGCAGTCTGTGCTCGTCACCTCTTCAAGATTTTGCAGACAATAAGAGGGTACTTCATTTAGCATTAATTGCCCTGGGATTAGGGCCAAAGTCAGGAAAAATTATAAAATGGACAAAGGTTATGTATTACTTCTTTAAGTCTAGTTTGTTGTTGTTGAGTTTCTAATATTCATCTTTATTAATTTTATCAGCAACGCACACATGAAACATTATGGATCAGAGACAGATTTCTTATGAATTACCTCACAGTAAATAATAAGTGCATTGGTCTTCTTGCCTCAGGACTTATCCCTGGGACACAGTGATGAAAACCAAGTCAAATACCCTGTGTGAGTAGCCAGACACTCCATAGGTTAGAAATGAGGCAAAAGGATTTTTCTGTGCTTATAAAAGGTAGAGAGGCAGCTGCCCCTTCCCTCCTAAACAGGTTTCCTTGGAAGTGTAAAGGTCTTGAGTCCTAACTCAAACCCTTTGGTGTGGAAATAAAATGTGTCCAGGAGCCAGATAGGTCCAGGTGTCTCCAACCTAGAGATGTCTCTAAGTTCTGGTCTTCCTCTCCTTTGATGTGTAAATATGTAGAAAGGTCATGTTTCCTGTTTTCAGTGCTAACTTAGGTGCCTGTCCTGGGATTAACTGTTTGGCTTTTCCAGAGGTAAGAAAAATTTTATTATCCTTTGAATCAGTACAATTAGGGAAACACATGGCTACAGAGCTAATTTTTATATATGTGAAAATGTTTCTATGATAATTAAAAGAAAACAATTTCCATCTTTAGAGCTTATATGTTTTAATGGTTCAGTAAGAAATTGAGCAAGAAATCCAGAGAAGTTTTATTTCCTCCTCACTGGCCCAAGGAATGCCTTTTATGCCACCTTGGGCAAAAACATGGACTTTTCAATTGGCGTTCCTACCTCTTTTCCATGGGTTCTTGGACTTATTCCTGGAGGGGAACTACTCTCCTCTAGTAATAAAAGATAATAAGATATCATTTTCCTAAAACTATTGAAAACAATGAAATGCTTCTAGTCACATCAATGGAAAACAAACCCGCTTTTTTTTTTTTCTGGTCAAATAAACTTTTGATTTTCTTGAATCTAAGCTGGTCATTTTGCATACAGATTCCTTCCTAGAAGGCCAGCTGATAATTACTTATAGAATGATCAAATTTCTTTGCATCAGTCATCTATTGCTGAAGTAATGCTGCATGACAAAAAAGCCCCCTAAACTTAGTGGCTTATAAAACGAGGTGGTTGTTTTCTTTTCTTTTTTTTTTTTCTTTTGGCTTCATATTTGGCTGGGTTTGGCCGAAATCAGCTGTGCTTTTTTCCAGACTGAGGTTGGGTTCAGGTTTTCTCCATATAACTACTTGCTCTGGGAAGAGTGTCTACTTGTGGTATGTGTTCTTCTCACAGTGGGTGGCAGAGAAACAAGAGGCTGGCAGACAAATGTAATGTTTCTTAAAGCTTAACTGTAGAACAGGCACACTGTCACTTTCACCCACATTCACTGGCCAAAGCCAGTCATCTTATCAATTCCAGTATCAATGAGGTGGTAAAATGTTTTCTCTGCCCATAGTGGAAGACAAGTACTCATGGCCAAGGGCATGGAAGTCTGATTCTCTTAATGGAGGGAAGAAAAGTTTGGGAAAAATAATCCAATCTGTCCTACAAGGTTTTGATGTTTAGGACAACTTAGAAGTCTTCTAGTTCAACTCACTAGTAGATGTTTGAAAGTGGAATTTGTTATCTAGGAGGGATGTGGCAGAAAAACAAATATGACAGAGATGGATAGCTATCCACGAAAAACTTATGTTCTCCCTTCCCCAGAGTGATTATTTTGCTGGAAAGCAGATATCGGATGGTGAATAAATTTTCCAGTCCCTTTTGCATTCAGGTATGGACACATGACTAGTTTTCACCAATGCAATGTGGGCATAAATAAGCCTCACTTCCATTTTGAAGTCCAAGAATATCTTTTCCATCCTATTATGTTAGCCAGAAACAGAGGACACTGAGATACCAGAAGATGAATCCACGATATCCATAGCAGCCTTGGCTCCTCAGTTACCCTCTAGAGAAAAGCCACTTGCCACGCAGAAACATCCACACTAAACTGATAATGAATGATGAATATGTTGAGCCCATGAAATTTTGGTATTTATTAATTACAAAAGCTCATGTTACCTTCACTATTCTAAATAACTCAACAAGAAAAGTATTTAAAATCATGTGGCAGCTACATGAGGTAACAGGAAAACAGTAACTATTTAGATTTGAAATAAGTTTATAGCTTCCAATTCCTGTTCTGCCAATAAGGAACTGCTTGACACTAAGAACATTTTTAAAAACAAAAGGGTTTGGAGTTAATTAAACTTTAAGGTCACTTTCAGCTTTGAGATTTTAGATTTTCTTTTATTTATTTATTTATTTTTTTTGAGACAGAGTCTCGCTCTGTCACCCAGGCTGGAGTGCAGTGGCGTGATCTCGGCCCATTGCAACCACCACCTCCGCCTCCTGGTTTCAAGCGATTCTCCCACCTCAGCCTCCCAAGTAGCTGGAATTACAGGCACGCACCAAAATGCCCAGCTAATTTTTGTTTTTTTTAGTAGAGATAGGATTTTGCCATGTTGGCCAGGTTTTCAGGAGCCCTTTCCACAGTCTTCAGAGTATGTGGAGCAGAAACAACGTTCTCCTGTATGTTATGGGACTCTAACAGACAGAAAATAGGCAGACACTTTTCTGGGAGAGTGTGAACAAGAGAGACTTGTTTTTCATTCCCAAACAAGGCCCTACAGTGATTTGAACCTCAGCATCAGAGATGGATTAGAATCATCTTTAAGTGGCCTTGGGTAAGTCATTTAAACTCTTTGAGCCTTGGTTCCTATCCATATAATAGAGATATGATAGTGACTTTGCAGCATGGTTGTGAGGATTAAATGAGCTATTACACATAAATTCCATGGTGCGGTGATTGGCACATAATATTCATACAATAAATGTTCATTACTTTTATTGCAGTTATTCCTGTCTAGATTTGGTTAGAAGTACAGGATCTCCCTGCATACAGGCTACTCATAGGACTAGAGAACTGAATGATTAAAGCCCAGGAAAGATTGAAGAAAGTGTCTTTGTGGAGGGCCTAGAGTCATGATAATAAAACCCAAATGACATAGATCTCTCACTGCAAATCCACTGGGCTTAGAAATGACAGGAGAGGGTACTTACACTGTCAGCATCTTAATACATAGAGAACTTTAAACAGATTTTCAAGGCTATGTTGTCCAAGCATACACAATGCTAAGTAACTGCACAGGGAGGCCATGCATTTGAGTGATCATCAGAGAGTTGTCTGCCTTGTTTTGCTTTTGACATCCACTAAAGAAAGCAAGGAAACCAACAGAACTTTATAATTTAAATAATAATAAAGGGATAAGTATTTGGAATAAGGGTAAGAGTAGCAATTCAGATCTGCTGTTTCTAATGACCATAGTATTTTGAAAGAAGAAAGCAGCTCCTGCCTGTTCTTCAAGACAGCCTCATTGTGTGACTTTGGGCCACATAGTGTGAGTCACTTATTGAGGGCAGATGGGAGCCACAGGCCACTTTGTGCCAGGGAGGCTCTTAAACATGAGAAGGACTGAGTTTTGCTTGGAGATCAATTAGACAAAGTTAAAAATTCTCTTGAGGGAACATATGGGATCTCTGAACCATATCCAAATAGCCAAACCTCCCTAGCAGTAAAGATACTCAGTTCCATCTTTGCCATCTTCTTTGTCTCACTTTGATCTTTTCTCTCCCTAATAGTGTCAGTTGTTACCTTAGGTTATCATTTCTGATACAGTCTTGAAATTTGTTTTGCATGCATAAACCACTTCTTTATGTAGACTGCAAAATTTGCGTGTGTGTGTTGGGGGGCAGTGATTATTTCATTTCTTGTAATTTTAGGGATCTTCAAATGTGACCATCAAAAAGTTAAATACCAGGAATTTATTTAAAAAAAAAACCACTAATTAAAACAAGTTTCCAACCACCTGTGTAGAGCACATTCTGCATTTTTCATTTGGTAAAACTGGGTTATTTTTGAGCTTTTAAAGCAATACTAAAGTTCTCTTAAGGATGCAAATTCAGAATTTACATTTCTATTTTGTCCTAAGGCAGCGGCACAAGATTCCCTGAGTTGCCCACCAGGTATAATATGGTGGAATTGTGGGAGTTGAGAAAAAGACAAGTTAACTTGGAATGTTCTTGACTTTCTGAGTTCAACTCTGAATAGCAAGTGCTGGAGTGAACATTTTTCAAATTGCCAGTGATAAGTATTTTTAAAAGCCTATTTTTTTTAATTATGCCAGTTTAAAAGATGCAATTGGAACATAAGGCACATGCTTTAGTGAAGTCTGGTAGATAACTTGGTATGTGAAATATTTTTGTAAAAGTAGAAGAAAATGGTAGGAATGGTCGTGTTCAAAAGACTCTAATTCTACTGTCTTGGTGATTTATTTTCTCTAATGTACACTTCCTTCGAAAAGGAGGCTTGGTTTAGAAGGAAGAGGAAGATTCATTCTCATAATGTGAGAGTTCTCTGAAAACCTCTTTTCCTATTGACCCAGGATCCTTATTTTACTTTCCCTTTCAGTGCTAAATTATCTTTAACTACTATGACATTAAAAGAGACATATTAAGAGTCACCTTGATTAAAGAGGAATGATTGGGTCAAATTTTGCCTCTAGGTTCCTGAGCATATTTTTAGGAACCGATTTGCTACCAGATTTGTATCTTCTGTTGACTCCTTAGGTGACACAATTTATAATGCCCATAAATGGAAGACTAGGGGCACTTTGACTAGTTAACAGGCTCACAGTCATTTCATTGCAAAGACAGTCCTTGATAGAACAATGAGGAAAGTAATTATGATCTACAAAGACGACAGATAATTACTATACTGATGAGCACCAAGGCACAGGACCCTTCCAGGGTCGCAGAGAGCACAGATGGAGTGCTGGGAGCCTTTAAGATTTGCCTCCTAAGAGTAAAATGTACCCTTGGTTGAGTAACACCTATTAACCCTGTGTGTTTTATGATTCTATCTGAAGTTTGAAGATAGAGATACTAACAGTGGATGAGAAATTGGATTCGATGTTGGAAAGAGTCATTTGAAGGGAGTATCAGGGACACTGAGAAACAACTTTGTGTTGGCAAAATAAACACATGAATAGAGGGCTGGCTTTGTGCTTCCAAAAGTTTCTAGCTATTGATCAGTGCAATAGCTGTAAATTTCTTGGCTGATTACAATCAGCAAGGTTTTTCCCAAAGGACAATAATGGCCTCAATTGAAAAGTCTATAAGCAAGTTAGTTTGGACATTTAGACATGGCTCTTAGCTATACAAATAATGAATTTATGTCTTGCAAAAACCGAACTGAGTGAAGCATTGTCCTTCTTTTGGCTACTTTTCTCTGTGCCCAATCCCAACCACAATCATTTAGCTTGAAATTTGGTTATCTAATTCCCTTTACTATCTTACAAAACAAATTAATTTTATAGTTTCTTTCATTGCACTTCAGTCAAGCTTGTCTTAAAGTAAGGACAGTGTTATTTAAGATTTCCTTATGTCATGTGAGACTAATTGGTCTAATTCATTATGTAAAAACTATATGGGCTATGAGACAAATGAGGTAATGTATTTTGAACACTAGTATAATTGCTAATGAGATCTAATGTGAGTAAACTGCCTGTAACTTAAGTGTTTCAGGATGATGGATATGTTACACTTTACTAGGGGAAGAGCTGAAATAAGTTATAGCATCAGTTAGCAATGCACTTACAGATAAAAATAGAGAGCAAGGGATAATATAATTTTAATTAAGTATTTCACTTTAAGGTTAATTTTTTTGATGTGTTGTGTTTTTCCAATATGTTGGATTTCAATAAAATGTTAGCTCATGACCAACTGCTGCTTTTAATGGCTTTTGGACCAATGTTGTTGCACATTTATTTTGAGTAGGGTGTTTCCAAAGGGACAGCTGTTACCACAGAGCCAAGGTCCACAGAAACTTATGGTGTTTATCAGTCATAATTGAAAAGATTTACATTCCCTTGTGCAGTGACAAACCTTGGATGGCAATTTACAAATAGTGTGTAGTCTATGTACTTGAAGAGATAGAGAAGCAGATACAGGAGTTTCTGGGGCTATGGTTTTGCCTTCAGTTTTCTATTTGATGACACAGATGTGTATGGATTAACAACAGACACTTGGGTGAGGATAAGGATGTTTTTCCCAAATGTGAAAAAGGATGTCCAGCCAAGTGGTAAAGGCATAAAGTCCATGAGAGTTTAGCAATCTCTAGTGATGGTCAGGAAAACAGCATTTACAAGTCCTACAATGGTATCACCAGGTCTCATCTGGTGACTTGAATATAACAGTAGGACTCAGAGATATAATGTTCAGAGACCAGGTGGGCCAACCATTGGTGGGTATCCAGTCCCAAACTTTCGAATATTTGGTGTTAATGAAATGTTTCTGGGTTTTAACTCAGGAAACTGGCAAGAGCTGGGAGGAATTCAAGCCATAGAAAAAGACTGGAAAATAGATTTATCAGAGCAGAATCTTAGAACAAAGATAAAAGCTAAGAAATTATCCTATGAACTATGGGACTTGGCTTTGAAACTCAAACATATAGGACCTGTTATTCAAATGAGTTCTTATGATGAAGGAGAAAGCATATCAACCAACATTTGGGAATCAGTGTGGGAAGCCAAAGGTTAACATCCAGATTAGATCTATAGTATGGATAATTTAAAGAGCAAAACCACTAAAATGTAGATTCTATGGGAAGAAGATATCTTGTCTGCCTCTTCATTGTTGCCTCTCCAGTGCCTAGAAAATAGCCTGGTACATAGTGAGTGCTCATTGTATATTTTCAAAGGAGTAAGTAGAGGGTATAGAGTTCTCCATGCATCTAAAAGTGGTTTTGATAGAGCAACTTAGTTATAGCTTACCTTAGTCAAGGCTGACTCAGGGTGAGAGAGAATCCTGCGTTTCCAATAGGGAAACCAAAGGGTGCAGTGGGAGGTTAGAGAAGGAAAGTGCAGGGTGGAAAAGATTGAGAGAGAGAGAGAGACTGGTTGACCCAGCCAATGATAGAGCTTCTTTATGCGGCATCTCAACTGCTCAACCACTAGGGTCATTGTCATTACTTGAGAACTAATATTGAGGTCATTTCAATTCTTTAGGATTGTGACACTAAATTAGATTAGATTCCAATCTAAGTCCTATATAAGCGCACTTTCCAAGCCCAGCAAGAATTAGGTGTAATCTGAAACAATTGGTTATAAACCGGCCCCTATGTACTTACTTCACTTGTCTTGCCTCTTTCTGGGACCAGCCATTAAGGCACTGAGGTGGGAGAGGGAGCTGTTGGTTGTATATCTTTTTCAACCTCTTCTATTAATCAAATGACTTAAGGGATAGGGGAAGATGTATTTTTCAAGGAATGTGACACAGGTTCATAAAACGTGTAACAATATAAAATATAAACTAGTTGCCTTGTAAATTCTTGGTGGTAATTATAAAGAGAAAAAAATGATGTGTCATCCTTAGATAATTTGTAAGTCCTGTGCCTAGATACACGAATAGCAAGATAATTGAACATTTTCTTAACAACTTAGAATAATGAATGAACAAGAAATAGGTAGTTTTACTTGGAGTAATGAAAACCAACTAGAGAAAGTTACCAGAAATATAGTAAAATGGAATACAATAAAAATTATGCCAATAAAAAACTTTCATGGTGAAACATGGAAGCAGTAGGACATGTGATATTATGTCCCATAATTTAATTATAGGTATTTCTTGCTGCCTGATGTCTCCTTGTGTAAAATTCAGGACAGATTTTTGGCTTACTTAATACTTCTCTCTATCTGAAACCAGTATCCAAACTATAGCAATTTATACTCAAGAACCAAATAGATTTGCATAGAGAGGAATATGTGTATATAATAAACAATTTTAACTGATATAAGTAATATTACCCAGGACATTTTCCTCAGTCTAGAGGACACAACAATTAATAAAAATAAAAGCTACAGTTATTCCCTGGCTTAGCACCCATATGCTGGATGCTTGAAAACACAGCCCTTCTAATTTGTATGCTTGGTCTTGGAGATTTCTTTCAATCTGATATAGGCCTCTGCTCCTGCTTCCCTGTGGGTTACTGACCATCCTGGGATTGTCTCAGTGACAACTGTAGCCACATACTGTGGTCACTACTTACTAGTGTTCCTATTCTTGTCATCCTCATCTGTCGACAGATGAGGGACAGACATTATTCAGGAGCTGGGATGATGCTTTGGGGACAGCTCATCCTCATCTCTACCCCTAGTCATAACTATAACCTCTTTTACAAATTTTTGTCTCCGTATTTGTGTCAGAAACTGCTAATTGCCCTCCAGTATCCATTTGACCTTGGCAGGAGGCCATCTAACAAGAAACCACATATCCTAGCCTTTTGCATTTCAGTGTGGCTATGTGACACATGAAATGGGAATTTGGACAATGAAATTGTGTGATTACCTAGGTGACAAAATTATCTGTACACTAAACTCCCACAACATGCAATTTGCTATGGAATAAACCTGCACATGTACCCCTTGAACCTAAAATGAAAGTTGGAAAGAAAAAAAAAATTAAAGTGAGAGAAATCTGTTCTATTTCTGTATTATGCCCTTAAGCAAAGGAACTGTTTTTCCTCCATTTCACTTTTTTCTTCCTTTTGCCTGAGAAGTGGTGACAACTGGAGCTGCCATCTCACATCCAAAGATGGAAGGCATGTGTTAAGGATGGTAAGGTTCCCCCATTTACCGTGAAATGTTCGTCTCTGGCTTATTGCATGAGAGTCTAATTTAATCTGTTGTATTTAAGGACTCTGTCATAGCAGTTTAGCCTGACTTATGCAAGCAGCTCTTTCCAGGAGTTAGGTGTCTGCACCACATGCTAGACCTGATCAGCTCTTCCTGGACCTGTGGCCTTGAGTCATGTTAATATTTTTAGAACTTTTGATTTCTTTTATCCTGGGCAAGCCTGTGGGCCAGTGCACTTCTTTCTCTTGGAGTTCATGGTGCCAACCCTGCTCCTCTATGAAGCTAGTTTCCATTTCATCTCTGACCTTAGAACCTGATGGCAGGCTTGCCAACATGCCTTTAGCTTCTTGGTGGGATTTTGCTGTTGAGAGCTCATCAGCGACTCCTCCACTGTAGGATCCTGCACTTGTGTTTTCTGTCTGGAATGCTTTATCTCCAGATCTTTGCATCATTTACTTCTTAGCTTGACTATTATAAGCCTCACACCTCAACCCACACTGCACTCTTTCCTTCATTACCCTCTTATATTTCCTTTATAGCATTTCCTACCATCTAAATGATTGATTAGTTTACATGCTGAATGATTGAATCTCCTAAAAGACATTAAGATTATAAGTTATAGCATCCTCAAGTAGATAGAAGTCAAGCTAAATATACAAAATGATAATCTAGCATGATAAAAGTTTTAGTAAAATTTCAAACTGAATCTGGAAAATTTCCTCTCCAAAATTTTTCTTTATGTATTGTAGCTCATACCTACTAATGTGTAGAGCTTTAAGACATGACACAGAGTGACTTAGGTCTGGAAAGTTTTAGAAATTAAAAAAACTAACAATTCCTGGAAAAATAGTATGTGGGTATCCGTTTAATGATAAAACATTCAATTATAATTTCAACATCAATTAATTTATTTATCAGCATAAATAAATTGACCAAATTATGTTAGACAAATACTTAAAAAAATCCTATTTGCCCAAATATGTGCACCCATTCTATTTAAACTGATTATGGTATCTTTCCTTCTAGCCTGTTATGTTTCTGTGTGATTTCATCAGGATTTAAGCCATCTAGGTCCCAGGGGTCTAATCAATGTATACCTCTTGTACTTCTGCTACTTTTTCTACTGGCACTTCTACTTGTAGAAAGGGTTGATGTGGAAGTTCTGGTGTTTGCATGTTTTGGTGCTGATAATTTGCTGACTTTCAGTTATTAACCATGATAATGTCTTCTTGGTCCTTTAAGTTTCTTCCCTCAGCTTTGCCTTTTCTTTCTGGTAAACATCTATAGTGAGTTGAAAAGTTGAAAATGTCCCCTAATGTGCATGTTTGCCTGGAACGTCAGAAGCAGGATATTTGCATATGTAACTAACAAGGATTGAGATGAGAGCCTAAAAAAAATAAGGCTACGTAGAGATGGAGCAGAGATTGGTGTGCAGTGCCTGCAAAACAAGGAACAGCAAGGATTGCTGCCAGCCACCAGGAGCTGGGGATGAGACAGTAATCCTCCCCACAGCCTCCAGAAGGAAGCAACTCAGCCGACACCTTGATTTTGAATTTCTGGCCTCCAGAACTGTGAGAGAAGAAATTTCTGTTGTTTTAAACCACCAGGTTTGTGGTAATTTGTTATGACAGCCCTAGGAAACGAACACTGAATGTCTCTGGCTTATGAGGCTGTAGTCTGAGTGACCCCTCTGAGCTGTGCCTTGGGTAGAGGAGGCCAGTGTTTTGACTCAGCCACAGTCGGTTCTCATTTCCTGTTCCCAAGGCTGTCTCAGATACAGACTATAAACTAGTTACCTTTTAAAAGTGCCATATTCCTTAAAGCTATAATCGACAGTAGGATCAATTATAGTCCAAATTCAGGCTTCTGCTATCTAATCCTTCATTCATAGTTTTGTGAAAATACACTAGACATACCTAAGCTTTCATTATTTCTAGTAATAATGAATATAAAAGAGTTAAAAACAGAAATCAAAACCTGATTTTGAACATATGACTTTTTAAAGGCAATTTTTAAAAAATGCAAGGCCAGCTGTGTCCATTGTAGCTCCAGGAACCCTAATGTACTACTAGAAAGAATGTGGGTTCCATAACCTGTTATTTTCTCTATTTAATTTCTGTTGAAGAATTTCACTGTGTCCTTTGGGTATCTCCATTTCATTCATTAATGAGTCCTGGGGATATGAAATGAATGATGGGACTAAACTGTCCGGCAGGAGAGAAATACTGTGAATTTTTTTCCCTGTGTGATATTGCTACTTTCATCTTAATTCTCCTGCTTCAGGGCCCTGTCATATTAGCCCTATATTTTCAACAAAGGACTAAATAAAAGCCTAATGTTAATTTATTTTGGTTTCCTACTTAGGGTTAACTCATTCCCATTTTCATTTTTAGGTTTTAGGCTCTCATTCTAAGTTTGTTGGCAGGTTAAAATGAATTGCTTTAAATTATGATGATTTGGGTTTTTAGGCCTTTTGGGTGAATTATTAATATGAAAGATAGAGGAAAAGAAAGCCTATCATTTAGTTTTATTTTTGTTAACTCCCTATGAAGTATTTCTTGAGTAAATGTTAGGATGCAATAGAAAAGGCAAAGACATTTGCATTTAATAGTCCATGTTTGAGCTTTTGGAAATATCTGCATAACATCATTTTTTTGTTGCTTTTCTTTTGTAGGCACGGATTGCTGTTCCACTGTTAGGCTAGCCTCATAATTCACTTAAATGAATGGTTTTGTATTCTATTTTACTTGGAGAAGAAAGAGAAGCCAATTTTAGACACTGGTTCATTGACTATGCATTTTCACATCCCTATGATATACTTGTTCATTCATATAACATATGCTTACTGGTCACCTTGTGGTGTTAGAGGCCCAAATGTAAACACCTCAAACTAAACTTAAACCTCTTTTACCTGTTTCCCCAACCCATCCATCAGTTTTATATCCCTAATCAAGACTGATGGTATTGTTACCCACCAGGCTTACACACACACACACACACACACACACACACACACACACCTTCAACTAACCCTCAAATCCCTTTAGCCCCACATTTCCATAGCCAGTGAGTCATCAGACCCTGTCAACTCCACCTTTTAAATATTTAAATATCACTCAGATTTTGCCTCTTTCCTCAACTCTATTGTGCGCCTCTTAATTGTGGCCCCATTATTTCTTGCATGCTTTATTTTATTAACAACCCGTATCTAACGCTATCACCACATTCCTAGCCTAGACACTTCCTAGTATCTCATATAATTAGAAGGGCATTTATGTGCTATTAACTCACTGGACTTTTGAGATGAAAGGGTTTTCTAGATTCAAAAATATCCCCCTATGGGTTTGGCTTTTACACACTATGTTTGTCTGGACAAACCATAGCATATAGAATTTTATATATCTGTAGGCACAGATGACTATTTCACTGATAGTTGAGCCTCATACTTCACTTAAATGAATGGTTATGCATTCTGTTTTCACTGAGAAAACTTCCAACATGGACAAATTGACTGAATTTTCCTATTACAGTGCTAGGAGAGCAACTTGGAGGGGAAAAGAGAAGGGGAGGTGCTGGGATGTGTATGTCTAGGCTCATACTTAATTGTTACAACTCTTGAAATGAAGAAATTATAGAACAACTCAGATAGGGTTGACGAATCAAGGAAAGCTGGAACTAGAGCCCCCACTTCCTGTATATTCCTGGGGCAACTGCAAATCTCTTGGAGGAGAGCTCTGTCAGGCTCTAGGCTGCTACCAGCAGGATGATGGAGAAAGGTATCAAGACACATGGAGCAGAATAGTAGCCTCCCAGTTACCCATGGCCAGAATGTTCTCTGCCCATTGTGGGAGACAATTGGGAAACAGCTCATGGACTCATGACAAAGGGCATGGTTGTGTGATTCTTCTATGGGCATGATTTGGTATGATTCAGTCAAAAGCATGATAACCCAAAAGACCAGGAGGGAGCACCCACACTTGAGTGCACATCCACACAGCTCTCGATGAAGTTGGCAAGGACTAAGAAGGAAGGGAGCTGACTAGATTTCTGTTTTCTTTCTCCTTGATAATGCATGAACTCTACTGTCCTGCTACCAAACATAAACTCAGAACAGAAAATACAGAAAAGAGACCCTGAAAAGGAGGAATTAGCCCTAACAGAGTTTAAACTTTGCATTGATTTAAATATGTAGCATTGTTTTTAAGCCAGAAGAAACCAATGATCTTTTCTAAAAAATTTAGATCTCCTTTAATTTCTTTCAACGATGTTTTGCAGTTTTCAGTGAATAAGTCTTGTGCTTCTTTGGTTAAATTTATTAAGTATTTTATTTTTTTGATGCTATTGATGGTATTTTTTTTCTCAATTCTATTTTTGGGTTATCCATTGCTGGTCTACAGGAATCCTACTGATTTTTTGTATATTGACATTGCATCCTGCAACTTTGCTCAACTGGTTTATTAGCTTTAATAAGATTTTTTGTAGATTCTTTAGGGTTTTCTATATATAAGATTATATCATCTGCAAATTGAGAGTTTTACTTCTTCCTTTACAATCTTCATGTCTTCTATTTCTTTTTCTTGCTTAATTGTCCTGGCTAGAACCTCTAGTACAACGTACCACAGAGGTAGCCAGAATGGATATCTTGCTTTCTACCTGATCTCATGGGGAGAGCGCCCAGTCTTTCACCATGGAGTAGAAAGTTACTTGCGAATGTTTTGCGAACTCTCTTTATCAGGTTGGGGATGCTGCCTTCTATTCCTAGTTATTAAGTATTTTTATCATGAAAAGGCTTTGGATTTTTTGTTCATTTTTAAATCTTTTTCTCTGTTGTTCCTGTTGAATAATTTTATTGCTTTATTTTATTTATTTATTTATTTATTTTAGAGATACTGTCTCACTCTGTCACCTAGGCTGGAGTTCAGTGGTGCAATCATAGTTCACTGCAGCCTTGAACTCCTGGGCTCAAGTGATCCTCCTGCTTCAGCCTCCAGAGTAGGTGGGACTATAGACAAGTGCCACCATGCCAGGCTAATTTTTTTATTTTTTGTGAAGATGGGGTCTTGCCGTGTTGCCCAGGCTGGTCTTGAACCCCTGGCCTCAAGTGTCCTCCCACCTCAGCCTCCCAAAGTCTTGGGATTACAGGCATAAGCCACCATACCTGGCCCATTGCTGTATCTTCAAGTTCACTCATATGTTTCTGTGTCATTTCCATTCTGCTGTTGAGCCCATACAGTGAGTTTTTAAATTTTCGATTACTGTATTTTAAAGTTCTGAGTTTTTCATGTGGTTCTTTATAGGTTGTTTCTTTGCTGACACCTTCTATCTTTCCTTTCATCTCAATAGTGTTCACCCCTTCTTTTTGGATTATTTTTGTAACACTTGCTTTAAAGCTTTCATGAGCTAATTTCAACATCGAGGTCATCTTGGCATTGGTAGCTGTTGAATGTCCTTTCCACTAGTTGAAGTTTTCCCTGCTTTTCAGGGGCCATGTCATTTTGGATCATATACTGGACATTTAGAATTTTATGCTATGAGATTCTGGGTCTTGTTTAAATCCTATGGAGAATGTTGATATTTGTTTCTGTAGGAAATTGATCCAGTTGAAACTAGCTCACAGGTTTCTACCAGCTTTCTCTGAGTTTTGGTTTTGATGTCAGTTCCATTTTTGAAGTCTTTGCAGCAGCATTGAGATTTGCCCTGTGTGCACCACCCAGTGGCCAGTCTGGGGCCTGAGATGGGCCTGTCCCTTGGCGGCATTTTCAATGTCTTTGGTGTGCTGGTTAGGATCATGTCATGCACATTCAACCTGATGAGACCGGGAGCTCAGAAACACTTTATTGGGTTGGTTTCCCTAGTTCTTCTCCCTCTCTCTTTATTGCGTCTGTAGTACTTTCCAGTTCTTAGGACATCACCTGTTCCATCTTCTGGCCAAAAGCCTGGGCATGAGGCAATCTGTTTGCTGCCCATTTCCTGGGACTACACCTGAGTCTAGAGCCAAGGGATAGGAAGACAGGAAAAGGAAACGCCAGAGTTTGTTCCAACCTCTCGGGACTTCAGATCCTTCCCAAGGAAGGCTCCCTTCCTTGGTGTCTGAGGCACCTGTGGGCTCCCCTGTCGCTGCTGGCAGTGTCATCATCTGAGCAAATGCCAGATAAGACCAGCAGACCCCAACACTGGCTGGAGTGCAGGTTCCGCCCTTGGTGCAGCCTCCTGCCTGGTGTCTTTGCTGCTCAGCTGGGACACCCACCCGCGAGAGCAGTTCTCTCTCCTGCCTGGAAGCTCTTCCTGACCCACAGTCTCCACCTTGGCCACTGCAGCTGCCTCCTTCTTCTGAGACAGGCCCAAGCCCAGCTCCACAGCGGGGGCGTCACTGGCTGACTCTTTTCCGAGACAGATCTTCCCTGCACACCCCTGTTTCCCTCCTTTTCATCCTTCCCCATCTCACCTCCCACCTTCTTCTCTCTCTTCTTTCCCTTTTCCCTACCCCCTCTCCAGCACCCCATGAGCACTCCCTCCCTCCCTCCCCTCGTCCCTCCCCCATGCCCTCTTTCTACCCTTGCTCCATGTCCAAAGGGCGCTCACTCAGGCCCTGACCACATCACACACACACAGTTTTCCTTTGTGCCCAGTTTTCCTTTGTGTCTATCTGCAGTCTTTAATAAAAGAACCTTTGGAAAACCTAGGCTCAGAGAGGACAAGTAAGCTACCCAATGCTGTATGGCCTATTCCTGGCAGAGCTGGATCTATAAGTCATGTCTCTCAGACTCTGGGTCCCTTTCTTTTTCCACCACAGGTTTCCAGATGTTCCAGCTGCCTTTTTGTGCCTCCTGCTGTCTTTCTCTCCCACAGGCCAAGCCTTAGGTGAGGGTGAACCTGAGGCCTCCTACAGCCAATCCCGCCATCCTCACTGGGCCTGCATGTTTCCCAGGTTCCTGCTTTTCCAGATCACCTTACAGTCCTCATATTCCACCCTGCCTGAGAGTCCAGTGTTTTTCAGCTGTCTGCATCCTACAGGACAGCCCCTACCAGGCCCCAATCCTTCCACTGCCCCTCCCAAGCTTAGCATCTGTGTCAGTGTCCGATGGCTGCTGTAACAAAGTGCCACAGACTCGGGGCTTAAACAACAGACATTGATTCTTTCCCAGTCCTGGAGGCCAGGAGTCTGCAATCAAGGGGTCAGCAGGGTCATATCCCCTCTGGAATCTCTCCGGGAGGCTCTTTCCTGCCCCTTCCTGCTTCTGGTGGCTCCAGGCACTCCCGGTCCTGTGACCATGTCCCTCTGATCCCTGCCTCCCTCTTCACACAGCCTCCTCCAACCAGTGATCTTTAACTGGCACAATTTTATTCTTTACTTTTGTCATCAGCTAGTATGGAGATTTATAGGAAATAAAGGGATTTATAGGAAATAAGGAAAGCTGCATTTCCCCTCCCCTCAGATCTGAGTGGTTCTGAATAAATATAGAGCCAACTACAATCGATGCACTTGTTGTGTGCACATCCCTAAAAGATCCCTCCTGACTAGAGTATAAAACTCACAGTCTTTTGCTGCCGGCCTGGCCACAAACAAGCTCTCTATTCTCTTATCTCACCACTGCCCTTCTAATTCCTGCATTCCAAGTGCTCTAAATTTCTCTCTAAATCTGGAAACCAAAAGTTGATTCACTCCTCTGTGACACTGTGTGCCATCTTTGGATCTGGAGTGTCCTTTTCCTGGGCTGTACGTGGCAACCAGCTACTCATTCGCTGACAGAAAGAAAACAGCATTTTCTTCCCAACTCTGTCACTGCACATATATTTTATTCTGGCTCTGGTTTTACATCTCTGTCTGCTATCACATGAGCTTGGCCTGCTTCTGAGTGCAAAGTGAGGAGGCAAAGCATCACTAGCAATGTTCATTGAATGAATTAACTGATGGCACTCATAAAATCTTATGACAGAATTGTCCTGTGTTTATAGTATATTTCCTTTTAAATACCCCCTTCACCTTAATGTTTGTCAGATAATTGCTTTAAGTTCACTTTGTTATTCACAAGAACTACATAGCTATGGTTAGTGGAATTTTAGTTCAAACAAAAGCATTTAAATGTATGATGCTAATGGCCATTAATATTCTCTTTTTAACACGCTTCTCAGTTTAAAACAAGGATTTTCAAATACATCATTATCATTCAATAAAATTCCTATTTCTTAGAACTTTCCGCTTTGACCCTGAATAAAGACAAAAGACTCAAACCTTGTTTTGGGAAGGGTTTATACATGGCATCTTAGAATATAACTTTTATGCTTAAATGAAATAAACCAAGAATAGTTTAAGGAGGAAAAAAAGCAAGGTGAATAGTTTAGCAAAATTTGGCCTTTCAATATGTTCCACAGCATTGCCCTAAAGTATAAAGGGAAAATTATTCCCAGGAAACTTGGCATTAAGTACTTAACTTTAAAAATTGCTAGCTTTATATGAACCAGAACATAACGGTGTTTATAATATCTTTAGAGACTACTTTCAGTCGGCATAGATTAGCTAGAATGAGGTAGTGCCATACATTTTGTGTAAATATATGATTTTTTTCCCCAGATGAGCTCAAAATGTTAAAAGGAAATTTAATCTGTAGTATTCCAAAGGACACTATATTTACAGACAGAAAACCTGAGTTTTAAACCCATGTTTACCATTTGCTACCTGTATGACCTTGAGAATCTTAACTTCTCCAGGAATGAAGAAGTGTGATAGAGGCTCTCCAAGGTCATGTGTTGAGTTGTGATTTGGTGGTGTCTAAATCGAAACCTACGAGTAACAGATTAAAGGAGGGGAGTCATAGCAAACTGAAGAAATGGAAAATGGAATAAATACAATTAAAAGGCATAGATTTCAAAAGCCAGGAAATCAGCAAACCATTGAAGTTTGTGGGAAAATACTACACCTTTAGGCATATTTTCAATAAAACTAATACCATCTTAGCTTCTTCTCTTGAAATTTTATAACATATTTTCAGACTAGGGCAATATTTTTAGATTTTTAAAATCTAGGTCAATTCTAAAACATATATATGTGTGTGTCCACACGTGTGTGCACACACACAGACATACACACACAGTCCAGTTCACATTCCAATTATCATGAGTTCTATGTTGAAAATTCCAAGGTCATAGTGTCATACCATTTCCTTTATTCTTCTTCTTTCTTATTTTGTTTCTTTTTTTTGCTTTACAGTCTAATGCAAGGGAACCCAAAGTGGAATATATGTCACTTTGTGGAGGCAAAATAGTGCATTGTAGTGAAAAAAGAAAACATTTGAACTTCCGGTAATATTTATTTTTATATCATTGTTTTCTAATTTATATTAAAAGTTTTATAAGGGTCATAATGCTATAGAATAGTACACCTATAATGATTTCAATAAATGATATACAGAAATCATAAGCACATGATTGAAGGTTTTATACTGATAGGGCTTTGTGGAGAAGCTAAAGGGAGAAGTGCCTGTCATCCAAGATTTCTTTCCTCTGAGATGTATCTATCAATTTCTCTATCTAGATACATATCCAGTTCATATATTTATGTTTTATTATAAAAGTTAAATGTTTTCAATAAAGAAAATTTGGAGAGTATAAAAATATGTAAGGGGAGAGGTAAATGACATAATCCCTATGTTTCACCCCCAAGGCGCATACACAGTCACTGTTCTCTCAAGATCTTAATTGGTAAAAGGCTATTATAATTGTACATGCCCAGTATAAGTACCAAAAAGATGAAAAACTTCTAAAAGTATGATTTTTTTCTTTGGAGAACTGAATTAATTCTCATAACATACTTTTTAAGTCTCTATTAGAATGTACTATCAGAAAGTGAGGGTTGTCGTTATTTAAGCCTTTTGTTTAACTAAATTGGCATCTTAGTTTAGAATACATCTTAAGGATATTATTTAAGATATGTACATAAATTTGTAGCTAGAAGAAGTGACTTTCTTTTTTAATCCTTCAAAAATCAGCAGAACCAAGTTGACCAATCATCAAAGCAATTATTCTTATATAGTTAAAGTCACTGCTACAGCATTAAGTAGAACTTTCCATAGTTCTTTCTCTATACAATCTCTGAGCCTGGTTCCCAGAGGAGCAGGGCTTTTGGTCATTTTTGTTGTGATTTTGGATGTCATGGACATTAGGCATCATGCTCTCCAAATATAATAAAGATATTTGGTGGGAGAGAGCAGTTTCTCAGAATGACTTTTACTTGTATTTTTCCCACCTGGAAAAGGGGACTTGGTTCTCATTCTCCTTTATTCATGCATATATTTAATGCAATAAATATTTAAGTGATTCAAATATACAAAACACTCTGCCAGATATAATCTGGATATCCTGGACAACCTTTTCTGTCTGCATTTTACTTTCAAAATGTCTTGACTCACTATTTTCCATGGACTTTGCTATGTATCTTATTAGCATCCTATCAGCATGAAATTTATCCATGTGCACTCTCTTGGGAATAGACGTATTTTAAAGTTTTAGTTGCTATAATATTTTGAAACTTTTTAGTTTGATTTGTAAGATACATATTATAGAAGTTATTTGTTTTTCCTGAGTTAACTTTGGCTTCAAAGAGAATGAGGTGAGCATGAGAACAAAAGTGCAATCCTCAACCAGAACTTGACAAGGCCAAGATTGAAACTGAGATTCTATGCAATGACTTTCATGGTTAACGTCTTGTAAAATATAAAAGTCAAAGATTACTTCCCAAACAAATGTGCAGAACTTTGAAAAGAAAACAAATGATTAAATCCAGTAAGTACCTAAGTCTTTTTGATAACTTTTCCTCTAAACATTATCAATTATTGCTTAAATCAGTAATTCTTACGTACTATTATTCCACAAAACGAACCATAAATGTTCTTCTACTTAATTAAATACGTGATCTTCCTAACTTTTCTGAAAGCATTATTTTAATGGATATCATTTTCTAAATGTATATTTCTCTTCGTTTCCTAATGTTTCCTCATCTTTAAAATGTGGATAACACTAAGAGCTGTCTCCTATTCTTGTTGAAAGGATTAAATGAGTCAAGATATGCAAAGTGCAAAGTGCTGTGAATAGTGCCTGATGTGTGCGCTCCAAATATTACATTTTTTTCTTTAACTACTGATAACTAATTACTTTCACTTACCTTATTGTCCTGGGAGACAATAAAATTTGCAAATCAGTATCAAATGAATACAAATGAAATTAGGAAACAACCATGCTTCTTTGTTCAGCATTTTGTTTCTTCACTTGGACAACCATGCCTGTGATATTAATTCTATATTACCCAAATTATAAATTGAGGAATAAAATTTCCCCAATTGCATATAATTACATTAAATGAACAGACGATTTTCTGCCATAAGCAAGTACTCTAAACCTGAACATATTTCAGAAACATCATTTAAATTTTTCCTTGAATTTTCTTCTGTTGGAAGCCTCTTTATATTTGAATGTACACATCCCAGGATCATTAGAAAATCCTAGCTAAGACTGGGGGCCAAAAGTTTTTCCGGAAGCTTGTCCTCTACCTTGAAGTTGCCTACCTTTTCTTCTCACCACATACCAGAGTGCAGGGGGTGGCCTTCCAGTCATATCTTTCTCCTCTGCCTCAGTTTCCCTGTCTTTGGATCCATTAATAGAGGAAAAGAAAGGCAGATCTCATTGATGGAGTGGAATGATACTTTCCCAGCAGTCAGAACTTTGTCTGCCCTGTCCTTGGTCGGAAAAGTTACTTTCAGCTTCCTTTTTTACTTTCACACTGAGAAGGCTTCACTTCAGATTCTTCTCTTTCTTTGTTAAACAGCCCCAGCACCTTCATTTGGTCCTTACAAACTCCCAGGCCATATGCTGCCAAAGGAAACAAATCATTTTCACAAGAATAATTTTTAAAAACTTTAAAATAACTTAAATAACCTAATTTAACTGGTTTCAAGTTCAGTGTTTTTTTGTTTTTGTTTTGAGGGGAGTTTAATTCCACTGCTGACAATCATATTGGGATCACGTGGTTTGACAAGCACTGCGTCTCTTTCTCTTTTCAGGCTATCCCATTTTCTGGCTTCTCACATTCAGAAATATTTGGCTATTACCAAACACTCAGATTTTCTAGACTCTCAGCTTAGATTTCAATAAAAATTGCAGGAATTTTTTTTTTAAAGAGTGAGGAAGAATAGCTAAAGAGAGTCTGAATAGTTTAAAATTAGGCCCTGGTCATATTGGTCACTGTTTATTTTCATGGTTATGAGATGCTTGTCTTATTCAATGTGGTAAAAATCCAATACCTTTAGGCAGTTGGCCCAAGTTTGATTTTTAGGCATTTTGATTTGTAAATTGAATTCTATGTAACCTTTACAGGATTCCCAACTCCATTATCATGTTATTACTTTTGTAATGTGTTTTGAGCACTGCCAATGTGTTCAGAATTGAAAAGCACATTAAACTGGGCCTTTTCCCACAATGGTCTAAACATTTTAGCTGAACTCTTTATTTTTCCACCTCTGCACATTTTGAAAATGCTGCTGTATATCATTTTTCCCAAAACAGAGAGAAGTTCCTTTCAAAGTAAGTGTTATTTGAGCGTTTTCATTTGCTAGTGTTGCTAGACTCTGAATGACACTCTTTGGTGGTCCTTAGGTAGCCTAAGGTGACAGCCATCATCCCATTGTCATGCCTTTCAAAATGTTTGGGCATATTATAAGAAATGATCTTTGAAGTGTCCTTATTTTTCTCTAATATCTATTTAAGAAAAACAGCCATTTTTTTCTTTCAAACTCCTAAATTTTCTTGTTGATTGAAGTCCATTTTTAGTAAAGGATGTGTCCACCTGAATGCATTAAGACTTTCTCAAGATTAAGAGGCCAGAAACCAGAATAAATGCCTTTGTCTTTCAAGTGTTTCCTTCATTTAACTTTGCTAATCATCGAAGATGACACTCCAGTTGTTCATTTCCCAGGGAAACATCCAAGAGTCACTTTAAAATGATTATCTTTTTATCTTTGGGCTCACTGAATCATTGAATCCTTATGCTTCTTCCAGGCCTGAAAGACTATTATCCCTGAGATTTTGACTATATAATAATAGATTCAAGATATCCAAAGTTTAGTTATAATTTGCATGTCATTCACTTAACTAAGAGGCACCGAATTTTACACTGACTTTCAGTTTCCATTTTGTCATATTAGGCTTGTCAAATTTGGGAAAACTATTACTTAAGTTTCACATAGAACCATTTAGGTTGATTTGAAAAACTGGTCTACTCAAACTGATTACGGCACATATTTATTCCTTAATTTTCACTCCCATGGCTCAAACCTATCGCCAGTTATCAATACATTTGGAAACCGTTTGTTAGTCTACTAAATTGCAGAAGTGAGAAAAATGATAAAAATAGAATATTTTAAGTCACTATTTGGTAACTTAAAAACTTGACTGGTGACGTTTATTTGACCTGTTCAAAGATCAAAGTAAAGCAATAGCTCTGTCGTTGTTTTTACATTGACAACAACCAACCACTGACACATGCTTGACCTTTATTAAATGATTAGTTGAAATAAGCAAAAAGGACTTTCCAGTTATGAATTGGTGCCTTTGGGATAAATGAAAGAGTAATGCTTATGATTAATGAAGATGATCCTGACAATTATGGCTCACTATTTGTTCACATTCCAGCGTTAAAACTAAACTTAAAATCTTAATGCTGTCTTTACATAAAAAACTGTAACTATTTTTCATTACCGTTGCATATTTTTAAATGAAGGAAGCTTTATTTTAGCTGCTGAAATTTAAGGGAAAATAGAAGCATGGTTTAGTAAAAGAATTAATCATTTGCTGACAAATAAATTTTAGTCAGTATGTAATATTGCTAAAAATTGATAAAATTGGGGTTGGGGAGGGAAATTAGCTTAGTATTCAAAAGTGTTATTTAATTCATGATTAGAACCACTCATTTGTGACCAATTTGCTTTTGATCATTTCATTTAGTGGCAGAAGCAAAATTTTAACATTCCTAAAAATCTTGCCAAATAATTTGAAGAAGCGTAAATGACAAAAATTAATGTAAAAATTAAAAGCCAGAATAATTAATAGAAATTCAAAAAGTTCATGAAGACTGCAAAGCTATCCCAAGATTTTCCTGAAATTATCTAGTCTCTTCAGACCTGTTCCACCAATGGTATGTTTTAATAAATAGACAACAATGCTTAAAGGTATACACGAATTTGCCTTTCATCATTGCCATGATGCATAAACATTATTATTTTCTCTACTCTTCCTGAAACACACCTATAAATTATATCTACCTATGAGCATGGAATTCCAACCTCAAAGTATGTACATCTCAGGAATTTCTAAGAATTCTGCTTTATCAGACTTTGGAGTTGGGTGGAAACAGATCAGGATGACAGTGTTTTGTTAACAAGAGGTTCAAACCAACTGAATATTCCCATGTATCGAAAAATGACCAGGAAGGGAGTGATCCAGCAGTCCTACAGAATAGGGAAGCAGAGTCTTGTAGGGAGGTAGAAGGTAAACTTGGCTGGAGTGTGAAGTTTTAGTCCCTTTTCGTATTAGTTTCTTAGGGTTAGTGTAACAAAGTACCATAAACTGGGTGGCTAAAGAACAAAAATTTATTCTGTCACAGCTCTGGAGGCTAGAAGCCCAAGATCAAGGCTTTGGCAGGTTGGTTCCTTCTGAGGTCTATGAAAGAATCTGTTCCTTGTCTCTCCCCCAGCTTCTGGTGGCTTCTGGAAATTGTTGGCATTTTTGGCTTGTAGAAGCAGTACCTTGCCCTCTGCTTTCACCTTCCGGTGACATTCTCTCTGTATGTGAGTCTGTCTCTATGCTAGTCATGTTAGATTAAAGCCCACTCTAAGGATCTCATTTTAACTTGATTACCTCTTTAAAGATTATATCTCCAAATAATGTCACAGTCCAAAGTATTGAGGGTTCACCATTTAACCCATTACAGAGTTGAAGTTACCTGGGCAAGGAGACTATGCTGGTGGTGCTTAAGCAATCCTAGGCAGGAACAAGATTTGAAACAGGCTAGAGAGAAAACATAATTCCTTACTCTTAGGTTCATTCATCCAATATATGTCCCATCCAATGGGATGTCCCATCTAATATATGTTGCACTGCGTCCCAAGCACTATGCAAGCACTAGGATACAGTGGTGAACAAACTAGACTTTCTCGACTATGCTCAGTTTACCTTTATAACCCAATGGCCAGGTCTCTGATGTTCAGAGACAGTTGAATTATAGTCATGGTCAGAAGTCATAAACATAATTGCCTTCAGGTGCCAGACATGGAATATAGTAACTGAAGCTCATCAGATGTAACAAAAGGCACAACAAAAACTCAGTGGTAACTGGCAGCTGAAACTCAGCTTTAGTGTGAGGGAGCACAGCAAATGGACCGGGCTGTGGCCACTGTGGTATGCCCATCCTGCTTAAGGGGGATATCCCTCCTGATTGCAGATGCATGGGCTATGGTAGACTTCTGCATATGCTTCCCTTTTTCAAAATAAGTTGAAAATCTGTATTTTATATAAAGTCTCCTGATTTTTAAATGTGGGCATCTTACATATTAAGTAGCCATCTAAGACATATCTGCTGGTGCATGTGGCCTTGCTCTGTTGCTTTATACCTTCAGCTTAGAGAAGGGAACACATCATCTGGAGTCTGATGGCACAACAACTGTAATCACCAATCATATCAGGAGGGGAACTTGAGGGTCTCCCTTTTAACACTTTGCCAAAAGTAAAGGGAGTGGAGTTTGTTCCAGGTAGTTTGGAGAAGACCATAGGACAAGGGTTGTTCTGCCAACCACATCAAAGGAAGATGAAAAATGGAAGATAAATCAGGCTGTCAAAGGGAAAGCAGATTGTATTTCACAGGGGGCAGAATCACTGCAGTCAGGGACCAGCATTCCTACAGATAGACCCTGGTCTGTAACCAGCATCCAATCACGTTAAATAACTGAGATATTTGCACATGTTTATGTGTTAGACTTGCCCTAACTAGGTCAATAAACTTCTCACATACCATCTGAACACTAAACTTGTGTTTTTTCTTTTAATCTCTCCTCTTCGTCAAAGTATGTACATTTACAAACTTTGCTTTATTTTTCTTTTTCAATATGCAAACAATTAGATTTTTTTCTGAAGTGTTAATAAATAAATAATGGAAAATATCTAGTTGTTATCTTTAGTTTTGCTAAAAGCTTATTTAACAGGAATTCAGAATGCCTCCATTATATAAATATGTTGGTTATAAAAGGATTCTAAGTTGAGATCATTTTACATGGGGAGGCAAGGATCCAGCCATTCGAGCTTCCTTCTTGTGCACATTTTTGGAAGGAACATAAACCTTTGGATGTAGGGTGGTGAAAAATTCTGAGAAAAGGGCTGGCAATTGCAATGGCCAATATTCTACCCTATGGTGGCAGAGTCTGGAGAAGAACAGATATATAGGTTGATGAGATAGGCAACTTTGTTGAAAAGTAGCCTTTTCCCAGAATAATTCTGTAGGAGGCCACGTGGCATGAGTCAGTGTAACTAAGTCTTCTCAGTATCGCTTTATCCTTTTTTATATTACCTGTGCCACTGAACTAATGTCTCATTAGGCCTGTGTAAAAAATACCACTACCTTTCTCAAGTTTAACTTCTGATTTAAATGAAAGTACATTATCTGAACAGTTGAATCAAAGAGTAAACAACTAAATCCCCTTTCAGTATAATCTGTATTTCATGGTGTTTTAACAGGTCAACAGCTTCCTGTGAAGATTGCTTCATTTAGGTGTTTTCCCCAGAATTTGGACATGATTTTGTCCGAACTAAATGGCAATGAGAATTTTGCTGAAAACTGCACTTAATTTACATCTTTATATCAGTTATTTTCCTTCACAAATATAAATATGAATGATATACGTTTCTGAGCAATAAAATAGTGAAGAAAATAACATTATATGGTGATTGTACAGCAGTAGCAGATTAGCTACGATAGAAGATTAAAACACACATGCACATGCAACAAAAACTAGGAGATAACTGACTTTGAGGATTTCAAGATATGTTGATATCCAGATATAACTTCAAGAACTTCTAGAAACAAGCAAAAGGTAACATACAATCAATTCAAGATATATCGAAGGTTTGAACTGCTTTCTGGATTTCCAAGCTGTGATAGAAATCATGGTCTGTGCTAATCATAGAAGTGTCATAGAAGAGATGGAACTTTAGCTGTGCCTTAAGTTCCTGCAAAATTTAGATTGCAGGATAACGATTACAGAAGGTTGGGGCTCTTAATGCTAAAGTTGGGAGAGTTTGCAGGGTAGTAGGGAGGGGACCTCAAGTAGACGGTGCTTCATTCTGAGTCACAATGAATCACAGTAATAAATGACATGAAACAGTAATGTCAGGCCATTTGCTGTCCTAGGACCTATTCAGGATACCATGTTTTACTGAGTCATCATGTTTCCTGAGTCTCTTTCAAATTTGTAGCAGTTTCTCAGTCTTTCCTTGTTTTTCATGACCTTGACATTTTAAAGAGTCATAACCAGTTTTAATTTCTCCTCGAAGAGTCTTATAACAAATATTTTTATTTGTAATGTACCAGGAAAAAAACCATAATCATTTTGTAATCATTGCTCATTAAAAATTGCTACCAAATTTCACTATTTGAGCAGAGAGAAATAGTATTTTCTAGTGTATGGCTTAATGCCTTCAACAATGTAATGTGAAAATTTTTACCTTTATGCCACCTCAGTATCCCTCCATTTCTAGAGGAATATGTGCTGTCTCAGTCAGCATGGGCGGCTATAAGAAAATATCGTAGACTGGTTGGCTTAAACAACAGAAATCTATTTTATCATAGTTTTAGAGGCTGGAAGTACAAGATCAAGGTGCCAGCATTATTAGCAGAAATGATGTCCCAATTATTAATACAATCCTGGATGGCCCAGTGGATACTCTATTTGCCATAGCAATTTACATGGGCATCACAACTCACTGCAGTGGGCACGGGATGCTGCCTTTTGGACCTCTGCCAATGATGCCTCTGAAATCCGCATGTTGTTTCCAAGATTCTACCATCTGCACATGAGTTGATTCTTAACACCCTTTTCTTCACTGTCCTCTGAATCACAGTCTCGCACAGGTGCAGTTCATTATCAGGGCCTAGGTCATATGCCTGAACCTAGCTGAAAAGGATGCTGAGAAAGCAAGTTTCTGACATTGATGCGGTGGGACTCAAATAGTGAGAGATGCTTGCAAACATGGGAAGGGTATTCCAAATGCACCAAGTGATCAGAGATCTTGTAGAAATGGCAATTTTACATCCCATCATATGCAATAACCACACCTTACTGATTTATTCCTCTTAATAATGGTCACCTCCGCTGACTCCAACTCCCTGTTCCAATAAATAACTTAGCAATGGACAATCTCTTTGTCTGGGATATGTCTGGGCTATAAGTACTTACCATATATAATACCTCATTTTATTCCTATTCCAATAAATAAGTTGACAATGGACATTCTCCTTCTCTGGGATACATCTGGGCTATAGTACTTAACATATATAATACCTCATTTTATTAAACACTGTCAAGCTTCTCTTGAGCATGTCTGTACCAGCGATAAGTGTGAATATCAGTTTTTCCAAATGTTTGCCAAATATCTGTATTATGTGAAATGTTTTCTGATTGATGTTTTAATTGTATATCTCTGATTATCGGTGAGGTTGGGTGTCTCTTCATATACATTTTAGATATTTGGGTTTCTACTTCTTTTATGTTTTATTTATATCGGCTTTTTTTTTTTTTTTTTTTTTTTTTTTTGAGAAGTCTCGCTCTGTCACCCGGCTGGAGAGCAGTGGCGTGATCTCAGCTCACTGCAACCTCCGCCTCCCAGGTTCCAGCAATTCTCCTGCCTCAGCCTCCCAAGTAGCTGAGACTACAGGCAGGTGCCACCATACCCAGCTAGTTTTTGTATTTTTAGTAGAGACGGGGTTTCCCCATGTTGGCCAGGAGGGTCTCGATCTCTTGACCTTGTGATCTGTCCGCCTCGGCCTCCCAAAGTGCTGGGATTACTGGCGTGAGCCACCGCGCCAGCCTGCTTTTTTATCTATTGATCTATTGGATTTTCTGTCTTTCTTTTGTTAATTTATAAGTCCTTTTATAGTAGTTTAGATATTAATCCTTTGTGTTTCAAAGACTTTGCAAGCATTTTCTCCTAGCATATCACATTTTGTAACTTTGAGATATTTTGTTAAGACAATTTTAATTTTGATACTTGATTTTTTTTTAACCTAATGCTTTGTCATCTTGGGGTCTTGTTTAAGGTTACAAAGCAAGTCTCCTACTTTTTTGCCTTTAAAATTTTTATCTTTAGAGTTTTACCTTTCACATTTGTTCATTTAACCCATCAGCCCTTCCACTATACATGGATTGAGATAGGAGTCTGGCTTTATTTTTCTCTATATTGAGTCAGTTTTCTCGATTCCATCTACTAAGCTATCTCCCTCTGATTTGTGGTGCTTTTATTTTCGGTATTTAAATGAGTTTTTTTGCTTTCTAGTCTGTTCATTTTCTTCTGGTGTATAAACTTTAGTATAATATTGTTATTATTTTAAAAATTATTTCTAGGGCTCTGCAGAATTTCTTGATCTTTCGTTAGGTACATTCTTTGTCTTTTTTGTTGTTTTCCAGAATGGACTTCCCTACTGATGCATCTTTCATTTTTTATATAAATTTAAATAAGTTGTTAGTTTTCTTAGAAATTTCCTATGCAATTTAATTATAATTATGTTTATAGATTAATTCAGGTAGCATTGTCATTCTTTCACAAACATAATATTTCCTCCATTTTTTTCTGAGTCTGAGTTTTAAAAGTTTCTTTTTAAAGGTCATGGGCATTTTTTAATAAATAATGGCTAGATGTTTGATAGTTTTATTTATATTGTGAATAAAATCTCATTTTCTATTTGATTTTTAGGTGGGTGGATAGTAATCCACACAGGTAATTTAAAGAGCTAAAAAGAGCTCAACTAAAAAATTCTTGACACCCAGACCATTCACCCAAACCCTCTCATGCTCTTATAAATCAAAATTTTCTGTCTTTCTAGCATTTTGTTGCTATTTTAAAATATTGTACTCTCAGAACTATCCACATCTCCTTTGATCCTGTACATCTCTGAGTCTGGGTTCAGGGAAAGGCGCCAGTTGCCTGTGTTTGTTCACTGTCTTATCAAGGACCCTTCATTTTATTTTCCTCATTTATTTTTGGAGGAAAGGTGATGAGGGTCAGTGGTTACTGACTATTGTATTTGGACCTGCTTGCCCATCCCTCAGTTTTTCTTCTCAGATTATGTTTTGACAATATAATTACTGGAAGATCATTTATAACGCTTTTCCTTATTAAATATTCATATTCCTGTGTTGTTCAGTATGTATATCCCAAAGTACCCCAAAGAAATTCTTTTCTCAGATTTTAGATTGATTTTGTATTTCATGACAATGATTTCAGGGTTCATAGACTGGATCATAATTTCAGCTGTTTCAAACTCACAAATCAGTATTACTAAGGTGTATCTAAAGAACTGAAACACTTTTATTGCAAATCTAAGTGATAATATGGGCCTCAGGATTGCCCCGGAATATGTATAAGAACCAACCACTTAGGAACAAATATTCTGCTGATAACAGCCAGCCAGCCAAACGCAGCCCCTGATAAAGATAAATAACCTGTACTCAGGGAAATTTTTTGCATCATTAAACATGGTGAGCATATTAGCTAGCAGGGGGTGGAGTCGAGTCCCCAAAGAGATAAATCTAAATTATGTGCGCTGCAGTGATCATAACAGTAATGCACCATCTTGGCTAACTGGCTGACATCAATGGGGAAGGGAATTTCAGATTTAAATGAACCAAACTAAAAAGCATTTCAGTGCACATACAGATTAATTGGAGCATATTCATGAACTTTTCAGCCCTATTATGCCTCTTTTTTTTTTTTTTTTTTTTTTTTTGACTGGTGCCAAGTACAAAGAGCTTAGAATTTTCCTGTCAAATCTTGCATCTTTGTTTCTTCTTTTCATTTTCTTATGCGGGTTGATTAATTACTCCCCAATTTGCTCTCCATTAATCTCCCTCCTACACAGTTGTATCAGTACTTGCCAAAATCTCTTTTCTTTATATGTGACTAAGATGGATAATATAAGTTTAGTGACACTTCTGTTAAATGAGTCAATGAAGTAGTCATTTGTTAATACTATGCTTTTGAAATGCAGAAAATTCCAAATTCAAAGTTAAGAAGTATTGTTAATTGTGTCAGAAAAAGCATCTTGTTGATAATATGACCAATTTGGAAAGTCTGAGAAAGACTTATGATGACCAAACTAGATTTTGTTATTCTCTGTTATTTGTGTTAGACAATCTTTTGAGATAAGGGACCTAGCTATATTCAGAGGGTCACAATATCTGATTTTGTTTCATTCAGTTTTCTTTGTATTGCAAAAAGTTGTAGTACTATATTGATAAACAGAGAAAGAAAACACTATTGGTTTGTGGAGACGCATTAGTCAATATTTGAAAATATGTTTTTCTACATTTTGAATAGATGATAAAGTCAGCTCCTGCTAGACTGTAAGATATACATGACCATGTCTGTTTTGTCTGTTTGGTCTGTTTTATTTATTGTCAATGTTCCAATATACAGCACAATCATGGAATAGTTAGGTACGCAATAAATATTTGTTGAATAGATGAACAATTTTCAAAAATGATTTTTTTGTCTAGAAGGAATAATTTATGTAAATTGGAGATAGTGAGTGGCATAGCAGTAACAGTTGACTTATGATTTTAACCAGAGAGAAAACTACTTGCAACAGACACCACCAAACCATTTCTCACCGATTGCCTTTTCACATATTTAGGACTATGCCACTCAGGTTCATGTTTAAGGTTTATTTATTAAAAGCAAATTGCCCAAATAGCCAATGACAGAAAGATCTCTAGAGATAATCAAGGTTTAAATTGCATTTTAACCACTTACTGTAGAATGATTTCAGTGGATTCTTTAACCTCTTTCTGTCTCATTTGACTGTTCTTCAAATGGGTGGCAGGATACTTACCAGCTGGCAGTGTTGTGAGAGTTATGTGAAACACCTAGCACACTACACAGAAGGTATGTGCTACTCCTCATTTCCCCTTCCTCCTGCTTCCTTGCTCTCCCAACCATAAGACATTTTCTCTTTCTTTCTTTCTTTCTTTCTTTCTTTCTTTCTTTCTTTCTTTCTTTCTTGCTTTCTTGCTTTCTTGCTTTCTTGCTTTCTTGCTTTCTTCTTCTTCTTTTTTTTTTTTTTTTGATGGAGTCCTCTGTGGCCCAGGTTGGAGTGCAGTGGTACAATCTCTGCTCACTGCAACCTCCACTCCACCTCCTGGGTTCAAGCTATTCTCCTGTCTCAGCCTCCCGAGTATCTGGGATTACAGGCACACACCACCATACCTGGCTAATTGTTTTGTACTTGTACTAGAGACAGGTTTTCACCATATTGGCAAGGCTGGTCTCGAACTCCTGACCTCAGGTGATCCACCCGCCTCGGCCTCCCAAGGTGCTGGGATTACAGGCGTGAGCCACCGTGTCCAGCCTGCAAGACATTTTCTAACTAATAACTTTTTATTTAAAACACTAAGGATCCCATGGATAAATAATATTTTTTATATTTAATTGTTCTTCTTTTTAAAGATGCCAGAAACATGACCATGTATAAGAATGCTAAAGCATAAACCAGGAGCCTGCGATGTTGGAAATAAATAAGATTTAAAGCATACCTTTTCTATCTCATCTTTGTTTAAAAAAAAAAAGATTATTAAAAACAAACAAACAAACAAACAAACAAGTGGCAACTTAACCTAATCTTTTCTCCTCATTACTGAGTAGGTGGCTTCTTTCCAATTCATCTGAAATCTGTTACAAATCAATTCATGATCCTAGTGCCTCAGCCTCGGGTAATTTCTTTTATACGTTTCTGATCTGGTGTAATTTTTGCATGTCTCAACAACAGAAATGCATTAATGAAAGGTGTTTATGCTCTCCTGCTCCCTTGTGTATGTCTACAAAATGGGGAATACTAACAGCACTCATGCCTTTTCCTCTTGACTTTCTTCTAATAAAATATTTCCTACTCACTGCCCTGGTGCTCTCACTTTCCCTGAGTGCAGGCACACACTCATATGAGCAGGAAACTAACCAAGTTGCCTGTTTTCATAGCAACACTCTCCCCTTTCTGACAGAATGTTTTTCTACCAAATTCTCCCTTAGGGTAATCAAATCAAATATTTTAAAACACATTTATACCTATCTAGGCTGTTAAATAGAAAGTTAAATAAGTTTATCATTAAAAGCAGAAGGGTCCAGTTAGAGAAAAGGGAATAAAAAGTTAGCAAATGAAATTAATGTGACAGTTACCTTGCTCTGTTTACATGTACTCTGAATAAAATGTCTAGTTTGGCTCTTTATCCAAATAAAATTAGTAAAGAAGTTAGATTCATTTGGATAGTTTTTATTTTTCTTTAACTTTGGATTCAGGCGACTTAGCCCAGTATAATACAACTAGAGATTCAGCACTGGGAATGTTTATTGGGCATGCAAAATTCATGGGGTGTGCGAATCAGATCTATCTCAGTTTAGTATAAGCTATTTAGGGCTACCTATTTAATACCCAGTACAAGAATCACAGGAGAGAGGTACCCATCTCTTGGGTTCTCAGTTTAGAACCAAATTCTAATTATTCTCACTTTCCAACCTCCTTATTGCCCACAGCTGTTCTTTTCCTAGTGGTACCTTGTTGAAAAAGTAGACCTCAGTGTCCATTGATGGTGATCCTGAGTCTTCTCTGCCTTTTCACTCATCCCTTGGGGTCCCTGACAGTAAATACCTTTCCAGGGCTCAATTTGGAACTTATCTTTGCTCAGGCACAAGAACAATATAGTGGTGATGGAAAGAGAAAGAGATGTGTTCTTCATCTCTCTGTAGCAAAGCTGTAAGAAAGGCATGTAAAAAGCTTTTCGTTTTGTCTATGGAGACATATTGTGTCTTACATGGTTTGGCTCTGTGTCCCCACCCAAATCTCATCTCAAATTGTAATCCCCACATGTGGAGGGAGGAACCTGGTGGGAGGTGATTGGATCATGGAGGCGGTTCCCCCATGCTGTTACTGTGATACTGAATGAGTTCTCATACGATCTGATAGTTTAAAAGATTGTGGAAGTTCCTCCTCCTGGCTCTCTCTCTTGTGAAGAAGGTACTAGCTTCTTCTTTGCCTTCCACTATGATGGTAAGTTTCCTGAGGCCTCCCCAGCCCTGCAGAACTATGAGTCAATTAAACCTTTTTCCTTTATAAATTTCTCAGTCTCAGGCAGTTCTTTATAGCGAGTGTGAAAACAGACTAATACAGTCTCCTTATGCATACCATTTTATATCTCAGTTTAAAATAATAACATGAAAAACAGATTTCTTGCATCTTTGCTATAAGAACCTCTGACAGAACTACCAAGTGCATTACATTCTTATGGGATAACTCTTTGTAAATAGAAATGAATCAACTATGTCTGTCATTAGTTTGATTGCTTTTTGATAATTTATTCATCATAAATTTTTCTTTATCTTTACCCTGTCCATAATTTAGACCTTAGTTGTCATTATGCTCATTTTCATTTATTCCAGTAGGAGCTCGAAAAAATATTTTTATATCAAACTACTTTTTTTTTTTCTTTAAGAAAAGAAAGAGTACAGAACCTGAGAAACTTTCAGATATTTGTGTGGTTTATACATTGCATAACTCTGGGGCAAAGTTGGTGTAGTCAGCCAAGTATGGGTTTAAATCTTGCCACAGAGAGAGACAAAATAATATAATTATAATTGGTTTGCTTGAATCAGGTTTCAGACATTGTCCAAACATTGCATTTGGTTTTGGTTGTCTCATAAAATTCTTTTAATGTCTAATCTTTATCAGGCAGTTCCATCTGCCTTTCTGTTTTTAAAAAGCTACCAACTAAGATAATGTATGTACTATGGTTTAATATATAGTGCAGGGAAAGCACTCAATATGGTAGCTACTATTGTTATTCTTATTATGACATCTCAGAATATCAACTACACTTGCTTGAAATATGTTGTAGTTCATGGATTTGAGGATTGGTGTCTTTTGACAATTTTGGAAAAATTTCAGTCATTATCTCTTCAAATATTACCTTGCTTCCATTCTTCTATGGATTCCCTCAGAAATTCTGATGAATGAATATTGGACATACTCATTTATCCTTCATTTTATTCTTAAACCATATTTCATGTTTTCTGACTCAGTGCTTCATTGAGTAACTTTTATCTGTTTTAGCTTCCAGTTCACTAATTGTTCATTTCAGTCTAATTTACTGTCATATCCTATTCTAATAAATTTCTAATTTCAAAGATATTTTAAATTTCTAGATGTTTTATTTAATTATTCTTTTTTTCTGGTAATTTTTGATAATTGCTGTTTTAATATTTGTTTTCAATTCTTTTATTTCTTTAAATACATTAAAAATACTTATTTTGTAGTCTATATTTGATAATTCTTATATTTATATGTCTTTTTGTGCCTGGTTTTGTGGATTGCTGTTTCTACTGACCTTGCTCATGGTACCTTGCTTAATCAAGTATTTAGCTTTTTTTTATTGAGAGTTTCTGTTTATTGGAACTTTATCTGTGAGAATTACCTGAAGACTGCATTTCTACTGAGGATAGAAATGCAGGATATTTCTGAGAGTATTTCTGCTTGTCAGTTGCCGCTTCCAAAACATGTCTGCTTTAAAATATTAACTTGTGTTTTATTTATTTAAATCTTATAGATAGAATCAATATGGGCATTAAAATCCATGTGAAAACTGGTTCATGATCATAATTTCTCATGGGAGGGTTTTTTCCTTCTACTCATAGCCAAAGCAAAGATAGATCATTTTCCTTGTTCTCTTTCTTCACTGGTTAGATTTCATATTTATTCCTCCTTTCCTTGGTGTTAAGATTTATTTAGGGGGGAGGTCTTCTTACTCTTGTCCTCCAAAGATCCTTTAGTACTGATATCCTAGAGCAGTGGTTTTCAGTCCTGGGGTGGGAAAGTGGGGCCCCCAGGGAACATTTGGCAAAGACCGGAGACATTTTTGTTTATTACAACTGGGGGAAATTAGAAGGTGCTGCTGGTATCTAGTAGGTAGAGGCCAGAGGTGCTAAATATCCTACAAAGTAGGGGACAGTCCCAACAAAGAATTATCTAGTGCCCAGGCTGAGAAACCTCATTCTAGGTCAACAGGCTTGGTAAGTGCCCTCAGGGAAGCCAGTTGCTTTAGCTTAAGTCCCTTGAACTCTACTGCTTAGTCTTGGGGATTTCCTTAATTTCTAGAAAGTTTACTCATGTACTTAAGTGAACCTCAAAATTATTTTAATCACTTTAAAAAATATGTAGTATTTAGATGATCTTGCCTGTTGTTTTGCTTGAGCTAGTTCTCTCCTCATGCTTTATGGAGAGTGTTCCCTTGTCTGGCTGCACGATACTTTGATTAGTCTCTAGTTATGGACTTTAAGGTAGTTTTTAATCATTTGTCACTACAAACTGCTCCAATGAATGGCACTTTGCATATATGAGAATATATCTGTAGAATAAGCACCTAGAAATGTAAATGCTGGGCACGTGCATTTAAATTTTTTATAAATGTTACCATATTTTCCATATAGGATTTATCGGTTTAACCTTCCACTAGCTTCATGAGAGTAACTTTTTCTTACACAGGTTTAAATTCAAACTGATTGGTTTGAAAAATGAACCCCAAGATACTCAAACAGAAAGAATGAACCTTCAGATAGATAGCCATCTGTCAAATTCAACAGTTATCAGGATTTTGCCATATTTGTTTCAGTGATCCCCCTCGTCTTATTTTTTTCTTTTTTTCTCTTTTCATTGCTGAAGTATTTTGAAGATCCAGACATTATTTCATTTCACCCCGTATTTCAACGTGAATCTCTGAAACATGTGGACATTTATTGTATAACCACAATGCAATACTCGTATAGCTCTATATCATCTAAAAAAAGTTGTAAGGAAATTTCCTCAGATGTGGGGAAAAAATTGTTCTTTTAAAACTGGTTTGTTTGAAATAGGATCATCATAAGATTCACCCATTATGTTTGGTTTTTATGTCTCTTAACTCTCTTTCAAATTAGAACAGTGTCCTTTCCTTTTGACCACCTGCCATTGTCTAGTAACAACTGGATTAATTGTATGCAGAATGTCCACATTTGGTTTGTCTGTTTGCTTCCTTGTGGTATAATTTAACTTGTTCATCTATCCTTTGTGGAGAAAAATTGGCACTTGATATTTGATTAGATTCAGGCTCAACATTTGGCAAAGACAAGTGATGTAATAGACATTACAATATGCATCGAAGCAAGAGACACATAACATCTGCTTTTGTCACTTTGTGTGTCAATTAGCCTGTTGATCAGTGGATTCAAGCAGTCACAGGCTTATCTCTCTTGTAAAATTCCCATTTACCTTTTATAAAATGGCTTTACCCATGTGATCACTGGTTGAATTCATTATTTTATGAGGATTTGTAGAATGGTGATTTAATAAAACTTCTACCTTTTCTTCCACACTTTTTTTTTTTTTTTTTTTTTGAGACGGAGTCTCGCCCTGTCACCCAGGCTGGAGTGCAGTGGCATGAACTCGGCTCGCTGCAAGCTCTGCCTCCCGGGTTCATGCCATTCTCCTGCCTCAGTCTCCCGAGTAACTGGGACTACAGGCGCCCACCACCACGCCTGGTAATTTTTTGTATTTTTAGTAGAGACGGGGTTTCACCATGTTAGCCAGGATGGTCTCGATCTCCTGACCTCGTGATCCTCCCACCTCAGCCTCCCAAAGTGCTGGGATTACAGGCGTAAGCCACTGCACCCGGCCTCCACATTTCTTCATTAGAATTCTTCGTAAAGGATTGCCTTCCCCCACCAATTAGGGCTAATTAATTTTCTTGAAGTATACCTCATCCAGGAAAGGCAGAAAAAATTATTTCCTTTTAACTGCCTGTTTTCAGAATAAGGATTTAGAGCCCTAGTTATTTTCAGTGGTGTCCAAATTAGTTTTGTTTAAATTTTAGTTTCTCCTTCTTCTCTTTTTGAGGGCGCTATCAATATGAACCCTTGTTTGTTTCGTGTTCTTCCATCATTTGCATTCATTACTCTTTTTTTTTTTTTTTGAATCGGAGTCTCGCTCTGTCGCCCAGGCTGGAGTGCAGTGGCACAATCTCGGCTCACTGCAAGCTCCGCCTCCCGGGTTCACGCCATTCTCCTGCCTCAGCCTCCCGAGTAGCTGGGACTACAGGCGCCGGCCTCTACGCCCGGCTAATTTGTGTGTGTGTGTGTGTGTGTGTGTGTGTGTGTGTGTGTGTGTGTATTTTTAGTAGAGACGGCGTTTCACCACCTTAGCCAGGATGGTCTCGATCTCCTGACCTCGTGATCCGCCCGCCTCGGCCTCCCAAAGTGCTGGGATTACAGGCGTGAGCCACCGCGCCCGGCCCATTACTCTTTTTTAAGCTCAAATTGTCACATATTGGCCAATCCCATCCCCTTCATGTTTCCTCCTGTGTCCCTCTGACATGGCCCATTTAGTCCTTGATAGTCTCATTGCTTTCTGGCACAACAAGATTTCTCAGGTACATCTTGTATATTTCTGCCCCCAGACCTTGAATCAGCTATTACTCATTGGAATTGTTATTTTTATTTCTCTTCTTGAGAAAGTCATTGTCTTTTCACAGATTCAAAAGATATTTGTATTTTCTTTTCTCTAAAGTCAGTGTTTTTCATTTTTCCCTAAAGGGTTATTTTTTTCTAGTTAATTTATATGATTTCTTTGTTATGGTAAAAAATAGCCAATGTCTCTGATATAAACTCGAAATATTAGCCACATTTGCTATTTGCCATTTGACCATTTAAGGCATTTTTATGCCATATATTTTTTAATGTAGTAAAGTTTATTAATTTTTCTCTTTTACGACACTTAGTTTTAATTCATATTTAACAAATCTTTTCCCAATCTTAGATTATAAGAAATACTTTTTCCAAACATTTTGGGGCTTCATTTTTTAATCTTTTAATAATCTTTGATCATCTAGAATTTATCTTTGTGTAAGATGTGAGATATGGATCCAATTTATTTGTTCCCATATGGCTGAAAAGTTATCTCCATACCATTTATTGAATAATCCATCTTTTTCTCACTATTTGAAATATCAAGTTTATCACTGAAATTTGCTATGGAATTTTTATTCGAATCCACTGTTCTGTCTTTCCATTCATATAGCAGTACCATATTACTTTATAATATATTTTATTATCTAACAGGTAATGTTGTTTTACAAATTTTCATGGATAATTTTATACAACAATTTTTTCATTTCAGTTTATTGTTTCCAAAGGAAATATATTGGCATTTTAGTTGAGATCATGTTAAATTTGTAGATTAACCAGAGAAGAATGGATATCTTTGTGATGTTGACATCTTATTTAAGACATGATGTGACTTTCAACTCTCCAATTATTTAAGCTTTTTCTGTCACTTCGTAGTATTTAAACATTTTTTTCCATATACAGCATATAGAACTTTTCCCTTTTTTTGGTGTCAGTTATGGTATGGGCTCAGCTGTTATTGCAAACAAACAAACAACACACACAAAGCAAAACAAACAAGGTAAGTTTATTTTCATGATTCTAGATTTTTCAGAGACTCAGGTTGCTTTTCTCTTCTTGCTTTACTGTTCTATAGGGTGTACTTACTCTTTTGGTAAAAGTCAGTTTAATACCATCACATCTATCTTGGATCTTGTTGGAAAGGGAAAAAGAGTGGTCTAGGATCTTCAAGGAGATGATTAGGACATTTCCCATATTACCTTTGCTTACCTTTATTGGCTCCCAAAATAAGCATATAGCACACCTAGCTGAAAGAAAGGCTTGCACATGGAGTGTCCGGGTATTCAGGTGAGCAAACATGCTTATGGTTTAAACTCAGAGAGTTCTATTACTTAAAGTAGAAGCAAAGAATAAGTACTGGGGTTGGGGGAAAAATAATAATTTTGTAAATTTTATCTTTTTAGTTGCTAATGAAAATAGACTTTTTTTTCCATTATAGCTTTTGAGTGATTGTTGTTTGTAACATGAAGGTTATATTCTACCAATTATTATTATTTTTTGTCAAGTCATCCCCTCATCGAATTATTTTGTTTCATGATAGAGTTCATTTTCTTCAAATATCCAGATTAAAAAGATCATCCGTAAAGAATTATAATTTTATATACTTTATAAATCATATCCCTCTGATGTAATTATATTAACTAACTGCTTTGGCTAGCAACTCCAGAATGATATTAAATAATAGTGGTGATAAAAGATAACTTAATTGTGTTTCTGACTTTAATGGAACAGCTTTCAATATTTTCCTATAAATATGATGTTTGCTTTTAGGTCAAATATGGTATGCATATTATCATATTAAGATATGCATAATATTAGAAAAAATATAGCTTTTCTATTTTATTAAGTTTTTATTTCATCAAGATTGACTGTTGAATTTTACTTGATGAGTTTAGGCTTCCATAAAGATAATAGTATAAATTTTCACTTTAAATCTGTTAGTATGAAAATTAATATTAACACTGAACTTCCTTCATATACTTAAAATAATGATATGCTGTCATGGAAAATTATTTTTTATCTATTATTATATTATTTGTTAACATTTTATTTAGTATTTTTGCAGCCATACTCAGAGTGAGATTGATTTTAAATATCTTTGACTCTTTTGTTCTAAAAATATTTTCGAAGTTTTTATTATGTTAATATGTCTTAGATCTTTTAAAATAGTATTAGAGTTATCTGTTCCTCTGATCTTTCCTGTTTAGGCTCAGTATACTGAGGAGGTTTTGAGCTTTAGTAATGTTTTCAACTTGTAATGAGCTATCACAATTTCTCTCTCTTCTGTGATATTTTGCTAATTTATAATCTCCAGAAAATGATCCATTTTAACCTAGTTTTTAAAATTATTTACAAAAAGCAAGCACATTGGTATTTTAAGATTCTTTTGATTTCTTGTATCTGGGGTTATTTTTGTATAATTATTTTCTATTTTGCATATTTGTGCTTTTTCAGTTTTTGTTTTGAGTGATATTTAGTGATGTATCAATTAACTCTCTGCGTATGCATATGTGTGTGTGTTTATAGCCAATTCTTGTGTTTATTTATTAGTTCTATCATTTTTCTGAGTCACTATGTTCTGAGTATTTCTCTTGAATATAGCATGTAATTGAGATTTGCTTTGTAGTCTGATCTGAAAATCTATTTTAATAGGTAAGTTTATCTCATTTGTATTTTTATATGAAACATATGTTTTGCTGTAGGTATGTTGTCATATTTTATGCTATACTTACTAAATAATGACAGAACTCATTTCTGTTCATTTCTTTCCTTTTCAGTTTTCATGCTTATAACTTCAAATAAACTTAAGCTCTATTATTTGATTTATCAACTAAAATGTCTTGACCTCCTCCAGCTCTAAAAGTTCTGCTTTCCCCTTGTCCTTCCCAGCATATATGACATTTTTATTCTCTTACTTAAGCATCATCCTCACATTTGCTTTAATCTTAGTTCTTACTCTGAAATGGACTCTGTGTCACTGCCAGGCATTTTCAAAAAGTTTTTCCATTCATTACTTTGTTGGCTGAATTTTTTTAATTTATTTTAAATGAATGTGTGTAAATGCTTATGTCTTTTCATTTACTTGAAAAATTATTTGCCTAGAAATATAATTATGAATCACTTTTTTTCTTTGAATACTTTGCAGGAATTACCCATTCTCTTTCAGTATTTTTAGGGAGAAATCTAGTATGAGTCAGATTTTTTTTTTTAAGTTTTATAGGTAACATTATTATTATTATTATTCTGTCTGACATCTTTTTTTGTCTCACAGAAATCAGTCACTTTATTAAGAAATGCCTTTGGATTGATTTTTCTGTATGAGTTTTTCCTTTTGTTTTCCTGGGACATAGCGTGTTTATATTTCATAGATTCAAATCCTTTCTGTTTCTGAAAAGTTTCTTGAATTATATCCTTAAATACTTATACTGCTCTGTTACTTTGGTTTTCTTTTATATGTATAATTTCAATTTTTATTTTAGATTTAGAGAGTACATGTGCAGGTTTGTTACATGTTTATATCTTGTGATGCTGAGATTTGCATACAATTGAGCTCCTTACCCAGGTGGTGAGTATAATACCCAATAATAGGTAGTTTTTCAGCCATTGCAAACTTTCTCACTCCCTGCTTAGTAGTCCCCAGTGACTACTGTTGCCATCTTTATGTCCACAATAACACAACGTTTAGCTTGCATTTGTAAGTGAGAAGATGTGGTATTTGGTTTTCTGTTCCTGCGTTAACTTTACTTAGGATAATGACCTCCAGCTGCAGCCATATTGCCTTAAAGGACATGATTTTATTTTTTTTATGGCTGTGTAGTATTTCATGGTGTATATGTACCATATTTTCTTTATCCATTCCTCTATTGATGGGCACCTGGGTTGGTCCCATGTCTTTGCTATTGTGAATGGTGCTGCAGTGAACATATGAATGCATGTGTCTTTTATGTAGAAAGATTTATTTTCATTTGGATATATATCTAGTAATGGGATTGCTGGGTCTAACGATAGCTCCACTTTTAGTTTTTTAAGAAATCTCCAAACTGCTTTCCACAGAGGATGAACTAATATACATTACCACCAACAGTATATAAGTGTTCCCTTTTCTCTGCAGCCTCGCCAGCATCTATTGTTTTTTGACTTTTTAGTAATAGCCATTTTGACTGGAGTGAGATGGTATCTTATTGTGTTATCTTATTGTGGATTTGATTTGCATTTCCCTGATAATTAGTGATGTTGAGCATTTTTCTTATGTTTGTTGACTATTTGTACATCTCCTTTTGAGAAGTATCTTGTTTATGTCCTTGATCAGTTTATAATGAAGTTATTTGTTTTTACTTGTTGAACTGTTTAGGTTTCTTATAGATTCTGGATATTAGACCTTTGTTAGATGCATAGTTTACGAATATTTTCTCCCATTCTGTAGATTGTCTGTTTATTCTGTTCATATTTTTTTTGATAAGTAGAAGCTCTTTAGTTTAATTAGATCCTGCTTGTCAATTTTTGGTTTTGTTGCAATTGCTTTTGAGGACTTAGTCATAAATTATTTTCCAAGGCTGATGTCCAGAACAGTGTTTCCTAGTTTTTTTTTTTTCTAGGATTCTTATAATTCAAAGTCTTACATTTCAGTATTTAATCCATCTTGGGTTAATTTTTGTGTATGGTGAGAGGTAGGGGTTCAGTTTCATTCTTCTGCATTTGGTTAGCCAATTATCACAGCATCATTTATTGAATAGAGTATCTTTTCCCCATTTTTAATTTTTGTTGACTTTGTTGAAGATCAGTTGGTTGTAGATGTGTGGCTTTATTTCTGGGTTCTCTGTTCTGTTTCATTGATCCATGTGTCTGTTTTTATTTCCAGTACCATGCGGTTTGGGTACTGTGGACTTACAGTATAGTTTGAAGTTGGGTAATGTGATGCCTCTTGCTTTGTTCTTTTTGCTTAGGATAGCTTTGGCTATTCAGTCTCTTGCTTTTGGTTCCATATGTATTTTAGAATAGTTTTTTTCTAATTCTGTGAAAAATGACATTGGTAGTTTGATAGGAATAGTGTTGAATCTGTAAATTGCTTTGGACAGTTTAGCCATTTTAATGATATTGATTTATCCAATCCATGAGGATGGGATGCTTTTCCATTTGTTTGTGTCATCTACAATTTCTTTCAGCAGTGTTTTTTAGTTCTCCTTGTAGAGGTCTTTCACTTCCTTAGTTAGATGTATTTCTGGGTATTTTATTTGTGTGTGTGTGTGTGTGTGTGTGTGTGTGTGTGTGTGTGTCTATTGTAAATAGGATTGCCTTCTTGATTTCAGCTTGAACTTTATTGGTGTATAGATATGCTACTGATTATTGTACTAAAACTTTACTAAAGTTGTTTATCAATTCCAGGAGCCTTTTGGCAGAGCCTTCAGGGTTTTCTAGGTATAGAATTGTATTATCAGTGAAGAGAGACAGTTTGACTTATTTTCCTGTTTGGGTGCCTTTTACTTCTTTCTCTTGCCTGATTGCTCTGGCTAGGACTTCCTGGTTCTCTTATTTACAAACACTTATTTTGTATTTTGGTGCTCTCTTTGCCAATCTTTAATATAATAATTTTCATTCCAGATTCCCTTTAATTCTTTGTTTATTTTCACTTCACTTATTATATTTGCTATCTCAAATTTGTCTTTTTATTATTCTTACTATGATTTCGCCAATTCTGAGTCCCCTTGTATTGCTTCCACTCAGACATTCATTATTATGATTGTCCACATCATTGCTTCACACTCACCCATACAGACATACTCACTACACGTTTTCTTGAGCACAGGTTTTCTTCTGTGTACTCTTTTATTAAGCAAATTATTTCATTGGATTTTGAAAATTCAAGGTCAAATTTTTTTATTTGCTTATTACTGAGTGTTGTGTGTGTGTGAGCATTTTGCATCTGCCATTTCTATTTTCAGCATTCCATAATTTTATCCTTGTGGTATTGTGTAGCTTCTTTGCTCATTCCTTTTATACTATTTCTCATTCTTGACTACAGTTTTTCCTTAACCTTCTACTGCAGGATATTCATGGTAGAGAGTGGCCAGGGCTAGCTGGAATTCTTCCTATAGGGTGCGTGTGTGTGTGTGTTTGTGTGTGTGTGTGAGAGAGAGAGAGAAAAAAAGAGATTTTATATGCACTCCAAGGCTGTTCATATTGCCAAATCTTTCCTCTTTTACCACTGCCAACCCCTGTCCCTCAGACACACCCCTAGAGGCTGAACCACCCCCTCTTGTTCTACTTTCTCTAGAGTTTGTGCCAAGTGGGATCAAGTGAAGTACTGCCTCTAGTCTCCACTGTCTATTCCCACTGTTGCAAATATGTTATTTTTGTTTGTTTTCTTTGTATTGTTTTAAACTTCAGTATCTGCCACTCTCAGATTTGTCCTTGGCAAGTTTTCTCTGATTTCTATAGCTTCCCTTCCCACATGATTTTTTGAACTTCAGTGCTTTGCTAGGGTTTTCTTCTATTTTGTGATTCAGAGTTTCAGGCATGTCAGATTCACTGGGGATGGTGTTTGCATTGTTCTCTCTTCTTCCTCGTCCTGCTTTAAAATGAGTTCCCACAGAAGAATGGAAAGAAATTTAACTTCATGTGCTTATTTTTAAGTTATAAGTCCTACTTTGAAATTTTCCTTATTTTCTCATTAATATTTTTCAGGTATGTTGATATGTTCTTTTGTTCTCCCTTAGGTAGACATAGGGAATCCTTGATACTATTGTTCCCTTTACTTTTTCTTCTTCTTGCTAGATAATTATACTTCTCTTGGCATTTTCTCATAGTGACAAATTAAAAATTCTGTTGGTTTTGATTTTACTGCAGAAGCACTTATAACAGTCTATGGCACATATTTAGTGTTCAATAAACGTTAGCTTAATCTGAATCTCATTACAGTTTCTTGTTCTTATTCCTAAAGAAGAAAATAACCTACAACCTAAATTAAAATTTAAAATTACTTTATAATGATGAACTATGTTTTCTGAGATTATGCACTGAGTTCTAATGATAGAAACGTGATGGGTATTTCTTTGTATCTGAAATATTATGCATCCAGTGAGAGAGAATGTAAACTACTAAAATGTACTTAAAGTGAAAAATAAATCTAGAGTTCCGTATAATGAATTATGAATAATTTTAATTTTGGAGTCACTTGTTTATTTTTAAGAATATATTGCACTGTTATTAGGTACTTGCTAAAACCTGAATAAGAATCATGTGGCCCTATTATTTTTCCCTAAAGACCAAACACAGTTTAGATAGGATACTTTTTCTGCTTTATGCTTTGGTCTGAAGCAGTGGGCAATAAAACGCATGGTAGCAATGAGACCACATCACATAGATTATATTGGACACGTATGACTGTAATTGTCATATCTTATTAGAGTATTCTAATTGAACTAAATTTTTAAAACTGGTCTTTTCTGCTAGTTACTGCATTTATGTTTTCCTCATATGGCTTATTTTTTCTAAGTTTGTTCTTGAATAACTTTATTTTTTTTCTTCGAGTAACATTTTAGATGTTAAATTCCCAGTTGGCAGGAGCCATATCTATGTTTTATCTAGCCTGATGCTGTGATTAATAAATGTTTTTGTGATTAGGATAATCTGTTACCTTCTGCCCTTTATCTCTGTTTCTTTTTCTTCTCCCACTCTCTTTTTACACCTGTATGTAGTCTTTGCTGGACTTCTGTGCTGTTCATTTTTGCTGTTCTATCCAGGTCTGCTGGTGGCTATGGGATCTTTTTAAACTGATAATTCTATTTTCAGTAGAAAAAAATCAGTTAACAATTCATTTGATGCAATTTCAAACAGCCCTCTTTGGCTGCCTGGAGTAATCTGGAGAAGTATGAAAGTTCTAGTATCATTCAAATCTCTTAATTTGGACAGTTACCGTGATCATATTATTCTGAGGGCAAATCGAACTGCTTTCCTCCTGGTGTCCTTTGTAAAGACAGGAGCCTTGGAGCTATCTGGGGCAGAGAGCTCCCTCATTTATAATTTAAGTCCTGGAACGTACTATCCACATTCATGGTACTACACAAATAAAAAATAAAGAATGCCACTAGACAGCACAAATAATCAACTGTTACCAACTGTGAAACTCTAAAGGGGTGAGGAGGAGGATGGGAAGCAAAATCTAATAAAAGTTATGTATAAACTGTTCCATGAAAGTCATTTTTTATTACAAAAGCAATAACACCTTTCCATCAACTTTGTACAACAATTTTAATAACTTTTAGTGAATGTTAGTAAATCATATTGACCCTTAAGGTCCCTGGATGGCTAGAAATAAACATGCACAGATTAACCATGTTGTTGCTCTTCAGCTCTGTTGTGCAAACAATTATGAACAAGGTCAGACCAGGGCACCATTGTTATTGTTTGCCAACCAATTTATTCCTAAGACCCTTGACCTCATTTTAATGTGTGAATTCAAAAGAATACTCCATGCAGTATTGCAAGCTGCAGCCACACAAAATTGGGAAGTTGGCATGTTTTTCTGCCAACAGGGGGTTGGAAATTCTGTTAGAAACTCATTTAATGCAGTTGAATGTTCATGCATCATTTAAAAACTCTGATTCACCCAAAATGCTTTTATTTGTCATGTAAATGTAATATGTCAGGTCTGCTATGAAACTACATGGAAAAGCTAAAATTGGACCTGGTAAGTGAAGTTTCCTTTCTTTGTAAATTTATAGCAACCTCAACTAATTTTCCAATTGCTTTATACTTTGGTCTTTTAAATTCTTTTTTATTTTTTTAATAATGTGCCTTTTGTCAGATTTCAAATACCGTTGACAGCTTTTTTTCTAAATATTACTTAATTTGAAGGTTTAACCTTTTAATTTAAGAGCTCATAGTTTTAAATGAAAACAAAATATTTTGGAACTAGTTGGACTGAATAAAAATAAGCAAATTCACATGGTAGTTCATTTGAGTTATGGGTATGTTGTTCAGGAAGCAGAAAATGACCTGAAAGGTGAATACAAAGAAGAGAGAATGAATCATAGGAAAAAATTTAATCTAATGTGCTTTAAAGCCAATTATATTTTTAATACCATCTATCCTCATTGGGCCTTCAAGAGGCATACACATATTGCTAGAGCTGTCATTAGGATTTCTGGAATGACTTTAAATCTTTCTGTGGCAAATATTTCCAATCATTTGTAAACTTAATTATCAAGTTAGCAAGCACCCAGATTTGATTAACATGTTTGCAAACATGATTATGCACCAGAAACAGCATCTATACTTCTTCCCTCTGATACCCCTTTAATCTCTTCACAGTGCAACGCTTGTCTGTGCTCAAATTAAGAATCTGTATTAGAAGCCACAGATGCAATATCTGTATATTACAGTAAGAGAAAAGACAAGGTTTGTTCTCAATTCCCCTTGCTGTTATTTTCTTCCTTTGTAAATTACTGAACGCAACACATTCTCTCAACTTATATTTTATGTAAGTCTCAAATGGTATCATAAATAGTGTATGCACAGACATATATTCCTGGATTAGACAAAAAAATGATGCTGCTACTAAAGTTTGGTTTAATGAATTTCTAAAGCTCCCTGTTAATTCTATTTCATGGTAGCTTTGCATTTTATGGAATTTGAAAGCACGAGCTGTAATTGCTAATATCCAAATTAAGTTAAGTAAACTATAGAGTTTGGTGCTGCTCTTTGCCTTATGGTTGATTCATATGAAGTCAGTATCATCTATATTTTCTGTGCTTCCCTAGTATACCCTTACTGACACATTCATATTAATCAATTTAAAATACTAGATTTCTAGTCTAGTCATTTATTGTTACACAATTGCTATTAATAATATGATCCTCAATCCATTTTATTATTTCCATGGTTTTCTAAACATGAAAATACCCCTGAGTATTGTGCCACATATCTTAACCAACCTTATTTCATTTAATAATTTTTAGTCCCAAACAGGGGAGACTAGATTTATTTTTCCCTCCAGGTAGCTCCCTGAGACTGTGTCTGAACCCAACTTGCTACCTGGCATGGTTGATGTGCCTCCATGGACTCTCTTGGAGGTGGCAAATGCAGATACTTATCATTGGTATGCTCTCCATTAAGAGGACAGCTTAGATCAAAAAGAGGTTTCAGGGGAACTATTAACAGTGCTGTTTCCTTCTGTCACTGGTCCCTAAGCATTTTGAAAGGAACTTAAAAAAAAGATAGATACTTTGATTTTTCCCCCCAAAAGCCTTGAGATCATTCATGTTAAGAGTAGGGAGGAGTAGGTGATAAGAGTAAATCTCCAAGTGTATGTGTCTTTAGGGAAGGGATTTTGAGGTGATTGCTGACAGTGCTCTGAAGGATTACCCAGGGTAAGGTATGATGTAGTGTGTTGCTGAGGATACTAGAAACTCATGTGTATGCCTGTTTTTCTAAGAGACCTGAATAGAGCAATCCAGGTCTTCTTCACCCTGAAAATAAAGCAAATGGTCTGGTCCTCCACTGAATAATTTTAGTCTTCAATTTAGTTAGGCTCATTTTAATTTGGCAAATATTTATTAGCAGATGAAGTTTAGGAACATCCCATCAAAGTAAAAAAAAAAAAACAAAGCGAAGCTTATGATTTTATGGAACAAAAGTCTTTAAGAAAGTCACAGTGAAAAACAGAACCTCAAAAATTGTGTAGAGAATTTCTAACATGAAGTTGCCTCTGAGTTTTACTTCCCCAAGAGATAATCTCATATCTTGTTGGGGGATAGCTGGCCCTCTCCCCGCTCAGAAAGACAAAACAAACCCAAAACAGCTGAGTCTGAGGAAAGACAAAGGCCAAAGGTTAGAATTTCCAGCAGGATTTTACTTAGAGAGGGGACATGAAAGTGATTTTGCTATGATATTTTTGTTATCAGTTAAAAACTTTGCCCTTTATTTTGAATTTGTCCTTGGATAACACCTCCTGGATCATCCTCCTTGGCTTCATTTATCACAGCTAGCAAGTAAGTCTTTTCTTATCTTGGCCTATTGCCACAGCCTAGCTTGAATTTAGAAGCCTAGGTACTTTGCTTGGAGAGGCATTGGATATCATTCTTTGAAACTCTGTTTTTCATTATCAGGTAGTCCAAATGGTCAGGCAGATGCCTTCTATAAGAATTTCAAAATACCAAAAGGTACAAGGTACCACTTCTGAGAATCTCCTAAAAAGTTTTGACTACCCAGAGGCAGCTAGCCCAAGGCAGATGTTAATCTCAAGAGAACAACAGTTTCCTCATCTCTAAAAGGGGAATAATAACTCAACATATCTCATAGTGCTATTGAAGTGTAGAATGAGGCATGGAATGCTGAGGCAATTGCCACTCTCACATGGGTGAGAAAACCTTTCAGATCCTTAGGTTACATTCCCTCAGCCCACCACCCACAGACTGATACCCAAACAGAGCACATCAACCAAGTAGATAGGGACATTGTTGGTAGCATGATTTGTCCCTTTATCTTGCTATAGGATTATTTGTATATAAAATACGCTACAACTTTGCAGCTAGGATATCATATTTCACAGTTTCTACTTCTCATATGTTCTTCTGGCTTATTGATGCTCTAATATCATCAGTACCCAGGAAGTTTTGGGCCACCCAGATTGACTCTGAGGCCACTGTCTTAGTCCATTTTGTGCTCCTGTAACAGAATACCAGTGACTGGGTAATTTAAAGCAATTTATTTCTCACAGTTCTGGAGGAGGCTGGAAAGTCCAAGGTCAAGGGGCTAGTACCTAGTGAGGGCCTCCTTGATGGATCATCCCATAATGGAAGGCAGAGGGTGAGAGCACACAAGATAGATAGAGAGAGAGAGAGAGAGAGAGAGAGAGAGAGAGAGAGAGAGAGAGAGAGAAGAACCTGGTTTTATAACAAATCCACTATCCTGAGAATGTTATTATTATCTCCATGATAATGACATTCTCAGGAGAGAATCATGGAGATAATAATGACATTATTCCATCTCTTAAAGAGCACACCTTTCAACATTGTCACGTTAGGGTTACATTTCCAACACTTAAACTTTGGATGGCACATTTAAACCACAGCAGCCACTTTCTGGATCATCAAGAGTTATATAGGAATTGTGTTCACTTGCATAAATCCTAGAAAAAGGCATATAAATAGAAAGGATTTTTGGCTCTCCTTTTATGACTCTGTGCCTAAGGAAACCTAAGGATTATATCATGGAATTCATTGAGGGCATAAATGTATGTATCCTGTGGCTTTCTGATTCTAGTGGCCCCCTTTAAGCTTTTTCATCAATGCTTCCACTGCACTAAACTCCATAAAGTTCATTAGGCAAGATTACTCTGAACAGGAAATACAAATATTTTTAATTTCAATTATAATTTTTATTTTTTGAGACAGAGTCTCTCTCTGTCTCCCAAGTTGGAGTGCAGTGGTGTGATCTCGGCTCACTGCAACTTCTACCTCCCGGGTTTGAGCAATTCTCCTGTTTCAGCCTCCCGAATAGCTGGGACTACAGGCGCAAGCCGCTATGCCCGGCTAATTTTTGTATTTTTAGTAGAGATGGGGTTTCACCATGTTGGTCAGGCTGGTCTTGAACTCCTGACCTCAGGTGATCCGCCCACCTCGGCCTCCCAAAGTGCTGGGATTATAGGCGTGAGGCACCGTGCCCAGCCCCCTACAAATATTTATTTAGAGAAGTTCTGGCTCCTACCAGCACTGGAGCCAACATCAGTAATGAGTCCCCCAGTAAACAAAACAAAACAAAATACATTCTGCATCCAAAATGAGTTAGGATTATCCATTAACCACACAAAGAAATCAAGGACTGTTAGGCCCCAAGAATGGACCTGAGCAAAGCAATGATGCTCTATGTCTAAGTATGTTTCTCATCTTTTTAGATGTATTATTTGGAGGAATGGTGAACAAATCAGACTATTGTAATTTATGTTGCAGTAAAAAATAACCCCAAATTTCAGTGATTTACATCTGTAAATTGCTCATGCTATGTGTCCATTGTAGGATGGCTGCAACTATCTGGAACTCTGTTGGTCTCATGGCAGAGATGACAGATGAACTGTGGTAGACTACACCCATGATCTTAAAGCTTCTATCTGAAAATGACACATGTCACTTTTGTTCATATTTTATTTGCCAGAGATATAGTCCCAAGGCCACCTCAGACACCAAAGCATAATCCTTCTCCAGGGATGGGCAGCTAATATTTTGAAAATTAACATAACTGACTGATAATTAGGTAGTTATTTGCTTTAGGGTTTTTGCTTAGAAGCTGACTTTAATCGTGCATTCCATTTTCATGTACTATGCCCCAAAAGACAAGTTTGAATGCATTGCAACCCTCATTTTGGAACAAATACCCTGTATTAGTCTGCGTGGGCTGCCGTAACAAAATACCATAGACTGGCTGACTTAAACAACAAAACTTTATTTCATCTCCACTTAGCCAACAGTTCCAGAGGCTTGAAGGCTGAGATCAGGGTGCCAGCATGGTTGGTTTCTGGTAAGGGCTCTCCCCTTAGGTGGAAGATGACCACTTTCTCACTGTGTGCTCACATGACCTCTGCTTTGTGTGAACAAAGAGAAAGAGCAGACTCTCTGTTGTCTCTTCCTATAAGGGCACTGATCCCATTATGAAAGCCTCATTTCAGGACCTCATCTAACCTTAGTTACCCCACAAAGGTCCCATCTCCAAATACTATCACACTGGGGGTTAGAATTTCAGCATTTTAATTTTGGGAAGACACAATTTAGTTCATAGCATACCCACTCCCACCTCTTGCAATCAACTTGACCTCTGAAGCAGCAACATAAATGTTTTATTTCTTTTCTCAGTGGGCATGAGCCATTGGGATTTACTACTCAGGCTCCCATTGTTTCCAGGGCATTCCTGACCATAAGGACATCTATCCATTCTCAGCTTGATGTTGGCTGTTTCTTCTTTGGGGTGAACAGTAGTTTACTCCTTCCCCAGAGCTGAGCCCCTCACACCAATATACCTCAGTGATATAGTTGGATAAAAATATTTTCTAATTCACCCTAGAAAATTTCCTTTTCCTCAGCCTCCTTTCATGTGCCCTGCAGTTATCACTGATTGCTTTCCCTGCTTTTTTCTGTTGTCTCTATGTCACAGAACCCTTGTTAATTCCACCAGGTGGGAATTAACTCAATTATTTTCATGGATGGCTGCCATATTTCTCTTGTTTCCTACTGACTCTGTTATCTTTATTCATTCCTTTTCTTTTATGTCTAGACAAGAAAGTAATTTACAGTTATTTATGGTCTTCAATTTTCCTGCTGGTCTTCTGTTATTCTTTTCCTATTACACATTCAGATGATTTTACTCCTCTGTTCAGAGCTCATAAGAGGCAGCATCACAAAGCCCTTGGGATAAAATCAAAACTCCTCACCATTCCCACAAAGTCCTGCAGGACCTGGCTCCTGCCTTCCTCTCTGACTGCACTTCATATTATTCCCTCCCTTTGCTCACTCTGCTTGAGCTGCACAGGCCTTCTCTCTGTGCCTTGAACAAACCAAGCTCTCTGTGCTTCTGGCTCTTTTCCTTATTGTTCTGTCTTCTCCTAGCTTTTTCCATGGCTGGCTGATTCCATCCTCTGCTCCTCATTGAGACTTCCCTGGCCTCCTAAGAAAGGCCTCTTTCAGTTACAGGCTCTTACAACACCCTGATCACATTCTTTATAACAATAATAACTACTTATAATTTCTTTATTTGTTTTTACATGTATTGATTTCCATCATCAGAATATACTGTAAGGGCAAGAGTTTTGCCTTTAGCATTGCTGTGTGCCAGAACTCTGTATACTGCCTGACACTATGGTGTGTTTCCTAAAAGAATGATTAAACCATCATAGCACTGTTACATTAAATAAAATAAAAATTTGTTTTTTTCTAACTTCTATCCAGAAGGCCTATTTTGATTCTCTGGGATCTTACAGAATATATCTAATCTGCCTTCCATATACCACATGACACTTTATTAAATATTACAAGATTTTTGGGTCCTGTGTGCATTCTTTTCTATAGACTTAACATCTTCAGTTCCCTTAGCTATTTTTCAGGTAAAATGTGTTTTATGACCTTTCAACACCCTGTTGACTCTGTCTTTGATTTATGTTAATACTTATTAAATTATTCCTTTTGACATTTGGGACATCACCACAGCTAGACCACCCATTTCAGCATCCTCAGAAGGACATAAGAATAATGTAGATACTGAGAAATGGCTTCAGTAAAGTGGGACCAGGTCTCCCCAGCCATAATCATGGGCTCTTTCCTGGAAATGATTAGTCCTATTCCTGCTTAGCCATTGGCTTGTTTGTCATGTTCAATGGGCTAAGGAAGAAAAATGTGAAGGCACATAGGAAGAAGAATGCCCCTCTCCCTGCTCTAGGGCCAAACAACTGAGATCACCCTTTTTAAGCCTTCTCTCAATAGAGGTGGGGGAAGTTTTCAATCTGCTTGTTCAGCACTAAGACATTATTTAGTCTGAAATTACTAGCAGGTACAGTCACTGTACTTTAAAAAGCACAAACTTGGGTTTTTCCCTTGCTCTCTTGAACTTTTTCTTCCTTCCATGTAGTTTATTTCTCTGCATCTCTGAGACCTGGGTTACTTTTCTCTCTTTCTCCACGTGGCTGCATTAGTTGACTCAGATACATTCTTGGGGCCCAGTGAGCTTTCACTTTCTCTTAAGTGAAAGCATAGATAGTCCCATGTGGATCCCATTTCTCCTTATCTTTCATCTGACATCTGCATTTGACTTGAGGACACTTACATGGCCATCAGTATGTTCCTTAAAGATAGCCCATTAGTTCAATCTGCTAAAATCTTTTTTCTTGTTAATTCTGATGATTTTATCCAACATATTAAATGATATTCCAGTTACACATAATTTTCAAATGTTACCAGCGGAGTATCAATGTCTTTAATAAAACTTGTTCAACAGATAGAATTGAGTGCAGAACTTTCCATTATGCCATTAGACTCAGTGTACCAACATTCCTAACACCTATCTCTATGTTTAATGCTTTGTTAATTCAGATCTGCCATGTGAAGAGCATTCCTCATGTATATTTATCTTTAGCCAAAGACCAGAGTCTCCATGTTGAATGAACCTTTCACTGTGAACCTACTCATCTCAGTATTGATTCATCTTCTTACAAATCCATAATGTATAGATTGCATCAAATACATTATGCAACAATCCCTTAGTCATTTGGAATCAATCAGAGAGACTCTGAGTATATCTTTAAAGTGCTTTCTGATAATGAAATCTATATAATCTTTTCTTGAATTTTAGGTTAGAAAACTCTGAAGCAAATTTGAAGTTTAGGCCCAATGCCTGTGCACTATTTTGTGGGTAGTTTATTTGAGTCCTCCTATTATTCTTGGTTCTATATTTTATTCTTGATGGAATTGATATAGAAAGGGGGCAGGGAAGTGCTGGGAAGGGAAGGGCATGGTCCCTGGCTACGGCTCTACCCCTGAGCCTGTGCCCATGGACCTGTTTGAGGACAGGCACTCCTGCCTTTGCGCCCAAATGTTGTATTTCCGAAGAGCATCCTGCCCTGCCACGCCGCTATGCTGTGCCTATAAAAACCCCGAGACCCTAGCAGGCAGACACAAGCAGCTAGACGTGGAGAGGAACACATAGGCGGACAAAGACACAATTGGCTAGACATCAAGAAGATGTCGAGGGTAGCACGCTAGGAGAAGAGTGCACAACAGACGACAGCAGGCCATCTACCAGTGGAAAAAGGCAGAGTTTGGCTGGGGCAGTCAGAGGAAAGCCCAGGCCATCAAGCTGCCGGACTCCAGAGAAAAACCATCTCCCTTCTGGCTTCCCCATCTTCTGAGAGCTACTCCAGTCAATAAAACCTTGTACTCATTCTCCAAGCCCATGTGTGATCTGGTTCTTCTCGTACACCAAGACAAGAACCCCGGGACACAGAAAGCCCTCTGTCTTTGCCGTATGGCAGGGGTTTAATTGAGCTAACACACGCAGCCTATGGACAGCTAAACTAAAAGAGCACCCTGTAACACACACCCACTGGGGTTTCAGCTATAAACATTCACTCCTAGACACCGCTGTGGGGTCGGAGCCCCACAGCCTGCACATCTGTATGCTCCCCTAGAGGATTGAGCAGCGGGGCACTGAAGAAGCGAGCCACTCCCCTTGTCACACGCCCTGCGAGGGGACAAGAGAACCTTTCCCATTTCACAATGATGTTGTCAATGGCCTCCAATCTGTTTTGGATAGAAGAAGGAATAAATTAAAAATGTGTCTGTGGGTGTGTACTTAAAAATATTATTAGTTACTAATTCTGGAAATTTTAAACTGAAATATCGTTCTATCAGCTCTTCATCTGAAGTTAATCCAAAAGCACTCTCTAGGAATATTTGACTATACCAAATAAGAAAGCACCCTCTGAAATTGCTTTATCATCTCATTCTTTTAAAGAAATAACATTTTCATGAATAAATTTAGAAGAAAATAGATATAGGTATATACTTTGAACTGTGGTACCAATACACTGACTATCAAATCATCAGCATCCATATTCTTTATCTGTATGAACAGATTGTTAGTGATTTATCATTTCCTAGTCTCATTCTTACAGTGGTGATTTTTTTTGGGGATATGAAGGAAAAGGTTGAATGGGAGTATCTCAGTTTACTGAGCCTTAAGGCATGAGTCCATAAGGAATGAGTCCTTAAATAGTTCTTAATATGATCTTCTTTCTTATGTGCTGAACAACCAGCAAATATTTATGAATACGTATTATGTGCTACATATGATTTTAGGCACTGGAGACAGGCAGGTAAGACAGAGTTGTGGATAAATCATATTTAGCTTTGATTGTCCCTTATGTAGAGAAATGGATAAACCTCAGCTGATGGCAGCTGATACTTCCTTGCCATTTGAGTTCCCAGTACCATATCATGCAGAAGTTAAATAACTCCAAATGTTTCTAGAAATTTCCCTAGGGAGTGTATATTTTCATGATTACTACTACTGCCTGTATTCATGCAAGCTTTTAATGCTTCCCTTTCACCTAGATATAAAATTCAGTCTCTTCCACAGTTTCAACCTTTCCACTGTCTTCCTCATGTTGAACACATACATACACACATATGTGTGCACACACGTAACACATCCATGCTGAGAGGAGATATTTCTGAATGTGTATTTATTTATTTGTGGGGAACCAGATAAGAATTACATTGTAATGATATAAACAACCTCAAATTGAGCATTTCTTCCTGTTGACCACCTCAGAACTTAGTAGCTTAAAACAATGATTTGTGGTTCTTTCTCATAGTTCTGTGGGTTGACTGTGGTCATCTGAGAGGTGATCACACTTGAGGTCTTTCAATGTGGTTGAAATTACATGTCAGCTAAGGTGCAGTCATTTGAAGTCTGCACTGAGATGGACAGCAAACATAGCTCACTCACATGGCAAGCAGTTGATGCTGGCTGTTGGCTAAGAGTTTAGCTGGGGTTTTCAACTGAAGCACCTGCAAATGGTTCTCAAGTGGCCTGGTATTCTGTTATGGCAGTCCAAGCAGACTAATATAAGGAGTGAATTCCTTCACGTGCTAAACGATTGGCTCGAGTTAACTTCTTCAAAATTCATATAAATTGTACTCCATCTCATCTATAAAAATAAGATACTTTTTTATCTCAGATGGGCTGGCCAGTTATTTTATTAGACCTTGTTTAGAAATACATGCTACCTTTTCCCTCAGTAGCCTAAAGTGCAGGGCTGGGGTTTCTCAAATTAATCCTTTGTGTGAAGAATGACTTAAGTTTAGACAGTTAGGTATGTTAATCACTGATGTTCCCGGTTTCATCTTATTGATGAAAGTGTCAGAATAGCTTGAGAATGTTTTCAGCAGTATCAAATCATCATTAACTACTAATACAACAAGTAGAAGTCATCTACGTAGGCAGATTTAGACACTCAATATTTTAATGTTATATTTCTATTTTACACACACACTCACACATGCACACACACATATGCACACACACAGTCAGCCATCCGTCTCTGTAGGTTCCCCATTTGTAGATTCAACCAAATATGGACTGAAAATATTAATAAAAAATTGTGTCTATACTGAAAATGTATAGGTTTTTTTTCTTATCATCATTCCCTAAACAATACAGCATAACATCTATTTACATAGCATTTACATCACATTAGGTATTATAAGTATTCTAAAAAATGATATAAAGTATATGGGAGGATGTGCGTAGGTTATATGCAAATACTATGCCATTTTATATCAGACACTTGAGCATCTGTGGAGTTTGGTATCCTTGGGAGATCCTGAATCCATGGATACCCAGAGATGACTCTCTCTCTCTCCAAAGTAGAAATATGAATGTAAATTAGAAATATATATATTAGAAATATATATGTATATTTCTAAGTATGTCTCTAAATACTGCTGCTAAAATCATAACAAGAGGAAAGGATCTCATGAGATGTGATTCCAAATCATATCAAACAGGCATCTTAATGCTACTCTTTTAAAATATTTATTAAAACAACTTGATAAACAACTCAGAGACCTGGTTCTGTTTACTGTAAGCTATATAACCGTCACTTTGAAGCACAAAACAGATACAATTCATGTAATGTTTTAGAGTCAAGCTGGAACTGTGGTTTTAGAATTTCCACCATATTTTGATGGTATATGAATAAAAGGAAATTGGAGCTGTAAAGGATATTGAACTGCATAGTTATCCCAAAGAGATTCCTTAAGATTGGCATTCTCCCTTAGGCAGAGGGCATACTTTATTTTTAATGTTAGCTTGTGTTAGTCAACAGATAACTTACTTAGGTATTTAGAGATGTATTTTGCAGGTAAAATATTTTCGTTGACTCAGTGGCTTGTTTCATACTCAGACTATGAGGTAATAAGCAAAGACCCACTGATACTTCTTCACTTTATTGAAGGGAGGAGACAGTTGGATTAAAACCTTTTCGGGCTCAGGTTCTATCGTTCTACACTGTATGATGTAGAAAGGTAAGATCACAATGAATCAATAGTAAAGAAATATGAGAAAATTAAAAAAAATATATATATGTATATATTCTGCATAAAAGCACATGCCCTTTGGCCTGATGTGGATGATGGTCATGTTGTACTTGTAATTAGGGAGAAAAGCAGATTATAAAACACTGTGCATATTATGACCTTATTTCAGTTAAAACATAGTAGTACATATAATTGTGTAAAAATATATTGAATTATTAACTCAAGGGAGATCTATAATTTCACTTTGCCTATACCTGACTAAGGATTGCGTGTTTGTGTGTATGTGTGTGTGTGTGTGTGTGTGTGTGTGTGGTGGATTTATATGGAAATCTGTATACCAAAATAAGTTCGCTTGGAGTGGCAGGATTTTAGGTGATTCGTGTGTATACATTGTTTTATTTCTCAAACTTTGAACAGTGAGCAAGTATTGCTTTTCTAATATGATAAAATTATTTTTTAAAAAGTAAGCCATCTATGTTTTGTCTCTTAAACTTCCACTATAGTTAACTATAGTTAATTTGTCTCTATTTTCATTTTTATCAAGGATTATCTTTCTCTATATAGTTAGATTACCAAAAGCAAAATGGCTAGACTCCATTTTATCAGACTTTTACAAAAATACCTTCATTGAGTTACGATAAAATGGTGTGCCCTCTGTTGATGTGAGAATTGTCCTCTTGCCCATTATATTTATGCCTTTGGTAAAAAAAAATGTAATTTTTGATTTTATCCATTGTATGAATGTGTATTTATACAAGGATTCTTACCATAAATTCCTACATGAGAATAGTTGCAAAAGCAGATTTCTACAGATGAAAGTTTTATTCTTTTTGTTATTAGGGTAATAAAAACAATGTAATGCAACAGGTTTCTCTTTTACCTTATCTACTAATAAACTTAGTGTTGAATCAATTGTCCAAGAAATGTAATATTCTCCAATTTAATTACTGAAAGTTCTGCTACTTTTGGGTATATTCAACTTATTTGAAATACAAATGTTATGTTGTATTGTGTTTAAATATGTGAGTTATTTTATACACTTTCAGACATAGTTGTGAAAAGCTTATAAAATTGCTAATTAAGGAAAATGATGTGCAGAACCACTACCTATACACTTCATTCATTCTTTTATTTATTCATGTGTCAGAATATCATTATACAGGAATGCATCAATAAGCAAAACAGAAAAAGATTTTTACCCTCATGGAGACAAAAAGGGAGCTCAGATAATAAGCATGCTGAATAAATAAATTACATATTATGTTAGAATATGAAATATGTTATGAAAAAGAAAAGTATGGTATGAGGTATTAACATTATTAAAAATGCTTTATGCCACAATAGTAATAGGTAAAATACCCTTAGTTTCAAGAATCTCAGTTAACATTGCATATGCTTTTACTGGAATATTGTTTAAAATGTGTTAATTTGTCATTTTGGAACATGGTATTATTAAGCAACTATCTGCCAAGCAATGTACTAGTTGTTGGAGAAATTTTGGTAATATGATGGATGTGGTCTCTGCTCTCATGGAATTCTAATGTGTGGTGAAGGCAGATCTAGCTGTAGGACATTATGAGAAGGAAGATGGGATGGGAAAGTGCAAGTTGTATGCACGCGTGGAGGTAGGGCCGTTGACCTTGTTTGTGGGAACAGGAAAGGCTTCCCTTGATGAAACAATTATAAGATGAAAGTTGGAGTGTTTGCTGGCCAGGAAAATAGTGGAGATCTCATCCCTGGAAGATGGAATCTGTATCTAAACCCACAGAGGTGAAAGAGAGTAGGACAGACATTCAGAGAAACAAGAGGCTGTCATTGTGGCTGGAGCAGGGAGTCTGGGGGCAGAGGGGGTGAGGGCGGAAGGACGACTTCCCAGGAGAGAGCTAGGCAGGTGCCAGGCTAGGAAGGAGCTTTAATTTACACTGAAGGGTTTGAGTTTATGCTAAAGACAATGGAAAATGAATGAAGGATTTAGAGCATAAAGGCTTTTGGAACAACTGATGGACACTCACTTGATACAATTCCATCTTTCTCAGCACTGTCCCTTTCCAATCAGCTCTGTGGACTAGTTCTCTCTCTGTCATTAGAGGCAATCTCAGCCAGTTTCCATAAATTCTCCACTCACTCTTAAATACTAAAAAGATGGGGTCTTTTAGTAATATTGAACTTCTTTTTCGAGTCTATACTTCCCTCTGATTAGCACTTTTCATGCTATGTTCCTGGTCAAACCTCTTATCAGAAATGATTATGCTCTTTTTCAATTCTTCAGCTCCTTCTTAGAATTCTACCTGATGAAATCTGACATCTGCACCCACTTTCACACTGAAACTTCCCATTCCATGGTCATCCATGACATGACTCTTTAAACTTGGCTGGCTGGTATTCAGTATTTATGTGACTGATCAGTAAGTTGTGATGTTTTCACCAATGCCTCCTTATTGAAATAATCTCTTCACTTGGCTTCCGTGACACCACATTTTCCTAGTATTTTTCCATTGCATTTTAGGCCATTTCTTGTGAGTTTTATTTGCAAATTAGTATTCCCTTCTATTAAACATCAGTTAAATTATTGGTGTTACTCGGGGCTATTTCCTGGGCCCATGTCCTTCTCACTCCTCGCATTCTCCCTGAGCAAATGCATCCACTTCCCTAGCTTCACTTACTGACTATATGCCAATAACCCCAACATCTGTATCTCAGAAAAGCATTGTCTCTTCAGTTCCAGAATGTTTGAAATAGCTATAACGGAGAATTGGAAAGAGTGCCAACCAGAGAAATATAGCATCGTATCTGGACAGTGTTGATATTGGTGACTGTTACTTAATGTTGGCAACAATCTGGCTAGTCTAATAGACACTGAATTTTCTGTATTTTTTCCAGGTGGGTGGACAGAAAGACAATAGGAAAAGGAAATTGATGACATGGTCAACAACATTTGCAGGGTGGTGGGACTAACCTGCATAGGAAAATAAAACCGATAGGAAATTGATTAAAAAATAGAGAGTAAAGATTGGCATGTGGTTTGGAGATCCTAAAGAACAGTTTATTTGTAGTAATGTATAAGAATGCTGGAAGGTTACAACGTTGTGGTGGCAGAGTGAGATGTCTGAATTTATTTCAGAAGTAGAGGAGTCAGAGTCTCTAATACTGGCATAAAGTGGATGGCTGCATATGAGTGCAAGAGAATGTCTCTGGAGATAGAGACGACAAGGAACCAAGAAGCCACATTATTGAATGAGCCATCATGTGCATATTGCATCCTATTTGTAGGATAATACTGGATCCTGGGCTGGAGACAGACTTGAGAGGATGAAGAATGACCCAGAGGTCTGGAGATGACATGGATGAATTTGTGGCATTACTGATACATAGCAGCAAATGTGTTGTGTTAGGCAATATACAGCCAAGAGATTTTTCAATTTACACATATTCCATCTTTTTTCTCTATTTTGTTGTGGTTGGTAAGAGGATAAAGTCAGAGGAGTGTGATATTTTTCTGACCATCTTAAAATTGTTGTCATATAATTAAGTACTGCAATTTCAAGGGTCTTTGCACAATGCACAAGAAAGTGTAAATAGCTTACTGGAACCTCATTAGAATCAGTATTTTAAAAATATTGACAGTATAATATCATTCACCTGTGTTTATGCCTTCCCAGACTTGTGAAGTGATGATTAAATGTTTTCTGTTTCACACCTAAACCATGAGGGTTAAAAAGCTATGATGTTGAGGAAGAGAAAAACTTTTAGAATGTGCTGTAATAAGCCACTGAGATTTTTTTTTTTCAGAAATTTATTTAACAATGCTGCCTCAAAATATATGGGTAATTTTCGACTTTTTTTTTTTTTTCTGGACAGAGAGTGAGGTAAGAACCTCTATTTTGAGCACTGGCAAAGGAGAAATCCAAGGTCGGTGTGGTTTTCTTATTGATAATGTGTTCCTGGGCACATTGGCAAAGAGCCAAGCTCATCTTGCATTCTGGCCATTTGAGTCTTCTGTTCGTGAGGGAGGGAGCAGTGTGCCCAGGAATCAGGGCAGTGTTTCCAGCTGGTGGTAATAGCGGGGATCACGTTACAATTTTAGGAAAATCTGATACACTGAGGGAACCACATTCCTGACAGCAAGTACTGTACTTTCAGTAGAGTACAGTGAGGTGTTAGGATGTCTCATTTTCCCGGTAAAGGTTTTATGTAAACTGAAATGTCTTTCTGTGTATCTATTCACCTAACACTGCCAAGAGAGAAAAGAGGATTGAAACATAAATCTCATCTTATTACCACACCTAAATTGTTCCCTCTGATTCTGTCTTGATGCCTGACTCTTGCCTTGTTCCCCTGGCATAATAAATTTCTTAACCTAGATTCTCGATAAAATCCTCCATAATTTACTTTTATCTTAGAAGTTGTCATAAAAATACACTGACAACGCACAGCCCAAGGTGGTGTGGAATGAGCTACGTTGATCTGTTTGTATAGATAGAGATACACAACTGCTCTCAGATGGAAACATAGTGACTTTCCTCTTTGTTCCCATAAAAGAATATCTACCAATTCCAGAGAGGTTTCAGAGTGGGAAAATACGTGAAAGTCTTTTTACATATAGGAGTTGGGAAATTGAACTGGATGAAAATTTACTTATCTGTGAGTATGGTTGTTTATTTCATTTTGTGCACGTCTGATATTAATATTTAAACAACTAAGGAAATCATGTAGAAATGAGATCTTCACATATAAATCTGCTAAGATGGCACAGTTAGAATACTATTTTTAGAATAATAAGCCTAGTGGTTAAAGTGTCATGCACTGAAGATTAAGTACAGGAGGAAATTAATCGGGAGACAAGCACAGGGTTATGCGGAAGAAATCTCAGCCTCTCATTAGTGGAGTCAATCAAGAATTTTCAAGGCACAGTTTTTATCCCTGGAATAATCTTGGGGTCCCTATCTTAAACTTCAGGGAATTCTTCCACATTTGTTATATTTATATCCTTTCTTAATTAAAGTTCTCAAGTGTTGAAGGGTACAAAATTAGAAAGCATCTTTGAGGTACTCAGCACCTATGGGATGTTTCTATATTTCAACTGAGCCTTTGTGCTTTCATTTTCAGGCACCCCTTGACTGAGAATATGTCAAATGAGATGTATCAGTAACTGTTGTTGACTTTACTAAGTACCTTGAAATGAGAAAAAAAACAAAGTAGAAGAAGAAGAAAGAAAACAAAAGAAACAAACAAACAAAAAACAAACAGCAACCAGACTAACAATTGTTTTTTCCTAGGGTATGTTAAGACAGGAAAGTTTGAGGAAGAACTAAGGCAGGGGTAGCTGATGGATTCGGGTAGAGAAAAATATTTTCTATTTATTTTATTGCAGAGTCTGAGGTAATATTTTTCTCCCTGACTCCCTTACTTTCAAAATGAAGTACCCAGCAAATACGTGGGGGGTTTCATTTGGAGTTCAAAGCTGATTCAACATTTTGGCCCTGAGAAAGAAGTGGGTAATTGTGGAGAAACTGCTGAATAAATCTGCTTAAGCCCCAGTGCTCTGTTTACATGGATGGATCTTTTCCGAACAAGTGCTTTCTTCTAGAAGTCATTGATGGAGCCCACAGTGTGAAAACTGAAAAATGAGGCAAAGAAATACATGTATCTTGCTTCAAGTCGGGCAGCAGGACAGAATGAGAGCAGTGAGGATGGAGAGGTGGCTGCCATGGATAGCAGGGGCCATTGTAGGGTTCGCCAGAGATCTCAGGGATGCCTGCTGTCTCCTGCCTTCGGCTCCCAGGGGAGTTGGTCATGGTTCTCCTCCAGCTAACCCATCCCATGAAGCAGAAAACCATTTATTTTTCTGTTGCCAAAGAAGAAAACAAAGTGAGAAGAAAGAGCTAGTTAGGGGAATATCTGCAGGAAACGTAACATCTTCCCCCAACTTAGTACAGCCTTGGATCAGACTTTCCTGATCTCCATTGTCACCTCCTTACCTTATACCACATTAAGTTTCCTAACTGGTTTCCCTGTTTCTGGTCCCTCCACTTTAAGTATATTCTTCATCCCCCAGCCAGAGACCCAGTTAAACCATTTTATTTCCTGAGGTAAAATCTTACAATAGTCCTTTTTGCCTGCAGGAAGGAGGAATCTTCTCAGAGAAGCTCCCAACTTGTCCCCCTGTTGATGGCTCCTCAACCTTGTTTCTCACTACACTTTCCCAACTTCCTGCTCCGTCACACGTCACACGAACACTGCAAAAGCCTGTGCATCTGTTCTCCATAGAATTCCCTTCCCTTCTCACTAATAACTGCTCTGTTTCCTTCAAACCACAAGGGCTAGCTGCTTCCTCCAGGAAGTCTTTCTTAATCCCTTTACTGCTTCTCCCAGTAGGAGCCCAATGCCCGTCACCTGTGCTTCCCCAGGAGCTTGTCTGCTACAGATTACTATGGAAGAACTGGTTTCCCCACTGTATGGTGAAACCTGGAGGGCAGGCAGGGACTTTGTCTTTTTTTTTGTCTGAATACTTGCTTTATCTGGCACAGAGCAGGAACCCTGTGAGATAGTCAATGAAAATAGACTCACAGAGGCATGCTTTTGGTTTATGGCTGTAGCTGTTATTTTCCAAGCCTAGCATTATTTGCAATTCTTCCTTTTAGGCAGACACTCTTGATTCCCTTACTGAAAATTAATAGCTACTATTCCTAATGCCTTCAGGCAAAGTTTTCTCTGTACTATAATTTCTCAACATTTCATAACCAATTCCCCATTATTTGAAACTTCATAGCAATGTGTCTTTAGGTTTTCTTCTGTCTATAGTAAGACAGCTATAATATACTGTCAGGAAAATTATCTGGAACGTAGAAATAAGCAAAAGAGAATACTGGGTGTTCTTTCAGAACAGAATTGAACTTGATTTTTAAAAAAATTATTGGGTTATTTTAAAATCATATATTGGCAGAGGTTAACTTGTAGATTTTTGTCATGTAGAACCGATAACCCTAAACGTTTTGGTTTATGGCTCTGTTAGACACTAACCAATTTCATATCTAGCTCAGAAATCTATTAAATTGTCTATGTGTACCTAGCTTCTTCAATGATCTTTGGACCAGTTTTATCATCTTGCTGGCTACCTCATTAATTAATGAGTTATATTCAACTCTTGACATGCATTCATTTTATGTTTGTCTGAAAGTTGTGATTATACCCTTTTGACAATTATTCCTTAACAATAAACAGTAGAAAAATACTAGTCTTTTGGGGAATCAAAAATTTAATTCTGAATCTACTCTTACTGGTTTTATTTTCTTCTCAGCCACACGAAAGAGCATTAGTTCTTTATCTGCAAAATGAGGATGCTTGGCATTGGACAAGAATTAAATATCACATAAAATAAACTTGCAAACTCTAAAATGAAACAAAAATAGTACATTGTTATTTTCTATGGAGTTGCTATTTAAGTATCTTGTAGACTTTTTGTGTATTTTTGACCCAGTGAGACTTACAGCGACAATCTCAAGAAATCAAACACAATTAGAAGAATAATTGAACACATTACTTTTTAAATCATCTGCTCAATTTTCTTAATTTTAACTTGTACAGATACAAGGGGACCAATGTCTATTTTTATGGGTATAGAAATATAGGAGTTATTTAAATAAACTAATCAGTGCAAATAAACTTTTCCTGGCTATTTGTTTTAAGCATAAAATATCTGTGAGGTGGGGCTTGATGTTTATTTAGCAGAAGACTCTCTAAGAGCCTCATTTCTTAGTAAGAATCAACTTAGTCCTTAGGACAACAGCTTCCACCTCTACAGTAAGCCCTGGCGGCAACCTGGGAAGTGGAGATGTGGTTTTGTGTGTGTGTTTTAAAATGGATATGGCCAGATTTTGTCCGAAGAAAAGATTCTTAGTCTATATTAAACATTTGAAAAATAGTGACCTAGAGGATTTACATTTGGGTAAAGGAAGATTGACGGTAAACTCATTCATGACCATTGTGAAATATGAGGCAGGATGACAGAAATATTATTTGGGGCGTAGACATTTTGTTTCTGTCTTTAAAAAAAATCTTAAATATGGATTATAAAATGAATAATTAAGGAAATAGACTTAAAGCATGTTCTGATATGAGATAAAATTCAGCAAGAAGTACAGTTTTAAAGATTTTAAAACAGCAAAAATATATTTAAAATGTGATTGTGTTAGTTTAAAAAATACATTACTATGAATCTCAAAAATGTCTAATTTGTACAATACATTCTTTTTTCAGTCTATTTTCTCTCACACTAAATATTTACCTTACAATGTTAAGTGGCTTAAATGAGTGTCCCTCTCTCTCTTTGTCTCTCCCTCCCCTCTCTTTCCCTCCCTCTCTCTCCTACTTAGCACATAGTAGGAGATCAATAAATTAGTCACTCATATTGTTGACTCCTCCATGAATGTGAAAAACCTTAAGAGTCCTCTAGCATTAAGAGAGAGGAAAATATGATATTTTAGTCTACCAGCATACTGAATTTGAGGCAATTTAGGTCTATCACAAATAAGTGCTTGGCTGAAGTTGTTATATCAGCTAACTAACTCTCTTAGGATTTTCCTTGAAAGATAAAATAGCTAAATAATAAACATTTATAAAGCACCGCTGGTATGCCAGGAATTCTGCTAGGTGTCAATTCAACTAAGAAGAACATATTATATAAGCTTTGAAGGGTCTTTTAGAAAGAGAGACACATAAACTCAAACCTCCACACTATACGGTGGTAGGTACTGTATGCAACAGAGGAATGTAGCTGCCTCCTGGGAGCACAGAGGAACAATTCATTCCACCTGGGGGTGGGATGGATGGCAATTTTAGTGTCATAGGTAGGCTGATGGAGAATAGCCTTTGAATTCTGCTTTCATTCATTTCTTGGGAAATTGTTTGTTGCACCCATTACTGTGTGCAGAACACTATGACTTTCTGCTCCACTGATTGTTTATTGAATGTTTAAGAGGGCCCTCAGTGGGGAGGAGAACTTGGTGAAATGTTAGACTCTTGAAGTCACACAGGATAAGGTTTTGATCTATTATTTAGGAATATGGAATACATTTTGGGGGAAAATTTTGCCCTTGAAGACTAGAGAACATGGTGACACACAGGCTAAGGCCAAAAATCCCCCAGAGCCCTGTGAAGGGGGTTTTAAAGTGCTGCTAATTACCTCTGATTAAGAGCATTTGCTACTCCTGTTACACTCCCTAAAGCCTGAAAAATGGAAGCTCTTCTTTCAGCGAGAAAAGGGCTGATAGATTTGATTTTTCTCCTCTGTGTTAGTACTCTAAAGTCATAGGCATCAGATCATCTATTTGGAATCCAATTAGTGAATATTTAGGGCTCTGATCTTCCCCTAGTAATCCTAAAAACATGACTGTTCTATATAGCAAGGATTTAACATGGATTTTGTAGCTGGTGACAGTGCCGGAAATATCAGATTATCTGTGACAACAACAGAAGCTTTCCTCTTTCTCAGCTGGGATCTGCCACAACTGAAACTACCTGCTGTCCATATTTGACTTTCTAGAAGCTCTATATTAGGGTCTGCAGTGGGATGATTCCAAACCAATAAGCTAATACCCCGGTGTTGTGTCTTGAGGCTTTCTGGTTGATTTATATCAAAGGTGTGACTGGAAGCCTCCCACCTAAGACAGTTTTTTACTTTGCCTGCTAAGTGTTTTCAGTCTTGCAGGAGTGCCTGAAATATACCTGATAATCCTTTATTTCACTGGGTAAAAAATGAATAAATAACCAAGGAAGTCACATCACTAAAACATTGCTTTAATTTTATAAGTAATTTTCAAGTTTCTATAGAGTATTTACTCTCCAAATGTGAAAAGGAAATACAGATAATTTAGAAACCCCTTTAAACCCAAATTAGAGAGGATATTTTTAGCAGTTAAAAGGAAGTCATCCTGCGATTCAAGTAATCAGGATGACTGGCAGGATAAACAGGAATGCCTTCTATCGATAACAGAGGTTGTATTTTCTTTACCCAAGTTATGTGCTTTAAAAATTGTCAGTTAAATTTTCTGAGGTCATACAATATTCTGATTTAAAATATTGTGGGACATTTCATGGATACTCCCACTGATGGATAGAGATGAGTGTATAAATAAAAGCACTGTGAAAGCAAGAAGGAGATTGTCAACTGAAACACGTAGGAGCCAGCTTCATTACTTTAGAGATTCATAACACAGAACAGTGTCCAAGAGCCTCTGTGAAAAAGGAGACAAATGTATTTTATGTTTCTGACACCTATCTATTGAAATGACACACCAACAAAATTCACCTGGCTATTTTCATTCTTAAAAATAGAATTCCCAAATGGATTTGACGATATGTGTCCTTAAAGACAAGGTCGAAACCATTCACTTTTATTTCTAGTTATGAATTAGTATACCAGTTTTTTCAATCAATTAATACTAGAATGATTTGATTCTGACATGCAAGCTGAGTAAAAAAATGAGTAAGGCAAAAGTCTCCATAGAGTTATATTTTTGCTATCTTATAAAGTCTAAGGGGACAGAGAACTTATAACTCTGCTTTTAAGATAGGAAACAATGCTGATAACAAGAGAAGACTGAAAATAAATGAGAACTTGCTAATGCAATAAAAGGGGGAAAGATACTAAGACACTCCTCTAACAAAGCAATGGAAAAATATTCCAAAGGAGATAAATGAAGAACGTGAATAGGAAAAGATTTGTGCCTCTCTCATGAGTGGGTCTCTTTTGTTTGCAAATCATATTGCTTAAGAGAGGCTGGGAATGAAACCTCCACCTTACTTTTGAGGCTAAAAAGACTTTTTAATATTATGAACACATATTATGTAGAGCTTAGAAGGGTGGTAAAGGGAGAAAAAAAGCTGATTTCAATAAAAGGAAATGCTGAAAGAAGACATTTTTGTATAAATTATATGCATTGTATAAATTACAGAAAAAGGGCATAAATTAGAGAAAATTTTCTGTCCACAATTTCTGTGGTGTCCACCCTGAAGCCTGAATAAACCCATCCTTGGGAGAAGGTGGGGTGAAGTGGCACAGGGGATCAAGTAGTGGTTGAGGCACCCAGCACCCCTATATGTGGATTCGGGTGTCCAACAGATCAGACCTCCCGTCTCCACACTGAGGCTGGACAGCTGTGGGACTTCCGCTGGGCTGCTTCGCATCTTAAGCCACATTGCCTACACCTGAGAAATGAACTCACAGTTCTTACCCCACAAGGCTTTTTGAAGATGAAATAATATAATGCTTGTAATGGCCTTACCACAGTGCCTAGTAAGCTCTCAATAAGTGGTAGATGTTATTACCATTGTATTTACTACCGTCCTGATCACAGAAAGGAAAGGGCCTACTCAATGAAATCTGACTCTTGTTATTGCCTTAGTTGCAAGTTTGACGTCAAGTCTCTGTAAATATTTGCTCCCCAGAAGATCTCTGGGATTCCACGGTTTGATTTGGTATCTGTGGTGGCTGTGGATACATGAGATGGCAGGAAGAAGAGCTTGTGGGGGACTGAAAAGTTCTTTGCTAACCCAGGGTTCTTATAAAGCCTTTGGTTATGACCAGTTTGTTTGACAAGAAGGCTTTTCACTTCTTCCTGACAAAGTGTATCTTTTCCCCACCTTTCCTCAGCTTTCTACGCTGATTTAGCTGTTTCGTTGGAAAGACAGAGGCCTGTCTCAATAAAGACCAAGACCTGCCTGAGTCAGGATCTGACACTTCCTAGATGGGTTATCTTTAGCCAGTTACCACTTCTTTTAGAGCATCAGTTTCTCACATGTAACATGGGAATATTAACTTCTATTTGCCCAGGTTGTTTGAAGACAAAATGCTATAATGTATGTAACGCGTGTGGCACAGAGGGAGTGCTCAACAAACGCCAGCTGCCTCTCTGTCCTTCTCCATGAAGAAACAAATTCCCCACAAATACAGGCCCCAGAAAATTCTCAGAGATTAGTGTCATTGTACAGGCTGTCCACACAGTGGCTTAGGAGGGAAAACCTTTCAGCTGCAGGTCATTGTTCTTTTTCTTCAAAAATTCATAATAGTTATTGGGCTTACCGGTAAATACCTTTTCTGATAATGAGACTCTGGTCGTAAGGATAAAGGGTGCTTAAAACGCTGAAGAAATAATAGCAAATTGGGTTTGGGAATCTCTGTTTTACTATGATTGAATTGGAGAAAGACTCAGATTATTTTATTAAATGCTACCTTTAGAAGGATGGAAAAATATAAATCCTAAAAGCAATTTATAGTTTTCATGGTGTTGACCATTTTTTTGGTTTCTTTTTCTTTTATTCATTTATTTGTTTATTTATTTTTTAGTTCACTTCATAGTGACAGAGAGAAAATTTTGCAGGATCAACACTGTTACTCGATTTGCAGTTGACAGTTTGGATGTTTTTAACTGTATCTACTGCTTTGGAGGAATTCTTGACCTACTTCAGAATGAGCTTTTCCAGTAAATTCAACCTTTAGTGATCATCTTAGCCACAAATCTTTCTTAGATGACTCCTCAAAGATAAAATGTATCTTGATCAGGCTACTCTACTTTAGTTGGTAGTCTATTTTTTTCTTTTTGAAATTATTTCAGTTTAAAAAAATATGATTTTAAAAATTAGGTGGGCTGTTTTTTTCATGTTTTATTTTGTGTTTGTAATTTTAAGGAAATATGTTATGGTATATTTCTCCATCATTTTGTTGTTATTTCTTCAAATTAGATTTTTCTACCTTAGTAGCAAAGTATGACAACCTGCAATTCATATTAAAATAAATACTTTATTTTATGCACATGAATATATCTAAGAACAAAAAGATGTCCATGATTAACAGAGTCAGGTTCCAAAACTTAACATTCTTTTTAAAGGCTTTGCTCATTATTGGCTTTCTTTTTTGGGCTTTAACTTTAGCATATTTGCATATAACAATCTACCAAAGGGAGCTTTGGGCTGAAAATCTGCATTTGCTCTTATATGCCATGAGCACCAATCAATCCCATCCAAGGATAACTTTCAGAAGCAGAAATCTTTTGGAGGTAATCTTAGAGAGAACTGCAGTAATTGGCCAAAGTTTTTAGAGGATTACAGAATTTAATTGAAAAAGGAAAAGAAATGTCAATTACTAAGGGTTTCTTATGTGTTGGGAAGTCTATTCTGCATTTTTGTATCCCTTAACTCCATTAAATTATCCTGTACATTTAGATTTTTGGACCCAGTTTTACATCTTCAGGGTCAGCAAGATGAGATAAATCTCCGAGGTTCACAAAGTTAGTAAGTAGTGAATCTGGAACAGCAATCCAGACCTGTGTGACATTCTTTCCATATTGTCGGTGGAATATGAAAAATCTGCTTTTATGTTGTTCTTTATGCTGTTGCAATCCATGAAGGAGTTTTGGTATACTTCTACTACTGTAACACATTTTAGATGTTCTTGCACTTATGTATGCATGCATGTATTCACTAATTCATCCTCTCAACAAATAATTATTGAGTGCCTACTATATTTTAGGAACTGTTTCACAATCTGGGATTAACCAAGATTGTGAACAACACAGACAAAAATACTGATCACAGCACTTATGTTTTACATGAGTGTGTATACCAATGTTATGGGAAATAGTTTCTTTCTCCAATATGTGACTTTCCTTCTGAAAATCCCCAACTTGTAGGTGACACATGCCTGCTTAGAATAAAAGCTACAGGTTCCAGCATGCCTTGCCATTGAGTGTGGTCAAGAGATTAAATGGGAGTCTAATCTAGTGTGACTACTTTCAGGTAGTTTCTTTCAAAGAATGCTGTTGAGTCCCATTGCCACCTTTCTTCCCTCCTCCTTCCTGTTGCTTGGAATATGGATATATTGGCTAGGACTCCATCCTGGAAAAGGAAGACAAGGGCCATATGGATGGCAGAGTAGAAAGTTGGAAATAGCCTGGCTTGCAGATGACAGAGGAGCTTCTAAGCCAGTTCTGGAGTGCCTACATCTAGATTGTTTGGAAAAAGAGAAATCAAATTCTATCTTACATGGGTTGCTGTTACTATCAGCTAAACCTAATCCATAGTAAAAAAGTATGTTTGAATTTGCAATGGATTTTATTGTTTTTCCTTGCTCAGAATGCCTTTATATCTTCTGCCTTTTCCCAGCACTACTACACCTCAATCCCAACCCTTATACTCATGCTCAAAGTTTTCTCAGGAAAACATTATTTGAGCTCCTGAATCCGGCTGTGCCTGGATCTACCCTCATGACTAACATATTTCCTTTTTTTTGCTTAAGCCAATTTCAATTTCCTAAGGAAAGAGTTTTGACTGAACAGTATGCATATGTTGATTTAATGCATGTATTTATTACTTGTTTATGTTGCAAACATGTTATATATTGGCAAATATGTTATAAACATAGACCAATGATTAACATGTAAACATGCTGTATAGAGATCTATCCCTAGTCCTCCCATTTTTCAGTTGAAAAATCTGAGCTGCAAAGGAGCTAAATTATTTACCTTAAGTCTCAATAAAAACTCATGACTACTTAAGTTCCAGTCAATTGCAAATTGCATCTATTTTGTTGATGTCATCTTATCCACTACACATCTGAATTTGCAATGGTATAATACAAGTTATATTTTTCACTTTTATTAGTTGTACTAGTATAGTTATGCTTGAGAGGAAAAAAATAAAACCCAATATCTGTGAAGATAAAAAGAATTCCGAAGAATCTCCCCTCCCCCATTCTTTAAAATGTTATTGAACAGTAGAGAAGTAGAAGGATGAAACATGTCATGGAGCTCAGTTTCTTCCCAGTGCAGAACTGATTCCTTGAAAATCCCTCCTAATATGCTATCCAGTCAGGGTTTAAAAGTCCCAAATGCTGAAGCTTTTATCAATTCCCTTGGAAGATTCTATCTCACATAGTAGTCTGGAGCATACCAAACAGTTCCTGAAACCCAAAGTAAGCTCCTTTATTGCTGTCACTTGTGAGATTTTACTGCCCAAACATAGTTCGCTTTTTTTCTTCATGAATGCCCTTACTGACGTTTGGTTCTTGTTCTTGTCTTTGAACATTCTATTAGTCGCATATCTGTACAGATTGACTCCATTCTCTCTTGATAAATCCATTTGACTTATAACTGAATTCTGAACCCTTTCCAAAAAATTGTGACATATTTTATATACTTTTGTCACCTCTTGGAGGTAAAAAACCAGGGGCTTCTGTATGTAAGTACAAATTTGACATAGAGGATGGAGTATAACTCAATAAATTGTAGCCATTTATCTAATGTAGATATTGACATGTATATTTTTAATGTGATTTTTAAAAGTTGTGTTCAAACTTTGATAGACCTGAAATACCTTTTGCTTCTAATGTTCTGGTTAAATAAAACAATTTTTATATTCTCCTTGGAAAGGTCAAAAATTAACTTTCAAAAATTAATTAAGTTTCCAGTAGGTGCCCATTTTACTTAAAATAAAAGCAAAATTCTTTGCTATGAACTATGAGGTCTAATTTAACTCCACCCTGCCTGCCTTCTTCTTGCTTTCTAACCCAGTGGTCCAGCTACCCTAAGCTTAAATACACGACTAGTTTTTTTCTGCTTTTTGTCTCAGCCTCTCAGCTACCTCCTGCCCCACTTTATTCTCTGTTTTTATCCCCTTTACTTCTTACTTATCTCCATTTGCCATTACTGATATTATTTTCTGATTGCTCTGCTAGAGTCTAAGCTACTTTGCATGGGAGCAGGGGTCACATGTTTCCATCACCATTTTTAAAAAAATTAACACTGTGCTATTACCTGTATATTATACGTTGTTTACCTAGTAGTATGTGTTCTAATATTTGGGAAACAAATATTAGACATATGTATATGTCTAATACATATATATGTATATATGTATTAGATAGATATATATGTGTATGTATATGTATATATGTATACATATATGTGTATATATATGACTATATATGTGTCAATACATGAGTTTGGAGTAAAAAACATAAATATTTTGAAAAAATGCATGTCATATATAATCAAATTCTATTATGACTGTTAGTTACTAGATGAATTCAGAGACTTATAAAATATTATTGTTGAAAAGAAACTAAGACGACATTTAGTGTAACATCTTATTTTCTAGATGAGGAGGCTGAGACCCAAAGAGAATAAATAACTTGTCATATAGATCATAAATGACAGATCTAAGACTAAAGGTCTTGTCTCCTGGGTGCTCTTGATGCCTCTGTATGTCACCTTCAGTTTGTTTTTGAATCCCTCAATATTTGTTATTGCATTTTAATTGTATCAAAATAACTTCTAGAATTAACAGGTGGCATTGGTCTTCTCCTCTACCCCCGCCCCCAGACTTTCCTCCTTATGCTTTACATTCAGAAGAAAAGATGACAATACAGATGCCCTTACCTTTATTTTTATTAAGTACTATTTGTTGATAATACATATTTTTTTCTCACAGTAGGAACCTGGTTGTACTTTTTTTTTTTTTTTTAAATTGACTTTGATGCTGAAAGAGTTCTGGTTTGTTAAATGCTGCCCCTAGACCTCTCTCTCCATGCCTTCTACTCCTACTTTCCGTAACTTTACTATAGCGCCATTCATCACACCAAAGAAGGAGATAAAACAAAAAAAGGGCCAGCGAAGCTTTGTGAAACTCTGAGTAAAATGAGCATTTTATGTTAAGCAAGTAAAAGAGGTGGGAACAGTGTGGGCTGTTTAATGTCTGCAAACTGCTTGTAAGGGATATAAGGATCAGTTAGTGTTTAAAAACTGCACAGGAAGGGGAACATCACACTCTGGGGACTGTTGTGGGGTGGGGGGAGCGGGGAGGGATAGCTTTAGGAGATATACCTAATGCTAAATGATGAGTTAATGGATGCAGCACACCAGCATGGCGCATGTATACATATGTAACTAACCTGCACATTGTGCACATGTACCCTAAAACTTAAAGTATAATAATAATAATGAAAAAAAAAGAAAAAAAAAACTGCTTTGAGCCCAGGAGAGTAACTTGTAAAAATAGTGATTAGATTTATTCTGTGAGGCGAAGAAAGGAGCATGCTAAGGGTGAATTGGAGGGAGTGTTGAGGGCTGTATCCTTAAGGACACAGTACCCTAACCCAGTTGTTGATTTAAAAGTTATATAAAAATGTGTAAAATATTAAAGTGTCTAGAGATGTTTAATGGGTTTTAAGGTAACTTTTAATAAGGTACATTCTAGTTTTATTTAATCAGCAGTTAGGGAAACCACTCTGGCTGAACCATTAGAACATAGGCTAATAAAATACAACACAAAGCTTCTTGGTGGATGTAGCAATATTGTAAGGCTTGATGAAAATGAAAAGAGTCTAAATGAAGCCATAACAATTGGGAAGCAAGACATTTCCTGGGGATTAATGACAGGCTGGGTGGAGTTGATGGACCATGGCTATTCTGTGGGCCATTAACCTCAGTTGATCATTAATTCCCAAGAAATACCTGATGGTGAGGTCATTACTATAATTACCACCTTAAAGCGGGAAGGAGGATGGTAGACTCAAGAGTGGTGAAGTTAAAAGAATGGTGATTATTTCATATAAAGCGAGTACTTTATAGACCAAAGGGCTATAAGGTTTATTGAGTCATTTCTCAGTTTGTAAATGGGAACGAAGCATGAAGTGTCCCCCTTTTTAGAGAAGACTGAGTAAAGGAGTGGGACAAAGAAGCATGTTAGTAGCACAAATGGTAAAGGGTGAGATTTTTTGTTCAAACTAGCTTCTTGAAAAATGACTGATGGAACATTGAGAGCATTTCTGGTGATGCAAGTTATCCAACAATGGCAGAGTTCAGTAGTGTTTTGGGTTTGATGTACATACTGCCTTATTTGCATTGGTCTTCTTTTGACTTTACATTTGATGGATTGAGGACAAGGTCTAGGAGTGAGGTTAAAGGCTTGGCTTTGCAGGGAATATGATTTTGGGCACTTGCCTTCTCTGGGTTTCAATTTCTTCATCTGTAAAGATGAAGGGATAGATCTAGGTATCTCTAAAGACCAGTCCAGCTCTGAAGCTTATCTGATGTGTATTTAAGGAGTCAAAGATCCTCCTAAGATAAGACCTACAGAGCTCTGGAATAGTGAGGTAAAACACTGACTGGTAGAGGAAACCAAAAGCTTCTCCTAGAGGATAAGCAGCTTTATGTAGTTGGGATTGAAGCTTCCTAATTCAAATTATTGATGGTATTTATTTATTTTTGAGACTGATTCATTCTAGGTTGCAGGCTTCTAGCAAAACAAAAATTATTTAAATGGAAATTCCCTACTCTTTTAATTGAAAATTTAATTTTAAAAAGAATTCTACAGGCAGCTGATTCCCTATTCTCCCACTGTGAGATCCAGTGGTGCCAGAGGGTGGTTTTATTGCTGGTTAATATTTCAAAGCCAAAGACTTCTATATATTAATGGAATTTGAATTAGAAGATTAAAGCTCAGACACGGGATGAAATAAGGCTACGTAGTTTACCATGCTGACTCACCTTCTCAACCTTAACATTCTGCTCATTTCATTCTCTCATCCACTAGAACTTTATGACATGCTCATTAATTCAATCATCTGTTCTTTCAACAGTTGTTAAGCACTTTCTGTGGGCCAGGAACTGTGTTATTGTGTTATGAAACTAAAGGTGAATAAGACATAGCTCTTGACCTCTAAGGAATCACAATTTCATACACATCAATATACTAAAAGAAAGGAAGAAAGAATATTAGTGGCTTTCATAAAAGAACTAGGTGCACAAAATAGGAAGTAGTCTACCCTTCCCAGAGGTGTCATGGAGCTCAGGCAAGGTATCACAGAAAGCCTTTGATCTTAAAGGACGAATGGGGATTATTATGCTGTGACCCAGGTGGGGAATGGCTTGCTCCACAAAAATACAAGAGTTGAGCACATGAAGGAGTGGCAAGTAATTAAATATGACTGGAACAGAGAGAAAGTGGAGATGAGACTAAAGGGGTCATAAGGTCAGGTCATGAAAGGCTTTTTGCATATTATCATAATGAGTTTGGAGTTTATCCTTTGGGTAAGGGTGGAGTAATTACAATAATCTCATGTTCCCATTTGGGAATAACTTCCCGCTCTTCTTTTTTGTTGTTATCATCTCAAAGTGTCTAGTTCAAACCAGATCCTGATATGGCATTTACTTTAATTAGGAAATTGGTTAGAAAATGGAAACAATAGGCAGTAAAATAGCACTATTTAAAATAGGCTTATAGTTTCAATTGTAAATATAAAAAAAACAGTATCAGAGCTGGAATATGCTAGGAATAAGTATAGTCTAATACTGGTGTTGTCTCGAATTTAAAACACACTTAATTTAACTACCTTGGAAAATAGTAGGTGATATAGCCATGGCTAGCATATTTTAAAACTCACTGTTAGAGCAGAGTTTCCCTAATCAAAATTATTTCATAAAATAACAGACTTGTTTTGGTATTTTCAGGTATAATGTGCAATATAAATACCTTTAAATGTTGATCAGAAAGTTTGAAAAAGAGGTTTGGTGAATGGCTAAAATACTGACTGGGAGCCAGAAAGATGTTATTCTATTTCCTATTACTTTTGGAAAAATCTTCAGACTTTTCTGTGTCTGTTTCTTCATCAATAAAATGAGAGTGTTGAAATTTATAACCCTCAAAATCTCTTCTGGTTCTAAGATACTGTGATTCAATTGCAGCCTAATGTCCACAACAAAGCATAGGAATCAATAAATGTATTTATTCTCCCAGTGATTATATACTGCTAACCTTCATTGAAGATAGTTAGTTGTTCTTACATGCTCCACAACACAAGTTCTACCAGATCCTAAATGAGTATTTTTATTTTTTTTCAGTGAGTGGATGGATGTGTCAGTACTGAGGCACCATTTCAAATACACTTTAAGAAGCAGCTGCAATTCTGTCTCCTTCTTGACCTTTGGCTGAACCCACTTGGCTAACTTCCAACTCCTGGTGGAACCAAACATTTGTTTTCTCTGCTTTTGCTTCTAGAATAAAAAAAAAAAAATCCCATTTCTTTGTTTATCGGCTTTATAATAATTTTTGTTATAAACTTGGTTGAGCCTTCAATATAACACCCCCAAACTTTTACTTATCTCTGGGTGTTCCCATAGAAATGATTCTACATTTCTAGGCCTCTTCTAAAGTTCCTAGCACAATTCAGCAAATTGTCTTGGCTTGCTTTTTCACTGATAAGATAGAAACTCTCATTATATGGACAGAGCCCCTTCACAAATTCTTCTTTTCCTCCGACACATTTACCCTACATTTCTATACATCTTTCTTTTTAAAATGTTTTCGGCCGGGCGCAGTGGCTCACGCCTGTAATCCCAGCACTTTGGGAGGCCGAGGCGGGTGGATCACGAGGCAGGAGATTGAGACAATCCTGGCTAACATGGTGAAACCCCGTCTCTACTAAAAATACAAAAATTAGCCGGGCGTGGTGGTGGGCGCCTGTAGTCCCAGCTACTCTGGAGGCTGAGGCAGGAGAATGGGGTGAGCCCGGGAGGCGGAGCTTGCAGTGAGCCGAGATGGCACCGCCGCACTCCAGCCTGGGCGACAGAACGAGACTCTATCTCAAAATAAATAAATAAATAAATAAAATAAAAATAAATAAATAAATAAATAAATACTGTTTTCTTTTATTTCTGAATGGAAGGCAAGTGTTTCCTCTTTTCTGTGGTGTCCTGATCCACTTTTACTCTTAGATCCATATCCACCTATCTACTTAGAACTTTGCTTCATCTCTTCTTTTTTTTCTTTTGCCTTCTCGTGTGCCTCTCCACTGCTCCTTCCTCTCCGCCCTCAAACATGCTCAGGTATTCACATCTCAGAAAATCCCTCCTGCGGCTGTACATCGCCTTCAAAGTCCTGGATTCTGTATTCCCTAATTCCATTTCTTTTAACCCCTTATCAAGGTGTTTTTAACCATATCTGCTTCTATAATTCCATTTATTTCTCAAGCTAATTTTAACTTGCTTTCATATCCCTCTTATCAGATGGTGTCCCTGAAAATCGCTGGTGCCTGAAAAATGCCAAATTACTTGCCTTTCTCCATCATATTTGGGATGACATTTCTGAGCCCTTTAATACTTTTAAAATCACTTACTTCTTGAATATCTCTTTTCTTTTAGTGTCCTGGGAAAGGTCAAAAACTGACTTCTGCTTGCCTAACCTTGGGAGTCATTTCTGATCTACATTTCACCCTTAATTTTGAATGAGCCAAGTCTTTTCTCTCTTTTTAACAGCTTTATTGAGGCATAATAGATATGCCAAAAATTGTCCATGTTAGAAGGTAAGATTCGATGTTTGAAGATGAATGAACTTGTGAAACGATCACCACAATTAGATAATAAGCATAAGCATATCCAGCACCCCCCAAAGTTTCCTCAGCTCCCTCCTCCTCCCCTTCCCTGCCCCATCTCCATCGCTAGGCAACCACTAATCTGCTTTGTGTCAGTATAGATTTCTTTGCATGTTCTGGAATTTTATATAAATTCATACATGTAAAGAATGTACCCTTTTTTGTCTGGCTTCTTTGACTCAGCTTAATTATTTTGAGATTGATCCATATTGTTGTGTGTATCATTAGTTCATTCCTTTTTATTGCTGAGTAGTATTCCATTGTATGGAATCCATCATTTACCTAATCACGATTTTTTTTTTTTTGGGTTAAGCAAGATAAATTAATTTTTTTTCCTTTTTTTTTATTATACTTTAAGTTTTAGGGTACATGTGCACACTGTGCAGGTTAGTTACATATGTATACATGTGCCATGCTGGTGCGCTGCACCCACTAACTCGTCATCTAGCATTAGGTATATCTCCCAATGCTATCCCTTCCCCCTCCTCCCACCCCACAACAGTCCCCAGAGTGTGATATTCCCCTTCCTGTGTCCATGTGATCTCATTGTTCAATTCCCACCTATGAGTGAGAATATGCGGTGTTTGGTTTTTTGTTCTTGCGATAGTTTACTGAGAATGATGATTTCCAATTTCATCCATGTCCCTACAAAGGACATGAACTCATTTTTTATGGCTGCATAGTATTCCATGTTGTGTATGTGCCACATTTTCTTAATCCAGTCTATCATTGTTGGACATTTGGGTTGGTTCCAAGTCTTTGCTATTGTGAATAATGCCGCAATAAACATACGTGTGCATGTGTCTTTATAGCAGCATGATTTATAGTCCTTTGGGCATATACCCAGTAATGGGATGGCTGGGTCAAATGGTATTTCTAGTTCTAGATCCCTGAGGAATCGCCACACTGACTTCCACAATGGTTGAACTAGTTTACAGTCCCACCAACAGTGTAAAAGTGTTCCTATTTCTCCACATCCTCTCCAGCACCTGTTGTTTCCTGACTTTTTAATGATTGCCATTCTAACTGGTGTGAGATGGTATCTCATTGTGGTTTTGATTTGCATTTCTCTGATGGCCAGTGATGATGAGCATTTTTTCATGTGTTTTTTGGCTGCATAAATGTCTTCTTTTGAGAAGTGTCTGTTCATATCCTTTGCCCACTTGTTGATGGGGTTGTTTGGTTTTGTCTTGTAAATTTGTTGGAGTTCATTGTAGATTCTGGATATTAGCCCTTTGTCAGATGAGTAGGTTGCGAAAATTTTCTCCCATTCTGTAGGTTGCCTGTTCACTCTGATGGTAGTTTCTTTTGCTGTGCAGAAGCTCTTTAGTTTAATTAGATCCCATTTGTCAATTTTGGCTTTTGTTGCCATTGCTTTTGGTGTTTTATACATGAAGTCCTTGCCCATGCCTATGTCCTGAATGGTAATGCCTAGGTTTTCTTCTAGGGTTTTTATGGTTTTAGGTCTAACGTTTAAGTCTTTAATCCATCTTGAATTGATTTTTGTATAAGGTGTAAGGAAGGGATCCAGTTTCAGCTATCTACATATGGCTAGCCAGTTTTCCCAGCACCATTTGTTAAATAGGGAATCCTTTCCCCATTGCTTGTTTTTCTCAGGTTTGTCAAAGATCAGATAGTTGTAGATATGCGGCGTTATTTCTGAGGGCTCTGTTCTGTTCCATTGATCTACATCTCTGTTTTGGTACCAGTACCATGCTGTTTTGGTTACTGTAGCCTTGTAGTATAGTTTGAAGTCTGGTAGTGTGATGCCTCCAGCTTTGTTCTTCTGGCTTAGGATTGACTTGATGATGCGGGCTCTTTTTTGGTTCCATATGAACTTTAAAGTAGTTTTTTCCAATCCTGTGAAGAAAGTCATTGGTAGCTTGATGGGGATGGCATTGAATCTGTAAATTACCTTGGGCAGTATGGCCATTTTCACGATATTGATTCTTCCTACCCATGAGCATGGAATGTTCTTCCATTCGTTTGTATCCTCTTATTTCATTGAGCAGTGGTTTGTAGTTCTCCTTGAAGAGGTCCTTCACATCCCTTGTAAGTTGGATTCCTAGGTATTTTATTCTCTTTGAAGCAATTGTGAATGGGATTTCACCCATGATTTGGCTCTCTGTTTGTCTGTTGTTGGTGTATAAGAATGCTTGTGATTTTTGTACATTGATTTTGTATCCTGAGACTTTGCTGAAGTTGCTTATCAGCTTAAGGAGATTTTGGGCTGAGACAATGGGGTTTTCTAGATATACAATCATGTCATCTGCAAACAGGGACAATTTGACTTCCTCTTTTCCTAATTGAATACCCTTTATTTCCTTCTCCTGCCTAATTGCCCTGGCCAGAACTTCCAACACTATGTTGAATAGGAGTGGTGAGAGAGGGCATCCCTGTCTTGTGCCAGTTTTCAAAGGGAATGCTTCCAGTTTTTGCCCATTCAGTATGATATTGGCTGTGGGTTTGTCATAGATAGCTCTTATTATTTTGAAATACGTCCCATCAATACCTAATTTATTGAGAGTTTTTAGCATGAAGGGTTGTTGAATTTTTGTCAAAGGCTTTTTCTGCATCTATTGAGAGAATCATGTGGTTTTTGGCTTTGGCTCTGTTTATGTGCTGGATTACATTTATTGATTTGCGTATGTTGAACCAGCCTTGCATCCCAGGGATGAAGCCCACTTGATCGTGGTGGATAAGTTTTTTGATGTGCTGCTGGATTCGTTTTGCCAGTATTTTATTGAGGATTTTTGCATCAACGTTCATCAAGGATATTGGTCTAAAGTTCTCTTTTTTGGTTGTGTCTCTGCCCGGCTTTGGTATCAGAATGATGCTGGCTTCATAAAATGAGTTAGGGAGGATTCCCTCTTTTTCTACTGATTGGAATAGTTTCAGAAGGAATGGTACCAGCTCCTCCTTGTACCTCTGGTAGAATTCGGCTGTGAATCCATCTGGTCCTGGACTCTTTTTGGTTGGTAAGCCATTGATTATTGCCACAATTTCAGATCCTGTTATTGGTCTATTCAGAGATTCAACTTCTTCCTGGTTTAGTCTTGGGAGAGTGTATGTGTCGAGGAATTTATCCATTTCTTCTAGATTTTCTAGTTTATTTGTGTAGAGGTGTTTGTAGTATTCTCTGATGGTAGTTTGTATTTCTGTGGGATTGGTGGTGATATCCCCTTTATCATTTTTTATTGTGTCTATTTGATTCTTCTCTCTTTTTTTCTTTATTAGTCTTGCTAGCGGTCTATCAATTTTGTTGATCCTTTCAAAAAACCAGCTCCTGGATTCATTAATTTTTTGAAGGGTTTTTTGTGTCTCTATCTCCTTCAGTTCTGCTCTGATTTTAGTTATTTCTTACCTTCTGCTAGCTTTTGAATGTGTTTGCTCTTGCTTTTCTAGTTCTTTTAATTGTGATGTTAGGGTGTCAATTTTGGATCTTTCCTGCTTTCTCTTGTGGGCATTAAATGCTATAAATTTCCCTCTACACACTGCTTTGAATGCGTCCTAGAGATTCTGGTATGTTGTGTCTTTGTTCTCATTGGTTTCAAAGAACATCTTTATTTCTGCCTTCATTTCGTTATGTACCCAGTAGTCATTCAGGAGCAGGTTGTTCAGTTTCCATGTAGTTGAGTGGTTTTGAGTGAGTTTCTTAATCCTGAGTTCTAGTTTGATTGCACTGTGGTCTGAGAGATAGTTTGTTATAATCTCTGTTCTTTTACATTTGCTGAGGAGAGCTTTACTTCCAAGTATGTGGTCAATTTTGGAATAGGTGTGGTGCGGTGCTGAAAAAAATGTATATTCTGTTGATTTGGGGTGGAGAGTTCTGAAGATGTCTATTAGGTCCGCTTGGTGCAGAGCTGAATTCAATTTCTGGGTATCCTTGTTGACTTTCTGTCTCGTTGATCTGTCTAATGTTGACAGTGGGGTGTTAAAGTCTCCCATTATTAATGTGTGGGAGTCTAAGTCTCTTTGTAGGTCACTCAGGACTTGCTTTATGAATCTGGGTGCTCCTGTATTGGGTGCATATATATTTAGGACAGTTAGCTCTTCTTGTTGAATTGATCCCTTTACCATTATGTAATGGCCTTCTTTGTGTCTTTTGATCTTTGTTGGTTTAAAGTCTGTTTTATCAGAGACTAGGATTGCAACCCCTGCATTTTTTTTGTTTTCCATTTGCTAGGTAGATCTTCCTCCATCCTTTTATTTTGAGCCTATGTGTGTCTCTGCATGTGCGATGGGTTTCCTGAATACAGCACACTGATGGGTCTTGACTCTTTATCCAATTTGCCAGTCTTTGTCTTTTAATTGGAGCATTTAGTCCATTTACATTCAAAGTTAATATTGTTATGTGTGAATTTGATCCTGTCATTATGATGTTAGCTGGTTCTTTTGCTGGTTAGTTGATGCAGTTTCTTCCTAGTCTCGATGGTCTTTACATTTTGGCATGATTTTGCAGCAGCTGGTACCGGTTGTTCCTTTCCATGTTTAGTGCTTCCTTCAGGAGCTCTTGTAAGGCAGGCCTGGTGGTGACAAAATCTCTCAGCATTTGCTTGTCTGTAAAGTATTTTATTTCTCCTTCGCTTATGAAGCTTAGTTTGGCTGGATATGAAATTCCGGGTTGAAAATTCTTTTCTTTAAGAATGTTGAATATTGGCCCCCACTCTCTTCTGGCTTGTAGGGTTTCTGCCGAGAGATCCGCTGTTAGTCTGATGGGCTTCCCTTTGAGGGTAACCCGACCTTTCTCTCTGGCTGCCCTTAACATTTTTTCCTTCATTTCAACTTTGGTGAATCTGACAATTATGTGTCTTGGAGTTGCTCTTCTCGAGGAGTATCTTTGTGGCGTTCTCTGTATTTCCTGAATCTGAACGTTGGCCTGCCTTGCTAGATTGGGGATGTTCTCCTGGATAATATCCTGGAGAGTGTTTTCCAACTTGGTTCCATTGTCCCCATCACTTTCAGGTACACCAATCAGACGTAGATTTGGTCTTTTCACATAGTCCCATATTTCTTGGAGGCTTTGCTCATTTCTTTTTATTCTTTTTTCTCTAAACTTCCCTTCTCGCTTCATTTCATTCATTTCATCTTCCATTGCTGATATCCTTTCTTCCAGTTGATCGCATCGGCTCCTGAGGCTTCTGCATTCTTCACGTAGTTCTTGAGCCTTGGTTTTCAGCTCCATCAGCTCCTTTAAGCACTTCTCTGTATTGGTTATTCTAGTTATATATTCTTCTAAATTTTTTTCAAAGTTTTCAACTTCTTTTCCTTTGGTTTGAATGTCCTCCCGTAGCTCAGAGTAATTTGATCGTCTGAAGCCTTCTTCTCTCAGCTCGTCAAAGTCATTCTCCATCCAGCTTTGTTCCGTTGCTGGTGAGGAACTGCGTTCCTTTGGAGGAGGAGAGGTGCTCTGCTTGTTAGAGTTTCCAGTTTTTCTGTTCTGTTTTTTCCCCATCTTTGTGGTTTTATCTACTTTTGGTCTTTGATGATGGTGATGTACAGATGGGTTTTTGGTGTGGATGTCCTTTCTGTTTGTTAGTTTTCCTTCTAACAGACAGGGCCCTCAGCTGCAGGTCTGTTGGAGTAGCCGGCCGTGTGAGGTGTCAGTGTGCCCTTGCTGGGGGGTGCCTCCCAGTAAGGCTGCTCGGGGGTCAGGGACCCACTTGAGGAGGCAGTCTGCCCGTTCTCAGATCTCCAGCTGTGTGCTGGGAGAACCACTGCTCTCTTCAAAGCTGTCAGACAGGGACATTTAAGTCTGCAGAAGTTACTGCTGTCTTTTTGTTTGTCTGTGCCCTGCCCCCAGAGGTGGAGCCTACAGAGACAGGCAGGCCTCCTTGAGCTGTGGTGGGCTCCACCCAGTTCGAGCTTCCTGGCTGCTTTGTTTACTTAAGCAAGCCTGGGCAATGGCGGGCGCCCCTCCCCCAGCCTCGCTGCCACCTTGCAGTTTGATCTCAGACTGCTGTGCTAGCAATCAGCGAGACTCCGTGGGCGTAGGACCCTCCGAGCCAGGTGCGGGATATAATCTCGTGGTGCACCGTTTTTTAAGCCGGTCGGAAACGCGCAGTATTCGGGTGGGAGTGACCCGATTTTCCAGGTGCGTCTGTCACCCCTTTCTTTGACTCGGAAAGGGAACTCCCTGACCCCTTGCGCTTCCCAAGTGAGGCAATGCCTCTCCCTGCTTCGGCTCGCGCACGGTGCATGCCCCCACTGACCTGCGCCCACTGTCTGGCTCTCCCAAGTGAGATGAACCCGGTACCTCAGATGGAAATGCAGAAATCACCCGTCTTCTGCGTCACTCACGCTGGGAGTTGTAGACCGGAGCTGTTCCTATTCGGCCATCTTGGCTGACATTGATTAATCATGATTTGTTTATACCTAGAAGTGAATATGTAGAAGTGACATGGCTGGGTGCTGTGGTAAGTGTATGTATAACTCTTTAAGAAACTGGCAAACTGTTTACCAAAGTGACTGCAGTTTTACATTCCCACCAGCAGTACATGAGAGTTGCGGTTGTTCTACATTCTTGCCAACACTTGATACCATCAATCATTTTAATTTTAGGCATTCTAAGAAGTGTGGAGTGGCATCTTACTGAGGCCTTGTTTTGCATTTCCCTAATGAACAATAATGTTAAGCATCTTTTTGTGTACTTATCTATCATCCATATATCTTCTTTGGTAGTGTAATTTTTTTCCTTCAAATCTTTTGCCAGTTTGTTTTTAATTGAGCTGTTTGTTACTGAGTTTTGAAGTTCCCATATATTCTGGATACAAGTATTTTGTCAGATATATGATTTGCAAATATTTTCTACCAGTCTGTGGCTTCTCTTTTCATTCCCTTAACAATAATTTTGGAGAAGCAAAAGGTTTTTTTTAATAAAGTTTATTACTTTAAAAAATGAATTTTTTGATATGATATTTTGTCTAAGAAATATTTGCCTAACTTCACATCACAGGACTTTTCTTCTGTGCTTTCTTCTAGAAATTTTAAAGCTTTATATACTAAATTTAGGTCTATGATGTGATGTATAGATCAAATTTCATATTTTGCATATGGATATCTGATTTTTCTAGCACCAATTTTTGATCTCCACTTAATTGTCTTTGCTTCTTCATTGAAAATCAGTTGACCGTGTGTATGGATCTATTTCTGTACTCTCTATTGTGTTCCGTTTATCTGTCAGTCTTGACACCAATACTGCACTATCTTGATTACTATAGCTTTGTAATGTCTTAAAGTCAGGTAGTGCAGTTCACCAGCTATGTTCTTTTTTCCTGAAGTTGATTTGGCTATTCCAGGTTCTTTGAGTTTCTGTATGAATTCTAGACTTCTTTGTCAGTCATGGATATGGTGTAACTCTCTAAGTCACTTTTAATTTCTCTCAGCAACATTTTGTAGTTTCATTGTATGTTGTACATTGCATATACCTTGTTAGGTTTACCTCTCAGTGTTTAAATATTATGTATGCTACTTATTTATAAATGACATTGTTTTCTTAATATCATTTCCCATTTTTTAATGGGTAGTATATCAAAAGACAATTGATTTTTATATGTTGGTCTCATATCTTGCAACCTGTTAAATTCACTTATTAGTTTATAACTGTTTAATATATTCCATAGAATCTTCCAGATAGATGTCATGTCATCTGTGAATAAAAGTTATTTTGTTCTTTCTTTCTGATCTGGATTACTTTCATTTGTTTTTCTTGCCTATTATATTGGGTAGAACCTCCAGAACAATGTTGAATAGAAGTGTTACAGACTACATCACTGTATTGATCCTCATCTTTGGGGGAAAGTATTTAGTCTTTCACAATTATGGATGCTGTTAGCTATAGATTTTTCAAAGATCTACTTCATCAGGCTGAGGATGTTTCTTTCTATTCCCAATTTGATGAGATATTTTTGTTTAAAATCAGGAATAGATATTTCATTTTGGATCTTATAAAAAGGTTTTTTTAAAAAATTTAAATAGATGATCATAGTTTTCCCTTCTTAGTTTGCCAACATCGTAAATAATATTTATCAATTTTTCAAATGAGAAACCTACCTGGCATTACTGGGATAAACTCCATTAACCAACTTTTCCATATTCCCCCCATCACCGTCCCTTCCCAGCCTCTGGTAAACACCATTCTACTCTGTACTTCCATGAGATCCACTTTTTTAGTTCCCACATATAAGTGATAACATGTAATATTTGTCTTTCTGTGACTAGCTTATTTCATATAAAATAATGACTTCCAATTCAATCCATGTTGCTGCAAATAATGAGATTTCATTATTTTTTATGGCCAAATAATTTTCCATTATGTATACATACCATGTTTTCTTCATTCATTCATCGATGGACTCTTAGATTAATTCCAATCTTAGCTATTGTGAATAATGCTTTAATTAACATGGGAGTGCAAATATTTTTTCTATATACTAATTTCCTTTTTTTTGATTATATACTCAGCAATGGGATTCCTGAATTATATAGTAGTTCTATTTTTAGCTTTTTGAGGAACTTCCCTACTGTTTCTCATAATGGCTGTATTACTTTACTTCCCAACCAATAGCATATGAGTGTTCTTCTTTCTCTGCATCCTCAACAGCAATTGTTATTTTTTTGTCTTTTTGATAATAGCCGTTCTAACTGGTGTAACATGATATCTCATTGTGGTGTTGAATTTCATTTCCCTGATGATTAGTGATGTTGAGCATTTTTTCCATATACTTGTTGGCCATTTGTATGTTTTCTTTTGAAAACTGTTTATTCCGGTCTTTTGCCCATTTTAAAATTGGATTATTTATTTACTTTTGTTGCTGTTGAGTTATTTGAGTGTCTTATATATTCTGGTTATTAACACCTTGGATGAATAGTTTGCAAATATTTTTCTCCCACTGTATAGGTTGTCTCTTCACTTGGTTAATTGTTTCCTTTGCTGTGCAGATGCTTTTTAGCTTTATATAATCCCTTTTGTCTATTTTTGCTTTTGTTTCCTGTGCTTTTAAGAGCTTACCCAAAAACTCCTTCTCTAGACTGATGTCCTGTAGTGTTTCCCAACGTTTTCTTCTAGTAGTTTCATAGTTTCAGATCTTACAATTAATTGTTTAATCCATTTTGTATTGATTTTTTATGTGGTAAAAGATGGGCATCTAGCTTCATTCTGCATATGAATATCCAGTTTTCCTATCAGTATTTATTAAAGAGACTATACTTTCCTCAATGTATATTTTTAGCACCTTTATCAAAAATGAGTTGGCTGTAAGTATGTGAATTTACTTCTGCATTCTCTATTTTATTCCATTGGCTTATGTGTCTATTTTTATGCCAGTACCATGCTGTTTTGGTTATGATAGCTTTGTAGTATAATCTGAAATGAGGTAGTGTGATCCCTCTAGCTTTTTTTCCCCCCAAGATTGCTTTAGCTAATTCGTGTCTCTTGTGATTCCATATAAATGTTGGGATTGAGGTTCCTATTTCTGTGAAGAATATCATTCTTATTTTGATAAGATTGTATTGAAACTGTAGATTACTTTGGGTAGTATGCACATTTTAATAATATTTATTCTTCCAATACTTGAGCATGGGATTATTCCATTATTTTGTGTCCTCTTCAATTTCTCTCATCAGATCTTTCACTTCTTTGGTTAAATTTATTACTAGGTATTTTTTGGTTTGAAGTTATTGTAAGTGAGGTTTACATTCTGATTTGTTTTTCAGATTGATCACTATTAGCTTACAGGAATGCTACAGATATTTGTAGGTTGATTTTGTATAGTCCAACTTGACTAAATTCATTTACCCATTCTAATAATTTTTCAAGGGAGTCTTTAGGTTTTTTCAAATATAAAATAATGTTGTTTGCAAACAAGGATAATTTGACTGCTTCCTTTCCAACTTGGATGATCTTTCTTTTTTAATCTTGCCTAATTGCTCTGGCCAGGACTTCCAGTACTATGTTGAATAAAAGTGTTGGAAGTAGGCATCCTTGCTCTCTTCCTAAACTTTTTGAAAGGCTTTAAATTTTTCCCCATTTGTTTGATATTAGCTGTGGGCTTGTTATATATGGCTTTTATCTTGTTGAGGTATGCTCCTTCTATATCCAAATTGTTTAGGTTTTTTTTTTAATCATAAAGAGATATCGAATTTTTTCAAGTACTTTTTCAGCAGCTATTGAACAGATCATGGTTTTTGTCCTTCACTCTGTTGATGTGATGATATATCATGTATATTGGTTTATATATGTTGAACTGGGATTCATCACTGGGATGAATCCCACTTGATCATGGTGAGTGATCTTTTTAATGTGTTGTTGAATTTCTCATTATTAATTATTCTGCTGTTCAAGTTTTCTATTTCTTCATGGTTCAATCTTGTTGTGTATGTCCAGAAATATATCCATTTCTTCTAGGTTTTCCAATTTGTTGGCATATCGTTATTCATAAGAGTCTAATGATCTTTTGTATTTCTGTGCTATCAGTTTTAATGTTTCCTTTTTCGTCTCTGATTTTATTTGGATCATCTCTTTTTTTCTTAGTCTAGCTAAAGTTTTGCTTATTTTGTTTATCTTTTCAAAAAACCAACTTCAAATTTTGTTGATCTTTTGTATACATTGCTCTCAATTTCATTTATTTCTGCTCAGATCTTTATTATTATTTTTTTCTACTAATTTGGGGTTTAGTTTGTTCTTGCTTTTCTAGTTCCTTGAGGTACATCATTAGGTTGTTTATTTGAAGTCTTTCTATTTTTTCTGATATAGGTGTTTATTGCTAGAAACATTCTTATTAGTACTGTTTTTGCTGTATCCCATGGGTTCTGGTATGTGTGTTTCCATTTTCAGTTGTTTCAAAAACTTTTTAGAATTTCTTTTTTAATTTCTGCATTGACTCATTGTACATTGAGGAACATGTTTAATTTCCATGAATTTATACAATTTTCAAAGTTCCTCTGGTTATTGATTTCTAGTTTTATTCCATTGTGTTCAGAAAATATACTTGATACAATTTTGACTTTTTGAACTTGTTGAGACTTGTTTTATGGCCTAAGATGTGGTTTATCCTGCAGAATGTTCTATGTGCTGATGAGGAAAATGTGTTTTTTGCCACGCTTAGATAAAATCTCCCCTTCCCTCCTTTCCCCTCCTCTCCCCTCCTCTCCCCTCCCCTCCCCTCCCCTCCCCTCCCCTTCCCTTCTTTTTTCTTCTTTTTCTTTCTTTCATCTCCTCATTTCTTCCTGCTTCCCTTCCTTTGTGGTTAGGAGATTTTCTCTGCTAATATGTTTTAAGTCATTGCCTTTCATTTTTAGTATATCCATTATAAATTTTTGCTTTCTGGTTATCATGAAGGCTAAAAAAAATATCCTATAGTTATAATTATATATAGTTATATATAATGATATATATATAATGATATATATATAATGATATATATGATATAGTTAAAACAGCCACCAATATAACTTTGATCACAAAAAGAAAAAGACACAAAACAAAATATAAAACTCTGTACTTATTAACTTTCTTTTTTTCCCACTTTGATTTTTTGATGTCACAAGTTACATTTTTTATACTGTTTAACTTTAGCAAATTGTTTTATTTACTATTATTTAAGTAGTTTTATTTTTTAGTCTTCTTACTGAAGATATAAATGGTTTAAATACCACAATTACAATATTACTATAATAATCATATTAGCGTTCATTTATTTCAGTTTGAAGGACTCCTTTCAACATGTCTCGTAGGACAAATCTGGTGGCAATAAATTCCCTTAGCTTCTGTTTGTCAGGCAAAGTCTATCTCTCCTCATTTCTGAAGGATAACTTTGCTGGGTACAGTAATGTATAGTATTATTGGTTGGCTTTTTTTTCCTTTTGCATTCTGAATATATTGTTTCACTCCCTCCTGGTCTGTAGGGTTTCTGCTGAGAAATTTGCTGCAAGTCATATTGGATATCCTTTATATGTTACTTCCTTCTTTTCTCTGGCTGCTTTCTGTATTCTGTCTTTATTTTTGACCTTTGTGAGTTTGATTATAATATGCCTTGGAATATTCTTATTTGGGTGAATCTGATTGGTGACCTTTGACTTTCCTATACAGGGATATTTATATCTTATCTCCAGGTTTGTAAAGTTTTCTATTATTTCACTGAATAACCTTTCTGCTTGTTGTCTTTCTCAGTTCCCTCGAACTTAGATAATCTGAATATTTACTCTTTTAAAGTTGTCCCATAGTTCCTGTAAGCTTGTTCATTTTTTTCTTCTTTTACCTTCTTTGATTGTGTTTCCAAATAGCCTGTCTTTGAGCACTGATTCTTTCTTCTGTTTGATCAACTCTGCTGTTGATGTGCTCTATTGCATTTTTCATTTCATTCATTGTACTTTTTTTAGCTCCATGATTTCTGTTTGATTTTTAAAACTTACTTTAATCTCTGTATTAAATTTTTTTCTGATAAATTTCTGAACTGGTTCTCTCTCTCTCTTTTAAAAATATTTATTAAACTTCCTTAAAACAGCTATTTTGAGTTCTTTGTCGGAGAGACTGCACATCCCATAACTTTGGGGCTAGTCTCTGACACCTTATTTTGTATGTTTGGTAAGGTCATATTTTTCTGAATGTTCTTGATGTCTGTGGATGCACAATGATCTTTGCACATTTAGGGATTAGGGATTTATTTTAGTATTTGCAGTCTGTCTTTGTTTTCACCTGTCCTACAGAGGTCTTTTCAAGGACTCTAAGCTGATGGACTGTTGTGTTTCAGAGCTTGTGATCTGTGCAGGTACCTGCACTAGAGGACACTCTAAACCCAGGCTTGCCATGAGTCTCACAAGGGCAAGGTTGACATGGCTTTCTGGTCCAGAAGGATCTGGGGAAGACTTAAGGAGAGTACTGGGGCTGTGTGGGAGTGCAAGCCAGGGACTTAAGTTTAGAAGACTACCCCAGTGGCTAAGACAAGCATGACTCCCCGATCTCTGCACAGCTGGTATGGGTTACCAGATGCAGTGAGAGGGGCTAGAGTTGAGATTGGACCAACTTCAGGATCTGCAGTGGAAAGGACGCTGGTGGGCCTGTCTCATTAGTTTAGACAGTGTGCACCACCCAGCTGGTACCTGCACAGATGGGATAGTTCCCCAACTGTAGCAGGAGGGGTTTGAGCTAAGACTGGGCCCCCTTGGGATCTCCTAGGGGACAGAGGCAGGAAAGCCTGATTGGCTCAAAGGGTCACCTTTCTCCTACAAGGACACTGCACAGCCAGGATAGTTTTCCAACTGCAGACTGTAGCTGAGACTGAGTCCCCTGGGATTTGCTATAGGATAGAGGCTGGAGAGTCTGTCTTGTTGGCTCAGGGAGGCACGTGTCTCCTAGCAGGTCTCAGCACAGACAGGGTACTTTCCCAACTGAAGGCTAGATATAAGACTGGATTCCTTGAGGCCAAGGCTGGAGCACCTGCTCCTTGGCTCAGAGAGATGTGTATTTCCCAGGAAGTCCTTGCACAGGTGAGATGGTTTCCCGATTACTGCAGGAGGGGCCAGAGCTGAGAATGGGCCCCCTTCAGATCTGTTGTGTGATGGAGGCTGGAGAGCCCAGTCTCATTGGTCCAAACAGGTACAAATCTCCCAGCAGAGCTTAGCACAGGTGGATTGCTTCCCCAACTGCAGTGAGGGGCTGGAATTGTTATTGGGCCTCCTCAGAATCTGTGGAATGAAGGTTAGCTAGCTCATAAGGGAAGCTCAGACTCTCTGGCTGTGATATACGGGCAAGTCTCCTGTGTCTTTGTATGAACAGCTCTGAGCTAGGACCTCAGCTGAAGAAGGCTAGAACAGTGCTTCAGGGCAACTTTCAGGTTAACTGCAGAGACTAATGTCAGCCAACAGACAAGCCTTTTCTCCAAGACAGTAGTGTGGGCAGTTCATTCTGGACCTCTTGGCAGATGATTTTTTGCTGCAGTTTCAAGGTCAAACAGTGCTGTAGCCAAGCCCCAGCAGGGACTGGACCATTTCTGGGATTGAAAGCAGAAGCAAGTTTGGTCAGGCAGACCAGCCACCTGGGTTGTGGTCTGCATTCTCTAAACCAGGGGTCTCCAAACCCCAGGCCACAGATACGTGCTGGACCATCCGTGACCTAAGAACCGGGCTGCACAGCAAGAGGTGAGTGGTGGGCAGACAAGTGAAGCTTCATCTGTATTTATAGCATGTCCGCATGGCTCGCATTATCACCTCAGATCTGCCTCCTGTTAGATGGGCAGTGGCATTAGAGTCTCATAGAAGTGTGAACCCTATTGTGAACTGCACATGCCAGGGATCTAAGTTGCGCTCTGCTTATGGTAATCTAATTCCTGATGATGTGTAACTGTCTTCCATTATCCCCAGAAGGGATTGTCTGGTTGCAGGAAAACACTCTCAGGGATCCCACTGATTCTACACTATGGTGAGTTGGATACTTATTTAATTATATATTACAATGTAATAATAATAGAAATAAAGTGCACAATAAATATAATGCACCTGAAACTAGGCTGGAGTGCAGTGGCACAATCTCAGCTCACTCCAGCCTCTTTGACCTACCAGGTTCAAGTGATCCTCTTGCCTCAGCCCCCCAAAGCTGGGACTACAGACATGCCACTATGCCTGGCTAATTTTTGTAATTTTTGTAGAGACAGGATTTCACCGTGTTGCCTAGGTTGGTCTTAAACTCTTGAGCTCGAGTGATCCACCTGCCTTTGCCTCCCAAAGTGTTAGGATTATAGGTGTGAGCCACTGTGCCCAGCCTGATTCTTTCTTAACACAGCTATATTGTCTTTTATATCCCAAATCTTTTTTTTCACTTTTTTTTTTGATTTCAACCTTCTTTTGGATCTAATTGAGTTTCTTTGCAATTTGTATTTTAAATTCTTTAAATATCATCTCAGATGTTTCAATCTGATTAGGATCCATTGCTAGGGAGCTAATGAGATCCTTTGGAGGTGACAAAACACTCTGGCTTTTTGTACTGACAGAGTTCTAGCACTGATTCTTTCTAATCTGAGGGAGCTGTCTTCTTCTTTTTCTTTTTTTTGGATTTTCTATCTTTTGGATGGGGCTTTAATTTTTTTGTTCTTTTCTCCCTTGAGGGTATGACTATGTTGTATGTTGTGTATGTGTGTATGGTTGATTGGCTTTTTTTTTTTTTGGTTGCTTTCATGGGGCCAAGGCTCTGTGTGGGTTCCTTGGTTGTGAATACTTTCTGTTCAATATCTTTCTCAGATGCTGCTTGTTATGAGGATGTATTTTCATTTGGTGATGCAGTTTAGGCTGCAGTCCCGTAGATGGCACTTAAGATTAAGAGCTGTCAGATAGTCTGGTGCCCATTGGATGCACCTGCCCTGATTAGGGTAGCAGGAAGAGATCGTGATGGGGTGCCTTGAAAGTCTCAGAGGAAGGGGCAGGGGTGGGGGTGCACCAGCTCTTCACCCTAGACTGGCAGTAATGCAGTTTGCTTCACTGTCACACTCCTGTCATGGGGTTCACAACCATCTGTTTTAAAGGCTTTGTCCTTTGGTTCCTGACCACAGTGTGGCTCTGTGCTATAGATCTGACTGTCTGACAGTTATCACTAGAATGGGGGTCAGAGCAGAGCTTTGACCCACAGTCTAGGGCAGGTAACTTCATGGTTTATCCTCCATTGCTGGGGTACTGCCACACCTTGTAGAGAGGGGGAGTTGAAACCCACCCTTCCTGAAAGCCTGAGCAGGCACAGCCTTGATTTTAGTGGGGGTGGAGCCACCAGAAAGGCATGAAAAGTGATTTTGTTTAGTTTCTGCTCATTTCCAGTGGGGTTGGAGCTGCTGGAAAAGTGAGAAAAGTGCTTTCTTTTAGCACAAGCTCACTAGGCAGGGTGAGAAGATCCACTACTGTGTCTGCAACAGTGTACAGCAGATATTTAAAGATAACTCTTTCTCCACATCTGTTCCCAGATGTCAGTGGTGTCCCCTTCACTGTTTGGTGCTGTGTTTGTGTTTCCTTTATTTCAAGGGAGCCTTTGGTGGCTTGTGCTTCCCCTTGCTTAGGGGTGGCCTTTGCTGAAGATTAAATCTCCAGGGATCTACAACTCCCAGGGACCTACTGGTCTTCTGTGCTTGCCAAAGTCAGAGCAGATTGTAGGGTATGTTTGTGGGTGGTTTTGTGATGCCGTGGCTCAAGGATGGAGGATCTCTAGGCAGGACAATGACACCAAGGTTAAATTATTTAGATTTGTTGTGCGGAACAGAATGTAGTTTATCTTGACAAATGTTATACGTTCACTTAAAAACAATATGTTGTGCTGTTTTCTGGGTGGCACATTCTATAACTTTCAATTATATCAAATTAGATGATAGTATTGTTCAATAATTTTATAACTAAGATTTTGTTTCTATTTGTTCCTCCTGTTATTTCACTAGGGGCAGAAATCTCAGCCTATATTTATGGATATATCTTTGCATTTCAGATTTTTGTCATGTATTTTGAGCTCCATTATTAGGTGATTAATGTTAAGGATAGTTATTTTTTGAAGAATTTCTTTAGCATTGTAACATGACCTTCTTTGTCATAGTCTTTGTAATATTCTTTTTTCTGTGTTGCCTGATAACAATATAACCACTCTTATTTTCCTTTGATTTTTTTCAAATTTTTCCCATTTATTTTACCTCAAAACTATTTACGTCTTTATATTTAACATGGGTTTCTTATAGTCAGCATGTAAATTATCTTACTCTCTTATTCAATTTTATAATCTCTGCTTTTAAAATGGAGTATTTAGACCATTTACTTGTAGTGTAATTATTGACAAAGTCTTGTTTAAATGTACCATCATGCTCCTTGTTTTCTACTTATCTCTACTTATTTTTTATTCATTTTATTTTTTGGCTTTTTTGGATTATTTTTTATAATTTCATTTTGTGTCCTTTTTTGGTAATCATAACTCTTTGTTTTGACATTTAAGTGATTCTTTTAGGGTTTAGTATACATTTTGTGCTATTAATGTCATACATTTTACTTTATATATGTGATAAATCCCATAATACATTGTTATTGTTTGGCTTTAAGCAATTAATTGTCTTTTAAACAGATTTAAGTTATAAGAATAAACTCTTTATATTTACCCATGTACTTATCATTTCCATTGTTCTTTATTCCTTTGTGTAGGTCTAGGTTTCTGTGTGGTATCATTTTTCTTCTATTTGAAAGACTTCCTTTAGTATTTATTGTAATTTAGTTTTGCTGTTAATGAATTCTTTCATCTTTTGTGGGTGTGAACAAATCCTTGTTTCACCTTTGTTTTTGAAAGCTTTTTTTAGGTTAGAGAACTCTAAGTTGTTTTTTCTTTTAGTACTTCAGAAGTGTTGCTCTATTGTCTTCCTGCTTTAATTGTTTACAAGGAATCTTTTACTGTCCATATTTTAGTCCTGTGTGTAATATCTCTTTTTCTCCAAGTGCTTCTAAGATTTGTATTTTTATCACTGGCTTCACGTAATTGGTTTATTATGTGCCATGGTATAGTCATATATATGTTTGTACTTGGGCTTTGTTAAGCTCTGTGTATATGTGAGTATACGGATTTTATCAAATTTGTAAAGTTTTAGCCACTATTTTTTCAAAAATTTTTTTGTCTTCCCTTTAAGGGACTCCAATTGCTCATATATTTGGTCAATTAAAATTATCTCACATTTCACTAATGCTCTACTGTTTTTTTGCAAGTCTTTTCTTCTCTGTGTGTTTCATTTTTATAGTTTCTATTACTATGTCTTTAAGTTCACTAATCTTTTTTTCTGAAATGTCATCTGCCATTATTCTCAGCCTGTGTATTTTACAAAGCAAACATTATAATTTCTACTTCTGAACATATAAATGGGGTCTTTTTTATATCTTTTATTTAAAAAGTTCAACTTTTTCTCTACCTTTTGAATATATTGAATTCAGTTGTAATGACTTTTTTAATGCCATCTGTGTCATACTTGTGTTAATTTTTATTGGTTGACTTTTTTCTCTTTATTATAGGTTGTATTTTCCTTCTTCTTTGCATACTTTATAATTTTTATGGGTGCCAGCCATTGTAAATTTTGCCCTGTTGATTGCTGAATGTTGTTGAATTTTAAAAATATTCTAGAGCTTTGTATTTGAATGTGGTTAAGTTACTTCAAACTAGTTTAATGTTTTAGGGTCTTGCTTTTAAGCTTTGTTAGGTAGAACAAAGCTATTATTTGTTCCCATTCTTGAGGTAATACCCATCTTAATTCTTTAACTGATGCCCATGAATTATGAGGATTTACATTTTGATTATTGGGGATAGGCATGATTCCTGGCCATGTGTTATTCCTGGGTGCTGTTTCTTCTTATTCTTCTGAGTGGCCCTTTCCTGGCCTTGGGTAGTTTTCTCACACACAGGCACTCTTTGGTGCTTAACCAAATACTCAGTGGGGAACACCTGCAGTTCTGTGGAGTTCTCTTCCTGTGTATATCTCTCCTCTTCAGTGTTCTGCTCTGCAAACACCAGGAATCTTGTCTTCCCTGGGCTCCCAACTCTGTCTCTTCAACTCAGGGAGTTCACTGGGCTCTGCCTGGATTCCCGTCTTTGCATCACAACCTGGAAACTACCTCTAGGAAATAAGCTGGGGCAATCATAGGTATGAGTCAATTCATCTTTTTCAAACCCAACCCCTCATTTCCAATGTGTTCAAAACCATAATTTTACATATTTTGTTTGGTACTTTGGTTGTTTGTAATAAGAGTGTAAATTTGGTCCCTGTTATTATATCTTGGCTGAAAGCCTTGTTTTTCTCCTTATTGTTTTTTTAATGCTAAAAACTTATTTTTGTGTGTGTTGAGCACTCCTCATGTAATTAGGGTTACTGATGTTTAGTTAAGTCTGCAAGTCTGCCTTCCCTCCTCAATCATTACCTCTAAGGACACAAAACCTTTATTGTTTGCCTTCATATTTTCAAAGTTAATATAGCAGTGCTTAACGCATAGAAATTTAATGCTTCTTGAACTAATAAAATTAAAATAGGGGTAAGCTTATGCTTCTGTGATGTGGTATATTAGTATATATACTAATATTTACATTTTATATCTATACTAATTATATATACAAAATATATATATAATTACATATATAGTATATAAATTATATATTATATATATAATATATAAATTATATAATATATATAATATATAATTGCATATATAATATATAGATATATAATTACATTAGTATATATACTAATATTTATATTACATTTATATATAATATAAAATACATTTTATATTATATATACATGGGTGTGTATATATATGAATATATGTGTGTATGTGTATTTTTCTTACATTGCATTTATAGTTCTGTAATTCTTTTGTGTGTATAGCCAAGAAATGCTTAGTGAATTTTTTTTTTTTTTGCAGCAAATAAAGGTTAATTAGGTTTTACTTTAGCAAAATGAACAATAAGATTGATGCTTAAAATGTAAACGTGTTACCCGTTCAGGCTTTACTCACTCCGAATATTAATAAGTATGTAAGTATGATTGTTGAATATTTACAAAGAAATACTAATTCCAATACCCAGAAAGGAAAAATCAATAATAAATGTTAAAGTTAAATGTCTCAGGTTTAATTTCTTATAATTTTATTTAAAAAATAAAATTGTATTTTTCAATTGCATTGCAAAACAAATGTGTAGAAATATATATCTGTGCCTGTCGCTGTCACATTGGAAAGTATTTTAGAACAGTTTTGTCTGCTCCTCCCAGCCTCATTCAGAGTTCCAAGGGAGTAAGGCCTGAGAGAGAGCAGATATTTCTCTAGTGAGCATGAAATTTGGTAACCTTAGGCCTGACCTTTAATCTGCTAAAGCAGAGAGACAGAGGCATTTCTCTGGGACACTGGAGAGGATATAACCATTAAAGTTAACAGTGAATGAACTCATTCCATTACTTTTAATAACATTATATCTGTGTTTGTGTGCTCAATGTAATGATAACTTAGCGAAGGAGAATTAATTCCACATATTATCTACATAAAGGATAATGAGGGAAATCAGTTTCCTCTAAGGAAGTTTCATTAAATTTGGGTATAAGCCAATCTACTTTAGATTGGTCCCTGGCTCTTGGATGACTTTCAAGCCTTGAGGCTCCTAGAGAACGAACAAGGCCATGTTTGAATGTCAGGGAAACAGACGCAGAAGGTTTCAGAGGACCTTTGTCACTGAAATTCCCTTTCCTTCTGGAAAAGCAAACTGCTAGTTTGTTGACCATCAGGTACAAAATATATTTTTTTTCTATAAACCAACATTGTATCTGCTGAGATAGTTTTAATTCATGTGATTTGTGACTAAACTATTTGATTTGTGGGTCTGATGGCTCCTTGAGGTATTTCAAGTAATAAAAACAACAAACAAGCTAATAGTGAATTAGTAAATATTCAGTATCATTTTGTATTTTTATGTTGTTTTTTTTTAACACAGGAAATATTTTCTTTTTTTTAACACAGGAAGGTTAAAGCAATGTCTTCCAAGTTAAATGCCTGTTTTGAAAATCAGTCCTTGTTAAATTAGTGTTACTAAGTATTGACATATATAATGCTAGTGATCCTTGCAGTGAAATTTAGAACATACAATTTTCTTGTGGGTTTAGAATGTAATTAATTTTGCAAGTTTTTAACTGAGCAAACAGTTTGATGTCTCAAAGACAACAAGGCAAATTCACTAAAATATGCTTATTTTAAATTGAAAACAAAATTTTATCAGAGGTAAACTGCACTTAAATTGCTTTATCCGAAAAATGTTAGTGATCCTTAAAATATTTCTATGTACATGTAGCAGTCTTATGTACTAATACATTAGCGACTCAAACTAGATGGGGAAGAGCAATTCTAAAATAATAAGCATGTTAAATTACAGAATTTAACTGTTGCAACAGACTGAATTTTGTGTCCCCCAGGAATTCATATGTTGAAATCCTAACCCCCAAGGTTATGTATTAGGAGGTGGAACCTATGGGCATAGGATTAGAGCTATTATGAAAGAGGCCCCGAAGGGCTGCTTTGTCCCTTCCATCATGTGAGGACACAGCTATAAGACACTGTCTATAAACCGGAAAGTTGGCCCTCACCAGACACTGAATCTGCTGGCGCCTTGATAGTGGATTTTCCAGCCACCAGAACTCTGACAAATAAATAACTGTTGTTTACCTGTCACCCACTTTACAATATTTTGTTAAGACAATGGTAATGCAGTTTATTGCTTATAAACTATTAATAATAATAACTATAAATCAATGTCAGTTACAGAGCTAGTGCCTAGAGGAATTACCTATAAATTAAAATAATAAAATCAAAGAGTTGTGGAAACCACTGAAACAAATCAGTGTCGAAAGGATCTTGTTATTAGGTTGGACACTTTACTAAATGATACCAAAATAATTGAATGAACATTTAAATACTTCTTACCTTAAATTTTAAAAGAAGAAAAAAATTGTTGCTAATATATCCAAGGGTTTTGCAAAATTTTTAATCTCAAATGCTTATTTGTCATTTATATTTGGTTATCAAATTAATCTATATACTCTATTAAGACGAACATACTTATCAAAGATAACCTTCAAATTTCACCTTGTCTGAATTTCTTCAAATTCCAGATCTGTAAAGCCCATATGAATAAAGTCTTGCTGTATTTTCAATTCCAGAATAAATAACACAGCAATGGAATGCAAGTTTTTGGGGGGACTTGAATTATTCACAAAACAAGTATTTGAATTAATCCTGTATGTAGATTTTAAATTTATAATTATTTCTGTGCTTAGTGACTTACAGATTTTTGGGATAATAGAGAATTTATTAATAGAACTTTAGGAAAATGAACAAATGTGGGGAATGACATGCTATGACTAGAAGAGGATTTTGGCCCAGTAAAAAAGAATTATTGATTGATGGCAAAAAGAGTGTATTACCTTTCACATTGCAATTGTATGGCAGAAGGCAGTCAAATGGGAACTAGAACAAGTATATCAACTATTTTTATATATACTTTATCTTTTAAGAATAATATAAAAATAAGGCCAGGCGTGGTGGCTCATGCCTGTAATCCCAGCACTTTGGGAGGCTGAGGCATGTGGATCACCTGAGGCCAGAGGTTCAAGACCAGCCTGGCCAACATGGCAAAAGCCCATCTGTAGTAAAAATACAAAAACTAGCTGGGTGTGGTGGCGTGTGCCTGTAATCCCAGCTGCTTGGGAGGCTGTTCCAGGAGAATAGCTTGAACACAGGAGGCAGAGGTTGCAGTGACCTGAGATCACGCCACTGAACTCCAGCCTGGGTGACAGAGCAAGACTCCATCTCAAAAAAAAAGAAGAATATAAAAATAGATACAGATATTTTAGGGCCAAAAATTTTAGTTTCATCGTATTAGACAAAAGTAACTATTATAGATCACCTAAAGGATGCAAAAACCATCTTTTCCATGTGCTATTCAGTGTACAGTACTGTCCTTGATTTTTCTTAAAAATCATCTTAAGCACTATCATTATCAATAACTTCTAAGTGAGTAGAAGTAGGTCTTTTATTGCTAGAGAATTTACTGTGGGCTAACTCTGTCTAAATTATGGGGTTATAAATCTATGAGTGCTTAGGAGGAAGCGGAAATTTATGTTTATCACCATGAACTCACAACATGTTTACCATCAGCACTGAGATATTATATACTTCTCCTGGGGAAGGCCCTGGGATGAGCCTTTGTAGGACAATGGTAATGATGATGATCGCAATGAAAGTTATGGGCAGTTCCTACTCATTCAATAAACATTTATTGAATGTTTACTGAATGTAACCTACTATGTACCAGGCATACTATTTGTGTTCTGGCTATAAAGGTGGGAATTCCCATACTGTGCACATTCTAATGAGGAGGTACAGAAACCATGGGTGAGTAAGTATATCTATTGTATATCAGATAATGATAAAAGCTGTAGAGAAAAAAGAAGGTGAATGAGAAATGCCGAGGGGTGATTTTTTACACAGGACAATTAGGAAAGGCCTCCCTTATCATGTGATGTATGAGATCTGCTTTGTTTACAAAGTGAGGAAGAAAGCCATGAGGAAATCTGGGAGAAGACATTTTCACACAGAAAAAAGAGCCAGCACAAAGCTACTGAGAATAGAAGGCTTGGCTTGTCAGAAGAACAGCAAGAGGGCCAGTGCAATTGGGAGGGTGAATGAAGGGAGATGAGGTCAGAAAATCCAGGAGAAGGGGTGGGAGGGTCAGATTATAAGACCTCATGGGTCACTGAGAAAACTTTGGCTTTTTGAGCAGATTTATGACAAGGTCAGAATTAGCTTTTAGCAGCCTCACCTTGCCTCCTGTGTAGAGAACTGATCCTATTGAGGCTAACTGGAAGGCTTTCAATAACCTAGGATAGAGTTGATGAGAGGCTAACAGTGATCAAGAAGAAGAGAAGCAGAATTCTGAAGTAAAAGCCAGTAGGGTTTGCTGATGGATTGGATATGTGGTGTGAGAGAAAGCAAAATGTCAAGGATAAATCCAAGGTCTTTTGGCCTGTGCAGCTGAGGGGATAGAGTTGCCGTGTACTCATATAATGATAGGAAAGATGATAAGGAGTTTGGTTAATAGGCATGCTAAGTTTAAAATACTTATTAAACATCTGCCAAAAGATGTCAAGGCAGATGAAAGAAATGAGGGAGGATCATCAGTATATCAATGTTCATTTAAAGATATCAGACGATATTACCTACGGAGTGAGTGAAGACAGAGAATTATGTCAATTGAGCCCTGGCCACTCTAACATATCAGAATTTCTGGGGAGATAAGGGAGAGTCAGCCTTGGAGAGGGAACAGGAGTGGCCAGTGAGGGAGGACAGTCTTGAATGATGGTGACCCTGAAGCCAAGTGAATAAAACATCTCAAGAAAGGGCAAGTGATCAACAAAGTCCTGGCTTGTCGGAGCTCTGGCCACATCCTATATGAAGGGTTTCTATGTAGCTAAAGCAGTGTTCCGTATCCTCTTAGCAGCATCATGCAGTCAGGAGTCCCTTAAAGAAATGGCTAGAGGAAGAATCAGTTAGGAATCCAGCCTTAAATACAGTCTCCAAGGAATGTAAGGTACAGACCTTGACGAACTCTTATCCTCTCTTCATGCAGTGGTATGCAGGACTCTATTTTGATCAATCCTCATATCTTGAGTGCCTCTGATTTTGTTAATGAGAGCCAACTTCTACATCTATCATACGAATTAACAGAATCTTGTTATCAAGGGGGAAAATGGTTTCTGACATCTAGTATGCAAATTAGCAAAACGTCTGTTGCAGATGACCATATCGGCGGGTGGAGAAAATGCAGTAGTTACTCCCAGAGTGTGGCCCTTATGGTTAGAATGGGAACTGACTATCCTTGGCCTGTGCATTCTTAACAGCATTTTACCTGCTCATGCCTAGAATTAAAACTTAAAATGTTTGACATTGAACCTGTTATAATGCTGATAACCTGATGTACTTTAATGAAAATTATAGACATTATTCTATTAACCTGTCTCAATAGAGGAACAAGAAAGTTTCCATGGCTGTGAAGAGGAAACGCTGGGATTTAAACCTAGATATGGCTAAATTAAAGCCCATGGTTTCCATATGAGGCTATGTGGTTCCATCCTTAATATAGAGTTCCTGAATTTCAGAACCTATGCTCAAAATAGGCAGGCAAGTTGTGGATATGACCAATTGATATGGTTTGGTTTGTGCCCCCACCCAAATCTCACCTTGAATTGTAATAATCTCCACATGTCAAGGGCAGGGTCAGGTGGAGATAATTGAATCATGGGGGCGGTTTCCACCATGCTGCTGTTCTCATATTAGTGAGTGAGTTCTCCCAAGATATGATGGTTTTATAAGGGGTCTTTCCCCCTTTGCTTGGCACTTTTCACTCCTGCTTCCATGTGAAGAAGGATGTGTTTGCTTCCCCTTCTGCCATGATTGTAAGTTTCCTGAGGCCTCACAGCCTGGTGGAACTGTGAGCCATTTCTTTCCTTTTTAAATTACCCAGTTTTGAGTATTTCTTCATACGGGAGCTGTGGAGCTGTGAGAAGAGGGCTATTGTCCTCCAGATTCCAAAATGGTAGATCCACCAATAGCTTGCACTATGCACCTGGAAAAGCCACAGACACTCAATGCCAACTGTGAAAGTAGCTGGGGCAAGGGGCTGTACCCTGCAAAGCCACAGGGATAGAGTTGCCCAAGAGTGAGCCCATCTGTTGCATCAATGGGAGCCCACCTCTTGCAATGTGACCTGCATGTATGCAAATGGAGTCAAAGGAGATCATTTTGATACTTTAAGGTTTAATGAATGCCCTATTAGATTTCACATTTTCATGGGTCCTGTAGCCCCTTTGTTTTGGCCAATTTCTCCCGTTTGGAATGGGTGCATTTACCCAATGCCTGTACCTTCACTGTATCTAGGAAGTCACTAACTTGCTTTTGATTTTACAGGCTCATAGGTGGAAGGGACCTGCCTTGTCTCAGATGAGACCTTGAACTTGGACTTTTGAGTTAAGGCTGGAATGAGTTAAGAATTTTGGGGACTGTTGGGAAGGCATGATTGTGTTTTGAAATGTGAGGACATGAGATTTAGGAGGGGCCAGGGGCAAAATGGTGTGGTTTGGCTCTGTGTCCCCACCCAAGTCTCACCTTGAATTGTAATAATCTCCATGTGTCAAGGGCAGGACCAGGTGGAGATAACTGAATCATGGGGGTAGTTTCTGTCATGCTGCTGTTCTCAGGATAGTGAGTGAGTTCTCCTGAGATCTGATGGTGTTATAAGGGGATTTTCTCCTTGCTTGCCACTTTTCTCCTGCTGCCACATGAAGAAGGACGTGCTTGCTTCCCCTTCTGCCATGATTGTAAGTTTCCTCAGGCCTGTCCAGCCCTGTGGAACTGTCGAGTCAATTAAACCTCTTTCCTTTATAAATTACCTGGTCTTGGGTATTTCTTCATACCAGCATGAGAACAGACTAATACACTAACCATCATACAAGGCATTATATGAAAACTCCTGTGTAGTCAGTATTTCTGCTGTTCAACTTTCTGGCTGGAATGTGCAATGAAGGCTTCAAGGAGGAGAAGGAACTTACATCAATTCTGAGAGATAAATAGAACTACAAAGTGTAGAAAGAGGAATTGCATTTCGAGATCAGGGAAGAGAGTTCTGCACAGTGTTATTACTGTAGGAAATGACATAGCATGAAGGCTAAAATTCTTCATTTGCAATTAACTTCTCCACATTTTTGGTAAAATTTTGAATTATTTCTCATGGCATCAGGAAGAGACTTGATCTATCTGCTTCTTAACTGTCTTAGTCAAGGTTTTCCAGAGAAATAAAACCAACAGTATACATTTAGAAGGAAGTTTATCATAAGGCATTGGCTCATGGAATTATGGTGGCTGAGAAGTCCCATGAGAAGTCTGCTGTCTGTAAGCTGGAGATCCAGTAAAGCTGATAATGTAGTTCAAAGTCCTGAGATCCAGAGAGCTGATGGTGTAGATTCTAGACTACACTATCTGGAGTCTGAAGGCCTGAAAACCAGGATTGCTGAGGGCAGGAGATGTCTCAACTCAAGCAGTCTGATAGAGAGTAAATTTAAACTTCCTTGGCCTTTTGGTTCTATTGAGGCCCACAGTGGATTGGGTGATGCCCACCCCCATTGGGGAGGGCAAATCCACTTTACTCAGTTTACTGATTCAAGTCATAAACTGTTTTGGAAACACCATCACAGACACATCCAGAAATAATGTTTAAGCAGATATCTGGGCATCCCATGATCCAGTCAGTTTGACAGATAAAATTAAATATCACATTAATTACTGACTTCCTTCTATCAAGGAAACACAGTGTCTCTTTCATTGTTACCCATGAGAAATTGGCCAGAGCTCTGGGAATTGAGTTGCTTCATTTATAACACTGGGATGTTCATACATTTCTCACAGGGATGTTCTGAGTATTAAATAAAATGGTGTATGTGACAGTGCTTTGTAAAGTGTGAACGCCATATAGATATATCATAAAAGTCATTATCCAATGTCATCAAGTACAACAATGCTAGAGGAAAAGGCAGAAACAACAGTAAGTATTTCTTGCTTGTGGTCCCATGACCTAGTTTGGCTGGAGGATCTTTTGTATGTTAATATAATAGCTTTGAAAAGATTTGAGCCCTGTCGTTCATGTCAGACATTTCTATCCATTTACGAAAGCATTGTTCTGTATCCAGCTCAGCCGCCAGCAGGCAGGGCAGAATGCAAAACAGTGATAGGACCCCAGAGCTGTTCTTGATTGACCCAATGTCTTCAAAAATAAAATAATCCAGCTCTATTAGGTTTCATTTCCTGCAAAACATGAAAGCTGATATGTTCTGGGCTCTCTTGCTATTATAAGGAAACAGTCAAATTGAATAGTCTCTTTAGCCAACAACAGAACAATCCAGTAATTTCTGTTCCAGAAACCTGCCACTTAGAGGTAAAAGTCTCCCTTCTCAGCAAAGGGTAGTCTCTTTCTGGTGGCTTTCCAGCATGGCACCAGGTGCTTGATCTCCAGCATTCTGAACAGGGAACTCCTCCTTGGTTTTTAGGGAGGTGGATAGCAGCATGCTAGCATGCTCTTTATTCAGCTTATTGATCTTTTAAAGGTCTCTAGGGAAGTTCCTTTGGTAGCTCAAAAACTTAATGTTCAGTTTAATCAGTTAAGAGGGTCTCAAAGCCATGATTAATCTTTAAAGGGAATTCACATGGTAACTGGTCTCACATTCTCTAAAAACCACAAACTTCAGTGCACCAGAAGGTCAAAGTCCAAACAATATTTTATTTCTTCTTTTTCATTTTTCTTTGCTTTACGTATGTGGTATTAGCCTTTCGTATGTAATAGCTAACTCATTTAGTTGGGATATTCTGTAAGAGACTAGTGGAATTTATTAGTGATGGATTGAATAATGGTAGACTAAAGTTATAATTATAGGTAGAGTGTACCCGAGGAGCTGGTAGACTTCAGGGTATACAAGTTCTGCTCTGTGCATACCATACCCAGCAAGCTACTCTGTGTCAGTTTAAGGATTTTCTCCATCAACCATGGACATTCTTATCCCAGGTTTTCTGCAAGTGCATTTTTTTCCCTTTCTGCCTTTCTCCAAGGCATGACAACCTTGTGTGTTTACTAGATCACAAATAATTCATGTCCTAGTTGAGCCATGTCAATCTCAGCCTAAGTCCACTAGTCAATGCCAAATGGCCATGGAAGGGATGTCAGAGGAAAGGGATATAAAGGAACTGGGTCACTTGGTAACCACATCCCATCTCCTCCTGTTGGTTACTGACAGCCTGTGGCTGCAACTTGCACTGAGATGCAATAGTGGAGTGCTTTTCAGCCTTTAATGTGCATGGAAACATCCAGGAATCTTGTTAATCTTCAAATTCTGCTTCAGTAGGTCTAGGGTGGGGCCTGAGATTTTGCATTTCTAACAAGATCTCTGGGGGTGCTGATGCTGCTGGGCCACAGGCCACACTTTGATTAGTGAGCAGTTAGAGGACTTATTGGTGTGGGAGGCTCTTAAACATTCCAATGAGACTCAGGCTGCAGTAATAGTACAGGGCCTAATATGTATAACAAAGAAATATTGTCTTTTAACGGCGTACCCCTGGCCTATCCCCTGGGATCTAGCATAAAATGATTTCATTATATTTATCAAATATTCTCTGCAAAACATATTGCTATAAAAATCAGTTAAGCGTTTGTGACCAAATAGAAGAAATAAAGAGCTATAATTGTCTAAAGAGTGATACATGAGAAATTCACCAGAGCTATCTGGTGCACAGGATCTTATAGCCTCTTTCATCCATCAAAGGTTTTTCTCCACAGATGTCAGCCAGGAGGTTATCTGTATCGTAAACACTATGCAAAGCTTTCTGGATCCTTTCTCTGGGACAGGTTGCCTCCATTGACTATGTTATCAATCAGGGCATAAACCACAGCCTTAATGTTATCTGAGACTCAGAAGTTCACCCTGGCACACTAACTGCTGGGGAATTATGAGTCGTGGGATTGCTCTAACACAGAGAGTATTGTGCTGTGAAGATTATGGAATCTTATTAGAAAAGGCTCTGCCCCAGATATGCAGCAGTTAAAATCAGAGTATTTCTTTAGATACCATAGGGAAGATGAAAAATGTTGGAACCTGTTTATATTGTCTCATATGTACTCCCAGGATGCAGAGCCAGCAGCAGGAGCTGCAGCAGCCCTTACTTATTAGTACAAATTTCCCCTTTGAAGGGTTATTTAAAAATATTTGTACATATTTCAAATCCCTCAATCTGGTTTGTGGCAAATGGTTGCTTAAATAACTTCTTAATTATTTTGTTCTAGTTTTTGCAGAAGGTCTGTTGCAGATATTTAGCACAAAGCTTAGATTGTTGAGGCCTTTACCTACCTCCTCAATAGATTTCAGGAAAATAAAATAAAGGGCTGCTAAATTGTTACTCTCTTTATGTAGTATGCACAAATAGAATGGATTGTGGACCTCAGTACAGGAAAGACATACTTGCACAACTGCATGGTAATAATTTTTATGTATGTTAAAATTATGTTCTTGCTATTTTGTCATAATATTCCAGAGTGAAGCTTTAGAAGAATGACATGCTTATAATAGCTGTAAACAGAGTCGCTTTGCAGATCTCAGGTAGCAAATTATCTCATGAACTTGTAGATAAAATGTAAGCAAAATTATTTGAAATTAATGGTAGATAAATAGAAACGAATTAAAGCCAATGTTATTTTGCAGTAAAATCAGGTAGAATCACTCGTTGAAGGAGACTCGTGAGTCACCAAACTTGGACTTAAGCAAATTTTGATGAGCAAATGTATGCCAAGTCTTGGTTTCTGCACCTATGTTTGAGTGGCTGGAAAGACACACATCAAGTATGGAGGGATGCTGGCTTGTGGAATTTATGGACTAAGGGTGTATGAAATCCTGAATGATCCTGAACTATCATGTGGTCAATTTGTTCCTTGTAGCTATACTGAAGATGAGATGGTGTCATACCCTAATTGATCCTGTGGTGGCTGGTTTGAAGCAGCTGGGCTAGGTACCTAGAGACAACCTCAGTCCTGTGTCCCTACTTTTCTAATTATTTATGTAACCTGCTGTATTTTATTCTATATATTTACACATGAATGTGTATGTGTGTAAGATATATATGTATCTGTTTCATAAGCATAGGAAATACAGTAATTGCTGAGCTCTCCTCCTACACCAGATTATATAAGAAACAACCAGTTGGGAAACATCATAATGCTGAGCTTCACTTACTCTCTCAGCCTTTTTTCACCTGCCATTGTGTATCTTGGGTAAATATGACTCATCACAAAGAAACCTGAGTATTAGAATTTAGGAAAAAATCCAGTTTGGGCGATTGCAGTGTCAGAATTTGGATTCTTCTGATTATGATTATGTTGAGTGGTCCTTTCAACAGATTAAGGGTGCTTTCTGGTAAATTAAGTTTTCAGGGCAAAATAAGGTGAGGTGACATATGAATATGCATATATGTATGTGTGTTTATGTGTGTATATGTATAAATTTGTGTGTGTGCATTTATATATACATCTTCATCACACCACATGAACCATTTGGAAACTATCCTGCTGAGGGTGAGAGCCTATGTGATGTAACTTCCTCAGTTTAGGAAGAAGGGAAATATCAAGGAAAGTAAAGAAAAATGAGACACCACTCCAAGATAACATTGTTTTACAATAAAATCCATAATCTCCACCCCATGAAGATCATGTTGTGGACACTGTTTTGGCAATGAAAATAATAGGTACATGTCAAAACACTTCAAATGGCCACCATCCGTAGACATCAGCTTTATACAAAACATCACATGGTCATTGAATGAACAGTGTTCACCTACACTTCATTTTAAGGAAATGAAATGAAATCCCTAACCCCAGACCCATAGACAGAGAGTTCAGCCAGGCCCAGTAAAAGATACGATTTAGTCTAAGCAGACCATGGCCTCAGGCAGCCTACCACCTGCATAAGCTTAATAAAACAAAAAGCAAAAATAACAGAGCTTGGAGGTTAAATAACACAAATAGATCATTTCTAGAAAAAAGCAATTTGAGAAAGAGTGAGTTCATGCAAATTCCCCAAAGTCACACAATTGGTAAGTGGCAGAGCAAAGACGAGAATCCAGGCATCCTGGCTTGAGTTTATGTCCTTGACTCTATGCAATATCTTCTCTCTACAGAAGCTGTGACCTCAGAGAGGTTGCTTTAACATTTGTTTTTAAACTCTATGGTTTCTTCTTTCCTTCATTTTACAAATAATAATTGGCTGCCTCCACACTTCTTTCTGCTAGTTGAGTGGGAGGAGAGAGGCATGAATCAACCAATGATCCAATAAATTATTTAATTTCAATTATGAAAAGTACTAGGAGGCAAAAGAGGCTATGGAAATATATGATGGAAGTGAGTGATGGGGTCCAACCTAGGTCTAGGGTAAGGGCAGGAGTCCTTGAGGAAGTGACATTTGAGCTGGGCATTAATTCCAGGCAGAGGGAACACCTGCATGAAGGCCTTGAGGCAGGAAGTAGCATGGCACCTGAGAGGGTCTGAAAAAGGACCAGAGCAGCAGGCATGGAGATTGATATGACATGAGCTGGGGAGACCAGGAGGAAATGTGGGCTCAGGTAGGGCCTTCAGGTCAACTTTAGAGTTTGATGTTTATTCCTAAGTGCAATGGGCTGCTAATATTCATTGAAGTGTGTTTATCTCCATACACATAATAAATACTATAAATATAAATAATATATATTTATATTATAAAATAATATATAATTTATAGTATTTATATAAATTTGTATATTATTTCTAGAAATAACATATACACAAATATATGTTACATATATTATATATTTGTATATAAATATTATTTCTAGAAATAATATATAAATAATAATAGTGTTTATTATGTGGATAATAATAGAGGAAAAAAGCTGAGGTTTCAGCATCTCTTTTTCCCCTAGAATTTAGATTGGAGTTTTCCAGATGATCTATGGTAGGAGTCAGCATCCTTTCAAAGCAGGATGCGAAGCTGCCACTGCCTCCTATCCTGATTTACAGGATAAGGTCCAACTCTTATAATGAGCAAGATGGGAGCCATTAGTTGTCCAAGATGTCAGAGATCAACTTCTGCACCTTTTGGCAGGGGACTCCCTGCTACCTATTGCCTGGGGACTGTAGTTTCCCTCTCCTCCCCTGTCTCATCTTAAGTTATATGGAACAAAGATTACTTTCAGACTGACTTTGCTCTTTTATTTTTGATGGGTTTGGAGGATCAGTCAGCCAAAGCCTAAATAAAAGAAGTCCCCAATGCATAAACTTTCATTTCTAAAGCTTTTATATCAGAAGGTGGAGTGACCCTTGGATTTATCCCTTCGATTATCAAATAGGCTTGCTTTCCCTGGTGCCTGTATCTGTGCTCCAGGCATCATCATTTCTCCTAGAAGTGAGATGATAAATGGTGGTTCTGTTCCTGGGCAAGCCTACAATTGTATTAAATGGCCTCTGAGCCTGGAGAAAAGGGGACCATGCAGCTCAGAAGGGAGGAAATGAGGAGTAGAATCTCCTTCCCTCTCTCCTGGGTGTAATTTTGAAATTAGAGTGATAAAAGAAAATCCTGTTTGAGTGGGAGCAGGGAGAGCTGCAAGGATAAGCATAAACTCTATTAATGAAAGGTGGTCCCCAGTATAGGGCTTCCAAGTGAGCTGGTGGCCTCCTGAGCTGGGCATGGAAAGGCCGTGAGGAGCACTGCCTTTAGATACCATAGGGAAGATGAAAAATGTTGGAACCTGTTTATATTGACTCATATGTACTCCCAGGAAGCGCTACAGTTAGGCTGGCACTGCAGCTGCTCTTCGACACTGTTCAGAGTCCCCTTGTGAAACATGGAGGACTGGGTGACAGCTCTTTGTCTCCTGGCTTCCCAGAACCGATAGCATGCAGTGACCGGGGCCTCTTTCTCTCTCCCATCTCCTCTCTCTTTCACCTGTTTTTGCAAAGTTGTGTAGTAGAAGCAGCCTTTACCATTTTAGGAGCAAGCAGCCTGTGCAGTGGAAAATACAGCAAAAATCACCATGTGCAGCTCCAGCAGCAGCCCCAGCCCTACTCAGTGAAACAGCCGGGCAGAGGTGGCAGCTGTGGGTGTGCTGGGAAGTCATGGGAAAATCCAGAGCAGAGCCAACGCAGGGCCACTGAGTGCTGCTGCAGGGGGCAGGAGAACCCCACTAACGATCCTCAGTCCTTAGAGTCAGGGAATAAAGCCAGGCATCTGAGCAGATATGAGCAATCCCAGAGATAAGAATCTAAGCTCCTTGGGAGCAGAGGCTGTGTCTTGTGTCTCCTTGAATTCCCAGAGTCTATGTTGGCCACACAGCAGAATGCATCCTTCATTGCTGGAAGGAAGAATCAGACACAGGAGATGGGAGGGAGCCACCAGAACTGTGGAGAGGTTGGAGGGCAGAACACTCAGACTTAGAGGCATGTGTTGAGGAGGAGATAGACTAAGAGACTGTTCTGTCCTGTCTATGAAGCCCTGAAAGGGATGGAGCTAGCCACTGAGAAACAACTACGTGGAATTATACTGGAAAATTACAATTAATATTTCACTTTTCTCAAAAATATTTTATTTTGAAAGACCTGAATATCTTAAATGCTGGTTACCAGAGTTACCATGTTGATGTGAAATGGCCTGTTTTGGCACATCATTTTAAGGTGTGCACTGGGAGGGCAGGGTTGGTGATAAGCACACCATCCACCCTAGGCCAGGGTTTCCCATCGCATATCCCGCTGAACACCAGTCTTACTGGGTGCTCTACCAAAAAAAGAAAGAAAGGATCCTTGGCCAAATAATTTAGGGAATAGAGTGGACCAGATGTTTCTTTTGGAGAGCCTTCATTTAAATAGCATATGAGGGTCTGGACTTCAGTGAACAGACTTTATTTCATTCAATGCAACGCCTCCTGAGCTTCAATGAACATAGAAGCCCATTGACATATAGCAAATATTTCCTACATGTTGGGCAATGTTGCTGCTGTGGCTAGTTAAAGCAGATTTCAGTTATATCTGTTTAGGGCCATTGCAGAATCACAGGAAGTTGAAATTTTCCTTAGACCATTCTGAATGACCCCTGGAGCATAGTCCTGGGGCAATGGCTTCATTTCATCATGGATCTGGATCCAGAGTCAGATAAAGCCAGTAAAAGAAAAACCTGTCAGCTGTTTACCTGTCACTAAATAAACAAAGGCAAATTGCTTTACTTTCTTGAGCTCCATTTTTCCCACCTGCCCTCTTGTACTTCTTTTCTCAGAAGGGTGTGTAGAGAATGAAAGGTATATCTTATCCCATGAAGCCTAACTGGGATTTGTTGTAGTTAAGCAGAATTAACATTTCTTATTTGCAAGCATAATCTTCTTTGCTATTCCTACCAGCAGGACTCAGAGAAGTCAGATTGTATTGTCTGCATTTACAGAGGTAGAAAGCAGTGCATAGAGAGATTGAGGGGATAACAGAGTTCCTAGCTGGGTGTGTCCTTCTTGTGATACTCTAAAATGGGCTGTTGCACATACAGCTCACAAAATAGGGTCTTGACCAAGAGGAATACAGCTGAGCTCACTTCTAACAAAGTCTCTGCTTGTAGCTGGGGTTGCTAGCTTTGTAGTGATTTGTCAGGACTAGGTTCTGTTTTCATTACTGTGCTCTTGCACAAACAGAAGGCGATTTGAAATAAATGGGGACATTTATCCACTAGGTGGAGCTACATCCTTTGTTCTCTGATGGATGCTTTTCCCAACACTAAAATGTATTTGGTTTGGGTGGGAACTCAGCAAAGAGTATACATCGTTTTTTTCTCTCACCTTGTTGTGGGAGCTACAGTACTTTGAATGAAGAATGAATGGAGAATGGGCATGTTTTCATGCTGGGAATAAGAGATACGATGTGTTAGAATGTCCTGTGAAATGTAGCAGATAGCTGAGCGAAATCAGACTGCCTCACTTTGAATTAGGTCCCACGACTTGCTAAATGCATGGAAAATGGAAAGTTATTTAACCCACCCGTTATTTCACTTCTTATCTATTTTTTTATTTGTTAAATAGTTGCATTATAAGGTTTCTTGATGGAGTAAATGAAATCTGTGTGGAGAACTTAACCAATAATCTGGAACATTGTAATTCCTCAGTGTGTTAGTAATTGGTATTATCTGTGGTTTAAGTTTTCATGTGATTCAATGCCTAGTAAAAAACAACTTGATATTTTCATATGAAAATGTGAAATTCAACAGGATTTGTATTTCCGGGCTGCCTTGATTCTTTTGTTACCATTTGGGTTCCCGCATGCCCTCAACCTTCTTAATCCCTGCACGGCCTTCCTCTTCCCTAAAGCAGTGTTCTTCAGACTAATGTGTGCATCCAATCACTAGGAGGACTTGTTAAAACTCAGATTGCTGGGCTCCACCCCCAGGGCTTATGATTCTGTGGGGCTGTGGTGGGACTTGAGAATAGACATTTCTAAAGAATGCCCAGGCGATGCTGATGCTGCTTGCATACCTGCTCTGCCTGCCTGTGGGTGGGCCTCATGTGGGCACAGTGGGCTGTGACTGGGAGGCAGGGCTGCGTAGGCTTCTTTGTAGTTAGCTGCTCCAGGCCAGGCTGGCTCCCTTTCCTGGCTGGCCTTGGTGTCTAAAATGCCTTCCTCTAGAGATGTGTTTATATGAAAAAACAGATAAAGTCATTGTGAGGCTTGCAACTCCTCTTTATCATTTCTTCTTACCAACCCTGTCCCTCCCCTTACAGTTTTGATCTGACTCACACTGAAAACACACTAGGCTTCCCAGTGAATAGCTTAGAGGCCAAAGGCTATGCAAGAAATAGTAGGCAATTCGTCCACATTAAAAAAATGATCTTCAGCACAGTATATGACACATGGTAAACGTTCAACTATATTTGCTGAATGAATAAATGTGCTATGGAAGCTACATGTGGGCTAATGATAGGAGACCTCACCAGCTAGAAAGCTTTCCATTTACCAGCTGTGTGACAATGGCAAAATTATTTTATGAACAAAACACAGCTTACAATGATTAGGTATTACTGTGATTTACAGCTACATATTGATTAATACTGCTTCAATTCTTTTAGGTTGAACCATGTAAAATCGCCTCTATCTGACCATTTTTGATTTACAAAAATGACAGCTTTATATGGTTCAGCCTGATAAAACTTCTGTACTTTAAATTAGGCACATGCTTAACTAAACTCTTTTTCCGATATGCTTTCAATTCCGGGGAAGTGGATTCCTTCTTCTCTTTTTCTCGCTGCACATCTAAATGTTGTGGGAATATTTTAAAAAATAAGCCTGATGTTGGCTCTGTAAAAATTCAGTTTTATTCCCAGTCCAAGACGATCCTTCATCACTATTTTCTCATTGGAAGAATGATTCCCCTTCATTTGGAAGCAACTGGCAGATGTTCCCTGCTGAGCTGGCTCTCGGTTTTGGTGGAATGCTGCGGTGTTGAAATGCCACATGTACAATTGACTTTTCTTACTCTTCCCACTCCCCGTTCTGGAAATTGCTTCCACTTCCACCCCCACCCCATTCATAGGGTACATTAATCTGTGTTTTAATCTTCTGCACAACCACCCATGCCCTCTTCCCATGTCTCTCCCTCTCCCCCACCCTCTCTCATTTAATTACAACTAACTTGAGCATCAGCAAGTGAGAGCAGCTTGCCACACGACTCTTAAGTTATTGCTTTAGTTATGCAAGAATCAATGTAAAGGTTTTAAACCCATCTGCTGTTGAGTCTTAGAACTTTTGGTGCCATGAAGTCAGTAAGATACAGTACTCTTCCAGTCCATAGTCATTCAATAAATACTTTTTGTGCACGGATTATATTAAGAAGCTCTGGCCACTTGTCCTTCATTGGAATATTTGTTAAATCATTTTAACAACTGACAGCATTTTTTTTTTTTTTAATATGGAAGGTAGAAAAAAACATGAGAATCCTGGTTACCAAAGGCTGTGGTAGGCGCACTGTCAGGAGGCACGGGGCTCAGAAGAAGGCCCCAGACAGGTACAAAGTGGACAAATTTCACCTATTGCACAACTTTGCCTCATTTGGTTATATATAACTACAATTGCTGAAGGAAGAATTAGGTATATAAACTTGGTATTTTAAACCAAATGCACGCTCTACAAATCTCTCTACAGAGTGAGCAGATAGAGTATTCATTCTGGAGTCCTGGGGTTCACTGCTCAATCACAGTGTGGCTTTGGGCAAGTTACTTTGTTTCTTGGTGCCTCAGTTTCCTCATCTGTAAAATGGAGATAACAGTAATAACTTCACAGAGTTGTTGTGGGGATAAAATGAGTGAAAGTGTCTAAAGTGCTTAGAACAGTGTCTGGCAAATAAAACTATGTAAATATGAGCTATTTTTAGTTTCAGAGAATATCTCAGAAAATGCTAAATAATAAAAATATGTAAATAATCAAGAACTGCATTCTCCTGCAGGAGCTTTTGTAACCTTGAACTTTTAAAGGTCTTCTGCATTTTTTTTTCCAGGAACATGCAGTTTTAAATGGTTTTAAGATCATTATTTATTTTAAAAATCATTCAGTGCACTAATCCGGTGGGTTTATTATCAATATATCCTTTTTTTTTCCTCCCTTGATATTTAAGCTAAAACTTCTCTCTTCTTAATTCCAGTCTATTTTTCCTCATTATCATGCTTTCACTATGCTGGTGACTTTTTTTCTTTCTTCATGTTTACCTCGTCCTGATATTTACAGAAGTACAAGAGAGAATTTGTGAACTTGGACAAACTCTTCTGGAGAGAACACTCCAGGGATCTTTTACAGACATCACAGTTCTCTTGGTTACATGAGGCAGCATGAACACAGTGCCATGGGTGCCTTTGGAAATTTATCATGAATAAAAACAGAGAAAACCCAAAAGCCACCCATTCCTGAATTAGGAAGAACAGAATTCTAGGCTGACTTTTGAATTTCCTCAAGGACTTTAAATTCCGAGGTCTAGTGATGAAACAATTCACACAGTCTTCAGCATTTGTGTTGTCATGTTTGGAATTGTGGGGGGTTGACTACAGTCATAGTTCGCCAGGATTTCACAGCAGGATCGTGGGGTCTCAGCGACCCTACCCTCATGTAGATTATTTGTGCATGTTGGAAATATATTTAGTGCTTTGATATTTTATGATTATTTTATTTACTTACTGTAACTGTCATGTTTGGGAAAAAACATATTATACTTAAAAGGTTTATTTATGTTTTTCTTGTATTTTACGCCATGCTTCAACTCTGAAGTCTTTTAAACCTCAAAAGTATATCCAGACTTCAATACTAAGTTTTATGAGACAAATTATTTTTTTGTCTGCTGATTTTTCATAGTTTTTCCATGTATGATATTTACTTATTGGAATATTTATTTCAAGATGTCATATTCAGGGTCTAGTTAGGGTAATTTTAAGCATCCGGTAAGAAGTTATGTGTTGGTTACTTTTCTTAAAAACAAAAATTACCTGTCTCATTTTAGATACCTTCCATAGAGGAGAAAAAAGTAGCACCAATTTTATTCTGTTACAAAATTTCTCACTTTAGTAATATGGATACTGGAGAAATGCAGAATCTGAGACACTATGCAAGAGTTGTACAACTAGATGCAAAAGCTACATGTTGACGTATTCAAGCGAAAGGTCAGAATAAGCAAAGGAATGGAATTCTTTGGTGATTCAGTTTTTATTCTAGGTTTTATCCTTAATATGCATCTGAGGTGGTGAAGATATGACATCAAGATACTACAATTTGAAAGTATAAGTCCTCATTTTCTGCCCTATCTTATTTTTAAGTTGTGTGTGAGCATAGAGGTAGGTGAATAAAAAATTAGTGCAAAGAGGGCACAACTAAATATCATCTTGGTCCAGCCAAAATCCCTAAGTCAAAATTTACCAGACTCTCTGCTCTTGACCTTGAAGCCTTGTAATCTACTAGACTATTTAAAGAGAGAGTAAGAAGGGCACTGTGGGCCAGGCGCGGTGGCTCACGCCTGTAATCCCAGCACTTTGGGAGGCCGAGGCGGGCGGATCACGAGGTCAGGAGATCGAGATCATCCTGGCTAACACAGTGAAACCCCGTCTCTACTAAAAATACAAAAAAATTAGCTGGGTGTGGTGGTGGGCGCCTATAGTCCCAGCTACTGGGGAAGCTGAGGCAGGAGAATGGTGTGAATCTAGGAGGCGGAGCTTGCAGTGAGCAGAGATCGCGCCACTGCACTCCAGCCTGGGCGACAGAGCGAGACTCCATCTGAAAAAAAAAAGAAGGGCACTGTGATGAAACAAGGGGCTGGTGTTGATAGTGGTGATGGTGGTGGGGTAACGGGCCCAGGGCCTAAGGATATGATGCCCCCTGGGATTGCTGATGAGGTGGTGGCCTATGTCAGTATCCTCTGTGCGAGTGTAGTGACCAGCAGACTCTAGATGTGCTCCCTCAGTTATCCACAGTTGGCATGGGCATTTGGAAAGGAGACGGGTATGTCACCTTCCTATTATCCCGTCCTCTATTTAAATGCTCCTAGTCAGAGCCTGAGTTCAAAGATGGTTCAATGAAGTGCTAGGTCAGCAGACATAGCCTAGCTAGTATGATGCTTGGGGTGTTCTGAGAGACCTGAAAATAAGGAAGAAGATGTTTGTTCTTGCCTAAGTACCTGCCAAATCTTCTGGCCTAAAAAATAGAATTAGGGCGTGAGGCTCAGGTAGGCAGATGAGTAAAGGGGTATTGTAGCCTTGACCTATTGATATGATTTGTTGCCTTTTGTTAAAAAATTGAACAACTTGTAATCAAGATCTTAATACTACTATAACAAAAGTAGCCGCATTGTTATTCCTGTGCAAGGAAAAACTGAAGCCCAGAGAGCTTCAGCAGGTTGCTCAATGTCACTAACAGGAGAGCGAACAAGATCAAACTTGGAAAGTCCTTTTACGTTGCTTTCTAATTTGTTTTTCCGGGCTGCATGCACCTTCTTTAGTCTGTGGGAGGAACCATTGTGTGAATTTTCTATGAGACTGAAATAGACCTGATTGACAAAAATTTTTTTTTTTCCTAGGAGGAGATTTGCAACATTACGACAAATGCTGAACATATCTGAATTCTAATTGTGAAGCACTAATGTTGTGCATTAGTGCTTAGCCTTGGGAAATTCTTACTTTGGGTGCCAAATTAAACTAATCTACACTTACTAACTAACTAAACATTTTCTTAGCATGGCACAATGCTCAGATTTCTACCATAATATTGTACTTTACACTTTCTCTACTATTTTATAAATTGTGTAAGCAGTGAAATATTTCAAGCTTTGAACCATGATTCTTCATGGCCTCCTGGAGGATTGTGATGCAAAACCTCTAAAGATACTGATGTTAACTGTCAGGTGATATTACAAACTGTCCCAATGGATGGTATAACCTGCAGAGTAGAATGTCATTATTATGAGACACAGCCTGAAACATGACGATACAGTAACAATTTTTCCTGAGCATTCTTATATTACTATTACAGTAATCCCTCAATCCAGCTAGAAGCTTTGTGCAGTGTTCTTTAAACAAAAAGTTCACAGAAAAATTAAGCAAGCTATATATAATATGAGAAGCCCTATATAAGCTGGTTTGGGAAGGCCAACCAAAGTCTATATTTATTTATCCATATTCTTGTCTACGTTCACTGTTCCAATCTATTATCTTATTTATTCTCAGAATGAAGTATAGCTAGACTGCCTCTATTTGAATCTGAAGTCTCTGAGGTTCACCTATAAGCTTTAGGAGGTCACCCAGGTGAACTGGTAGATACTGACTTTCATTCTGAGCTGGTGCCTGGCCATTTGCGTGGAAAAGCCTGTCTTGATTATGAGTGGGGAAAGAGCAGAGCACATTTAAAGATGATGATTTACCTGGCTGAGCGTTAGTCACTCCGTGCTGGATTTGTTACACAGGATGTTTCATTAGCTGCGGGGAGTATAGCATGTTTTCTGACAAATATCCCCTAGAAATCAGATTCCAAAGTCCCCTTTGTCCTTGGGTGGTTTAACACTCCACACATTCTCTGCCTCGCTTTGTTAGAACCTGGACCCCTGCCATTCCTAGGATAAAGGCGGTGGGGAATGTCTCACCTATCTTGGTAATTTGAGCTTTTGTCCCGTTTTCCAGGCAAGATTTCAAACTTTTAATTACCCACTTAGTAAAACCCAGATGTCCCATTTCAAAGACCTATTCCCATTAGGGAATTTTCATTTCCAAGCAATAGTTGGATGAAATCCTAGAGTTTTACTGCATCCCATTTCCAGTACTTTAGCTTTGCTTTTTATTTTTTTATTTTTTTTCTGAGTAAATAAGACCATAAACTTTTAATTCTGTAAACCTATTTTAGATAGAATTGGTAGTATACCACAGTCCACTACATTGAAGCTTTCCATCTAAACCTTAACTGGTTCTTTTCAAAATATTTCTTAGCATGCATTTGGTTCATAAACCTTCTTGGAGCGCTAAGAGGATAAGCGACTTTCAATTTGAAAATACATTACAAAGTGTTCCATCTCTTATAGTTTAAGGAATACTCTGGCCAAGGTCTTACAACATTTACCTGACAGTGATTTTGATAAACGGATTCATCACTGGGTTGGAAAAGGGCCAGAATGAGATGGCTCTTGGACCAATTTACTGTGGCCATGTGTATTGGCAGAAGAGTGTGGGTCTGGTGTGACCTTGTTTACACAGGGTATTTCCACAGCTGTGCTAGCTGAAAGTCTCAACTTCAATTGCTTATCTCCATTGACCAAACTGGCTGGTCTAATCACCTGTTGATGTTGTTCCACATCAAATAGTCATTTTCCAATTTCAAGAGAGGATACTTAGGAATTTAAACTGGTTATATTGATGTGTAGGTAAAATAACAAAGTGGGGATTTAGCTCTGATAATCACATTGCAATTTAAGTCAAAGAGCAGATGATTAAAACTGCTATTTCAAGGTGGCCTTTATATGACCTGTGGATCAGGTACTATGCGTGATAAGGGCAATTTCAGGAGAGGACGTAAATTGTGATTATTTCTGAGTAAAATATGATGTTTTCTTTACCTTTTATACTCTCCAAGGTGCTTCCACAGACATGCAGGATCACAATGACTTTATTTGCCACAATTAGAAAATGACCAAATATAATGGCTGGTAGAACCACAGGCTTCTAAGGTCTGTGTGAATGGCATCCCAGGAAGCACAAATATGCAGAGGGCTGGAGTGATGATGCAGAGGCTTATATGGCTCTAGAATATTTGCCCCTCACTTTCACTCCCTCATTTCTGACTTCTTCACCTACTTGTCTCCCCTCATTCAGCTCCAGCCACTTGGGCCTTCTTGCTGGTAACTGAACAGCAATGCACTTAGGCCTCAGGGACCTTGTACTCGCTATTTCCCTGGCCATCCTATTTGACGTGGCAACTCTTCCCACCTCTCCTGTTCTGTTCTCTTACCTCATTTTTCATCATTTTTCGGTACATCACATACTGTGCCTGTAATCTGTCTTGCATGTTGTCTGGCACTTCCTCTACTCACCAGAGAATATGAATGCAGTGATTTTAGTCTGTTCTTTTTCCCAATGCTATAGCCCTAGCTTCTAGACTTGTGCCTGGTACATAATAGTTGCTTCATAAATATTTTGTGAATAAATGAATGAAATGAAAGCTTCCAATAGGTGATTAAAGATGGCTCAGAGTTATTAGCACATTAAGGATGTCTTGACCTTCCATATACACTCTGTTTAAAAGAGCCAAAAAAAAAAAAAACTGACGACTTTACTTATTTCATTGGTGAGGCATGTAATATGTTCCATGTGTGGCTAAGTAGGGCTCTGATTTGGAATGGAAGGTTCTATCTCCGTAGTTTGAAGCTAAGGGAAACTTACAGACACCTGCAAGTCCTTTTGTTGTTTCTCAAATGACAAGAATTGCGATGGAGAGGCTTGAAACAAAAGTAACTTCAGTTGATGTGGCAGCTTAAGAGTCAACAGCCTAATGTCATGGCTTTTATGAAAAATAGGATGTAACATTAGAGAGGCAATAGCCAATTTCTCATTTATGTCACAGATCTAACCATCGTGATTCCTCTGATCCCAGGCTTTGCCTTCCTCCCTGCTACCGCACATGGATTTGTACAAACTCGCTTTACTGAATCCGTTTTCTCTCTCCTGGAATATTGCTTTTGTGAAAACAATGTCAGTCTTGCCATTCAGTCCGTTGATAATTTGTCATCGCTTGGCCAGATCTTGTGGGGATTCATGATTTGTCAAACAAATGTAGTTATTCAGAAAACATGTTTGCTTTCATGGTGTTTTATTTGCTGTATGTTTTCTGTTAAGTATATTTCAAATAATTGATAACATGTTTGGGAAATGATACATAACATTGTATAAACATCTGTGTCTTAGTTGTGAATGTCCAGATATTTGTTCTACAGGAGTAACTTTTACTGATAACTTAACATCATATGCTTTGAAATTGTTAAGTGCATAGATATACAGAAAAATGCAAATAATGTTAACACCTTAATGTTAAAATATATCATTTTTGTAGGATATACTGGCTTCTGAAGCTCATGTCTCTCACTGTTTCTTTTATTCTGCTGTAGAAATTTAGCACTACTTGTATGATTAAGTGTTGTGATGATGAAAGCTAATAAAGGGCATTTTGTTTGATTCTTACTGGCAGATTCCCCTGCACATTGGCGGAGAGGATGAGGCATCTTTAGGCAGCACGTGCTCTGGTCTTAACGTGTTTGAGTTAGTAGTATTTCTTTAATTGTCCAATTTGTTTTATGTTACCAGGTGGTTTTGATTAATGATCCAAAAGAGGTGAATTTGTGTACAGAAGAGAGAAAGAATTATAACTGAGATGGTTGCATTTAGGTCAGTAGAAATACATAATCTTGTTACTGATGCAACATTTATTCTTTCCATATTGAGGGGGATGAAGTAGCTAATTAAAATTCCAACACTTCCTTTCTCCTTTTCGATCTTTCTAAATACTTGTAAAAGTCTACAGAACCATGAAGGAAATGATTTTATTTCCAGACACTATGGAGATTCATCAAAAACAGCTTCAATGCTAGCAAGTACTGTGAGGTACAAACAATTGTCTTTGAGTACAGCTGTTTTTCTCCAGCCTTTTCAGGAGTGGAAAGCAATTGGCTCTTTCCTGCCCTGCATCAGAAGTGAAGGAGCCTAAAATATGTGTCCCCATCATTTCTGTTGTTTTAAAAAATATTTTTGTTTAAACAGTTTTTCTTTCTTTTACTTAGCACAAATATAGTGCTTACTATCTGTCAAGAAGCACTCTAAGTGCTTTACACATATGTACTCCTTTCCTTCTCCTTTCTCTTTTATGGCTTTTTGTCCCTTTTTCTTTGTTTCAAATGCCTTTACCTTACTGATTTATGAACAAAAATCTTTCTTTCAGTATTGGATAAATTCAAATAGTGCATAGATCTCTCGTAGGATGTATTTATGCTTAAAACAATGAAGGGGATATCTGTGTAAAGAGAGTGGGAAGGTCTGTGGAGTTCCTGGATGGCAAACATAGTCACTTATCCCTGCACCCACTTTATATTTTGGTCAGATTTGGCTTTTTCTTTTCCTAATGTCATCCCTCCATGTAGTTTTACTTGTGAATTGAAAGGCTTCACAGTGAAATAAAGTTGAAGAAATACTGCCTCTAGTAATCATCTTTCCAGGAAATTACAATGCATGCATGTGGATTAAAAGATTCCACAATAAATAAATCAGTTTTTAGTAAGGTGGGTCATCAAAAAACTAAAAATAGAATCACCATAGGATCCATCAAGTCCACTTCTGGGTATATATCCAAAAGAATTGGAGGCCGGGACTCGCACAGATACGTGTACACCCATGTTCATAGCAACATTATTCACAATAGCTGAAAGGTAGAAGCAACCCACGTGTCCTTTGATGAATGAATGAATAAGCAAAGTGTGGCAGACACATACGGCCTTAAAAAGGAAGGAAATCCTGACACGTGCTACAACATGGATGATCCTTGAAAACATTCTGCTAAGTGAAATAAGCCAGTCATTATATTGTATAATTCCACCTGCATGAGGTACCTACAGTAGTAAAATTCACGGGGATGGAAAGTAAAATGATGTTTCCCAGGAGCCAGGGGAAGGAAGTGATGGGGAGTTATTGTTAAAGGGGTACAGAGTTTTGCTTTGGGGAGATGAAAATATTCTGGAGCTGGTTAGAGGGATGTTTGCACAACAGTGTGAAAGTGCTTAATGCCATTGAACTGGACACTTAAAATTGCTAAGATGGTACATTTTATGAGATGTATTCAACCACAATTTAAAAAAATAGAAAAAGGAGAAACCTTTTGTAACCTAGCATTTTCTACTTTGTTTGACCATGAAACATGTTTTTAAGAAACAGTTATTAACATTTGGAGGAATAGTTGGAACACAGTTATGAAAAACCTTGTGTGTACACCCAGCATTGCATTTAATTAATGTGAGCTGTAAAAATTTTACTTTCTTGCCTAAAACCTATGACTCACATGACAGTTGAAACTCTTTGCTTATATACAAGCCTACCTGATATTTGAGCATAACTGTATGATTAAGTCCTCAACTTAAACAGTGGCTCCAAATTAAGAAAAAATGTGGCAGTAAAAATCTATACAACTTGATGATGGGTGAAATGAGGAAAGAAAATAGTTAAAGATAATCCACAAGTTTTAATTGGAGTACCTGGTAGATGCAGCTGCCATCAAACCAAAGGAGTTAGGAAGAGCAAGGGGTAATGAGACTTGCTTTGGTCATGTTGATGAGCTTTTTTGGGTGCTGTTAGAGCTACAGGACAACAAATAATTATGATCAGGGCCACAGAAGACAAGGAACTTTGGGATCAAGGGCAAAAACTAAAGGGTTAACCTCGGAAAAAGATGGATGGATTCTCTCATACTTAAATAAGAATATCAAAATTCCTTTTTCTAAGGTGATTCTACAGCTAATGAAATGAAATGGAAGTAGCAGAGAAAAATAATACATTGGTAAGAATTCCTGGACTGCATCCTCTTACTTTGAACAGTTTTCTTTGATTTTAGGCCTTTTTATTTTTCCATTTTGAGAAACTCTGTTTAAAGAATACACTTTAAGGACTTTAATTGCACCTATTATTATAAAGGCAGTCAGAGAAATTAGGACAGTGATTTTAAAATAATTCCTTCTGACTTTCCATACCCTCATAATGAAAGCTATACCAAAAAAATTCGTCTTCACATGTTGGTCATAAAGAATGCAACAGTTTATATTCAGACAAGAGAACAAAAGGCATCTTTGATCTCTGGAGTAAATTATTCAAAATGCCATAGCCTTGCACCAAATGAGTTAAAATTGCCTAGTTTTGTTCACAGTTTAAGATATAATACTTGTTACAGGAAGACATTATCAAGTTTAGAGTAAAGGAAAAAATGATATTCATGCTGAGTCTGTTACTACATGACAGACAACAATCGTGGAATTTGAATGTGTAAATGAGGATGGACGACAGGGCCTATGTCCCTTAGGTATAGTGCTTAGCACGATGCTGAGTACACAGTAGGTGCTCAAAAAATATTTGTTGAACAAATGGATCAATGATCGAATTGGTTTCTGAAGGTTAAGAACTGTTATCATCAAAGAGCTGAGCTGCAATGAAATGTGTATCCTGAGTGCACTTTAATATTTTCACTGATATCTAAGAGTTAGGGGAGGGATCCCGGGGTGGAAAGAGTGTTAGCACTCAGGAGAGAAAGGGATGGTTTAGTGTACTTCCACAAAGGTCAGTCATGGGGAGTATTAATTGTCAGGGAGACTAAAAAACATTTGGGCTGAATGTCAGGGGAAGTTTTTGAAGAGTAAAGTGTGTTAAACTACACAACACAGCCAGAGGTAAAGACCCAAGGGAATGGATGGAAGTCTCAATGGCTGAACAATTTACAAGGAGACTGAACCCAGTCCTAGAGAAGTGGGTGGGGACTTAGACAGTTTGGAGGGTATGCATTAGAAGAGCTTTCAGGTTTTTATGTTGTCTCTGTTGTGAACGACTATGTTGGAGTTTTCCAAAATGCAAAAAAAAAAAAAAAAAAAAAAAAAAGGCATGTGTGTGGAAGGGTCTTTGCAATTTGGAGAATATTACAGTGTATAACAATGCTAAAAGGAGCTTGTGTATTTCAAAAATGATGCTATCATCAGGTAAGATTCTAGAAGGACGAGCAAGAAGCAGATGATTCATTCTGTAGTGCTTTGAAATGGTGTATTTATCAACTATTCATATAATTAAATATAAATGTCTACAACAAAGGAATAGAGTCCAATTCTAATTAGAAAAAGTGAATTAGTGAATTCCTTTCAGGTCTATGATTCTCAGAAAATTAAATTTGAGGACAGTGATGCCACATAGCTTAAAAGTACTCAAAATCTCTAATGTCCCCTGGAGCTAAAAATCCTCTAAAATCAGCCTACATAATGAAGCCTTTGTTATAGCTCAAATTTGCTTATATTATATATAGAGAGTGCTTTGTGCTGCATATTTAGTAAGTTAATTTTAAAAGTTGAGCTATTCTCATCCAGGAAGTGAAATTGCAGGTCACTTCATAGAACCCAATAAGGAATTTTGTTACAGAGTGAAAATACTTTTAGCTAAAGAAAGTTCAACTCAACTCCACTACAAATCTACTGCCTTCAACTTCCTGGTGCTATTATCTAAATTCACTTGTTATTTTAAGAAGGCCCACCGCAAAAGAAATAATATCTTTTCCAAATTATTGCTTAAATAATTTAATGAAGGCATGTGATTGATTTCATGGGACAATAGTATTTGTGGGAATATATTTGTATGTCATCAGTTTTACAGATAGTTAAATATATAGATATAGATACACATTTAAGAGAGAAGGACAGGGAGACAGAGAGAGAGAAGAGGGAAGAAAGAACTGAGATAGCAATTTTGAATTAACTAGAGCCTTTCTGGTGACTCATGACCCAACAGTGGGTTTTTTTTCTTTGGTTAATGAATATATCATATGGGGAATCTTTTTAACATTTGACTTTGCTAAATAAATAAAATTAACATTTTTAATATTTTAAGTACATCATATAAAAACTGCCAGAAAGATTATTATCAATTATAGGCAAAGTTTTAGGTGGTCTGACTTGAAATAATTTTGGTCATCCATGAGATGATCAAAATTAATGTTATGGAATTTTTGTATTTCCAGGGTGAGTCATGATTGAGGAGTCAGAGAGAGGGACTCAGAAGAAGAAATTGTAGTGGTAAGAAGAGTCAGGAGGGCTAAGCCCTCTTGCAGTTCTGAAGGCCCACTGGACATTTCCCCATAGAGGTCTCAATGGCAACTTAAAAATCAATCTTATCTTCTCTATCAAAGGCACTGCTCCTCTTCTAGTCCCTGTTATAGTTAATGCTAACCAAATCTACTAGGTGCCCAACTGAAAACTTTAAAGTGAAAGCAGATGGAGCTTGAGGGTCATGTGCCCTCACCACTGGCAGTGATCTTCCATGCCTCTCTGGGGGCCAGAGAGACAACGCTGGTTTCCAGAATGCCAGTGCGCAATCACTTCAGTTTGTAAGTGTTGATTTGAATGCAAACTACTTTGAATGAAAATGTAACTGGTGTTTACAAGAAGTATCTACAGGATGATAATAACCACTTTTTTTTCCCCTTAAACCAAACTATACCTCATCTTGGGTAATTTATGAATTGCGATTATGAAAGGTGATAATAAATAATATGGATTTTTACTAAATTTTTACTCAACTTTCTCACCTTTGCTTTATCATCTTCAGTTAGCAATAAAATTTTATGAGTTGAAAAATGACAGTATCTTTGACAATCCCTAATTTTTTGACCGACTTTGACCTTGTGTACCAAACAACTTTCTTGAGGATAAGAGTAACAGTAGATTCTCTGTTGAGTTTCCCCACAGGCCTGTCTATAGCAGAGCTGTGGCTCCTGCAATTTTATCATGCTCACTCCCAATTCCATCAACAGTGCCATCAATTATTCTTTATGTCACGATACTAAGACAATCAGTGATTTCCAAGACTTTTCAAGCTTACCCATTTCAAAGATTAGGTGTCCTGGTTTTCTTTTCTGGGCAATGACTCTATATTTTAGATACTTTAGTTTAAGTGTTCAGAGATTGCCAGGTTCTCCTTTGACCTTGTTTTGTTTATAATGAGATGAAGACACTTTGGCGTAAAGAACTCTGAGAAGGCTGACTGAATTAGGAACATAAATTAGAATAGTCCCATAATTGTATTATTATATTATATTACATATAATAATATTGAGTTCCATAATACTTCCATCATACATAATAATAATGATATTATCTTATTTATGTTTTCTTGTACCATGAATGTAGAAAGAAAAGCGTGTCCCGTGGGAGAGTTCTCTTTTTGGCTTTTTCCACAGAAAAAACAAAGAACATTCTAAGAGCTTCAATATCTAGTGAAATGCATTATCTTTTGTGAACAAAGAGGAAATTTGCCTTTAACTTAAATAATATTTTGGCATTAAAATAGAAGGCTGTAAGAGTGGCTTTCAGAAACCCTATCTTACCTAAAGTTATGAAACGATAATGGCATCTGCCCAACCTGTTTGATAACCTACTTTCTTACAACAGAACCAGTAGGCATGTCCCTAGGTAAGCCACCAGTTTCCAATCCTACCCACCATCCTTGACTAAAATTAATTTCATTGCTTAGAACAAGAGCAATGACAGAGATACAAGAATGAAAACACAACAAAAATGTGAAATAACAGTGACTTTTTATTTCCAAGTCATTGGGTTGGGTAATATATTTGGGAAGTTTGTGCATACCCTGATTCTTATCTAAAAATGGATTTCTTATATCTGCAGAACAAGTTTAAGGCCACTGTTCCCCAGTTCTACCCCCAGACATGCTAGCTCTGCCATTGTACTAGGGGCTGCCTGTGTTTCCTGGGGAACAGCCATTTGGTGTTCCTTTAAAGACAACATGAACCGTTAGAGAAAAATCAAGCTGAATTCACCAGCTCAGAGACATCTGACAGTCACAAAAGCTCTCTTCTTGCTTTCATGTTCCTGGGAAGCCCTGGCTTTCAGTACTCTATGGTAACCCATCTTACAGAGCTCACGAAAGCATGGTTTGGTGTGGGAATGATGCTGACAGGACCGCCCGCACGTTGGCTGTCACTCCAGGCCCGTCTTCACTCAAAGGCCATCTATTCTCCACTGCCCATCTGCAATTAGTGCTCGTTGGCTCTGTGGAATTTATCTCTCCAGATTTTCTAGCTGTAATTATAGTTTCTCATTTACAATGGAACATTACACTCTTTTTGGAGCTACTTCATATACTTGGCAGCCGACTAAGGTGATCATATGTCCTGTTTCTCTTTCTTTCTGTCTTTCTTTTAAAACCGGGACAGGTCTTTGTTTTTGCTGAAGTTTGCTGTTTCTCCTTGTTACTGATGTGCAGCCTCCTTTGTGCTGACAGCCAAGAAAATTCTGGACCGCTGCCCTGTTTGCCTCCAGAGACTGATGCAAAGTCTTCAAAGTAAAGTCAGTGGGTTTTTTTCAAAATAGAGTTTACTAGAAACAAGACATCTTCATGCTTATGAGGACCTTGCTCTCCACTGCAAAACTTTCAAAGACTGACAGGCTGGACTTGGCCTCTCTGAGGTTTGCAAACGTACTTGAAACCACTTGAAAAAAAAAATGGTTTCAGCAACGGCAACAATGAGGTTAAGACTCAGTTTTATTTTAGTTTAGTTTTTCATTTGGCATGACAAAAATGTTAAAAAATATTTTCAGTTGAATGTTCTTCAGGCAGACCCTGAAGACGACTTTTGGTCAGTTCTCAGTAAAAGTGTGATCATGAAATAATTGTTTAAGCAAAATTCCCTCAAGCCTATGTATTTTGCTGCTGTCATGGAACAGAGTATCTAGTTGCATGTGATAGGCTTTGGCTGCATGAATTATTACGGCTCCTTCTCTTATACTCAGTGCTCACAAGGTGTGTTGTTGTCGTTTCCTGAAGCCTGCACACATGATCGCTGCCTTATTTACCTAAGAACTGATCTACCTAATCACTGAGACACAAACAAACATATCATCCACTCCTCTCCTCCAGACCATTTGAATACGTTATCCATTTATTTGGTGTTTGGCTTAGGTCTAAATGAGTCATTTAATAACCCCTGTTCACAGCAAGTTAAGTTGCAACCAGCTGGCATCCACAACTCACAGGATTGTTAACCGTTCCAACCAGGATCAGAAACTGCACTCCAGCCTTCCTGAAGGGCATTATGCAGCTTTGCTCCAGCTATCATGGCAGGAGTTTCAAGCAAATCTGTGCTTTAGGTAATAAAATGGCCACAAGAACTATAAGGGTTTTGGAAAATAGATGTCAGTGTCAATTCTAAGGTCTAGAAAGGCCATTGATAAAGCTGTTTGAAGCTGATTATCATCATAGACTGAGAGCCTCCATTCCCCTCCTGAGGCCTTTGGGCACTCCACAAGAAGCACGACTGCCTTAATCCACATAAAGGTCATTTTGTATGAAAGGTCAGTGGCACTCAAGAATGCAGGAGAGATGACAGAGTGGTCAGAAGAAAGACTAAATGCTTCCACATAAACTGCATTCTTTGTATTTTTAAGGACATCGGCAGTCTACTCTTTTTTCCAATGGCACCACTTTCTAACATATCTAATTAATTATTTATTATGCTTATTGTTTATGGTCTGTCTGCCTCTTCACCCTACCTCCCATTCCCCACCTGGAATTCCGAAACCCAATTCTCTGCCCTCATTAGCCCACCTGACATATGGGAGGCACTCAAAAAAATGATTGAATGACTATATGGAGTGTATTCTTATTTTTAAAAACTGAAAAAAAATGAAGAAATGTATAAAAATATAAAGAAATATATAATTAAAAATATTAATTTCTCCTAACTTACTAAACAATTTCATTAACATTTTGAAAAGGCACATATACTATGAATCTATGCATAAATGTGTATATATCAAAACTGCTATTTATCAAAGCCCCTCCCTCGTTTATTTTGAGAATCCCCAAAGGGATGCATGCTTCCATCTCTCAGCTTCAGTCAGTCTGCATCAGTGGTTCTTAGCTGGGGTTGTTTGGCCCACCCTCCAATCCTCACCCACCCACCACCATCAGGACACTTGGCAATTTCTGGAGACATTTTTGGCTGCCACTACTGGGGTAGGCACGCTGCTGGCATCTAGTAGGTAGAGGCCAGGGATGTTGTTAAATTTCCGACATCGCACAGGACAGTCTCCATTGCTTCTACCATCAAAGAGTTATCCAACTCAAAATGTCAATGCTGCTGAGGCCAAGAGGCCAATCTGCATTCTTCCTTTCTTGTTCCGGCTCCCTCTGGTCCTGTTCCCAAGTCTGTGTGGCCTTGCCATGATGTCTCCTTCTGATGCCTTTCTACTCATTACAGCAAGACCAGTGCCCTTGCTGAGGGTGCCATCTCCACATCCTCTCAGCGTTTGCAGTCCACAGATGGCTGGTGCCAAGTGGGCATCCATGCAAAAACAATAAGAAGTGCCTCCTCACCACCTCTGAGCTCTGCACATGGCCTCCATGACCCATAGGCAGCTGTGTTTGTGCCCAGAGACTCAAAGAGGTTGACTTCTGACCCATCATTCATCATTCAGGGCTTCACTAAGTTTGTCATGAAAAACAGTTTTGGTTCTCATTTCTCTAAATGTTAGAGTTCAAAGTTGGTTCAAGGAGCCAGCTCAGAGACCATTAACTTGAGTGACATTTTTCTCCTAATAAGGCCCTTCCTAACTTGAAACTACAGGTCCCTCTCCAGCTCCCCTTTGTAAGAATGTGAATTGGAAGATTCTGGGAGAAAAGAGCAAAGGTGGGTAGAAAGCTTTCTGCAAAGCAGTGTTTCCCCCTGGCCTTTCAAAAATGTCCAATGTGTTTACTTTTGCTTAGGAGAATGAGAATCCATTTTTCTCATTAATGTTTTCTATTTTTTTAGATATAAAGGAAAGCTGTTAATTTTTATTTACTCAAATCCTCTTTCATATCTTGCAATAGCCTCATAAAATTTAATTTACTTAACTTTCTCCTTTTCTTAAATAAACGTATTCCTGAGAGTTTTGTGCCTTGGGTTGCTATTGTGAATGATGTTTTAAAAATTATATATTTAAATATTTTGCAACTGTAATATCTGTGTCTCTATAAATCTAAATAGCTATATATTGTGTATGCAATCACTTTTAAAATTATTTTATTAATGAGAAAACTTCTTCAATTAATTATCTTAGATTTTCTAGGTGAACGCTTATATTACCTGAAAATAGTGATAATTTGTTTTTTCATTTTCAGTACCGTGTTAGCCTATGAAACACCTTTGTACAAAAATAGGATTTAAAAATGCTTTATCTAGGCAGATATCTCAATATGAGTGAGTGGCTTGAAGCCTTTATAAAAATTTGAACAGAGTGCTCCTTCTTCAGGGTTGATGCAGCCCCACCCCACGCAGTACACAGTGTGTTGAGAAGAGCAGTGGCTGTATTTCAGCTCTCACTTGCCTCTTGCCTGGAGCCCTAGACCAGGAACAACCCACTAAGATGTAGGAGGTGGTCCCACCCAGACCACATAATTTGCTTCTTTTCTTTTCTATTTTATGATTTATTGCTTTGGTCAAAATTTATAGAAAAAGGTAAATTAGTAATGGTGATAGCAGTTAACTAGTTTTTTTTCACTATTATTGAGAATGCATTTAGGATTTCACTATTAACTACGCTGACTTGAGATAGATACTTGCAGATTTGAGATATTCAATAGTAATATGAGTTGGTTTCACCTGCATAAACAAATTAATGGTTTTTCTATTTTGCAATAGTGACCAATTAGAAAATGGAAAATAGATCCCATTAATGACAGCAAAAAACATATTAACTAGAAATAAACTTAGGAAGAAATGTGCATTATATATATGAAGATCACAAAACTTTATTGTCGAACATTAAAACAAGCTTTAATTAGTGGAACAACATACTAATTTCTAGTTGAAAGGACTCAAACTTGCAAAGATAATGAATTCTCCATAAACTAATATGTAAGTTCAATGCATTACAAATACAAATCCCAGGAGGACTTTTATGTAAACTGATAAGCCGATTCTGAAGTTCATCTGGCAGAGTAAGTGCTTGAGTCTAATTCATAGCTAATACACTTCAAAAGGGGGTACTTGCCCTACGAAGATTCAACATATGTAAACTATAGTAATTTTGAAAGTGTAGCACTGGTACAGGAAAGACAAATGCATCAGTCTTATTGAAGAGAGTCTAGAAATATATATGTGTGTTGGTGTTTGTAAAAATTCACATATATATATGTTAGCTTTCCAAATCAATGGGAAAATATAGACTACTGAATAAATGAACAGTATTAAAATAATTTTCTATCAATCTAAAATAAAATTGGCATTTCCATCTCATATCACACACATAAAATACCAAATGGATTTAAGACCTAAGTGTAACAAATTAAGTTATGAAAGAATTGGAATAAAACATGAGAGATTTATGTATACATATTATTTAGGATATGCTAAGGTTTTCTCAAGAAGGATATGAAATCTAGAAGCAATCTAGAAGCAAGGTATGAAAAATAGAGCTTTAACTATTAAAAAATGTTAAAACTGGTAGTAGGAAGATAACCTAAAACATGAAGACAGTGCAGATTAAAGACAGAAATGAAAACACCGAGCTTGCATAGAAGGCAAAGAGTTGACATTTATATATATATAATATATCATATATAAAAATATATGATATATAATATATAATATATGATATATAATATATAAATCATATATAATATATGATATAATATATATTTAATATATTATATATAATATCATATATAATATATGATATAATATATATTTAATATATTATATATAATATCATATATATAATATATGATATATATATTTTATATACATATATGAAGCTCTCCCACAAAGTAATTAAATTTAAAGCACATTGAGAAGGGCATTATATGAGTAATCTCTTAATCGTCAAAACAGATAAAGAATTGATGCCCAGAGAAGTCAAGTAACTTGCTCAAGGTCACATAGCTTCCAAGTAGTGGAGGCTGGATTTGAATGCAGGGAGTCTCTCTATAGCTGAAACAAACACCATGATTTCCTGCCTCCTCAAACTGATACTAACCAATATTGGGGAATTTGGGGAGCACTTTGGGAGGCCGAGGCGGGTGGATCACCTGAGGTCAGGAGTTTCAGACCAGGCTGGCCAACATGATGAAACCCCATCTCTACTAAAAATACAAAAATTAGCCAGGCATGGTGGCAGGCACTTGTAATCCTGGCTACTTGGGAGTCTGAGGCATGAGAATCTCTTGAACCCAGGAGGCGGAAGTTGCAGTGAGCCGAGATTGTGCCACTGCACTCCAGCCTGGGCGACAAAGTAAGACTTAGTATCAAAAAAAAAAAAAAAAAAAGTTCTCGTATATTGCATGAGTCGAAATTGACACAAACTTCTTGAAAGAAAGTTTGATAATCACTTTAAACATTTATTACCTAAATTATGTTTAACCTTTAAATCAATAATTCCCTTGTATTCACCAGTTTGTTAAATATGGAGTTATTTAATTACGCACCAAAAACACTACAAATAAGGCCATGGCATAGAAACATACAAGGATGTTTATTAAATTTAATTTAACAAAGACTAATTATACAAATTGACTTTACTGGTAATGCCCCTCAAACTTTTTAAGTAATAGCTAATATCATCACCACATAGATTTTTTTCAAAGCATATAAAAATAATGAAAATCTACCAAGTGCATTTTATAAAACCAGCATAACTCTTCAGCAACCAAATCTAACAAAAATGTTACAGAAAAATTATAGACCCATTTTGTATATGAAAATAGAGTTAAATATGGGATTATTTAGTTACACACCAAGTATGTTACAAATCATACCATGGCATACAAACATAAATACATCCTTCTGTGTTTCTATGCCATGGCACGATTTGTAATGTATTTGGTGTGTAATTTGATAATATTGCTTCTCTCTCTGAAACTGCATGTTTATAAAGGTTTATTTACATAAATGAATCATATTTTATACTACGCATTAGCACATTTATTTGTTTCATTTAGAGTTCTGGAAGGATTCACACCAGTTGCTAGTGCTCATCTTTTGGAAAATGACAAATGGTGGGGGCAGGTATGGGGACTTCCATTTAAATTTTTTTTTTTTTTTGAGTCAGAATCTGGCTCTCTCACCCAGGCTGGAGTGCAGTGGCATGACTACGGCTCACTGTAGCCTCAACCTCCTGTGCTCAAGTGATCCTCCCACCTCAGCCTCCTTAGTAGCTGGGAAGTAGCTGGGACTACAGGAGTGTGCTACCATTCCGGGCTAATTTTTTGTGTTTTTTTTCCAGAGACGGGGGTTCTCACTATGTTGTCCAGGCTGGTTTGGAACTCCTGGGCTCAAGCGATCAGCTGGTCTTGGCCTCCCAGAGTGCTAGGATTATAGGAGTGAGGCACCACTCTACTTTTTAATATATAGATATCTGCATTGTTAAATTGTTATGGTGACCCTGTGGTAAATCCAAAATAATCAAGAGATACTTTTCTAGTCGGAGTTTTTAAAGAGGCTGCTTTTTATTGGTTATGAATGAATTTTGCATGTTATCTTTTGTTTTTTCCTCACGTAATGAGATTACAGAATTTTTCTTATTTGGCTGATTGATTGAAAATGTCATACTAATAGATGATTAATATGAATGGAGATTAAATGATCCTCACTTAAAGTCTTAAGAAGACTTAAAATCTTTTTTTTGTCCTTCCCAGAGCTCAATGTTCCATTAATATATGATTAAATGTTATGGTTTGTATTCATGTAAAAATTTCAGATTTATTTTCATATACAAGATGCGTCTATATCTTTTTTGTAATATTTTTGTTAGCTTTTGGTTGCTGAGGAGTTATGCTGGTTTTATAAAATGCACTTGGTAGGTTTTCATTCTTTTTATATGCTCTGCAAAAATTCATGTGGTGATGAAATTCGCTATTATTTAAAAGTTTGAAGGACATTACCAGTAAAGTCAATTTGTATAATTAGTCTTGGTTAAACTAATTTTTTTGTCTCTTCAAAGTTTCTCCTACTTTTTGAATTATTGGTCACATCTATTTTTCTAGAAATTTAAATTTAATCCAACTTTTAAACTTTTATTGCACATAGTATACTTTTATGATTTATAATTCTCTCTATAGAGTGTAGCCCTTCAGTAATTTCATTTTTGTTTATTTGTATTTTTCTTTTATTGATTAGATTGTCCAGAGATTTGCTTATTTTCTTTTTTCTCCCTAAGAACCAGCTCTAAATTTTTTGAGAATTTAAATTTGAATATTTGCTTTAATTTACATTTTTGGGACATTTACTTTTGGCATTACTCATTAGTTTGTTTTCTTAAAGAAACCTTTAAAGGAAATATCATTGTGCTTTATTTTTCATCCTTAGTTTTGCTATATAGATGCAATGTTAATGATTTCATTTTGTTTATGCAAAACTGGTCATCCACAAAGTTAAAATTATGCCATTAGCTACTGTCCCCATTTCATGGAGAATGGCAATTTTAATGAATATGTAAATATGGTGATTACTTTTAGAATAAAATACATATATGTTTACAAATAAATAGATTGCTTTTTTGTTGCTGCTCTTACAGAATCATAGAGGCATTAAATGGAACTGATTATGGAGTTGGTATATAAAATAAAACAGTTTACTTAGGAAAGAAAAGCATCTCAGTATCTTAATAAACATGGCCAGACTGAAGGAAGGAATTCTATATCTCTAACTAATACCTATACCTTGAGGAAGGCAAAAGATTTGTATTTACACAAAGGTAAAAAGAAAGTGGCAACCATCTACCACTAATGCTTAACAATAAGGTTTAGTCTATGATATGCAGGGTTTAACAGTTAATCTATTTAGTAAGCAAAGGTAGACCATGGTGCTTGAAGTATGAAATCTTAGAGCAGAAATAGACAGCATGGTAAATTCTACAAAGATAAAAAGAAATTGCCTACTTCCTAATTTCGAAGACAGTCCATCCACTGTTTCTTATTTGGTGAGAAAATGGTTGAAGGTCTCTATGACAGTAATTCAGCTAGCCCAGTATTTTTAATTCATCTATTTGTACAGTTAGATGGAGAGATTTGGAGCATGGAGATTGGAAAATGCTGCCCTTTTGGAAATAGCTTGAATTCCTGATAAGTGAAATGCCATGTGATGCCACAGGAAGGCAATGAATTAGCACAGGGCTGTGGAAAGGTTCTCAGTTTGGGAGTTGGTTGGAGCTCTGCTTAATCCTGCTCCCTGACCCTAGGAATGATCCCTGGGCAAGACAGTTAACCTGTCTTCATTTCACTGTCTTCATTTGATAACGCAAACGATGCTACTTACCTTTCAGAGTACTTGTGATGATTAAATATAAACTATGGGTAAAACATTTTTAGAAATCTCAATAAAACACTTTTAAAATGCTGTTGAATAAGTAGTAAATCTATTTTTAATGTGATGATGTAACTATTATTAAAAATAAAATCCAGTGTCTTTTGTGGTTTCCAACTGAAGGCATCCCTGACATTCCTCAGTCATATCCTTGGCATGTTTCTGTCATTCAGCACTGTAATTACTTTCATGACAAAGGCAATTCAGTTCCACAAACATTTACCAGGTACCTGTTCTGCTTAAGACTAGAGAGAAGGTGATGGAGATACAAGAGCTAGAGGAATGAGGCTCCTCCCTTAACAAATGTAGATTCTATCCATCACATTCACAACCTGATTACTTGACCCAAACAGTTCTGATTAGCAAACACCATATGTCCAGCACTGTCCTCTAAGTTTAATTTGCCTGAGGCATTATTCCTCTGAGTACCATAGATTTTTACTGCTCTCTTACATTTAACTTGTCTTACTTTTGTGTGAAATCAGATGGGAGAACAGGAAGAACTGGGAAGAACTCTTGGCCCTTCAGTGGTCCAAAGTGGAAACAGTTATATTTTATTAAAAATGAAGGGGTTTAGCAAAGCATTTTAAAATAGAAATGGCGTGGGAGCTCAGCAGGTCATGAAAATGCCTTCAGAAGAATTTGCTGAAGGACTCTCTTCAGGGGTAAAGATCAAAGATCAGCCATTCACAGCATAAAAGCAGCAGTGTTTTTCATTTTAGCTTGTTCAGTATCATAAGTAAACAGAGATATTGTGTGCGTAGATTGGTTGTGGCTCTCCAGATTTGACAGGGAAGGAAACACATAATTTCAACATGTGAAAGAAATGTGATGGGAGTATAAGAAACTTTCAAATCTAGGAGTGTAGGGAGTGGGTTTCCATCTAGTATATATGTGAAATCTTCCAGGATTCTGTGAATTTAGTCTTTCTCTATTGTGATATGTTTGATTTAAAAGGAATTCAAGTTCACCTATTTGAAACAAAATTTGCCATCACTATCTGTTTTTTCTTCCTCTGTCAGAAAATATTAAGAGAATCAGCTTTTAAAGTGAAGTTATAAAATCATGATTTTCATACATTCATTTGAATGCCCACACAATACAACATACAATGATAATCTAACATAAATATGTAAAGGCAATTTAGGTTAGAAAATATTGATTTTCTTTTGTAAATCAGTAAGGAAGAAAATACTAAATAAGGTGTATAAAAGCTTGGTACAGTTTCTGAGCTGTGCTATATAAAATGTCGTGTTAAGTAAGGAAGTCTGTATTCAACTATTTTTAGAGCTCTATGGACACATATCTGCTTGGGTAGTGTGATAATAAATAAATAGTGTTGATAAATAGATAGGTGGAAAGTTCAGAAGATCTACCCACACTATTTTGTGCAAATATTGAGTTCACTAGTGCTGTGCAGGATTTTCTCTGAAAATGCTATTTTGGAGATATTAATTGGTATTAAATGCTTCTAAAGGTTCTCATTGTTAAATGAGTTTTAATTGAGTTAAACAGCTTTGCTCAATGAATTTAATATACAGTAAACCTTGTGAATTTTCAATAAGTAAATGTAATACCCATTATTTCCTAAATTTGTTAATTAAATTGCGGGTATATTCTTTTTAGATTGTTTTTTCCAGGTCTATGCCATTTTGAGATAGAGTATTATTGACACAATTCTCAAATTATAGACTTATTGCATTTTCTTGCTTTTTTCTAAGTGTTTGCCCTTTTGAGCTTTTCTTAGATAAAATCACAGAGCGGAGTCATAGAGCATCTGCTAGCATTACTTCATGTAACTGATTAAGTAAAATGTTAATGCGGTCTCACCCAGCAGGATTCAAAGCATAGTATTAACTCAGAGGGGATGCATGGAAATACTCTGTGCTAGTTATATCTGTTATCCCTGTCCTGGGGAATGGACTTTAAGAGACTATGTCAAATAGGAGTAAGTTCATGAAAAGTAACATGATGCTGAAGGGGCATTCAAAACTTTCTAATTTGGGAAATATGGAAGGAATTAGAGATGTTTAACCTGGATATGAGATAATTAATTAAAAACTACTATGGCCTTTAAATATTTGAGAGAATGGCATTTAGAAGAGTAATTACATGTGCCAAAATGGGTACAACTTGATCTAACATAGACGTAACCAGGTTACAGAGTTTTGGGCTCAGCATAAGGAGATACATTTCTGCAGACAGAATTGTCCAAGAATAACTGTGCCCTTAGGAAGTGGTTGTGTTCAGCCTTAAACTCAGCAGAAATACTGTAAAGAGAAATGGGGGCAGTCTTAAAAAAATTACAGGATGAAATGACAAATCGGATCCTTTGAACCTAGAAACTTTGTGAATTCTACTACAAAATTTCATTTAAATGAGCATGTATGCAAAACATAAATTTTCCATGCCTTGATTCAAGATTGTTATTTCCAGCTGTATAGGAAAAAAATGATATTATTTTAACAGGTGTATTTGAAGTCCTTTAGGACCGTTCTGTAAGTATTTTTGTAAACAACGTGGAGTATAGAATCTCTAAGGAGAGAATGGTTCACTTCTTTGAAAAATAGAAATGAACTAACAAATGACTTCTGGTTTGATAAGTGGCTTATTAGTGACAGGGTAGTAAAAGCCAGAACAGAAGCCACACTATATAACCAGAGCAGTGGCACTTATAGACATTAAAATTCTATTGTTTTTCTATACAAAATTCAGGTTCTGTCCTAATGATATGAGTAAATTCACCTTGAAATAATAATAAATGCCTCATGGTGACCCTGTGGGGTAAGAACTATTACAAATGACAAAGCTGGGGCTATAAGAAATGAAGTATCTTGCCCAGTCAGTGTAGAGAACATTTCTGGTTCGGAAAATACCACTTTCTTCTGATTTGGGGCAAAAAGAAAATTTATATTTCCTGGCTTTGTTTGCAGTTAGATATGGACATGTGGCATGAAGTTCTATTCTAGTCTCTGGAAGTTTGAGTACTTATGTGGGACAGCATGGGAAATGCTGGCCAATAATGTCACTTTTTTTTCCTTTTACATAGGCTTTTAATCATGCAATTCTGCTCTCATAGTCCTAGCTAGTTGAACAAGGGCTGACCTGACCCAGGAGAAGCCATCTACAGATTGCCCAGTGGTCCATGAGGGATCTGCATATAGATTTCTGTCCAATTATAGTGCCATAAGCTGGAATGGTGTCTCATCAACCCAATGGGATGCTCTTTCTCAGTGAGTATAGACATGAGACGTATAGAGAAGTAATCAGCAAACACTAAAGCAACAGATGCTGAGGGACTCAGAGAAGCAAAACAGTCAGCAAAGCCCTGAAGTGGAAAAAGTAGAATTGACAGTGCTGTTGTGTGATTGTTAAAGAATAGTAGTTCTCTTTCCTTGTGTCCCCATGTAATTTATATTGAAACATCCTGCCCATTAACCACGTCCATTAGTTTTCTATAGTTATGTACCAAATTGTCACAAACTTAGTGGCTTAAAACAATAAAAATTTATTACCTGCCAGTTCTGGGGGTCAGAATGCTGAGATGGGTCTGCTTTGGCTAATCAAGGTATCAGCAGGCTGTGTTCCTATCTGGAGCTCTGGGGGATTTCATTTTCTTGCCATTTTTAGCTTCTAGAAGCTGTCTTTATTCCTTGGCTCATGGCTAGCCTTTCATCTTCAAAGCTAGCAATGGTCAGTCAAGTCTTTCTCACAATGCCATCTCTCTGGTTCTACCTCTTCTACCTCTTCTATTTAAAGACCTTTGCAATTACGTTGGATGCACTCAGGTTTTCCAGGATAATCTTATTTTAAAGTCAGCTGACTAGTAACCTGAAATGCAACTAAAACTTGAATTATCTTTTGTCATATCAGATAATATATTTCCAGGTTCTGGGGATTAAGATTTGGACAGCTTTGAGGGCCGTTATTCATGTTTTTTTCACCAACTGTAATATAGGTGGATTTTTTTGCAAACATTAAACTGCACATATTAAACTCAGGTTATTATTTCCTGGCAACCATCTACCACTACTACTAAACAATAAAGTTTAATCTATGATATGCAGGGGTTAATAATTTATTTAGCAAGCACAAGTAGACCATGGTGCTTTAAGTAAGAAATCTTAGAGCAGAAATAGACAACATGGTAAATCCTACAATATATGGCCACAATATGTCTCAAATTTCAGCATATTAGATGACAATTTGTTCAGTACTCAGAACCATAGAGCGTTATAATAATCTGAGCATTATTCAGATCCCAGTGACAAATAAGGTATCAGAGGCAGAGTTTTAGTAAATTCTTTATATACCGGTGTTTTAAAACATAAATATGAGTATTACATTGTACATTCAGGATTACACAATTTTTAAAGAGAGGATCATATTGAAGGTTCAGATATACTGACAAGTTCTCTAACTACAATTTCTCAAGTGAGACAATAATTCCCTTACATCACTTTCCTGAAAAGCATTCTCTTTCTCTGACAGCATCTATCAGGTAATGAGAATCTCACTACTCTCATGAGTCAATGGATTATTTTGATAGTTGTCTGGGGTGATTTATGCATAAACATGGCAAGTGAACATATGCATTTATCTCTGTCTCATTTCTCAAGGGACAAGGACTAAAACAAACAAACAAATGAACAAGCAAAGATACCAGCCCACAAGGGCAAACAAATGGAGAAGAAACAGTAGACAAGAGAGAAAACACAATTTTGGAAGTTGAAAAATAAATGGAGAAGTGACAACTGCTTTAGCAGAAGCTGAAACATAATTGCCTACAGAGTGGTAAGAATAAGAAGCAAGGTAAAGAACTCTGCAGATCTTCAAAAAAGCTGAGGACTTGCAGACCCCAAGTCGTCTGAAAAGTGCATGGGGCTACTTCAGGGCAGACGGATTAGCTGTAAGTTGTTCACAAAGCAGTTAGACTCTCTGATCCCCATCCCCTCATGTTGATTTTCTGGATTCAGTGACACCAGGTATAATGGAGTAACCCGCCTATGAGCCCAACCCAAATTCGAAAGTCACCATGCTCTACCTGTTAACACAGAACTTCCAGTCAGATTTTTAGTGTGTTGTTTGTGATTATGAACAGATAGCCAAGAACCACATTTGAGGAAGTCCTCCAACATAAAACTTGGAGATCAAAATGAATAGAAAAGAATCGAGCACAGAAAAAAGAAAGAAAACAGATAAAATAGAGAGTATAAAAAAAAACTTTAAAACTACTGTTAATCTCAAAGAAAAAACAATTCATCCACAAAACAAGGACAATTAGAGAACAGTAAAAGATTCATGGAAACTATCAAAGAAAGAAAACATGAATATACTCTGGAGGAAAACGACATGTAGTCTGGATTGAAAGAGCCTACCAAATGCCCACCACAATGAATAAGAAATAAATAAATCAAAACCCACATCTAGAAATATCAGAACTTTAGAATATCAGGGCCAAAAAGAAGACCCTAGGAGCTCAAGTAGGGTAGGGTGGGCATGAAATAGTGCATATACATAAAAATGAAAAAACAAAATGCCAGAAGAAACTGAAGTCCTCAGTCCTAAAACTGTAAGGAACTGAATGCTTCCAATAACCTGTGTGAGCTCAGAAGTCAATACTTCCCCAGTTGAGCCTCAGAGAAGACTGAAACCTTAGAAGACATTTTGATTACTGCTTTGATTGCAGACTCATGACCCACAGACACTAAATTATTTTAAGCTGATACCTTTATGGTAATATTGTTACAAAGCAATAGATAACAAATATACCTGGCAATATTACTCAATTGTAAAGGTGGAATGAAAATATTTTCCGACATGGTAGACCTAAAGAATCTTGGCTGAAATTCAACTTTCCAGAGCTCTATGTCTGCCAAAAATAGATGGCATTCAAGAGAATCTAAGGCATGAAAGAGTAATGAATGACAAAAACAGACAAAAAATTGGGCTTGCATGTGGTAATTATGGTGGGAGTATTTTGTTGTGAGCAATATTGGACATCTGAAGAAGAAGAACCATACAATCTAGTTTTTGGTAACATCATACAATCCAGAGCACTGTACTTTGCAAATAGTACACAAATAAATAGGTGAGTGAGAAAGTTCGTGAAATAGAAGTATAAGAAACTCAAAGTACCCTGGTGCAAATAGCATTTGTGGTCAGATTTGTTCATATAACTAACACTATCATAAGTAATGGTATCTTCAGCTGCCAAGAAGGGCATGTGGGTATTTATATAAATTTCACTTGCCCCACTGCTACCCCAATTCCCAAAGGGACTAGGAATGCTTTTTTGTACAAAATGAATTAGATGATATATTCTCCTTCCCTTATATAGAGGTTTTAACACTAACTCCACTCTAATTACAGTTCTTTCCCTCCTTACGGCCTTCTCACTTACTGTGCCTTTGGTTTTTGAGCAGATATTTGCATGGTTTATGCCATCACATCACTCAGCTTTGCTTAAGTATCACACCTTGGGAAGCTTTTCCCTGTCGTGGTGCCTCAAGTACTAGTCCCTTGCCCTGATTTATTTTTCTTTAAAGTGCTTATCATTATTTATTAATTTTACACACCTCCCCCAAACAGATTGTAAGCTCTTTGAAAGATAGATGTTTTTATTCATTTTTCTATCCCAAGACCCATATAGGTGGCAAACAATTAATATTTAAGTGAATGAATTAAATTTCAAAGCCAAACTTTCACATTTCTTCAACTGAAGAATGAGATATAATAAGACAGTAATCTAAACTGGGTTTCATTCTATACTATTTAAAGATTTTCTAAATGTGCACATTTTCTACAAAGAATTAAATGCAAGAAAGTTATAGACAGATCCAGTTCTAAGGAAATTCAAGGTAATTAGAATAGACTACATACTTTGTATTCTCTCCACAATTACAAATTTATATCATTGTAACAGCAAATACAGTGGCCCAACTGTGTCTTCTTAATAGTCATGAAACATGAAGATAAAGGCAGGGGTAAAGATTGGTATTATGTTATTTGGTTTTTGAGATTCTGGGCATTATTGACTCTAAAAGCGATGTTTTCCTTGATGTATTGGAACTTTAGACAGAATGGAAGAGAGCATTTAACCCTTTCTGACCATCACACTTAGCCGAAACAAAAGCATTGCACAGTTGAGAAAAAGAAAATCCCATGGCCCCCAGCTGACAGAACGGACCATCATCCTGGCCAAGAGGACCACAGAGAAACCATGGAAACTGAGTTACTGGCCATGATGGGATGCAAGATCAAGTATGCCTTGCTATATCCCCTTCTTTGCTAAGTGCCATTAGGCTTTCTTCTCTAACAGAAACCAGCCCTTTTGAAAGACTCTTTCCACTCCTGATATCAACCAACCACCTGAGGCTGCCCCTTCCTTTTGCAGTTTCCCCCAAGTGACCAGCATTCCTTTCGGATAAGAGACTACTGAGCATGCAGCGGTTCTGACCAGTAGATGGAGGATGTGCACTGAGTGCCTTCATGTCCTCAGTCATGATGTCAGAGGGCTGAAAACTTCACCTTCAGTTCCATGGGGAAGATGAAGCATAATTGCATATAGGCATGTTTCTCCTTTCACAAATATTCATGACTCCTTCTATATATTAATATGCATACTCACCCACCCCATTCAGCATCAATTCCTGTTCCCTTTGCGCCCCTCTCAAAGTGTTTTCAGTTTTTGCCTGGAGTTAAGCTTCCCAACCTGTCAGAAAGGCTACCTGCAGGCTGCAACCTTTTATGAGAAATAAAACTCTCCTTTCCAAATTTATGAACCTTCTCATTCTTCATTTGACACTGTGCATTAGGGGAAGTAGATAGAATCTCTGAGGTAATTCCATCCCCCTGCTAGTTAATTCTTTTTAAGTTAGATCTCTACCTCATTGCCTGGCATTAATAAGTGTTTAATAATATAAAGAAGAGATGAGAATTGAAGAACTAGCTTCTAAATGTGTTGAAAAGCCAGCAGGCCATAGGGAGAAGAGGTGAGTTTGCAAGCTCTTCCCAGTGTTATACCTCACAAGATGCAGCCAAGCAAAGGAAGGCTGACTTTTCAGAAGCCATTGTTACTGCAGTGCAGATTCATGGTAGGCTTGAAGATAAGGCAAATGGTGTTGCTGCCTCTACTGGTAATACTAGGCTCCTAACTCAACTCTTTCAACTCAACTTTGTAGTTCTAGATTTTATAAAATGTAATTATACCCAAATCGCTTCTGGCTTTTAATAGAGAAAATGTTGAAGAAAACCATAATGATGACTATTGTGATTGTATTATATAATATTATACTCATGTCTCGGTGAATTCCTGCAGATATTTTACAAACTTAAAGTTAGATTTTGACAAGGGTGATGAACCATCCCAGTTTTCCCAAGACTTTCTGCTTCTATCACTGAAATTCTGCATCGCAAGAAGACTCCCAGCCCCAGGCAAACCAGAACACTTGTGTCAGAGGCATTTGAACCAGAGCGACTCCATCTTGATTAGGGGCTGGGTGAAATAAGGCTAAAACCTACTAGGTTGCATCCCCAGGAGGTTAAGGCACTCTTAGTCACAGGATGAGATTGAAGGTCAGCACACAATAAAGACCTTGCCAATAAAACAGGTTGCAGTAAAGAAGCTGGCCAAAACCCACCAAAACCAAGGTAACAACAAAAGTGACCTCTGATCATCCTCTCTGCTCATTATATGCTAATTATAATGCACTAGCATGCTGAAAGACACTCCCACCAGTGTCATGACAGTTTACAAATGCCACGGCCATGTCCGGAAGTTACCCTATATCATCTAAAAAGGGGAAGAACCCTCAGTTCCAGGAATTGCCCATCCCTTTCCCAGAAAACTCATGAATAATCCACCCCTTGTTTAGCATATAATCAAGAAATAACCATAAAAATGGCCAACTAGAAGCTCAGGCTGCTGCTCTGCCTGTGCAGTAGCCATGCTTTTATTCCTTTACTTTCCTAATACTTTCCTTTGCTTTCACTTTACTCTTTGGACTCTCCTTGAATTCTTTCTTGTGCAAAATCCAAGAACACTCTCTTGGGGTTGGGATTGGGACTCCTTTCCAGTAACAGTTGACTATGCTAAGGCATTCTCTTGGGCTGCAGTCCTGGCAGGACCATAATTAAGGCCATGATAGGTTGTTTGAAATTAAAAAGCCATTGTTTAACCTTCCAGAAGATCTTCATTTCCATTGCAATCACTGATACTTAACTATTGCTGTACCTCGACCATGAAGAGCAGATCATACACTGCTTTAACCCAAGGATAAACATTCAACACTTAGTGAACCTCTCATTCAGTAATTCTTCTCTTAGGATTTAAGGTAAAACAAAGATGTATATATAAAGACATCCATTACAATATTATTTATAATAGCAAAAATTGGGAATCAACTTAAATGTCCAAAATGGGGACTAATTTAGTGAAATACATTCATGGAATAGAAGAGTACATAGCCATTTCAAGCTATCTAATGATGTGATAAAAGCCATCAAAAAGACTTTTAACGTGATGAAAGATATAAAATTGTGTATACTTAATAGAAAAAAAACCGGAAGGAAATATACACAAAATGTTGATAGGTTATCTTTGGATGATATCAAGATACTTTTTCATTTATTTTTGTGCCATTGCACATGCTATTATTTTCTCTATAATCATTATAAGAAAATAATTGTTGAGAAAACCATTAATGCCTTGTTTAGAGGATTTTCAATTTTGATTGCCTAAAAGCTGTCTGGGAACTTTACTAACCTAGATTTTTTGACTCTACTTTCAAATATTCTAAATCAAGGTCTCAGTTGAAGCTCTTGCACCTGCAATTAAAAAAAAATACACTGAAAGATTCTAATGCATGTGCCATGAATCATTTGGAAAAATAATAACCGAGAGTGTGTCTATCTTCAATCTATTGTCTATTCTTTTGTCTAGCATGTTAGTCTAACATGCAGATAGAAGAGGTGGTCCTATAGTCAGTCTGATGTCAAGGCACCATCAATTGCCCAACCAAAGCTACCTCAACCACTGATTAATGATTGAAAGTTTACCATTAGATCTCCTTTCCTTTAGCCTGTGATTTACCACTGAGGGATTACATCTGAATCACTTTTGGAGCTCTGTGACTGTCTGCACACATGCATGCAAGCATACACAACACACAAACATGCATGCATGTACACACACACACAGAGACAGAGAGAGGGAGAGAGAGAGAGAGAGAGGGAGAGAGAGAGAGAGATTCCACGTCGAACTTCTGAAATCAGCATCTTGAAGTAGGAGGCTGAATGTATGCATTGAAATGGCTCATTAGGTGTTTCTGATATTTACTCTCTTTAACAACTACTGTATCTCTGTAGCCTAAGATTCAAAATCTTGTTAAAACACGAATGCCCTTGAAGGATAAGACTTTGAAGCTGTTAGCAATTATAAGCATCTTAGTAAAATTGAATTTGTCAGGTTTTTTGTTAAAGTCAATTTTCATGAAGATAGACGGAACACGAAGATCTGGGTGCATGAAGAGGAATGGAGAGTAATTTAAAAACAAACAAACCACAAAAGCAAAAACAAAAAACTCCCAAAAGCCAGCCATACAAAGCAGCTACTGGAACTCCCAGAGACTAAGTGCCAACCTCATCATTTTGCATAGGCAAGCCCCTGGCACTGCAAGGGTGTTTTTACCAACTCCAAAAAATAATTAGGTGCTATTGGTGAGTAAAGTTTAAAAGTTAAATTGCTCACATCTTAACAATAGCTGAATAGTCCGTGCAGCAGAAAGTAGCCATTTCATTAGCGCTTTTTGCAAGATCAGTAAGTGGTTCATTATCAATTATGCAGCACTTATGCAGATTTGCTTTAGACTTACACCTCCAAGGTCACGCTTCCCACATTTCTTAATTTTCTCCTGTATTTGAATGGCTGGGCTTCAAATCTGTGCCTGGGATGTGCTCTCATTGCATCAAGGTGGGTCAGTTCAAAAGGAAAAGTGGGAATTTCTGCCACAAAAAATATTTTTTTAATAGAATGCATTTTAACTTCTTACCTGCTAGGTTCCAAAGCTAGCTCATTCTTTTGAAGAATAAAGTGAGAAATAGATAAGTTTTCTAATGCCGAGGTGGAGGTCACAGGAGTTTTTCATCAGAGAATAATGGTTGCCTCAGAACTGGCCTGGCATCCCCTTGAAGACTCAAGATATGCTGCAGAAGCTCTGTGTGTATGTCAGGGAACAGAAAATAGTTTGAGCAGCTGTAATTTGTGCTGGGACTGCCCTGTGTTCAGAAACTTAATCCATTTTCTCATCTTCAGTACACCAAAGGATGAGGAGGAACATTTTTCTTAAAGAGTATTTATAAAGGAGTCGCTTAAATATATAAAGACAAAGAAGAATGCTAATCGTTCCGTAGAGTATGCTCCTTAAAAGGAATTGTAATAGTGAGAATAGGAAAAGGTCAGTTGGAAAGATAGTGCATGATTAAGTAAAGAATTAATCAGGTCTATTCAAACTCTTCCCCTTCCACCTTCCTGGTGTAGGCTGCAAAGTGACTTGTGTTAATGTAGCTAGTTAACAAAGGCAAGAACAGCTGGGAAAGTCAGAGAATCATTAAATAGGGTTATTTGAAGAAGATATAACCCTCGCTTGAATAGATTTCGGTAACATATGTGTGTGCTTGACGCTGATGCCTAGGCATGTTGTCCAAAACATTACACTTGAGCTGCTCAAGTTGCAGGAGTACCCTGTTCTATCTTCTCTGAATTCCTGCAGTATTCATGCTGATGCATTTCACTCTTGGACTCTTGTTTCTAGGCTGGATCTACATCTAGACCACAAATATGGCATAACCTGAACATAGGCTCTAAACAGGCTTAGGAATGAATGAGCAGCTCTATCGAGCCTCTTTGGACAATCACTTCAGTGAGAGCTTCATACAAATAAAACATTCTGGGAAGCCTACTATTTTGCTGATGTTCTGACAGTGATATAGAATGTTAGAGCTGGAAAGCAACTTCTATGTAACTGGGATCCTTTTACAGTTGAGAAACCTGAGGCTTGAGAGGCTATGATAATAATGCTGGCATAAGAACAATGTACAACCTAAAAGAATATACAGTGGATAGTTGCCTATGTTACCATTTACTCACAACTTCCTGAGTTGGGTAGGATAATTACTGCCATTTTAATAATTAACTCTGGCTCAGAGAGGTTAACTAACTTTTTGAAAGCAACAAGGAAATGCCCATGCCAGAAATTGAACACTGGTTAATTGAATCCAAAGGGTATGCTCTTCTTTATATGCAGGTGTTTCTCAAAGCTGGCTGATGTTCAGAAGGACCAGAGAGTATAAAGCTGGCTTTGAAAACACTGTCCTCTACCGCACTGCCCTGCAGGATCCTGCCTGAGGTCTGGAGGCACTGAGGGAGTCAGACTGGGTTTGCATAAAGACGTGCCAGCTACTGGCCTACTCGATTCCACCCACCCTTTTGTTTTATGCTGTGCATCCTAATTTATCTGACTTTCGAGCCAGAGCCAGTAGTCTACCTTCCATCTCTAGTGCTATTTGCAGTTAGTCTCACTCTGAACCGTAACCCCAGGCAAGCATTGATCTGCTTTCTGTCTATAGATGCCTTTTTTTGAAATTTCATATACATAGAATCATAGAATATTCTCTGGCCTCATTCACTTAGCATAATTTTTTTAGCTTAATTCATATTGTAGCGTGTTTCAGTGGTGTGTCCCTTTTTGTTGCTGACTAGTAATCCATGGTGTATGTCCACTGCAGAGAAGAAAGTTTAAACTTTTCAGTTTAACATATAAAGCTTTTATAACTTGGCTGCTACCTAGATATCTACCTCCTTCTATTGATGCCCACCCCCTGACATTCCCTACCCTGACATTTTACTCTAGCAATATTAAGCCATTTGCAGGTTCCAAGCATACTATGTTCTCTTTTCCTATATGTGTTTTCTAATAATAATAATATAAATGATATAATAAAGCTAAATCTGCTTTGAACACCCTTATGCTGCCTCTGTCCAACTCTAATCATATTCTGCTCCAGGTATCTTTGTTTGACTCATTTCTTTTTTTTTTTTTAATGCAACTCAGAAGTCACCTGCTTTAAAAAGGCTTTTCTGACACATAGCCGTCCTACCCTCAACTTTGGGCTGGCAAATAACTGGCAGATGCCCCAGTGATCCATAGTTTCCTCTTCATATCACATGTATCATAAGCATTTGTTCACTGGTTTGCTACTCTAGACTTATCATATTGTAAGGTAACTGAAGGAGTGAATCATGTCTTTCTGTCGTTAGCAATATAGCACATGGTAAGAATTTAATATGCTTGAAAATACAAAATTTCCATTCACTGCTTGTACATCTTGTGGCTAAACATTTTAAGTGCTCCTGAACTCAGTGGAAGAAGAATCTCAGTACCATTGACAAATAAAAAAGGTTAACTGCAGAAAATTATCTCCAAACGCAGTTGTTCTGTGGAATAATGATAGTCTAGAGTTACCACCACCCATATCACAAATTACTTGTAGACCCTTCAGGAATCACTTTTTTTATGGTTCTTATTTTATTTTTAGTGAGTATTAAACTAAAAGGAACTTTAAGTATTATCTGATTCAATCATCGTGTTTCAGTGATGTGTATTACTGAGGTCCGAAAAGTGAAATGACCTACTGAAATTCTCACATCTCATGGCTGAACTTGTACAGAAAACTGGCTTCTGTAGACTCAGATTTTTACCACAACATGCTGTATCCCCTTTCCAAAAGATGGTAACAAGGGACATAGCTCAAAGGGTAAGAGAAGGTACTCTAAAGTCAGACTGACTGCGTTCGAATTTCAGCTTCCCAGTCTTACATTCTATGGGACCTTGTGCAAGACAATTTACCCCCTGTGAGCTTGGTTTCCTCATCTGTCAAACATGGATATTTAATTGCACCAATTGCACCTCCTGTCCCTGTGATTTAGCTATTGTCTTTTGGCCTCAAACCTTCCCTTCTACACCCTGCTTTGGGATGTTTGGACTGGGACATGTCTCTTTGCTGTCTGCCTTCCTGCTAGGATCTATCAGTAGGGGAAACTAGAGAGAGAGACTGAGAAACTAGAAGTAAAATGTGTATATATATATTTAAGTTTTTCCAAATTAGGCAGGAACAGTTTCATGGAAGCTCATCAGGTATACTATCACTTTAGCCAAACGTTGTTCTATCCTCATAAGGCTTAATTTTAACTCCACAAGGTCCCTCCTATAAGCCTTTAATTTTAATTATTGCAAACACTTTCAACTGTTTCCCTAGACAGGAGGGGTAGCTTCTCTCTGTTGTTACCACCTCCTCTTCCATCTTTTCAGTTCTTCAATACCTAGTTAGCAAATTTTCTTACTAAATTCTTTCTGTTAAAATAAGCAATGTGATTTCTATCTCCTGAGTAGACCCTGACCAATATGTCTTGCTTACAGAGTTGTTGTAAAGATTCAAATTATTGTCCATGTAAAGGGTTTAACAGTGTCTGGTATGTAGATAGGGTTCAATAAATGTTGAGTGTTGGTATTGCTAAATGCTGTTCCATTGTAGAAGAAGAATTGTGTATCAGTCATGAATTTCCTTTTATTTTTTTTCTTCCTCACAAACAATAAAGGAAAGGCTAATCACACAGGACTCATGTTTTGTTTTGGATTTCTCTAGAATTCACGCATTCTTTTGGAATTCTTTAAATTTCTGTAGGAGGCACAAAAATCTTGGGCACTGGATCAACTTTATAGGGTTGCTTAGTTCCCCCAATAGCAACTCTCATTCCGCTATTTAACTACTGAAAACAGCAAAAACAACAAAGCAAGCAAACAAAATCACCTTCTAGAGGAAGTGTTTTGCCTGTGAGTTATCCACATTAATTTCCAAAACAGAGAACTGAACAAATAGGAAGAATTAACTCATTCTCTTTGAGGTTTGTTTCTCAAGAATTCAGTTTTAACTAGTACTATGGTTTTTATAGGTATGTTCCCTTCTTTTTAGGTTCTTTGGAGTTTGTAAATTGTCTCTTTTTAAAATTTCTATTTCCCACATTTTCTGCTAAGCATCCCAACATATTCTTTGCTTGTACGTAGGTGCTTATCATTATTTCATATGCTTCTCGGGGTAAACAAGAACTCTAGATTTTATTTCTTCATCCAGTGACCCAAATGGACTGTTTCCCAAACACTTTGCAGTAAAGCTGGTCAATTTTCTACTTATTCTTGAACCAACTTGAAGGGAGAAATATGGACAAATTTGTGATTACTGGTTTCCTGAGAAGTATTATAAATCATCCTTCATAATATGGAACCATAGGAAAATACACATTGGGCTTTGGCTTCCATTTCTAGGTGCATTTCTTATTTCTGAGAGTGATTGGTCTACTAAAATATCTAAGTTGGTTCTACCTTTACTGATTAGTCAATATATTAGCATTTTGGCTGGAGTTCAGGAGGCAAAGCTGCTCTGTGTGTGTGTGTGTGTGTGTGTGTGTGTGCAAGAGAGAGAGAGAGAGACAGAGAGAGAGAGATGGAGACATAGAGAGATGGGGAGAGAGAGTGAGGGGAGAAAGAAAGAAAATGAGTGTGTGTGTGTGTGTGTGTGTGCACGCGCGCACAAGCGCATGCATTTGGGAATGAAGTTAAGGCTGAGAAGGAGTTAATGGCTGACAACAGCAATAATTGCCCTGTGTTTAATTCAGGTAGCCTGTTTTGATTATACTTTTTAATTTATTATTTTAATTTTTTTGAGACAGGTCTTGGTCTGTCACCCAGGCTGGAGTGCAGTGACATGATCACAGCTCGAGCAATCCTCTTGACTCAGCTTCCTGAATAGCTGGGACCACAGGCTTGCACCACCATGTCTGGCTAATTTTTAAATTATTTTTTATAGAGATGGGGGCTTCCTATGTTCCCCAGGCTTGTCTCAAACTCCTGGGCCTAAGCAGTCTTCCTGCCTTGCCCTCCCAAAGTGCAGGGATTATAGGCATGAGCCACCGTGCCCAGCCTGGTCATACTGTAGTAGCCAAAAGACTATAACAGGTGGCTGCTTCAGCAACATTAGTGAATATGCTGGTATCGTCCTTCAAAATATTACACTTAAACAGTCTCATTAAACTTTGTCCAGTCTTAACAGGTCCATCACAGTTAGGAATTTAATCACTTTCATTATCAAGGAAAATGTTTTTTTTTTTCCTGCTTCTGTTTCAAATTTAACTCCTGCAATTGAGCTAAATCTGAACTAAAAGAACGTTAACAAAGTAGAACAACTTGAACTAAATCAAACCAACCAAAAGGAAACATTCTCTTCACCATCAAGGTTTATATTCCATAAGGAATAGGAATATATTAATATAGATAGATAGATAGAAAATTCTAGTGAAATGTTCTTCTTTCTCCTTTGCTACAGAACAAAATTTAGCAACAATGGCCCTCATTATACTATTTATATAAAGGAAATATTTCATTGCCAGGAAAGTTAGAGATAGTCAAAAGACAATTCTTATTATCTGACATGTCGTCTTCTCTCTCTTAATCTCCTTTGGGTGAAGTCCTTTCCATGAGATTTTCCCTTTTATTTCCTGCCTGTGAAAGGGTCTTGTTTAATTGCCTAGCCATGTGCTGTTTTGACTCTTTTTATAAGCTTGCCAATTTATTCCTCCTGTCTGTTAATATTTAATTATTCAACTACCTCAATTAAAACTCATTCCAGCTGCTGAGGAACTGCTGTTTGGCCCTTACCTAGCTCTTTCCTTATGTGTATATTATGGGGCTTTCTGGATATATATTTTGTAATTTTCTAGTTTCCCAATACTAATTGGCAACAGTGGGGAAAAAATCTGTAGCTAAATCATTAATAAATAATGTTTCAGTGGTTGAAAAGAATCTGGAAAGAAGAAAGAGATCCAAAAAACTAAAACTCAAATGCTCTGGTAGCCAGTCAGGAAGAACAGACTTAATTGTTATACTAGAAGAACTTTAGGTGCCTCATTATTACATAACAGAAGAATGAGCTATGAGGTTGGGATTATTAAAAATATCAGGAACTTTAAGTTATCTTGCTTTTTGTCTTGACAATATGTGCATGTGCAATTAAAGTCTGGTGACACTCTGCCCTTGTCCTGGTTTACATACTCAGTCTCTAAGAAGTGTCATGGTGATGGCTGTCATCCATCCAAAAGCTTGATGATATTTTCTCTGGAGCCCATCTGTGAACCATTGTATCAGATGGGAGGGTCACAACTGAGCAACATGTTAAATTAGATTTGCATAAAACATTCCATCTTCTCCAGGTTGAGCTTGCAGCCTTTGCATGTTTTCATCTTATTTGTCTTGGCTTCAGCATTATTTCTATAGAATATCTTTTGGTCCCATTTGAGCAGGTGGGACATCTTCAGATCTGCTGCTGCTCCACCCTGAGATTTGAATGTTCATCACACGGACTGTACTAGTTCTTCAGAGCATTTCTGAGGTAGAGAGTTCTCTGCTTTTCACATCCTGCCCTGAGGATGACAGTGGGGAATCTGGTTTTCCAAATATCTGATATTAAAGAAGTCTGACCCTGGTTGACACTTAGCAGGAAACTAAAGGCATAAAGTACCATCAGACCATGTTCTTCCCTAGGGGCTCGTTGAGAAGTCTGTCTTCTGTTCTCAAGTCCTCCAATTTTTTTCTCTAAATTAAGACTATTTTTTCTTAGACTAATTCTTGTTTCAAGAAACAAATTTTTTTCTTCAAAATGAAGACAAACTGTTAAGTATTGTAAATCGTGAGGCTGAAATAAAAGCTTCATTCTCCTAATTTAGTGGTTAAAAAATAAAAAACAGTGAGACTTAAATATTTCTCTAAATGGTATACAGATGAAAATCTACTTTAATGTATTTCTAAGACAGTCATTTGTTCTGTTGTAGTGACATTTTCTAATGATGATCACATTTTCAGTATGCAAAACTTGGGGTAATGTGTCTTTCTTTGGTCATTTACTGCGTGAAAACAATTTTTACTTTGTAGGAGATAAAATGAAGTGTCATGCACAGATGCTGGCATGCCTTTTTTTCTCATGGAAACTGAGTGCGGTGAGTGAATAGAAAGTCAGTTGTGGTTAGGAGTTGGAGAAGGCATTCTACAAGTGAGGAAGAATGAAGGATAGCTAAGCACAATGCTATCAAGTTGTTAAAAATTGAATTTTAAAGATTCCCGAGCCAGCTTACATCATTCCTTTTGGACTACAATATAAATATTACATAATTAGATACTCTTAAGGATCGCCATTTATAAAGGTGGAATCTGCAAAGGCTTTTGTTGCATTTCTAAAGGATGTGTTGAAAACTTATTCCCAAATAAAAATTACTAAGGACCTTTTCCTTACACATGGAAATATTTTTTTCCTACAATATATATTTTTTTATGTTAAAATAACATAAAATCAACATTTGTTTCAATGTTGGTGACAGGGACTTGGAATACCAGAATTTCACACTGATACACCTTTTTCAGTAAACGTGGGGTAGTTAATAAGGAAGTAAATGTATCCTTTGCACTTTGAAGGACCAGAGGGCTAAGACGCCAACAGACTTGTAATGAATATATTTTCTTGTCTTTTCCTGTAATCTATAAATTCTATGTCACTTTTAAAATGTCAATTTTCTTCCTTTTCTCATCAAGATATCATTTATGTTTGTTTTTCTTTTTTGTATAACCAGGAAGCCAACATTGATATGTATTAATTTGGATCATTCTGTTTTACAAGACAAGTGGTAACAATTTTTTTTAAAATCAAACTAGTTACCATACTTTCACTGTGTTTTAAAATAAGAATATTTATCTACCAGGTTTTCTGTCTTGTCTTTAACCAAGTTAACACTACTTGATAGCAGTTCTGCAGATGGTTCAGAAACATCTTTCCCCAGGATGCTTATGTCAAATTCATCACTTCGGTAATCATTCTTCATATTTTATGCTATGGCTTTTGTGAATTAGTCATTCTTCTACTGAATATCTCTTCTTAATTTTGAAGTCATTGAATAGTACTTTTTGTATCCCAAGGCCACTGGATCTTTTATTTCTCCAAGATCATCTATGCATAATGTAGTATCTTATTCAGATGTCAGAAGTGTTTTGTTCATTAATACCAGCCATGCTTTAACAAGTGATTTACAGAGTGGAGGGGCACTGATCCCTGGGAAATAGTATGAAGAGAATGTGCTTGTGTGTGAGTGAGGGAGTGAGGTGGGTTTTGTATTTTTAAAGAGCATAGTCAATATACCTACTCTATTTTCTTCATAATATAAACTATAAAAAATAATGCTGAATAAAATCTTAGCAGGTAGGGATATGCAAAAGATAGGGTAGAAAACACTCGAAAGGGTTTGGCCAAAAAATAATAAGCAACAGCTTTGGGGGCAAGGAGTGGATCACTAACTGAAATGGAGGTAATAGCTTATACTAGCTGCATGTTGTTATTTTGTGACATTAAGTTGTTAGTTTCACAACTGTCATAAGTAGGATGCATTTATAAATATTGGTTTATAGGCATGTCATTGGGGAAATGGAAAGATGGTACAAATGAGTTAGGTTGTCATAGCTATTCTGTGACTATGGGAACAATTAATTCTCAATATGCAGATTTTTGGTTTCTCTTGACTGACATCATCTTCCTGGGTCATTTCAAACCGGCTACTGTGTATTCAGAGAATATACATCTGGGTTACTAAGAAGAACACAGTGTAAGATAAATCTTTATGAAGTCTGAGAAAAATCAGTTGATCACTCAAAAGTAAAAGAGGAGACATTGTTTAAATGTATGTTCTCAGATCACTTTTCCAAAATATTAGGGAGAAGAATCTGCAATCAAATTTTACTGGCTCTCTCTTTAATCCAAGAATGAACTGTTAATATTACAGTGCACTGCAACTTTTTTCCATGAGTCCTCATTTTGGATTTTTCTACATCTTAGTCAACACTGATCAGGGATCACAGAGAGGGGTGATGAGAGTTGAAAATTAAATGGCTATTAGTAAGAAGCTATATTAAAAAAAAGAAAAATATATTTTTATGACAAAATTTGAATGGATTTAAAAAGTTACAATTTGTGAATTATCTTTGATATTTGCTTACCACCCTACATATTACTGTAAAACATGTCAGAAATTCACCATTGAGTTTCCTAAGAAGAAAAAGCATGTTCTTTTCACTGAATAGTTTAAGATAGAATCTCAGACAAACCATCATATTTATTATAGTTACTATTTCTGAATATATAATCAGCCCTCCATACTCAAAGAGTTGTGCATCCATGAATAAAATCAATCTTAGACCAAAAGTATTCAAAAAGAAAAAAATATTGCATCTGTACTGAACATGTACAGATTTTTATTTCTTGCCATGATTCCCCAAACACTACAGTATAATAACTATTTACAAAACATTTACATTGTACTAGGTATTATAAGTAATTAGAAATATTTAAAGTATACAGGGGGATGCATATAGGTTATATGCAAACATTACACCATTTTATTTCAGGGATTTGCAAATCCTCAATTTTGGTATTCCTGGGAAGTCCTGGAATCAATCTCCCATGGATACTGAGGATGACTGCATATGATTTAAATCTAAAACTAAATGAAAGTCTACTTTACATATATTGCTATGCAGAAATACACATTAATATAGAAAAATATATAATACAAATATACTGAACATTTGTATATTTAAATAAATTATATATATATATACACATATATTTTTGGTATCTTGATCCAATTTGGCATTTTTCCAGAAATGTGTGTATTTCTAAATTGTTTGACTTCATGTTCGCCTGATTCTCCCAATGGAAATTTACCCTGATGTAATTTCAAAATACATTTCTTTAAAATCATAGTAAAAATAGTTTAGCATAAACACATCCTTTGCATTCAGATAAATTATTTGCTACCTTATTCTTTAGGGAGCTGTCCTTTTAAAAAATGTAAAAACTAACAAATAAACAACAATGATCATTTGGTCATATCAGCTTTATTAGTTATTCAAGTGAAAAATAATAGAAGGAATACCTTTTTAAATAAAAAGATTAGACATACAGACTTCCATAATCTACACATTCTGCTTTCCCACAATAGATTAACCAATTGCATGATGTTAAATATGACCACAAAAGGAAATATTTTTATTGTAGAGAATGATAAAGGAGAAGAAAGAAACTGACACCTTGGCTTTCAGATTTTGAAAAATATCTCTTCTATGACTTTTCAAGGACATTTTCTTTTACTCTAAATATCTTTGAGAAATAAAAATAAAAGCAGTAATTACTTATTCATGAAAGAAATCAGTTCCTTCCTTTAGAAGCAAATAAATGAAACGATAGTTCGTATCTCCCCTGGTGGGGCTGCGTGTTAGGTGCCCCTAGTGTTCTCTGCTGCGTGAGGGCATTTAGCCTAGAAGAGCAGCTCCTATGGCAGTTTTATTTGAGAAACAGCTGATAATTCACTTGGGCTCTATGGCTTCCAGCTTCCTCTCAGAGCTGAGGCTGTCTCACAACTACAATTGTGAACTCGTATTCTGAACCTGTAGGCTGATAGGAGCTCTCAGTTTTCAGACTTTGTACAAGGGGAAGGAGCTATAGGGTAAAGATGGAGCAGGAACTTCAGAATCTGTCTCTTCTTGGGATCACTTCTCAGTGAACATCATTCTTTTCAAATTAAATGAAGACTAATCAGTTAGACATTTATACTGGAGACTCAAGGCTAACAGGTTCCTTTTTAAAACAAGAATTGAGTTATCATGGAAGGCTCTGCCTGCCTCAATTCCTTCTGCATAAGGGCACTTCACTTCCAGCTCCTGCTGAAAGAGAATTATTTCAACAGTCATGTTTCCGATCACATGGCTTCATCCTCTCAGCCACAGCTGATGGAAAATGTGCTGTCATTCCACCCAAGCTGAGCCAACTCTTAGGGTGATGAGCCACCTCTGATGCTACGTGACAGACACACATGCACAAACACACACACACAATAAATTAGTTCTAAGACACTCTCTTTTCAATTTAAGCCAGGGAATACCAAGACAAGGAACCCATTAGCAAGGGGGGCTGAGCCTAAACTGTCTTGTATAGAGATAGGCAGGTGGAGCAATGCTGAACATTTTAGTTTCCCATTGTAGCTGCAACAAATTACAACAGTCTTAGTGGCTGACAACAACACACATTTATTCTTACACAGTTAGGAGGTCAGAAATCCAAAATGGGTTTCACTGAGCCAAAACCAAGGTGTCTGAACTCCCTCTAGAGGGTTGAGGAAAGAATCTATGTCTATACCTTTTTCAGATTCTGGAGCTGCATTCCTGGCATTCCTTGGTTCCTTCCTTCATCCTCAGATCTACTTCCAACCTTAGGGCATCTTTGTCTGTCTGATCTTCTGTTGCCCTCTTATGGGGATCCCATGATTATATTGGACCTACCTGGATAATCCAGATAAACTCCCCATCTCAAGATCCTTAATCTAATCACATCAGCAAAATCTCTTTTGCCATGTAAGGTGACATTCATGGTTCTGGGGATTAGAACATGGGTATGTTGAGGGGCCATTATTTGGCCTACTATCCCAGGTAATGTGCACACCCAAGTTATAAGGGAGCCAAAATTATGAGTTAGAAAAATGTATGAGACACAAGAGACACGTGATGTAGTAAGGAAGGAGAGAGCAGCTGTGTCAAGGGAAAGGCAGGGCTGGCCAGAGTAAATGTTCATGGGCTTCTGTGGCTTTAGTCTCTACAACCATAAAAACAGTCTTCAGTTCTTGCTGGTCCTGAGACCTGAGGTCAGCTGTATCCACCTATGAATATTCTGAAAACAAACCCCTGCTGCTGGAGGTAACTTGAGGTTGTCTCTGATATTTGTAATCAAAAGGACCTGATGGGGGCTAGGCGTGGGGGCTCACGCCGGTAATGCCAGCACTTTGGGAGGCTGAGGCGGGCTGGTCACGAGGTCAGGAGATCAAGATCAGCCTGGCTAACGCGGTGAAACCCCGTCCCATCTCTACTAAAAATACAAAAAATTAGCCTGGCGTGGTGGCACGTGCCTGTAGTCCCAGCTACTCAGGAGGCTGAGGCAGGAGAATCTCTTGAGCCTGGCAGGCGGAGGTTGCCGTGAACCAAGATTGCGCCACTGCACTCCAGCCTGGGCAACAGAGTAAGACTCCGTCTCAAAAAAAAAAAAAAAAAAAAAAAACCTGATGGGAAGAAAAGGAATATTTGTGATACTTTTCCTTAAAAGCAGGTGGTAGGGAGGGAAATTGATATAGTTTGGATGTGTGTCCCTGTCCAAATCTCATATCAAAATGTAATCCCCAACGCTGGAGGTGGGGCTTGGTAGGAGGTGATTGAATCATGGGGTAGATTTCTAATGAATGCTTTAGCACCATTCTGTTGGTACTGTCCCTGTGATAATAAGTGACTTCTCTCATGACATCTGTTAATTTAAAACTGTGTAGCAGCGTCTCACTCTCTATTGCTTCTGCTTTCGCCATGTGACATGCCTGCTCCCCTTCACCTTCTGCCATGATTTAAGCTTCTGGAGGCCTCCCCAGAAGGAGATGCCACTATGCTTCCTGTATAACCTGCAGAACGGTGAGCAAATTAAATCTCTTTTCTTTGGAAATTACCCAGTTTCAGGTATTTCTTTATAGCAATAGGAGAACGGCCTAATACAGAATGTTTGCTAATTGTCTAGACACATTGTTGAATAATTGTTTTATTTGTTTTCTCAGAAAATGAATTTTTTTTCCTTTTGAATTTTAAATGGCAACAATTTTAATTTGATGAGAAGAGCCCTGGCTCTTCAAAATAAAACTTGCTATCACCTAGACTTTGGCCCTTAGTAGCTGCTAGATTTGGGGAAAGTTAACCGGCCTGAATGTATTTCTGGTTTTCCTTGAAGATATAATGGGGATTGTGGAAGAATTACATGTGGATGCACATGAAAGTCCTTTGAGACCATAAAGGGTTACTGCTCTTTGTCATGACTGACATAGAAGCCTGGCCCATGGATTTCTTGGAATTTTAGAGTATGGCAAGATCCTCCAGAAGGTTATACATATTTTTCATAAATAACAAGAAAGATGCCCTATTGGGGTACAGCAATTCTCCAAAAGAAATAAGGTTTGTAGACAGATGAACTTGGAAATCAGAGTAGAAAAGAAAGTGAGAAAAAGCTATAAATGGCAAAGGCCGAATATGATTTATAGTATTCAATCATTTCTCAGAACACTGTATATGGGATAGGTATACACGGCCTTTGTTCGGATTACAGGCTTACGGTTATTTGATTGGTAACTCAAATGATGGATATTGCCAGTTGTCTCCTGTGAGAGAGTTAGAGGTTACTTAAGCTATGATTTTTCATATCAAATAAAAAAAAACCTAAACTTCTGATGGCTCTCATTTGCCTATATTTCAAACTTGAAAAGAGAATGAGAAACATTAAGGAAATGATATAAGTGTGCTTTGTCCAAACTGGGCAGGAGAGACGCACTTGGAAATGAATAGGACAATCCTGTTGTCTTCTGAAAGATGTGGAAAGCATTTTGTCTTTCTCTGTTTGAGAAAATAGGCGTCCAGCATTTTCTCTGTGAGCATGGAGACAGAGAGCTGTAGGCATCAGCCAAAATGAGGCTTAGCACATAAAATCTGTGATGAAAATTCCAGAATTTACATAAAAACTCCTGACATAATCTTGGCACTAGGCAGAACGTCCAGCTGAGTGACAGTAGCAGGCTCGGCAGCTCTCAGGAAAGGTCTGATGAAAGCAGAGCCCACAGTGTTTTGATGCCTAGAGCAGTCGTATGAGCCCAAGGTTACTTCGTTGGAGAAAAATCTTCAGTGTGGATGCTAAGGAGCTCTCAGGGTGCAAACTGATTTAGAAAGTGGAGAGTGGTGAAACTCTCTGAGGTACTAATTTTGGAGCACTCATTGAAAAATCACTTCAATATTCTGTTCCTTTTAAGAAAAATTGTTGTTTTCACAAGAAGGTAGAAGATATGAAGTACCTTAGAGGTATTGTCCCTCCATTTTCACAGTGACTGTTATGGACTAAATATTTGTGCTGTCTCCTCAAATTCATATATTGAGGCACTAATCCTCTCCCTTCCCCAGTGTGGCTGCATTTGAAGATGAGATCCCTAAGGAAGTAATTAAGGTCAATATGGTTTGGCTGTGTCCTCACCCAAATCTCATCTTGAATAGTAGTTCCTATAATCCCCATGTGTCACAGGAGGGACCCAGTAATTGAATCATGGGGACGGTTACCCCCATGTTGGTGTTCTCGTGATAGTGACTGAATTCTCATTAGATCTGATGGTTTTAGAAGGGGCTTCTCCCTTCGCCTGGCACTCATTCTCTCTCCTGCCACCCTGTGAAGAGGTGCCTTCTGCCATGATTGTAAGTTTTCTGAGGCCTCCCCAGCCATGCAGAACTGTGAGTCAATTAAACCTCTTTTCTTTATAAATTACACAGTCTTGGGTGTTTCTTCAAAGTAGTGTAAGAACAGACTGATACAAAGGTTAAATGAGGTCATAAGGATGGGGCCCTAATTCATTAGGATGTAGCCTTATATGAGGTGGCACCAGGAAACTCTCTCTCTCTCTCTTTCTGCCATGTAAGGATACAGCAAGAAGGCAGCCATCTGCAACCTAAGGGGAGAGCCCTCGCCAGATACCAATCCTGATGGCCCCTTAATCTTGGATTTGCAGCCTGCAGAACTGTGAAGAAATGAATTTCTCTTGTCTAAGCCATCCAGTCTGTGGTATTTTGTTATAGCAGTCTGAGCAGATTAAGACAGTGAGTGACTCAATATACTGTCTAGATGGCGAGACATAAAAGTGTAAAGTAAACTGGTAGTTAACTTTGAGTTGGAAGTCTTAATCTATTCCACTTTTCTTGTGTGTATGATTTGTGCCTACTAATAGTTGAATCTAAACAGGTTTTATTGACTTAAAACGGATGAAAGTATTATGGTAAACATCAGAGGTGTGGCAAAATATAATAGATGTGGACTAGAATGTTTTTGTTTGCTTATGACTTATTTATGCACAAAAATTTACATAGTTGTTTTCTGACCCATTTTTCTCTTCAAGGAAATAGGAATGAAAAAGTATTAATACCTGTGAAACCTGCCAGATCTCCTTCAGCAAATTCATAGGAAATGTCTAAAAAATGGGTACAAGAAAACTGAAAAATTTGATTTTATTTGGCATCTTTCAAGGGACAGAGACATCACAAAATGACTTCAAGTTACCCAGGCAATGTTTGTGTATTGTATGTACAGAAGTAAGGAAGTGCTCAGAGCCTTATAACAAATAGACTCCTAGAGAACTGGAACATTACTGAGAAACTTTCAGCAAGACAGTCTTGCTATTCTTGTGCCTGGGGTCTTCCTCTGCCCCTCTGTTCTTTCTCTCTTGGTAAGCTCATGCATACTACCTTCTCTCTAAAAGTCCTTATGCTCTTATCTTCTTATTCTCTGTGTATCTGTGTCAATTTGACTTTTATTCAAACTTCTCAAGAGAGGATCCAATTGAGTGGGCTTGTCCAGTATTTACGTCTCTTGCTGGGTAATGCTTGTGCTGAGCCAGGTGATAGGCCACTGGTCTCTCTCATGTCAAACTTTGGGACACACTTTGATTCATGGTGGCCAGACTTGCGTGGTTATGTGACGTAATCCTGGGCATCTAATTGATGTGTACACACGTTTAAGATTTGTTGTTAAATGGACATGTATGTGCAGATAAGGAATGAAACATGGAGCTGTACAAACCAAGATCTGTCTTTCACATGTCAACACAAATCATGCTTATATCACCTTCTGTTTGAGGCTTTATGACTTTCAATATTTACTTTTGTTCGTGCTATTATGAAGAAATGTTTATCTCTTTCTATGTTTTCCATTTTGTCCACTGCCCTTTCATGTGATATCACTGATAGGCATGGCCGGTTTCACTCTACTGGAACAAGCAGATTGGAGAGAGCCTGGGGCAGGAGCCTGTGCTGAGTCAGAGACAGGCATGGAGAGGATGTGGGTACAAGTGGGAGGTGGGAACAAGCCAATTCCTGGCAAGCAGAGCAAAGTCTTTGTTGGTACTGCAATAGAAAGAAGTCAGTTATCCAATATCTAAATAGGGCTGCATCTCTCATTGGCTGTGTAACCTTGGGCAGTGTACCTAACCACATCAAGTTAGGGTAAGTAGTTTGGATTGTATGCGAAGCATATTGAAAAGTCAAGGGAGGTTTTAAACAGAAGGGTAACATGACCTGGATTATGATCAGAAAGTTCACTCAGGCTTCCAGATGGGGAGCAGATTGAAGGAAGAGAAGGGCAAAGGCAGGGAGAACAATTAGAAGGCTAGTGCAGTGGTCCAGTAGAGAGATCATGTGGCTGGGGCCTCCGTGGGTGGATGGGTGTCGGTGTTGAAATCATTTAGAGGGTGACAAGAGTACAGATTCAGGATTTTCTTTTGGAGGTGGAGACAAAGAGACTTTCTCATTGATTAGAGCAAGAACAGACACAAAAAATTAACAACAAACTAACAACTTCTTAAAATCACAGGATGAGCTTAGGTAATCCATGCTGTTGGAGAACTGTCTTTCCATTCACTTTCTCTTTCTCTACCTCCTTTTCCATCAGTGTCCCCATGCAGTTCTTAGTGGCTGAGGAGCTCTCCAGGAGGACATTGTGATCAGTTTATTTCTTAAGTCACTTCCTATAATCACTTCTTATATCTTACAGTCTCCTTGGGCCCTACAGAGTGACTAAAGTTTATTTTTTAAAGGTGTTTTCCAATAAATGTAAATTACTTCACAGACAACGTCCATAAAAAATACATCATTTGCATTTTAACATGGAATAATTCTTGTTGGAAAGGGCCAAGATAGTGGCCAAGTCAATACGATCATTATTTAAATCAGAGAGGATCCTTTAGTGTTCCCCAAATGACACCACTTAATTTAAACCTTCAAATTTTAGTTGAAGTAGGACTGTTCCATACTGTCACTGGATAGTTCTCCTCATGAATTCTGTACATCAGACTTTATGGTGGAGCTTTTAAAAATACATTCACCTGAAAACACACACACACATACACACACACATACACACGTACACACACACACAGCCCTGAAAACACATATAAAGGCACACATATGCCTGCATCCCACTCCTGGATCGTAATCTCAGGGGTGAGTCCAGGCAGTGGTATTTTCTCAAGTTCTATAGCTCAGGAGTTGGCCTGTAAAGGGTCACATAGTAAATGTCTTAGACTTTGTGGGCCATGGGGTCTGTCCCTAGGGACTTGACTCTATGGGGGCAGCTCAAAATAGGTAAACAAGTGAGTGTGGCTGTGTCTTCCTAAAATGTTATTTACAAACCAGTCAGTGGGTGAGATGTGGCCATAATTTGCTGAGAACTGCCCTAGGTGAGGGCTTCACATAGTTCCCCAGCTCCAGGATGTCCCTGCTGGTTTGATTCTGGTTTTGAGGATTTGTGATTCGTATCAATCCTTGATTATCTGTTGCATCAACAATTTATCTTGAATATTTACTACGTGCCAGCACTTACAATATAAATACTGGCTCCTATCTTCAAGTAGTCACAGTTGCTAGAGAAGAAAAACAAAAATAAAGACAATTAACAATGCCAGGATAAGGATAAGCATCAATATCTATGGGGGGCAGGAGTGGAATTGAAGTGAATGCTGGTGGTAAAAGGAGGCTCCTCGAAGGAATTTACTTGAATTCTCACTGGTAAGCTTAGCACTAGCCCAAGGTCCCAGAGTCAACTCCATCCTGAAGTAACAGTTTCCCTGGCAGTCCTGGCCTCTGGCTTCTATGCCTCAGTCCCAAGCTTTAGCCCTATTGCCTGCAGGCTCCTCCCTCCTCTTCGTATCAGTGGTTTTGGGTAATCCCAGGTTCCTCATCACTCTGATGCTCCTGACAATGCAACCTGCTGGACCTGCCTCTCTATGGCTCCAGGGATTATTCTGGTACTTGGTCTCTAAAGACTGGCACCAGCCTTGTTATGTCAGGTTGCCTGGCTCTAAAGTGTTGCTTTCTCCCAAAAGACCTCCTCCCATATGCAGGCTCTTTCAACATCACTCAGTCAACATACTGTGTCTCCTTCTAGCCCATCTCCTGCCCTGTCTCTTATTAACATTTTGCCTGTCACACTCTTAATTTCTCTATTATTCCTTTCTTTCTATCCAGCTTGTCTGTTTGTAAGAACTATTCTATATGCCCACTGCAAGCATGGTTTTGAAGCCATTGCTTGTCTCCAGAACTGCTCAGCAGGAAGCAGTGTACCTTCTAGAAGTTGTGGTGCTTGTGTGGATCTAAACCTGTTTATAATCTTGTGAAATATAATCCTTAGGAGATTATTTCTGTACTTTCTAAAGTTGGCTATGAATTTTTTATGCTTTTACAACTGTAGTGGGCAGTTGTTCTGTCCCCTGTGATGTCCCTTGGTATCTATATGAAATTTAGCAACACCACTCACAGTAAGGCTTCATTAGCTCTGGGTTGAAGCGCATCCAGGAAACAGGCCCCTTGCTTACTCTTTTGGCCTGAAAGCTGTCATGGTGCACAGGCATGGTGAGCCTGGGGATGTTTCTTCTAATGATATTCAGAAGTTGTCCGAGCTGAGTGAAACATGGCTTTGGTGCTGGCTAAAGCATCCTTTCTGACCAAAGTGTCAGTTAATTTCCAGAAAGATTAAACTATCCCCACATACACAAATGTTCAAAATTCACAGGCCATCTGGGGTTCCTATATCTTCACATGAGAGACCCCAGATGGATTATAAATTCATCCCTGTGGGTAATAGAGTGCAGTTGCTCCTCAGTCTCTCTACTTTTCCCAGTGGCATCTGATACTATGGCCATGATGAGGTTAATTTATGTGGCTTGATACACTTTATCATCTGTCACTTGTACAGCTCTTGCTGTGCCATCTGGTATCTCAGAGGCGGTTTCAGGAAGCAGCGTGCATAACAAGGTATCTGCATTTGTGAATTCTTTCAAGCATTTATAGGTAATAGCTAAAATATATTTTGAGAAGCCAGTGCCCATCTCTGCCATGGATCACCACTAACATGGATAATCTGACATGAGTTTCAAACAAAGCCTGCTGTACTTTGCAGGAAAACACATCTGAATTAGTCTGCAATCACCAATATTGATGGAATCTATTTATTTCAAGACCCTGAAGATCTCTATCAGGCTGAGAATATCTTACTGGGCTCTTGTGTGAATCAGGAAAAGGCAGAGACAATGGCTTACTATCAAACATGATGGATGATGAGACAGAACAGCACATACTAGCATGAAAAATTGTTTAAATCAAAAATCCTGCAGCAAAATGCCTAAGTGCCCCTACTATAATGATTTCATATCCATGTCTCATTTTCAGCAATGTGTTAGGACCTCAAGAGAGCACAACAAAACATTAAATAGGTAAAACCATGAGAAACAGATAGAAAATATACTCGGAGGAAGTGGGGATGTTGAATCGACACAGCATGGACAATCATGTCTGTCAGTCAGCCTGTGATTTGCATTCCACTATGCCAGGAGCCGGGGACAGGGCTGAGGTGGGGGTGGGAGAAATTATGAATGTTAGGGCTCTTGCTCTCCAGACACCACAATTTATTTGGGGGTGTAAGATACAAAGGTATATATTTTTAGTAAATACTCAGGTAGAAAGAGAACCAAATCAGTGAGTGTCTTAAAAGAGACAGTATAGCAGAGTATGGCAAATTTCTTGAAAGAAATTAGTGTTAAGCCAGGTTCTGAAGAAGTGAAGAATGACCTTTATAAAGGAAGCTGGAAAGTGTGCAGGATGATGCAAAGGTCAAGAGGCAAAGCCTGACTATTTTATGAAGGGTATGGCCATCCAGGAACTTAAGCAAAACATAGGGGTCCCTGGTGAGAGATGGAGTCAGTGGAACAAGAAGAGTTACTTAGTGCAGGTTGTAATATAATACGCTGAGACTTTGAAATTTAATTTATTGGGCATCACAGAGCCATTGTACGTTTTCAAGAAGATGTTGAATGAAAGTAGGGTTTGAGGGGAAGATTACTGCAGCAGCAGTATGCATTGGAATGTCAAATATGAGTGCAAGAACAGCGATGACATATTCAAGAACTTTCCTAATGTTTACAGCTGAACTGCAGTTAAATATAATAAACTGCAGTTAAAATATTATTATAAGATAGCTCTAGTGCATGGAATATTAAAGGTAACCCATCGTTTAAAAAACAATTTTCCTGTCAATAATGAGTTTACAAATATCACCCCATGTCTTCCCACCTCTCAGCATTTCTCTCTATATTAGAGGACTAAGTAAACATGAGCCAATAGATGCTGCCCACACAGCCAAAGACGGTCTGGAGATCTGTACTCTGAGAACTGCAATAAAAATCACTGAGTTTAACTGAAAAGTCATTTGATTAAAAAGAACCCTTTGAAAACCATCTATTCTGTGTAGGATCATCTCTTGGCACTTTCTGATTATGAATTTCTAGAAAGGAAAATCTAGGTTTTATGTTTGAGAGACACCTCTCATCGGGAAAGCCTAGCTGAGCCAGTACTATGTTTCTGACAGTGGTTAAGAACAAAGAATTTCATCCGAAGAGGAAGGGTTGCTCTTGCCATTGATGCCTAGAGATTGGAGAAGTAGCCTGGCCAGGCTTATGCACTATTTTAATCCACTCTGCTGTTCTCCCCCAGCACTGCACACTCAGAAATCTGTCATAGTCATTTTGATCCCGTGTCTATTCAGCCAAGGGCTGGCGGACAGTAGGGGCTCAATAAATGTTCATGAAATGAAATAAGCTATGTGTTTGTATTGTCCACTTTCTGAGAAAACAACCTTTTCTTTTCCCTGCTGAAATGCCTTATTCAAATTTCTGGACTGTGGCCTGGCAATCTTGGAGTCATTGTTGAGGAGATCATCTTTGCCATCTGACAGTTCCCCTCTGCCAGTATATATTCTGCTGGTTGGACATGGAATTTTTTTTTCTTTTGTTTTGTAGCTCTGGGTGGAGTAACACATGACTTTCTTGGGCAATGTCAGCCACTCATCCCTCTTTTATCTAGTCTAGGGGTCAGCAACTTTTTCTGCAAAAGGTCAGATGCAAACATTTTAGACTTTTTGGGCTGTATGGTTCTTCACAACTAACTCTGTTGTTATAGTGTGAAAGCAGCATAGACAAAGCATAAACAAATGGGTTTGGCTGTGTTCAATCAAACTTTATTTACAGAATAGGTAGTAGTCATATTTGGCCTCCAGGCTATAGTTTACTCACTCAATTTAGTCTATAAATTATAACGTCCTTAATATATTGTTTTGAGTATTGTAATGTTTCTACTTGCTGACATTTAGTCAGTATCTCCTGCCTTCTTTCTTTTTGGTACCAACCATCACTTTTGCATTTATTTTTGTGCCACTCATTACTTTTGCACCCATGATTAAACAGGGGGATTAGGCCTTGCCAAACTTTGTTGTTTATGCGCTGTGGGCACTCAATTCCTTTAACACACAACCCACTCTGTCCTGTGAAGTGAGTTTTTTTTACAGTAGCAGGTGATTCTGGCAATAATACATCAAAATTCAATAAAGTTGGCAAATTCTTTCTTTGGAGCTGTCATTAACCTGTGAGTTATTTCAGCAGAATATTATTTGTGTTTCTATTACAGTTAGTAGTTAAGTTTTTCTTGGCTCTCTTGATACTGTGGAGTCTTTAAATATTTATTCACTCATATTTTTGACCTTCTTTGAAGAGCTAAGGGCCATAATGAGAAACTTACCTTCTCTCAGTTGCCTTTTCTTGACCTGGGCTCTATGCTTTATGCTTTCTGAAAGAAGGGAAAATTATATAGACATAGCGGTTATTAAACTGTCTTCTGTGAGGTACCAGGTTTCTTTGAATCACCTATGGGGATCCTTTAAGTGCTGATGTACTTACTTGCAGAAAATACATTCCTTACATCACCATCAAGATATCTGAGGGTGGCGGGCATAGATATATGTTTGCTATAGTTTCGGTGTCCCTTCCAAAACTCATGTTGAAATGTAATTGCCATTGTGATGGTAATAAAAGGTAGGGCCCATAAGAGGTAATTAGGCCATGAGGGGTCTAATTAATGCCAATATTGCAAGAGTGGTTGTTATAGAAGTGAGTTTGGCTCTTCCTTGCTCTTGTGCTCTCTAGCCCATCCACTTTCTGCCATAGGATGATGCAGCATGAAGGCCTTTGCCAGTGCCAAGTTTTTGGACTTTCCAGCTTCCAGAAGCATGAGCCAAAAGTCTTCTATTGCTTATAAATTACCCAGTCTTAGATATTCTGTTACAGCAACACAAAACAAACCAAGACAGTACTGTGCAATGAAAACCTCACAGCTTGGAAGAAAATAGATAAAGGAATTTCTCCAGATTGTATCAGTCTTGAGGCATACAGTAATGACAAATGCCATCTTAGGGCTCTTGTATTTGCAAGGTTTTATTTGGTTTTTTTATACTACTCTCGTTTGTAAATGTTGAGTTGTTGCAGAAACCCATGTACATTTTGTCACAGTCTCCTTTATGAATATTATTCCTGAACTACTTCTTTCTGCTTTTTCTAAGCTATCATGGTTGATCCCCCTCCATCAGAATTAGAATATCTATTTATAACATTGCCCAATTAATACATTAAAATAAATCTTATTAAAATGCACAATACTATTGTCAAAGAAATAGTGTTTTATTACCTGAGATATATAAGACAGGTTGATTAAAGAATAAAGAAGTAAAATATGAGAAGAAATTGTCATCCCTCCTTTACAACAGGGAAAAAATAAACTTTTGCTTTTAATTGCTGAGATTCTCAGTGAGTGGCTTTCTTGTGCAAAACAAATGAACAACAACAACAACAACAAAATCCTCGGTGAATACAGAGCTATAAATCTATCAGAGATCCCTGGTCAGGGCTACACTCTGGGCAAGGGATTTAGGTCTGTGTATTCTGATCCCAAGTTAGTTACATGCATTTCCTGGTTTTATCTTTTAAAAACCCTTCACCATTACCATTTAAAACTTATTTATAAGCAATGAGCCCTGCATACATTTGCTATTGAAGAAATCAATAATTCTAAGTCCTAAGTCTTTCCAAATTTGGCAAGGTTGTCTTGCAGAGCTGGCAAATTCTGCCAATCCTGAGAAACTAGTATGAAATACTAGATTTGGAGATGGCTAAGGGCATTTCCCATTTCATTAACATTTAGAACACATTAAGGACTAGTAATAAATATAGCATAGCCATTGGACTTCTGCCCCAAGCTCAGGGGGGAGGGAGACTTTAGCGGGAGCTTCCTGCTACTGAAGTGTGATAAGGTAGGAGAGGGGTCATACAAACTCCAGATCTCAAAATAGGAACATTAAACCAGGAAGGAAGTAGGAAAAAAATCTTTTTTTTTTTTTAGGTCTTACAGCTGATGGAGATGTTATCATCAAAAATATAGAGCTGACTTGTGGGGTGGGAGCACAGGGAGAAATGTAGGAATCACCCTGCTGTTTCTCTTGGCCCTTGAGAGAATGTCAAAATAAACACACCGAGGTCCGTACGCAGAGGCTGTCAGCAGTCTGGGCACTGTGTAGACCACATGTAAAGGGACTTGGTAGTACACAGCAAACCAGTCTTTGTTTGCATAATTGTTTCAAAGATAGAAGAGAGAAAAATTTCTTTTTTGCATCAGAGAACAAACGTAGACAGTGATAATTACAGAAGCAGACTATGTGGAGACCATGACGAGGGTTTGCATTTAGCCTAATCTCCTTTTCTTAGCTATACTTTGCCATATTTTAAATGTTATGGGGAAAAACGGGTAGGGCACATAAATTTAGTTGGTAGAAGAGAAAATGCCCTTGCACTTTGTATAAACATAACATCCATGGCATCAGGCCTACAAGTGTCATGTAATCTGTCTTTAAGGCAGAGTTCAGGCTATGTGAGTGAGGCCACCCTGTTAGATGGCTCAGTGTTCTGAGAGTTATATGCTGCCCAGGGAGGAAGAGGGCTCTTCTCGAGGCTTCTGCTATAAAACATGATTGAAAATGACAGGCAATAAAAATTCAGATGACCTGAATTACATAGTTTGATTTGATTTGACTAAGCCCATATTCCACATACTCAGTTAGGATATACACATTTCAGAGAGGGAAATGCTTAACTAATTAATGACAACTCACTCAACATGCATTTCCAATTTAAATACCTGTATTAAACCCTTACTTTATTACTATATTTCTTCCTGTTCTTCTTTGATTGACAATAGTTACCAGAAATTGGGCTAATCACTTTATATTTATTTAATGAAATCCTTCAATGAGTTCAATTCCATTATTTTCATCTTATAGACTTGGTTAGGTTATGTATCCAAGAGTGTACATAGCTCATAAATGCAGGAGGTGGCATCGGAACCCAGGTCAGTTTGACATCAAAACCCCTCCGTCTAATCTGCAGTAGTTCCTCTTCTAAAATGACACACTGTTTTCTTCAGCATATTTAGTTATGTTGAAGTTTTCATGTTGTAAGTGGTTTAGTCATTGAACAAAGGACGGGCTCTATACATATTCCTAGAAAGTACCCCTCCATCCTCAGTGTGCCTCTATTAAAGAGAGGCCTCTACCAGCTGAGTTTAAATGTGAGCCCTGCTATTCAATTCCCCCTCCTTCTGCCAATATATTTTTTCTACTTCTGCAAGTTGAAGAAGTGAGTTTGACTAAATAGCGATTGAGGTTTTGGTGGAGTGAGTTTTGGAGAACTGATGAGAAGGTAGTAAAAAAGAGTGAAACGTGGTTACTTAAGTGTCTTAGGCAATGCCATTACTGTAGCCAGTGAAGCTGCCATTGCGGTTTCCTCCAAAGAACTGAGGTTTTTGACTCCCAGTACTCAAGAGTTTTGTGTCATAAACAAAATGACCTACTGATATATGAGAAGAGTCATATTTCTTTCCCTTGCCTGCTTCTCCTTCCTCCTTCTCTTCCTGGAAGTATGTGTGCAGAGGCTTGTGGTGCACTGAGGGAGAAGATGATGCAGAGCTCTTTGCTGCAGATAGAGAGGCCTTGGCTTATAGCTTCTCATTATGGACTGTGCTGAGTGTGCCCTTCTGGGACCTGGGCCTGCTACAGTGTGAAGGCTGTCTGAATTCGTTTCACTGGTGTTCCCAACCACATTCTAGACCAAATGTGGAATGGCTCAGACTTGGAAAAGAATAGTGGAATTTAACAAACTATGAGTGGTTGTATAGGGTTGAAAACTTTAAGAAAGATTACCTGGGAAAAGAAAATGAAGGAATTGAAAGTGATCTTTATTCTGATAGGTAGGCAGTGAATGGGTCACTGGTTCAGGCACTGCAGTAATTCTGGACAGAACCTGCTCAATGTGTGATTTATCATTGTCAGAAATAAAAATTGCCTTTGCATTTATCATTCTACCTCCAAATTCTATTATATCTGCTAAACTCACAATCTCTCTTTTGCTGTTCCCACTTCTATTCCTTATAAAAACTATAGTGGGCAAGCATTTTCCTCTATGCTGACCCCAATAAGTTGAAAATACACATGGAGGTCGGGATAGAAAAACATACAATTCCATAATGCTAGCGACATCTGTTTATCTCAACATCTTTGTGGTGACATTGCGCTCCCCAAGGACCTGCCTTTATTCACTCAGCTGTTGATTCTTTGCCAGGAGGACATTCCACCATATTAATCCTGCTGATGGCCTGTCTGTGTAGATAGATTTTTAAACCACTAATTTAAAAAACTACTTAATACCTCTATTGATAATTATTATGTAATTCCATATTTCTTAGCTCTTAGCAACATAGTTCACATTCTTTAAAACTGCTAAAATTAGAAAAATATTTCTAATAGTTGTTCAGTATATTTTCCAGTATATCAAATTTTCCATTAATAATTTTATATATTAAAAAAGTACATGTGTACATCTATGCACATTAAATTATAAATGTAATAATATTTAATAAAATGTTCATGGTTCGTGTTTAGACTCATGAAAAGCTCAGGTTAACTGCTATGGTTTATCAGTATACAGTAAGTGTTGGACATTGTGAAACATTCACTCCTATGTCTGTTTGATGGATGTTGCTTATGTCTTAAGTATGGCTATATATTACCAGATGGAAGAAACCTATGTACCAAAAGCTGAAATCTATATACTTGACTCTAGCTTCTCTGAGTAGAAAAACTTTGGGGAATAAAGAGTACTAATAGAAAATGCATTCTGAGTCTATGCTGTAGCTGTGAACAACAAAGAAAGTATTTTGAATGCAAACATTATTTTCTTTCAACTGTGGTAAGGAATGTCACAGTTGGACTGAAGTCTTGTTAGCTCTTGTGTCAAACTGGAATAATGTTTCTATCAGAACATGTCTCATTTTAAAAATTATGCATTGTAACTGTAAATGTTGGCAGACCCATATTTCAAACTGGGCAACGAACTAGTTTTAAAACAAAAAGTTTAAAGATTCTTTAGATGCAGAATTTTATTAGCTTTGATTTCTATATCCAGTTAAAGAAAGGTTTCTGTGTGTTCTTTCAATGGCTTAGGTTGCCTATATAATTAATATTTCTAGTTTTCAACTAATCAGGAAAAAATCACTTTGACATACATCTGGCTCAAAATGGTGGTGGACAGGCTAATAGGTGAGAAGTAAAGTCTGTGAGAAATGGTGGGAAATAAGGATTATTTATTTTGCCACCAGCTCTGTGTGAGGTGATTAGAAAAATAATAAGTTATCAAAGTTTAATCTTTGATCTAAAGAGCAAAAATTTGAGCCATGGATTGACTTGTACTTCAAATTTGCAAAAGACATGGATGAAAGGAAAAAAAACCCTAGATTTATTAAGTATATACTAAGTACCAGGAGAAATTCTATAAGTCATGAGTATGTTCTGTTTCTTAATAAATTTAAGTAAATTACCATGTGGTTGACTTACACAGTATCATCAAGTACAGGCATTCATATTGAATATAATGAGTAATACCTGGTAGTAAACCTAATACAAGCACATATCTCAATGAATGTGATCTATATTCCTCTTATTAAAGCCTCTGTTATCTTTGTGTAAAATTTATTATTTATTCATTTTTAGTTTCCCTTCCACTTATGGGACAGATTTGTTTTTTCAAATTGTAGCTAACAACATGCCAATATGCCAATGTGAGTCTTTATGAAGGCAATGTCTTTATGGCCAAAGAACAAAAAATGCTTAAAATATTTTGAAACTAACATCATTTTTAAAATTCTGTATTCAGTGTTGCATGAACTAGTTAGCGGTCAAGAATTCCTGGAGGACATAGGTATAGTTTTCTCCCACTGCTCCTAAGTTATCAGCAGAAAACAGCTGGGGAGGAATTTTCCTGAACCCCATTTCTGATCTGAAAAAAAATTTTATAGAGTGTTTAACTGGAACACGATCAGTTGATCCTGAATAGAGTAGCTGTAGTGGCTTTTATTGCTTCTTCAAAATTTCTTTGCTTGACTCTGTTAACGACAAAGCTGAGAATGTAGCCCCTTCCCCATTGTAGCAATGAGCAATTGATGATTGCACATTTTGTGTTGCCATGGCAATTGCTCAGTTAATGCTGCTTTCCCCTCCATCCCTCCCTCCCTGCATCCTTAATTTCTTTCCTTCCTTCCTTCTTTCCTTCCTCCGTTTCTTCCTTCCTTCCTTCCTTCCTTCCTTCCTTCCTTCCTTCTTCTGTGCTTCCCTCCCTCCTTCCCTCTCTTTCTTTCTTTCTGAAAGCAGTGAATGGTGAGGAATATAGATTTGGGTACTAAAAGATTTAATTTCAATAGAAGTCCCAAGACTTATTATAATTGCTCTTAAAATTATATGGTGATGGTTTGAGCTGTTAACTCTGTCTTCTGTACCTATACAAAATATATGGATGTTTTATTTAGAAACATAAAATGTGAATTGATATTAAGAAATTTCCCCCCTTTTCTTCTCAACCAAAGGTATTCTATAGATTACTTTGAAATGAAAATGTTACCTGGGTGTGTGAGCTGAGAGTTTGGACTTTTCATCTGACAATGAATGATACCGTATTTGACCTTGAAGAGGGTACTGGACCTTACCATTGTCTATATGTAGAAGCAGGAATGATTCAGATACCTAATGATTATTAAAAATGCTTTGATGCCTCAAATGAAATAACTACATGCTTTAGAATTAAATATTTAAAATGGATATAATTTCATGATTTTTCATTATTTCATTGTGAAGAAAATGTGTTTCAGGAATTACAAAACTGTCTTAGAGTCAAATATAATAAAGCATAGCATTGTTAATAGGCTTACATAGAAAATTAATAAAAATCCAAATCTAAATTCAGGTTCACTGGGTTTTCATTTTTTAAATCGATTTCTTTTCATGGCTTTTGATATTCTTTCTCCTGTGATTCATCAAAGAGAATAATAAGAGGTATTATTATTGTTGTTTGTGAAGGTAAAACATATTGTGTCATTAGATCAATGTCCTCTCATCAAATTTGGTTATGTCCTGGTTCAGAAGTGCTTATGTAACTTAAGCAAATATAAAATATATTTGATTCTTAGTTTCCTCATCTGTAGAGTTTTTGTGATTTATTAATAAAATAGGGCTTTTATGTTATATAATATCTACATCAGAAGACATTTTGTAAGAATTAGATTAAGATAAGTATAAAATGCTTCTCAAACTCTAATGAGTTATACAATGTATGGCCTTATTTTTGAAGGCAGCATGTGGCCCAAGTAGAGAGGGCATTAATATTAGGCTTACAAGTGTTGACTTTATTTGTTGTGTAATGGGAAAGACCTGAAAGATTTTAGAAAAGGCAGTACAAATGCCAAAGTAGAACTTGGGGAAGATTTAACCTTGCAGCAGTTTGTGTGACAGACCAAGAAACAAATAGAATGATGGTTGTGGTATAGGATAGTTAGAAGACTAGTACAATATTCAGGTGAGAGATAAAGAAGGATCTGAACCAGGTAATTAACTGGGTCTCTTTCTCTCACCCAGGCTGGAACGCAGTGGTGCAATCATTGCTCTCTGCAACATGAAACTCCCGGGCTCAAGCAATCCTTTCACCTTAGCCTCCTGAGTAGCTGGGACTACAGGGACTTGCCACCAAGCCCTGCTAAATTTTTTTTGTATGTTTTTATAGAGATGGGGTCTTGTTATGTTGTTAGGCTGGTCTTGAATTCCTGGGCTGAAGTGATCCTCCTGCCTCAGCCTCCCAAAGTACTTGAATTACAGATGTGAGCCACTGTACCCAGCCAAGTATAATTAAAAAAAAAAAAAAAAATCAGGCCGGGCGCGGTGGCTCACACCTGTAATCCCAGTACTTTGGAAGGCCGAGGCGGGCGGATCACGAGGCCAGGAGATGGAGACCATCCTGGTTAACACAGTGAAACCCCGTCTCTACTAAAAATACAAAAAATTAGCCGGGCGAGGTGGCGGGCGCCTGTAGTCCCAGCTACAAGGGAGGCTGAGGCAGGAGAATGGCGTGAACCCCAGGGGGCAGAGCCTGCAGTGAGCCGAGATCGCGCCACTGCACTCCAGCCTGGGTGACAGCGAGACTCCGTCTCAAAAAAAAAAAAAAAAAAAAAAAAAAAAAAAAAAAAAAAAATCAGGTAGGTGCAAAAGACATAGCAATAGAATCTTTGGGATTTTAAGTTTAAGAATCTTTGAAATTTACACTTTAAGAATGAAGATGAGGCATTAAGAACGAATGAAATATGGCTTAGAAGTTTAAATCTCAGGCATATATGACAAAATTAGAAAATTTAGGAGAGGAAATTGGTGCTTATAAAAGATGATAAATTAGCTTTAGCATATGTTGACTTTGAGGAGTTGGGAGGGCACCCCACTTAATGACAAGAAACATTAAATGAAATCAGAGAGTAGCCTCCTGAGTAGCTGGGACTAAAGGGACTTGCCACCAAGCCCTCCTAAAATTTTTTTGTATGTTTTTGTAGAAATGGGGTCTTGTTATGTTGTTAGGCTGGTCTCGATTCCTGGGCTGAAGTGATCCTCCTGCCTCAGCCTCCCAAAGTGCTTGGATTACAGATGTGAGCCACTGTACCCAGCGAAGTTAATTAAAAAAAAAAAAATCAGACAGGTGCAAAAGATATAGCAATAGAATCTTTGGGATTTTAAGTTTAAGAATCTTTAAAATTTACAATTTAAGAATGAAGATGATGCATTAAGTAAAGACAATGAAATATGGCTTAGAAGTTTAAATCTCAGGCATACATGACAAAATTAGAAAATTTAGGAGAGGAAACTGGTGCTTATAAAAGATGATAAATTAGCCTTAGAGTATGTTGACTTTGAGGAGTTGGGAGGGCACTCCACTGGTTGAGAGGGCACCCCATTTAATGACAAGAAACATTAAATGAAATCAGAGAAGTGGAAGATCAAGTGATTAGAGGATGAAGAATCATTTGCAAGGGAGTAATAGTAGTAGTCCTGAGAATGACGGTCTTAGATGAGAAAGATACTACAGAGACAGAGGGATAGGTATTATTGTATTAAGAGGTTGTGAGAAAGTGGGGCTCTTGAAAGGGGCTAGAAGGAAGGGTCAGATAAATTAAAGAATAAAAATATTAGTATTATGGATGCCAAAGAATGAAAGATTTGATATTTTCATGGAGATAGGCTGTTCAATTTTTTAAAATATTTTATTGGAGGCCAAGAAGGAAGGGAGGGTGACTATTAGAAATGCCAGTTTTGAGGAGATGATCAGTGAGGAGTGGGAGGTTGGAGATTGTATCTGTTTTCTTCACTATGTCACCATCACCTACTAGGGGCCTCACATACATGAACTATATAGTAAATATTTTTATGAATGAATTCATGGTGAAAACCAGATTGCTAAAGTTCAATAAATGAGTTGGTGACAGGTAATTAAAATTAGAGAATGTAGGCTGCTTTTCTAAGATATTTGCAGTGGTACAAAAATTATATCATGGACATATGTTACTACTACTAATAGCTAAGATTTATTTGTAGCTTTTTATTATTTCATTAGATCTCAGCAATCCTATGAGGGAGGTACTATTATTATCTCTATTTTAAAATTGACAAAACTCAAGCATAGAGAGATTAATAAATTTGCTGAAAGTCCTATAGCTGGTCACGGAAGAAGCTAGGATATATCTGCTCATATCATCCATCTACTTAAAATTCTTCATTAGATTCCACATTGAATCCTAGTGTCTACCACAATGTCTGTCACACTGAGGTGTTTGTTACCTTCCTGCTCATGAAGAGACTGAGACATAGAAATCAAGCCACATGGTCAAGACCTGACAGAGTTAATTTTAGTGGTGGAGATAGAGGTTGACTCAGGCGCGTTGAGTCCAGAGCCCCTGTTTGTAACCACTGTACCACACTGCCTCCAATTACTTTATGCCTGACATGTATGGCTATGTATGAGATTGAGTTTTGATAGAGTATTAAAAAACAGAATTAGAAATAGTAAATTAGGAGAAAAGTAAGTGATTAAAGCAGCAAAGAATGTGATGACAAATATTAAGTCTGGTAGGAGTGGCAGAGTGGGAGAAGTGTAGATAATTCAAATTCTTGGAGAAACAGGGGTTCTGAGTGATGTTGAGATCGGAGACGTGTGCACTAGTGGATGGGTGATGATGGGTAGAACTGCAGGTTATGAATGTTGAACATTTTAACACTTATGACACGAGGGTGTTAAAAAGACTGAATGAGATGAGCTTTTGGAAACAAATTTAGACAAAGAATTCTTTTTTCCAGGCGCAGTGTCTCAGAATTATTGATAGGATCACATGTTACATACTAATGCTATTCACATGATGGGGATGATCGTCTGGGAGTTTATCTGTGGCAGGTGCTAAATCCCATGTTGGTGTCTTCCAGTTCTACAGCTGTGAGTCCAGAGAAGTTCTTCTAGATGTAAGTTCATAGGATTTGCTTAAAAAAAGATCTACAGAACCTAGTCCCACACCTTATAGGTAGGAATCATTCAGTAAATATGTGCATAATGGAAATTGTGCTTGGTAAGGGGACTCCTCTTTCTTCTGAGAAAATGTTACAGCAGGTACCCTCCATTCTTTAATACTTTCTTAAAAGATGTTGATTAATAACTTTCCCAAAGGAAGTCATTTGAGGGACATGTATTCAGTTCATATCTAAGGGATTTTGTTTGGAATTTTAGTGATCAAGGTTGAGATCTCATGGGTAACAGAAGACACTATGTATTCTGGTATTCTATTTAAATAGGACTCCCCTTGAACTTATTGCCACAGTGCACCACTACCTCAAAGCCTGAAATACAGAAACTTGAAATTCTTCCCACTGCTCTGGTGTCTTTCAATGCTTACTTGATGAAACAACCAGTTAATGTATAAGTACAGCTACTGGACTGTGGATTTCAGAAAGAAATGTTCCAAGAATTAGTAGTAGTTATAACTGAAAAGACATAGCCTGACTCTAAGGAGAGAACTGCATTTGAGATTCATTAATCTTACAGGCTGGATTTTTTTCCCCTTCACCCACATGGACACACACACATATGCACACAGGTACACATATACCCTTTCCTCAATGAATCTTTTATCTAAAAACTTGATGTTTTTTCTAAGGCAGACTGCACATCAGGATACATGTAGGACCTCGTGTGATATAAAACATAATTCTTCTTCAACAGGAGACATTTCTTTAGACTCTGATTCATTACTCATTCAGGAAGTTGGGAAAGAGGCAATGAAAGGCAAAAATGAGCCACATTTTAACATAACAGATAGTCAACTTCCATAGACTTTTGTGTCCTCCTTCAGAGATTTTTTCCCCTCTTCGAAACTTTTGCAGATAAAGTTTTTAACTATGCTGTATTAGCCTCAGTGATAACCCAGTGAGGGTCAGTCTATAACTGCCTCTTGGATTGCAAGAGAACAGAAGTTAGAGTCGAACTAATAGCATGCAGGGAGTTCAGTGCTTTTGCTGCTTTGAAGCCTGTCTGTCAATTTTTCTTAAAATACACACGTACATACACTGCCTTCGGTCCTTTCACTGACTGATTAATGTGGCTCTGTTCCTCCAGGCTAACACATACCGCACTCTCCTTGTTTCTAGCAGCCAAGCCCCTCTGGTGTTGCCCAAATTATACCTGGTTCTCTTCTACGAATTATTGTGATGATTAAGAACGTTTGATGATATACCATTTTTTGGATTCCAGACCTCCTGTCAGATAATAGAGTCAGAAGAGTGGGGCTGCTACAGTTATTCCATATCAATACTCTGAGTTCAAATAAAGTGTCAGGATGACTAAGTACAAGGGATTTGTGGAATGCTTTAATGTTGCCTCATTTCAAATCACTTCATAAGCAGCCTGGAAATGAGCTCAATAAATTCTGTTGGAGGAAAAAAAAAAAAAAAGAGCCCTGTATTCACTACAGAAAAAGTAGGTTGCTATTTTATAATTAGGCCTCTGGGCTGGTGGGAAGGAGTCTTATTTCCTGTTTGAAAGCCACTTTGTAAGCTCTGTGATGTGGAGATGGCTAAATGAGTATGAAATATTATAATTAAGGACATCACAAGCTGTTTATCTTATCAACAGTGTTTTTCCTTAAAGGCTGCCTCATTGACCACTTGTGTATTATAACCACTGTTTTTTCATGATTTGCCAGTTGTAACCAACAGAGGTTTATCTGGCTCTAAGGGGGCAAAGAGGTGATATGGATAGCAGCCCAGCAACAGAAGTTACTGAGAGACCTACATTGCTTTTATTTTGCTTGGATCAGGCATTCTTTTCATTAACTGCAATAAGCTGTTTGTTTATGGAAAGAAGTGAGTTTGCAAAAATTTGACTGAACCTGGTGAGGGCGTGTTACATGCTGCCCAGGGCCAGGCTGTGAGTGCTGTCTTGGACATCTCGCCCAGAATTGTGTTTTTGTTTCAAGGCTAACACAGAAAACCAGTCTTACTTTGGGAAAGGAGAACTGGTTTATTATTGATTGGATGGAAAGCAAATGGCCAGGTCTGTAGTCTCCACTGTAATTTAAAAGGCTCTATATTATGATAATCTTTTGACCTGCCAACTTTCTTGTTTTCGTTCAACAGTGGGAGAGTGGGTCTTGCTCTTCTGTACTACTCTGATTGACAATTCTCACCAGGTTCTACTGAAAAGATCTAGATCATAGCCATTTGTCTCATAAGCCATTTGGCTGAACTGAAAGATCAAATCATGTATTCACAACATTTTGCCTTAGTGTTGATTTCTAAAAGATCCTAGTTCTTAAAAAACACAGCAAAAATCTAATGTGTTCTTTAGATGCAGTTGGTGTAGCTGGACATTCAGTATTTGTTGGTACTTGGCAAAATGATGGAGAGTGACAGGTTTTTATTCTAAATTCTATCCACAAACCTGCTTTGTGCTAGAATCTGAAAGCCCCTTCTATATTCATGATTTCTCTGCCATTTCTCCACTAAAATCTTTTTATGTATACAACAAACAGCTTTATGAAATAATGATAAATTTCATCACATTAGAAGTGTTAAGGCCGGGCGCAATGGCTCACACCTGTAATCCCAGCACTTTGGGAGGCTGAGGCGGGAGGATCACCTGAGGTCAGGAGTTCAAGACCATCCTGACCAACATGGTAAAACCCTGTCTCTACTAAAAATACAAAACTTAGCCAGGCGTGGCGATGGGTGCCTGTAATCCCAACTACTCAGGAGTCTGAGGCAGGAGAATCGCATGGACCTGGGAGGCAGAGGTTGCAGTGAGCCGAGATTGTGCCATTGCACTCCAGCCTGGGTGACAGAGCGAGACTCTGTCTCAAAGAAAAAAAAAAAAAGAAGCGTTAATATCTTCTGATAAGGTTTTATGGATACCCAGGGCCACTGCTTATGGTTTTGACCTTTGTGTACTGCGTAAACACATCAGGCCAAGAAGTGAGTGGAGAATAAAATCTAGTTTACACTCACTTCACGTAGCTCTGCACCTTGGGACAGGTTTGGATTTGCATGGGGGCATGGGTTACTTTTTCTAAATTCACTGCCCATAGAACATGCCTGTGCCTAATTTGCACAAAAGCACCACATAAGCTAGAGCTGGGCTCCATGTTACTTCCCCTAAAGTAAAAAGAAATAGATCTATAATAATAGCTTTTTCCTTATCACGGGGGTTTTTCCGAATACCAGGGCTCCTGAAATAACCTTATATAGACAGAAGCTGACTTTGCTTATATGCATAATTATTAAACAAACACATTGTTTGTAGAGAATGCCAACATGTAAGCTATTGAATGACACCATATTCCAGAACACAGGTTGGCAAACGTTTTCTGTAATGAGCCAGACATTAAATATTTTAGGATTGCAGGCCATCCAGTGTCTGTCACAATTGCACCTCTGCTATTGTAGCACAGAAGAAGCCATAGAAAATCCAAAAATGAATGGGCGTGCCTTTGTTCCAATAGAACTTTATGTATGGATGCTGAAAGTTAAATTTCTTACACTTTCCACATGTTACCATTTAAAAATGTAAAACCCATTCTTAGCTTGAGAGTCACACAAAAATAGGCTGCAGGCTAGATTTGGCCTCTGTGGCCAGTAGTTTGTTTGCCGATCCCTATTCTATAAACTTGCAAGTAAGGCTTTTTCTTTTTCTAGAGGCTGGAATGGGGTAAAAGAAGAATTCTCTGAACTCTTCTGCTCTTTGGAATGAGCATCTTAACCTCACTGACAATACTTTGAGACCCTGTCAGATTATCAAAGGAGGAAATGACAAAGAGGTGACATTTTAAAAAGCCTAATTTATTTTAACTTTTATATCTATTTAGTTGTTTTTAGGAAGTAAAGCATAATATTTCAATATTATTGAAATACAAGAGAGGATCACCATGAATTGAGATGTACCTGTTCAGAAATCATGCTTCCTGCCATCCAACTGCTAAGAAGTCCTATTTGATGTCAGCATAACTCTTTTACTCATTCATTCACTTACTCGTTTATCAAATACTTGAGCTTCTGCTTTGTGGAGGACCCATGACTTGCTTAAAATGAGGGGAAGCACAAATCATAGGAGAAAGCGTGAACCCCTAGGAAGTCCCAGAAGCAAGAGGTGAAGTGCAACAGCTACAGAAGGCTGGGAAACAGCCACCAACACACGGCCTGGCTTGTGAGTTTGTCCTGTGAACAAATGTGGCACACACCCTAGGAGGAGAAGAGATGGAGCCCCAAATGACAGCAGAATGTAAACAGCAACTCAAAGCTACCCCCAAAAGAATATCATTCAAGTGTTCACTCGGAGCTTTTACCTACAGAAACTGACATCTTAGCAGCTTAATATTCTACAATGAAGGACAGTTATACTTTATATGCATATCTGTCAGGAACATAAGCCTGAATTGTTTTCTCTTTTCTCCTGAGAGTTCCATATTTTTAACAAGTTCCTCTTTCCATCTATAGTTGATGCCCTGATTTTCTGCCATGCTCGATGCATTCTTTCATTATTTCCAGGACAGTTCCTCCGAAGTAACGCCCTATCACCACGCCACCTCATCATTACCTTGCACATGGGTAGAATTCCCTGACAGAGAAATGTGTAATTGCACCTTGGTTTTTCAATGGAAACATTAATTGAATTGAAAAAGAGAAGAGTTAATCTGACTTATTATAGTTACCCCAAACCCTGGCAACTTTCACAGAAATGAAATACATGGGGAAGAAAAAAATTATTCTGACTCCAAAGTGCCAAAACATCAAGATGAAACATAAAACATGAAAAATGCAGTCCACTGTCCAGATATTTTGTCTTTTAAATGGCATGCATGTTGTATTTGCTAATTTAGCTGCCTTAAAACATACATTAAAATCTACCTAGAATACGACAGTGACATAAATGTATTAATTGTATGTAACATTTGTGGAGGTCTTCGTATTTTCTGATGTTTTTCACATGCCATATTTGACTAATAATCAGTGAGGTATGAACATCAATTCCATTTTACAGAAGTGGTAATTGAGGGCCAAGATGTGAAGGGACCTGCCTCAACTCAATTGGCAGGAAGTCCAGGCAGGGGATGAGATTTCAGTCCAAGTAAGTCACAGGTTCCTGTGATAATATGGTTGTTATACCATATTATCTTTTTATTTGACAAAATTGCACTAAGACTGCCATTAGCTCCCTGTGTGAGTGTGATCAAAGAAACTAAGCTATATAAGCTACAGCCTTTGATTTTTAATTGTTGTTATTTGTAGAGTCTTTTGTTGAGAGTCTCAACTCATCCTATAAGCTCTCTGCTACCTCTGCCCCCAAAATGTTGAAACCTGGGCTAAGATTATTTTAGTTGTTACCTGATGCTTCCCTCGCCCAAGAACTTAAATAATATGGCATATTTAAAGTATTTGAATATCAAAAGGTTCAGCAAAGCCAAGTGTCTCATATAGTATTAGGCAGATCTACCCTGGGCATTGGGTGTAATAATTTATCATTATGGGCAGATGCATAATTAGTATCATTTCTAATGACACAGAGATACAAATTTCATGTTTGATGCGATCCTGCCAAATAATTTAACATGGTGCAGTTAAAAAATGACATGGATCATGTATTTGGTTAGCGGTCTGTGAGGGAAATGAGAGTAAATCTGATTTCAGCCCCATCAAGATGGGGCATCCCCTGCATCCAGCAGCCTCATATGAGAATGTTTATTTAAAAGGGTGGGGGTGGGGTGGGGTGTATATGTGAGACTGTGGTATGCTTAACTGCTTTCCACATCTAGAATAAATATTTACCTAGAGAAAAATCTTCAAGACATTAAGGAAGACAACAGTTCTCTCTCTTAAGACAGAGAAACACATAAAATCACAGGCATTTGTGGGCTGTCAGAGTCCCATGTGATAAACACTGGCACTTTCATGCACATTTTTGCATCTCTGCTGGTACCCTCTGCACTAACATCCTGCAGGTCCTCTTCCCTCCCCTTTACAAACTTAGACAAACAATATGACCATCTTAACTTTAAAAAAGGGGGCAAACCAGGTCCAGGGAAGATGCAGTGTAGGGTTTTTTTTTTTTTTTCTCAATCTTTTCTTCTGTTCCCTAATCCTGGACCTCACTTTCTCCACTGAGAGGCCCAGGAGGTCACGGTTAGTAAAGATATGAAATTAAATGAATGACAATCCTGTGTAAATGGAGATATTTTCCAAGGAAAGTTGCTGTTTTGCTTGTTGAGTCACTGATTAATTCAACAAACATTTGTCAAATGATTATCTATCAGTGGCTATGCTAAGCACTGGTGTGCCAACTTCCACTGACCACCCCTAAATTGAATAAACAAATCATAGCCTAGTGGGACAATGGACACATAAGTGACACAATTAAGATACAGTATGATGAGGGAGGTGCTATGCATCATTAAACCAAAAGGGAGGAAAATTAACACAGACAAAAGAGAGTAAGCTGAGGTTTCTTGGAGGAGAGAAACACATAGACTCATAATGTGGGGCTTCTACCTGCCAGGGCTTCTGCTTGAAGCTCATCTTCCATCATCCTGGGGCTTCCCAGTGGGGGACTCGCATTTGTCACTTCTCTTTTCTTGTTTTACCCTCAGCCGTGGTGCTGCATCCTCTCTGGCTTCTGCTCACTGAGGGGCAAAGCCCATGAGCTGTCACTGCTAAAGTCTGCAGGGGAAGCTGTGGTTGTAATTCATATGCTAGTGCTGTTGGACTGACTGAAGCCACCGTCTCTGGGCTAGACCTAGCACAGGCCTCGGCACTGAATAAAGGCTGCTGAAATGAATTGGATTGCTGCTCATCCCTTTTATCCCCTGCTTGAGCCTGCTGCAACATTAATTTTGAATGATGGCTTTCCCCACTGTTCCTGCTGCCATCTACGGCATATGCCACCAATCAGAGAAGATGTATGCTCTCACTTTCTCTCAGGGGAAATAGCTCTGAAAGTTTTTTGGTTAGCTGATCCCTCTCTTCAGAATGCAGGGGCATCTGGGCAGTGGATTCTTCTCCTGCTCTAGTCAGGAGAAAAATAAATAAAAGCCTCACTTCTGACCCCAAAGTATTGGCTTTGGACAAAATTTTTGTGGCTCGATGCTCCCTTTCCAAGAATAAAATCTTTTTCAAGACTATATCTAGTCTGTCATGCAAATAGAATTCAAATGGCTTAGCAAAGCCAGCCCTCCAGATCCCTGCAGACACATGGAATTCTCCAGAGAATCCACTTTAAAATCAAAGAAGTGTAAAAAGTAAAAGTAGGGGAAAAACTACAGAAAGGCGGGGCACAAAAAACGATTGCATGGAGAGCAGAGGACTTATTATCCCTACCTAATGTCATTCTCCTGCACCTCAACATTACAGATTCTCCGATTCAACTCCTAAAAGAATCTTTTCTTTGTCCAAAGGGAGTAGGTACTGGCTGAAATTTCTGAAGGAAACTCATTGGTTTTGGGTCTTTTCCCCACTTGGGTCACTATGAAAACTAACTGATGTGACGCTGCCTTTAAGTAGATGAACAAAAATAAGAGTTTGGGATTGGTCCCCTGCAGAGTGGTGAGAAAGAATAAGAATGGTTAGCTAAGGTGATTGTCCTACAGGAGGTTTAATATATTTCTTTTTTAACTAGGGAAAATCTGGTCCCAGATGAAACTCCAGAATACCATAACATTTAGAATAGCCTAATATATAGCAATGACTTTTAAATTTGGTGATAGAAGATGACTTGTAATTAAATATCAGTGACTGCTTTTACATAAAATATTTGCATACTTTTTTCCTGATGGTTTCTTTTTGCAAATATCTAGAACCCTTGGCTTGAATGATGACTTTCATGTTAGAATTGATATCTTTGGGGTTTCTCTGAATATAACTGGGCACATTTTAGACGTACAACACTTATTTGTTAAATTACATTGAATAACATTTGAAATTATATCGTTTACTTGGCTTAAACCCTTGGACTTTCAAGGAACAGATTACTGTAACTCAGCAATGTTTTAGCTACAAAATAAGAAGTGTGCAGCCTGAACACAGTTGCTGTCTTTTTATTATTTCTCATTTTGATACATTTCTTATGCTGTTGGCTATTTTATTAGTACCCCCTGTTGCAAAATATTTTTCTTTAGCGTTGTATCTTAATAACCATCAAGGTGGCTTACCCAGGGTTTTCTAATGCTCAGCACGCCCAGGAATTGTAATATGGTAAATGTCATGTGGGCAAAGTGATTGCGTTTAAAAAAAAATCTGTCAGTGACTGCATTTTTTTCCTGTTATTTAGGCATATTGATAATATATAGACAGCCTCCTTTAGGAAATATGTCATGATTTTTGATGTATCTTTTCTTATCGATTATAACTTAGAATTTTTTAAAAAGTCCTTTAAAAAATCCATATCTAAATTTGGAAGGCCGAGTTTTGTAATTTCAAACACATTACTCCATTTTTAGAAGTGCCTTGTTTGATTAAGCTCATTAGCTTGGGTATATGGGCAAAAGCCATTGCAACTAAATTAATTTTGTATAAAACAATTGTTGTTTCTTATCAGCTTCTCTTTCAATGTGTTCTTCTAAGTGAATATTTTACGTGGGAACAAATACAAACACAGTTTTTATCATCTTGTGACGTGTAAAGGATGATAGACTATATGTTTCCAATATAACTTTTATTTATACAACCATTATTTACACAATGTGTGGTTATATTTATTATTTATTGTTTTCACCACCCCTCATTCCTCAAAAGCTTAGAAACAGCTTACAATAATATATACAATGATATGTGATGCATATACTTTGGAAAATTCATTAAGAATCTGCCAAATTAATTCAATACTGATAAATGTTGTAAAGATAATAAATGCCTGTTATTATTTTGAGCTTTTAGGTCACTGTCCATCATATATATATATATATATATATATATATATATATATATATATATATATATATTGCACTGAATACGAAATCATAGTGGCAGACCTCTTGGCTTACAAATGGCTAATTATATTCATTTCCTGATTATACTTGGGGGAGTCATTGCTGATTATCTTCTGCAAATCTTGCTTTGTGAGTTCTATTGACATTCAAACAGAATGGGCTATAAAGTCATTTGTGGTTATTACTCAACACCTTTTGTCTAATTTCCCTTCCCCATGTAGCCTATCACCCAGCAGGAGATCTTTCATGTCAAAGTACTTAATTACCTCGCCCGAATCAGTGAAGGTTAAAAACAATACAAAACAACCAAACAAAACAATACAAAAAACAAATATGGCATATTTATATAGCTTTTTTACCCTGATTCATAATTTGCTTTTACATGTTTGACTGGAGGCTAATTTCAGAGCTCAGTGGAAGTCAAAGAAGCTGTCTCGAAGGCAAGGCAAATCTAAGATATTACCACCTGTCTTGTTCTTGGAGCCCTGCCCTGTTGGGAGGTCAGGAGACCATGAATTGGGAAAGAAAGATGCTATGTCTGCCACATGTTTTATGAAACAGTGGTGTGTGTGAAGGTACTCATGTTTATGTATACGTTAAAGAGAGCAAACATCTTATTTGTGTATGTATGGATATGTGCATTGTATGTAAGTTTGTATGCATACGTGAAAATAAATAAAATACAAATAAAATAATTCAATTAAATGCAATCTGTGTCCTCTGTGGGCAAATAATGAAGACTTACACCGTCTTATATTTTTACCCACTATATAATGCTGTGTCTTTGTAGATCTAGAGCAGATAAAGCCCACTGGATAGGTATAAATCTTTATTCCCCAATACCAGAACATTTTTCCTCAAATGAATTCTATTTTTTTTCCTTGCAGCTGTGAAGCTTTTCTGGATAAGGGTCAAGGATATCCTCATGACTAAATGGTAAGCTTTTTATTTAGAAACGAAGATTTACTCCCCTAGTCCTGCTCATCACCAAACCAAATCGTTTTGTGTTTCTCTTCTTTGCAATATTGCACATAGCGAATTTCGTATAAATATTCCTGTGAAAGGGGAATTTCTCCCTTTCCTCTTCAAGGCTTTTACTTGTAGAATACATTGTTGGTTTGGATGCTGTTACTGCTCCTGACCTCCTCCCCTTGTTTTTAGAAGCACCATGTGACCCTAGAAAGGCAATGCTTTGAGTGTGTTTCTACTTCACCTGTGAGAAAATCTAATGTATTTCATCATTAGACTCCTGTGGAAATATACAATGAAAGTAGGGGAACTGGTTAGCGCCAGAGGCAAAGTACTACTAACTCATCCCAAAAGATTGCTTTTTGATTAAGGGGCTCTTGCTGTAAGGTGCTCAGTCTTTCTTGCAGCTGATATGAACTGCTATTCTTGGCTGTATAACCTAAGTTGAACATCTGATTTTTTATTTTAAAGAAACAGCAATTATATTAAGGAGTCCTCATTTGAGGTATAATTCTTGAAAATTTCAAGTAGAATTCAATAAGCTGACTGAACATTATGCCAAAGAGTTAGGCAGAAATTCGTAAGGGAGAGAAGGTGGTGGGGAAAGATAGAGGGAAATTCTACCCTAAATGTTTCACAGGTAAATGGGACCGTGTCAAAGATAATTCAGACTAGAAATCTGCTCTGCTTTAAGAAAATGAATGGTGGTCCAATGAAAAGCTGAGCTTAAAAAACATAATTTTTTTCTTCTTTCTCACATGCCCTGAAGAGTTAAAATAGCTTGTTCTTAGTTTTGTGACGAGAGAGAGAAGGAAGGGAAAGGGAGTAGGGGTAAACCCAGGGCAACTATATAATTTATTGTCCAAACTAGGATGCTTTTGGAGTTAAAGGTACTCTAATAATAATTACACCAGATTAAAGGCATAAATCGGGACTCTCACAGGCAAACTGGGATGTTTGGTGACCCCTGGGAAGTACAATGAATGGGGCTTTATGTCCCTGGTCTTTTAGCCTTGCTGTGACCATGAGCTCACAGTGGAAGCATCATTTCTATTGATGGCTTTTTTTTCTTCAAGGTTTCTGATCATAAACTGTCTGTGGTATAGGCAATCTCAATTATACTTTGTGGTGGGATAGGTTTTCTGTTCTTGGCATTCTGTTATTAGATTAACAAGCATTTTATTGTTTCTTTTGTATATGAGCTTTTCATATTTGGCACAATTGGAATGTGAAAAAAGAAAAAGTATTTAATAGGACAGCTGAAAAAGAACATCAAAGCCCACTATTTGAGTTATCTTTAACTGTTAGCTATCTTTTGTTCTTCAGAGCCCATCAATCTATGAATTCTGTCTCTTTTCTTTATATAATGATACTGTTTTCTCATTTTCGCTGGGAAAGGAAGAAGGCAGAAAGAAACTTGTTGTGATTGTTTTCTAAAAATCCCAGTGATTTTTCTTTCGCAGTAGGGCTTTTTCAAAAATGAAATGTATAATAATTTTAGTATATAATTTTGGCCTGACATGATAGCCTTTGACATTTCTTAAACAAAGTTTGAAACTAAAGAGATCAATTTGAAGCAAGGGTGATTGTGTACTAACATTAGGAAGATGTACTTTTTTTGGTTTTATTCATCAGCTTTAGGGCTTTTAGATGGTGGCTTTCAGTCACATTTTTTATGAAAAAACAAGACTCATGTAAATAACTGCAAGGCTCTTGTATCAGTTCGAACCCAGAGAGCGTGCCAACAAACAACACAATGTGATGTGGAGCAACACGCTGTTTTAATGAGCGCCTGGGTGCAGACGGGCTGAGGCCTAAAATGGCATCAGCACCAAACGAGGATGGGGCAGGGGTTTTATAGTCTCCTGTAAACAGGAAATGTCTCAGTCTGATGTAACTGCTACGCGGTACCCTGATGGCCTCTCTCTGGGTCTTCAGGGGGTACCTGTCTTTGGGCCAGCTCTCTTCCTGCTTCTGCTGTCTTGCTGACACACGCTGCTGGCGCAAGTAGTCTTGCACCTTGGGACTGAACCTGAGAAAGGAGGAGTTATTCCTTCTCTTAAGTTTTCAGGCCCCGGGGAGAATCCTTCAATAACAAGAAAGTTCACTTGAGGAAAGAAAAGTGAAAATGAAGCTAAGTCATTGATTTAAAACATCATATGGTCAGATTTCTTGCAGGCATTTTGGATATATTATGCTTGATGAGAGAGCAAACAAGCCAACCAACAAACCCAAACAGTGATGTCACAACTTATTAAGACCTTATCAAATGCCAGACCCTGTGCTAAGGGTTTTATTTACACTGCCTCACTTAATTCTTACAGAAATCCTATTACGGATACAATTTCTTTATAAGAGATCTTAAGAAAATATCAAAACTCCCAGAAGGTAAGTCACTAGACCTAGTTCGCAGAGAAATGAGAAAATGAAATTCAGAATGAGAGTATATTAAACTGGTACAGCTATCTACTATTTATAAGTGAGAAGATTTAGGTAAAATTTTAAAAAGGTCAACGTATTTTTGAGAATAATTTTCTGTTTGAATTAATAAATACGGAATATATATTTTAAACACTAGATTTTCAGTAATTCAAAAAAAGCATTAAAAAATGAAAGGCAAGAGAAGTGTGTCATTAAAAATGTAACTTTTAGCTTTTCCCTTGGCACGAAACTCTTCCCCATCTCCCTTGCACAGAACATCTCCCTGAGAGAAGAAGAACAATATCCCAAGACTAGGTATAGCAGCTCTTAACACCTCTCAGTTTATTCTCTCCTCTAGAATGACAATTCACTATTCATCTTTCCCGTCATCTGTCTTTTTCTCTAAAGATCCTGAATCACTTCCTCTTTTTTGTTTTCTTTTTTTTTGCGGAGTCTTGCTGTGTCGCCAGACTGGAGTGCAGTGGCGTGATCTTGGCTCACTGCAAACTGCACCTCCAGGGTTCAAGTGATTACTCCTGCCTCAGCCTCCCCAGTAGCTGGGATTACAGGTGTGTGCCACCACGCCCAGCTAAATTTTGTATCTTTAGTAGAGACGGGGTTTCACCATTTTGGCCAGGATGGTCTGGATCTCTTGACCTCGGGATCTGCCCGCCTTGGCCTCCCAAAGTGCTGGAATCACAGGCGTGAGCCACTGTAGCCGGCCAACTCTTCCTCTTTCTAAGACCCATCAACTTGGTAACTCCCACCAATAAATGAGTGTTGAATTAAACTGACTGAACTGAATCACATCTCTCCAAACACTGGTCTAGCAGCAACTGACTTCCCCATCTCCTGTATCTTATTTGTTCTGCTTGAGAGAAAAGAAAACTGTAAATCAAAAAGAAAATAAAATGTTTGACAATTCCTAAATCCTGTTATAGAAAATAATCAAAAAGTATTGATGACATTTGGGGCCATGGCTTATAAAAATGATGACTTAGCGTGGACTGCCAAAAAGTACCCGCTCTGGGCAGGCTAAGTATAAAACACAGCTTCCTATGGCAAGATGAAACCCAGGGGTGTTTTGTCCTCTTCCTCTACCCTTCAGAGGGGGCAGTACAGTCCTCCTTTGGTATCCCTAGGGACTGATTTCAGTACCCTCTAGGATACCAAAATCTGCAACGTTGAAGACAGTGTGGTATTTGCATGTAACCTATGCACATCCTTCGGTATAGGTTAAATCATCTCTAGATTACCTATAATATCTAATACAGTGTAAATGCTATGCAAACAGTTGTTATACTGCATTTTAATATTTGTATTATTTTTATTGTTCTATTTTAATTTTTTCAGAATATTTTTGATCCATAACTGGTTGAATACATGGATACAGAACCCACAGATATGGAGGGCCACTGTACTGAGTCTTATATGCTTTAGTGGGTACTCTCAGGGCTCTGGTGATGGTGAGAACGTTTTTAGTTCTTGTATATTAAGTAAGGATGATGCAGAAGAAAACACTTCTATAGGAGACCAAAGAATGTTCATTTGTAAAGCCACTTTTCAATTTACTTATGTTTTGGAAAATCAGTAATGAATAGAATTAGCTATAAAATTGTTAACACGCATTAGCAATCACATTTGGCACCAGTCAGGTCTGTGTTCAAATGTTGAACTTATCACTATTAGCTGTGTGACTTTGGATGTGTTACTTAACTTCTGTAGCCTCATTTACTCATCTGAAAATGGGACAGTAAATTTCTACCCCCAGGGTTGTAGGGAAAGATTAAAATCATGAAAGTAAGTTTCTGGCACAGAGAATACCTTCAATTTTTGCTCATTAGTATAGAAGGCAAATATGCTCGGCTTCTGAATTTTAACAATGCACTCATATTTAGCATATCAATAAGCACTATTAAGGAATAAATGAAAATTATAGTGTTATATTAAAAAAGTGGGCAAAAAAAGTGTTAAATTCTGGTTTAAGAGTAGTAGCCTGTGCAATTTTATAATATGTGTCATTTTTTGTTTTATAGAAATGTATAATGCTAGTACTAATATTTCTTAGTGATGGTTCATTGCCCCTCATCATGTTAAGAGTAGAGATATTTAGGTGGAAACTGTATTTCACGTATCAGAGTGTAATCTAGCATGTCAGTTACACTTGCTCTATAAAAGGAACCCTTTTAATAAATAACCATAATGTAAATTGTGCTTTAAAATGTAAAGTTATTAGAACATTTGCTGGACAATCTGTTTTTTATTAATATAAGTTAAATTTAATCTATTTGTGATGAGCACTTTATTTGGTCACATTTTTCTTACAGGAAAGTCTTATAATGACTTGTGGAGTTAATGACAAGGCCAAATTACACACAGAGTTAAGAGATAGGTAATATTTCTAAAAAGACTGCCTTTATGAACCTGTAATAAATTGATTCCTATCTTTCACTAATGACCTGAAAAACAACCAAAACCTGTGCCATTTCAAACAAAACTGAGTTAATTACAGTAATTCTTCTATTTTATGCAGAGGAGATTTCCTTTTAGTTATCACATATCCATGATTACAATATGTGCAGATCCATTTTGATGTGTATAAAATATTGTTAGAAAGATTTGCTGGGTATTCATTTAAAACTAAGAAATGCACTAAAATAGTAAAATTTTTAAGGCAGATTATGAAGGATGTATTATATAAATGGGAAAATTCTCAGCCCTACTCCTTACTTAAATTAGCAATGCAATTCTTTTTATGAAAATAATGGGGTAAGTTTTACAGTACTGTCCTGTAAGCTTCTTCATATTATTTACTACTTGCATAATGACCACAGTATTATTTTATAAATATTATTGTTTCGCATTTGATGCTAGAGAATATGTGAGTTGAGCTTTAATAACAAAAAACATTTCTCACCTTCCAAACGTGCATTTCCTCACATTCATGGTTCCAGTGTAACTGAAGTATAAATGTAAGAATAAAAAAAAAACCAATAAATAAAAAAAGAATAAAAGACAATGTCAGGTTTTCAAGATATAGAAGACTTGCCTGGTCAACTGGGTTGGGGATGCAGCTGAGGGTCTTTGTAACATGGCTTGCCACTCAGGGAGGCTCCATCATGGGATTGTAGTGCTTTTTCAAGCTGTCTGATGAGAGACCTTTAACTTGCAATGTCTAGGTATTGCAATGCCTTCTTCTCATCACGGTTGCTAAAAACACACAGCTTTTTGTCAGGCTACAGAATGTTTTAATTCCCAATGCAAATCTGGGTGACATGTTTGTTACGCTAGCGGATATACCTGACAGATCCTATTCTGAGTTTTCCAGGAAAAAACACAGGGCAGCACGTTGGCGGGCTATCAATCCTTTTATGTGAGCATGCCTTTTAGTAATCGGGGAAACCGTTTCAAACCAGAACTGATTTGATATAAAAATAATTTGCAAGTTGTGTTTGTATAATTCCTAAGGTAAGATCATCTTAACAGATCTAGTTGTTAGTTATAAGGATGGTTTTATGGTTTGCATGAAGCAATAAATGATAGTAAAGGCAAATAAAAATAAAGCTTTCATCACACCTTTGTTAACCTTTAGAAATACATTCATTGAATTTTTAAGTTACTTACACGTATGTATACAAAATGTGTAAAGAATTATGGTACATGCATTCACCTAACTTATAAAACAGAACAATTACATACACGTTTCTGAAACCATAAATCATAGGTGTTCATGAAAGTATGCTGAAGTATTTAGTATTCTGTGCAAACATAGATATTAAGAAAGCTTTCCTTGAGATTTAAACTCCATCCTTTATTTATAATGGCATACATTGCCTTTAGCCACCAGAACACAGGTTCAAATTCAGGTCGCTTCTATGTGAGGAAACCTACCTGAAATGAATTGTTGGTCGCAGTATTTAATAATGTTATGGGCTTGACTGTGTATGCAGTGTCTCTAGGAAATAAAGTTTCTTGAGCCTAAAAGCAGATTTTAGATAATAGTACACTATGTTCCAAATTTCCCATTTCTGTTTTTAGATTAAAAGAAAGAAGGATGCCAGTTAAGCCAGCTTTGAAAAATTTTATTAATTGTACATAGTACCACTACAAAGATTTTAAAACGTTTCTCAACTACAAAGAGTTAATATTTGCAAGGTTTCAGCAGTATTCTTAATTCCTTTTCTATCTCATCCTTTACATCTTTCACTTGCTTTGTTTCATTCTCATATAAATATCTTCATTTTGAATTTATCTTCCCCAATTTCATATTTATTATCTGAGACTGTTCCGTATATGTAAATGTACGCAGAGCTAGTAGTACAAGACTAGAGAGAAATAGGTTAGAATTGAGCATGTATCCTTTTAATCTTTTCATTGAACATGCAAGAAGCATATTTAGAGCACTTTAATCTTATTTGAATTAATTGTTGTGTTGGTTCAATTAATATGTTTGAATTTCCTTATTCAGGGGCAAAATTGTGATAAAGTATTTAAATTTCTATTTGCAGCCCTTACTGTGTGGCATGCAAAAAGCAGCTTATCTTGTTTCAATTTGCAGGCCACAGAATCTATTTTCCTTTTAATATAGGTACAAGAAAGACTAAGTACCTTGCCTTACTGCTATAAGAGAGAACATTCTGGGACCACAAACACATTGAAAGAAGATGTTGAATTAACTGGGGATGTTCTGCTTTATTTTAAATATTTTTACTGCTTGGTAAGATAGTAAGATATATCATATTACTCTTTGAATTATTTGCTATTGTGAAGATTCGGCAAGTCAATGAAGAAATGCCTTTTGAATTTTTTTCTTTATTATTATAAAGTACCTGCTGGAAGGCTCAGGGATATCTAGGTTAATGTGTTTCTATTTCAGTACCGAAAAAACAAACGTGAGCTCTTGGAAGGGTCGTGTTCACATCCCGGTTGACAATAATTTCATAGGAGCGAGCACCTGCTGAAAAGCTGTGGGTTCTGTGGTAGAGCAAGGGGAGTGGGGGGAGAGAGGCTTTAAACAAAAACTTTAACTGTAAAAGAAACAAGTTTTTCCTCTGGGAAATTACTCAGAGTGCAATACAAGCATATTTTTCTAATTAAATAGATTAGTTTATGCCTTTGGCACTTAAAAGAAAGTCCTTAGATCCACAGCCTCCTGAGTTACAAGTATTTCCCGGGTTAATTCTCTCGAAATTAAATCTGGCCCTGCTTCTTGCCATTCTGTTACATTTTTTTTTTCTATTCCTTTTTCTCTTTTCACCTATGGTTCATTTCCTTCTTTCTCTCTATGATCTGTCCACCTTTCTCTTTCCTATCCTCAACTCTTCTGTCTGTTGAAATGAGACCAGCTCCAACATTGAAATGAGACCAGCTCCAACATTCCTCTCCATCTTCGTACCTTGAGTCAGAATGAATCACTGCATAGCCCGTATCTCCATAGGACTCATTTTAGCCTGCCTGCCTTGAATTGGTTGCCCACTTGTCCATCCCTCTGACTGACTGCACTGCGGGCAACTTGGAGGCAAAGGTGCCATTTGCCCCCTCCAGCCTCCAATGTCAGACATACGGTTTTGCATAGAGGAGGCGCTCAGAGGAGGTTGAACTTAACGCTTGTGGTTAATGTTTATCAATGAATAAGTCCTCAAAATCCGTAAAGATCATTTTCCTTTTTCTTTTTAAATTCACAGCCTTCCTCTTTTACTTTTGCCTTTTTACATCTGTCTCCTCATCGCCTGTTCACTCACTGAGACACCCGTAAGTGCCACTACAGAGAGGAGGAGAGAGCTGTGTGTGTGGAGGGTGTCTCCACACTGCCTGTGTGCAGTGTGTGCTGCAGATGTACAGGATTCGCTGATCCCCAGAAGAGGACTGAAGAGAGACCAGAGCTGAGTGAGAAATCGTATTGTACTAACAAGCAGTCATTGGGAAATCATTTCAAGACTTTGACAATAATTTCCCAGCAGTTGGTTGTCTAGAAAAGGGAAGGAAAAAAGGAGAGAAAGCAATAGTATTTTATACTGAATACTAAATAATTCCATATGACAATGCAAATCAATTTTGAATGCTAGAAACTTAGAAATTAAAGCCCACTCAGCCATTAGGTTGTCTGTCTTGATCAAGAAGGCGTGGAGAGTCTCTGCCTCGGAAGGAAATGTAGAAAAGGAATTTGAAGGAGGGAGGCTTAAAAGAAGAGCATTTTTCAGTTTGTTCCAAATGAAAGCCACTGCAAGTCAGTTACACAGAGCTAATGTATCACTAAAATGGGATAAAGTAAACAAAATGTTAGATGATGCCCTGGCATTTAATACTGTGGAAATCATCTTATATAAAGATTAAAAGAAGGAGGCATTAAAATCCCAAATAGCATGACTTTATGAAATGGATCACTTAGAAATGTGGTTTGTGGTTTCATTTTGTATGACACATTGGCATATATACACAAAACAAATTGCTTTGCGTATTGTAACATGCATTTCCAAGATCTCCTGCTTTTGGTGAGTGCTTTACATAAGTGGTTTTTATGTTTGCACCTTTACTGATGGGAATTCGTTTATAACCTACTGCAGTGGACTTTTTGACTGTCCTTTTTGATGAACTGCTTTTCAGTTCATATAATTTTTTTGAGGCTTCTGTGTCGTTAAAGACTTCTTCAAATGCTGCATATTATAACAGAAAATTGCACTGAGGAAGAAGGCTGGAGTCAAGGTTAGATAAAGAAAAACAAAATATTTATATTTCTTTCTTCTATATTTTTTAAACCAATTGAAAATGGCCACTGGTTTATTTTGTAATATTGTGAAGTTTGAGTTCATAGGAAAATTTACTGAGAAAAGTAAATGGAAGTTTTCCACTTCTAAAAAAAAAAATACAGTTTACTAAAAGATATACATTGGCTAGCAGTTGAGAGGTTGGCAAGATGTCAAGGCCAAAGTCAGATTCGTATTTCTTGCATTGTCTGTCAATCACTTTCTAGGAGTAATGTAGCCAAAAAGGAGTCATATCCCTGCATCTCAGTCTTACCACCAGGGGCATGAGAGCTGCTTGGAAAGAAATTAGAACACTTCCCTGCTTCCCGATGGGCATCAGGGGCAAGGATCCCAGCTTTTGCATAGGACCTCAACATTCTTTTCTCCCACTGCTGATTTCCTTTATACCTCTGCTTCGGCTCATTTCTGGGTGAGTTTGGTGGCCCTGTGCCAACCTTTCAGTAAATCTAAGGGACTCAGCTAAAGACAGAGAAACTATATCATTATGATAGACACTTTATTTATTTTTAATAGACCAACAAGGCAATATAGCATCCTTATGGAGATAAACAGTTATTTACTTTACACAAGCTCCATAAACAACCCATTTGCCACCAGGACTGCCCCAGGTATCTGTGCACATCGACTGAAGGGGCCAAATTCAAGTGTCACTTCTTCCCTGAAGCCTCTCTGGGTACTCTGCTTGATGAGATTTCTCCCTGTACTGAAAGCCTATTGTAATGTATTTGTTTTCTGTAGCATATAGTTAATTGTAAATAACATGTCCTTCATCCAGAGATGTGAGGAAAATCTCACAGCACTTAGTTGAGTTGCTTGATGCTAGAAAAAAGGTTCATGGTTGTGTAAAAATCAAGGCAGGACTTATTACATGTGCAGTTTATTGAACACCTACTATATACCACACCATGAGTTAAGTGCTGGGCATCCAAAAGTGGATAAGACCTTTAAAGGGCTTACATTTTAGCAGGGAGAACAAATTTATAAACATAACGATTACCTTCTATACAATATGATATGTTGAGTCATAACTATATACACAGTTCTGGGGTTGTCCAGAAATGCATCTGATGATTTCTATCTTGGATTTAGAAAATGGTACCTACAGGGAGACTTCTCTGGAGATTCTTATTTCTCCCAGGCTTGAAGACTGACAATGATATTTGTTGTTTTTTTTTTTTTTATGTAGAAAAGTAAAAGAAAAGACATTCAATGCATAGCCACAGAAGCATGAAATGGCATATTGTGTTTAGGAGCTATGTGGACTTGTGAATTGCTGGAATAGTATTGCAGAAAATGACATTAATAGTAGAAAAAAAAAAAAACCCCACAGAACTAGAAGCTAAACAAGCAAGCCAGAGATGCAGTCATGAAAGGCATTGCTTATCCAGGGGACAGCAGATAAGAATGAGCAAAGGCTGGCGCAGTGGCTCCCACCTGTAATCCCAACACTTTGGGAGGCAGAGGTGGGTGGATCACCTGAGGTCAGGAGTTTGAGACCAGTCTGACCAACATGGCGAAAACTCATCTAGTAAAAATACAAAAATTAGCCAGGCATGGTGGCGCTGCCTGTAGTCCCACCTACTCGGGAAGCTGAGGCAGGAGGATCGCTTGAACCTGGGAAGTGGAGGTTGCAGCGAGCTGAGATCATGCACTGCACTCCAGCCTGGCTGACAGAGAAAGACTCCATCTCAAAAAAAAAAAAAAAAAAAAAAAGAAAAAGAAAATTAGCAAAGTCGCCATGAGAGCAGCAAGAGATGGCATCTGAACAGGAGGAAGAATGTAAAACCCTATACAGTGTGGGTAGAAAAGTGTTACGTCTAATGTCTGAGGCCACTGAGTGTCCAGGAAGGTGGTTTCTCAGGGCTCAACAACTCCTGGAGGAACCATGCTGCCACCCCACAGTACGGTGATTGAAATGCAGAGTGATGATCCTGAGTCATCGAGGAAAGGGAAAATTCTGTACAATAAGCTATGTTTATGAAGTCAGGGAAGTGTGTAATACAGTTTAGAATGCCATCAAACAATGAATATCAGAAAAATGTTTTTGGATGCTTACAGATATGTCAATTCATAAATGTATGAATCCTCTTATTTTCTGACATGGCCAGCTATTTTAGGCATTACTATAGTCTATGCTCTCTCTTCATATCCGTGTTAAAGTAGTTTTACCTCATAGAGTTTAAGCTCCTCATTGACAGATACCTCACCTCATACTCCTCACATCACTAAAGCCAATGCTGGAGATGCTTTAGGTCATCAATAAATCTTTTATGATTGTTTCTAGACCAGGATCCTGTTCACCAGTTATTGAATCTGTATTGCCTCCTGGTTCTTGCTGACTTGTTTATGGGATATCTCAGAATAGTCATTTGAAACCTTCTACGATTATCTCACAAGGAATAAATTCATTAACTGTCCTTTATTTTGAAGATTAATTGGTTCCTAGGAAACTAACAGTGGAAAGATGACATTGTATAGGGGAAAGAGAAAGAGTGTCAATTTAGGACCTAGAGAGCTTTTGATGCCAGCCACCCCTCGCTGGGGGAGCAGTTCTGGTGGGGAACCTTAGCCAATATGCAATCGTTGTGAGCCTCACTTTCTCTTCATGTAAAAAGACAATAGATACAAAGAATCTTCAGAGAACTTATAAATAAGAGATATTATTTTGGTAAAGCACAAAGCATACAGTCTAGTACAAAGTAGGCATTCAATAAAGAGTAGCTATTAATATTTTAAAACTATGCTTAAGAACATTATGTTTTTAATAACACACTTAAAAGGTATATGACATGCTTTTGAGAAAAGGTGAATGACAGTGAAAGTAGTTCACTAAATATGAACCCATGGTAACCTATTTTATTTTTCTATTTGCCCCTGAAGTGGATACCAGTGGCATTTCAAATCACCTGAGGTCAACATTTCCCTGTGATATCCTCAAATAAGATAATATAGAATACACCTTAACTTTGTTTTGGGGAATTTTTAGATCTTTAATTATGACAAGCCCAATGTAAAGTGAAGAAAGAAAGAGACAGAAGTAGCAGACCCACAATTTAAAATATAACAATGGAAACCAATGGAGAAGTAGATCTTTTGGAACACAGAAGAGCTGACAGAGACTGAAAGTTCTGCAAGGGATGATACTGAGCTACTGACTGTGAATCAATTCTCAGAACATACATTCTGTAACAGGAAACTTATTTTAAACATATTTCTCATTTTTAATTCTTACTACAAATTCAAAATTTTGTGATTATAATCATTCTCTTGTTTTAATCCCCCATTTTCCTGTAGGAACACAGAGCACTGTTTGTGACCAAGATTTAGCACCTTATTTTCTTGCTGATCTATTCAGTATAAATGCATTTTTATGTCTGAATTTCCAGAAGTGGTTTTCTTTCTTTCTTTCTTTTCTTTTCTTTTTTTTTTTTTTTGACATTGATGATTAAGAAATGGCAAAATGACACCTGGGCTTCTTTTTCCTGGTCAAAAAGAGCAAAGTACATATTAGTAGTGACTGCCTATTTTAAAATCCCCTTTTTCTTTGTCTGTCGAGCTGTCTGTAATCATCAGAGTGGAAAATAACTTTGAAAGCTCAAGCTCAGGGAAAAAGGGAGATTTAGTACCTCAGTATGGCAAAAGAAGTGGCAGTCAGGAGAGCTGCTTTTTTGAAACGTAAGTTTTTACCCAGTGTTGTAAAGTTCTACAAAATGTATGACCACATAGAGTAAATTCCAGATTGGCCTGCTTGACCTACAGCTTTTCAGGTAAATTTTGCCACGTGGATAGCTAGGGACAGAGCAGGTGGTTAGTCAGAGAAAGAGAGAGAGATTGAGAACAGAGGAGGCGAGGAGTGGAGAGAGGAAGGGAGGAGAAGAGGGAATAGAAGAGGTGGCGAGGGAAGGGGAGAGGAGGGAATAGGAGGAGAAAGGAGGGTCAGGAAAGGGAGAGAAAAAGAAAAGAACGGAGGGGAGAGGGAAGGGCAGGGGGTGGGGTCCGGGGGGCGTGGGAAGGTAAAATTTACTTCCATCCAAAAAATCTGAAAGGCAAACTTGAGTCTGGCTCAATTCAATTTCGTTAATGACCGCAGTCTGTTTGCCTCAGCAAATTCACCCTGTATATTTTGTGCATGAGAAATGGTGCTTCCTGTTGTCTTTTGTTTGCTTTTCTTCCATTTCCCTCCATGGTGTTCATTCTGTCATCTGTGCCAGACACTGTGAAAATACCTTAACATTCCTTGCAGGCCTTAAAGACTTTTTTTTTTTTTTTTTGGTATGTTGAACTTAATCTTTTCCAGCTTCTTTTCTATTAAGGTTGTATGGAGGTTTCAGTTATTTTTCTTTGTATTTCTTTTCTCCTGCTGTTGCATTTGTAGACACACTGTCTCGTTGCTCTCTAAGATGTGATGTATTATGCATGTCTTTTCTAGTGGATTGGGGTAGAAAAGCAAAAAAGAACTGGTGAGCTAGAAGAGGTCATAGCCTCTGAGGAATGCCCACCAATGACAGTGCTGACTGGCTGCGTGGATGGTCTGGAGGGGACTGGCTTCGGTGGGAGTCAGAAAAGAACATTTGTTTTCTTTCATCCAGGAGCCTGAATGAAGAGCAATTTTTCTGTTTGTTACAGTGATGGGTAATTTGGAGCACTTCCCTTTGCATGAAGAAATTTGCTATTCTAATCAAAATCTCGTCCCTTTCTACAAATCATTATAAGATACTTATGAAAATAGGCAGATTCAGATTTCCTGTTTGAATTTTTGTCAGCTCTCACTTTTATGCTCATTTGCAGAATCACATAACTATGAAAGGCCAATTAGCTCTAAGTCCCCAGAAAATGACAGAATAAATTGCTTTCTTCCTAGCAAATCAAGAATAATATTGTGGGTGCAGTGCAAAAGTGTCCACCCAGAGATTTCAGTTCATTTTATCAATCTAATAGAGTGCTTTAGGCCTGTCTTTTGTGACTCAGACTTCCAGTATCCACTTTCCTGTCAGGGCTCTTATATAACACTTCTCTACTTTTGTGTTAAGATAGGATAAATCTGTAAATTTAAGCGGTGCATTGGTCAAGATGCTTACTGTGGAATAGATCTCTCGCCCCAGTCAAAATTTATTGAAGTCAAATCAAGGAATTTAGAGAATTCTCTTTAGCAAGGTTGAGTGCCACAAGTTAATATCCCTAAATGCAGCATAGTGGGCATTTGAGATTTTTTCCACAGAGGGTGGCTGGGATGATATAGCTGTTATCTGCAATAGCTATGCAAATATGACTGGAGACCATAACATAATTGAGGTTTTCAAAATCTAGCCACCTCAAAAGATTTTCAGCAGATTACAGCTTCTCTGAGGTATTGCTCCTGGACATGCATGTAGGAAAGTTGCTTTCTTTCTCCATATTTCTCTTTGTGAATCTTCTCTATTTCTTAAAGACTTTACCCCCAAGTTGTCTTGAGTTACTCCACTATGCTCAGAAATCTCAGGGCAGCCCAAAGAAAAGAAAGGCAATTATTTCAGCTGTGGGCAACCATTGGGCAAGGCTTATAGCAGCTCTGGGGGAGGCCATTCCCAGTCACTCGCAGGACTAGGATTCAAGGTAAGTTTTATCACTGAAGGAACAATGCATCTTTCTTGTTTTATGCTCTCAGAGTCTCCTCTGAAAGACCCCTTACCGTGTATTGTATTGCCAGAAGTATTATTCTGGTGCTTTAGAAGGGAGGACAGAATAACCAGGGGCTTGACTTGGAATTAGTGTTGAATTATTTTGTTTTCTTAAGTCCACTGAAAGACGATGAATTGCTAATCATGTCTTGTTCATATGTTTCACCTACATTGGTATAAATGAATTGAATTCAGTCTGTGCTATTAAAATGAATGAAATATTTATTCACCATAATCAGGAACTTAGGCTGCAACTCAAGTTTTCTTGTTATGGAGAATGGATACAGGATATTTGAAGAGTTTTGTTCTGGATTCCCATGGGGTTACATACAACATTTATATTAATACCCAATGAGCTCGACATGATTAGTGTCATTACAATGAATTCCAAAGGGATTAATGAGGATTTACTATTTGTAGGGAGCTGTTGCTATGCAGAGACTGCCATTGCACAATTCTAAGGTGGCCTCATTTTGTCGGAACTTTTGGATTAGAGATACTCAGTAAAAACATCTGTACACTGTTATAAGATTTACATTCTTCCCCTTGTTAGAGATGACATTGCTAACTCTACCGCACTACTGGGGCTCATTTAATCTAGCAGTCATTTCAGCAAGCACTTCGTAAAAAACAATTATTGAATTAATTGTGTGGTTTCCAGTTCAGTATTCATTTGTGATATCCCTTCCACCTGTAAACTCCTCTCCCAGTTGCCTTGTAGAGGTGAAACTGGATAATTTCACAACCTATAAAATATGTGTTCTTTTTGTTATAATAAAATCTATGACAAGAACTCTACTGGTAGAGAACATACAGTTCTGGTATCATTTTGTCCTGCTTTGGGGAAATAAAACCTTGAAAACTTACCAGATATAAGTTCATTCAAACTCTGCCTACCTTTCTGCTGTCCTTCCATGAAAGAACTCCTTCACAAACCCTCCCACAGAAATTCAAAAATTCACTGAATGTTTTCTTCCTTGATTTATTTTTAACTATATCAGAAAAGAAAAGCGAGCACTCGAAGCCTGAACCTATTTATATGAAGGAGGAAAGCGATTAATCTTCCCAAATTCTCACACTTTTTTTTTTTTTTTGGACTGGAGCTTCTAAGTTGTACTTTTGTTTGAATTGTTTGTATTTCCCAAAACTTCACAAGGTTGAGCTGGGCACCTTTGTTTCTAAAGTTTATATTTAACCCATTTCCTAAAATGTGCACTATATGTGATGAGAGAAAAGAGCTGCAAAGATGAACCAGACTGGCAAAGAGCAGCCTTGGAACTGAAACGTGTGAGACTAGAGCACAATAAATTTAGGAATGCAAAAATGAGGCCCTTTGTTTTATTTCTAAGTGATTTGAAACCTTAAACAGCTAAGGCACAGCATCAAGCAGCTCACTATTTCCATGTTTGACTTTTTCTCTTGAACCTGCAGACCCACAGAGCAATCAGACATCCATTTCATATCTTTAATACAGATAACATTTACCCTACTTACTTGACAACTTAAGGTGTAGATTAAACATCCTCTCATTCTAAAAGAATGTGTTACTTATTTTAATTGCATGGGTTGAATCCAAATCAATTATTCCCATGTAGAGGCTATATCCGAGGGTAAAACGTACATAGTTAGGAAAGTGTGTTGGGGAAGCTACATAGAAACAAACCTAGGGAGCTAGAAGAATCACACGGGAAGTTCCACCTAAACAAAACTGCGTTAGTATTTCGAAAAAATCAATGGGGATTGATGCAAAAAAATTTTAATTCATGTAAACCTTTGAATAACTCATGGCCTAGTGGATAGCAAGCTTTAGGAAGTGAGCTCACTACATTAAAGGAACAGTGATCACATGCATCCAGGCAACACCTGTCAATTCTAGCTGGAATCCACAACTACCACTGAGGGATACAAGGGGACAACAATGTGGACCCCTCACATGATTCCTAATGACGCTTAGTTTAAAATACAGTCAGAACACTAGGGAGACTTCGGGGGATGATGGAGCTGTTTTGTATCCTCATTATGGTAGTTATACCAATCTCTACATGTGCTAAAACACATAAAACTGATATATACTACAAGGAATCAATTTTACTATAGGTAAATTGAAAAATAATAATACAAAGAGTTATAGTTAAGCTACAGTTTAGGGTAGTTCTGTTGCATGTCACAGAAGAAAAAGAGGGACTTGATTGATAGATTAACCCATTAGAAAAAAGCTAAGAGAAAAAGTTTATGTAATAAGACATAGTAGAAATAGCAATTACGTTTTCAAAAAAGACACTAAAATCACGAAAAAGTGAATGTGCAAAGTTATTTGTTGGGATGCCCGATCAGCTTCTGAACAAAAAAGCTGACTCCCTAGCCAGGTGTTCAGCCCTCTTATGATACGCTCCTAATTCATCTTTCATGCTGCATCTCCCTCTGCAGGCCTCCAAATAATTTATCCACAGTTCAGAAATCTCAAAAGTTCTGAACACTCAATGTTCTTTCATAACTCATTTGGTGGCCAAACCTGATATCAGCTGATATGACACCATTTGTTTTTATGTCTGTCACTTAGTGTGAATAACTTTCATGTTGCTATAGAAATACCACTTATTTGATTACTAGGTGCTGCCTAGATCCCACAAGGTGTGTTTTAATATATAGCATATGAACTGAATTCCCTTTCTAAAATCTGAAAAATTCCGAACTCCAAAACATATCTGATCTCAAAGGTTTCTGGTAAAGGATTAAGGACTGTGTTTTCAAAAGACTTTCTGAACAAAACAGATAGTACCACCTACTTCTAATGGCATGTTTCATATGTTTATGCTTTAGCACTTTTGCTAATATCACTACCTGTGTCCTGATATACAGTTCTTCTAACTGAGCCATGTGAAAGAAAGTTTTAATGCCATTGCCTCCAAGAAGCCTTCTTTATATACCCCAAACTGACTTGTCAACTCTTTCTTTACTGATTCTAATGCTTATATCTCCTTTTGCATTGTAATTGTTATGACAATACAGACTTCTCTGATTAGCCCTGACAGTCTGGGGATGGTTATCACTGCAGCAGAGTTTGCACAAAAGATGTGGATTCACAACTAGTATTGAAATCAGAATATCTCTGCAGCAAAGGTTATTATCATAGCCACCAGGGCAAGGATGGAGACCAATGCTCTTGTGTCAAGGCTAGAAATAAAGAGTTGGTTGAAGCTGAGAACTTACTCTGGTGCTTGGCAGGAACAGGTTGGCATAAACATGGAAAACATGGTAAAAACACCCATAATAGGAAGATTAGCCACTGTATATTGGTTGATTACCCAATTGATTACCAGAGTCTCTGCAGATATATTAGAGTCATCATTTCATCTAGGTCTCAATTTTTAGAGTAGTTATTATCATCTCCATTTTAGAAATGAGAGACTAAAGCTCAGAGAGGGTAAGCCCTTGAGCAGTGTCACGTAACTAGTAAGAAGCAACGCCAAGACTTGAACTCAGTCTCTCTAACACACTGGTCCTTGTTCATAATCACTAAAGAATATTCCTTCAATTTGGGCAAGCAGATAACAATGATATATTCTGTTGAGATAGACACTTGAGTTGAGGACTTAGGACAGCATTCAGCATGGTTTTTAATGCATGGTATTTTACCAGTGGTGTAGTGTGGCTAACTGTGATCTTACATTTAGCAGCACTGGGGTTTTTCTTCATGAACTCTAAAGCTGCACGCTTCTTTAAACCTTACAATTCTCCTGTTTCTTAGAATGGGTTCTCTACTCCCAACTTGGGTAGCACATACACCTAAGACTGCTTTTTATGTGACACCTTAGCAAGAGAAAGGAGGAGAGAGATTAGACCACATCTAGGAGATAAAGTAGAGACAGAAAACTCTCAACTGTTGGAATTTTCTCTGTGTTTTCTTCAGGATATTACCTCTTTTGGAGTGCTTGAGCATGACAGAAAGCATAGTATCTTCATTCTTGTCCCCAGTAGTAAATAATACAGTATCCTGAATATAATAGGAAATAAATAATTGTTTATGAAATAAATTTTTGCTAGCAAAGATTAGTAGACATGGGCAGCTTGATAGGAACATATTGTTGTTGACACCTATTTCATAGTATGAGGCAGTTTATATTTTAAGCTTTGCAGATTTCAGAATAAAGTTTAGCTATTTATAAATGTTCAAGAAAGAGCTAATAAATTTTATCTTTCTTTAGCAGGGAAAATGTTGGAAACCACATAAATTTTCTCACAATATTATTTTATGATTTCTGTAGACTGAAGGATTTTTGACGTCTGGGATCCAATGGGAGAGCATCCCAATAGTGTCAACAAAAAGCTGACATTCTATATTCTGCTCCATTCAGCCTTTCATTCTGAATCCTATCTGTGTAATCTGCAACTTTCACTCCAGGAAAGGAGACTGTAGATGAATTAATGAGAATGGAGTTAGCATCAGTCCTTCTCAACATTTTATAGCAAGTAAATTAAAATCACCTGTTGGTCCAGCACATTAGCGTTGCTGGCTCTTTGCTCAAACCCTTCAGGATTAGTTTAAGCTCAGAGGGATAAATAGACATAAATAAAATGTATTTATTCATCTTTCATTTCACAAAGAAAATTGTAAAAATAGTTGAGAATTTTTCTTTTCTATTATATCTAGCTTTTCCTCTTCTTGAGAAGCAGAAAAAAAGTAAAATATAAGAGAACATGAAACTCTTACTTCTTTTGTTCTGTAATGTATAAGACATATTCAAATGTGGGCTATTCCTTTATTAATCAATAGAAATTGATAATGGAAATATGATCTTAGGTAGCCATATCTACTTTTTTACTGAATGCATGGGAGGTTGACTTTGGATCTCATTCGACTCTTACTTTAGGGACCAACCCGAGAAAAATCCTGGGTTTTTCCACATTGTTATACCAATATCTGTAATGAAGATACTTTTGTGATCTCTGAGAATGGACTGAGGCAGCTGATTCTCCCAGGACGTCTTTGAAGCATTATGGGTTATACCAACTACTCTCAGTGCTGCCTACGGTGATCTGACTTTACTCAGAGACACGGAGCCTTAGGGAAAAAAAGATTCTTGAATTGCACCTGGGCCCAGCTGTTCCCAAGTAGATCCACTGATTCAGAAATTCTTGAGAATCTTTTAAAAGTACAAATTTTAGAGCTCAGCCCCTACCTACATGTTTAGAATCTCCACAGTCCAGGCCAATATATCTATTTTTAAGAAGTTTTCTAGGTAATTCTAATAAGCAGCCAAGTTTAGAAGTCAATTGTCTAATCCGGACCATAATTCATTTATTCTGCAAATGCTTATTAAGTCTCCATAGCTAATGGTCAATCAACGTATGATTGGTCGACTAGTCCATGAGATCATCTGCCTAAGCCTCTAGTTTGCTCAAGGAATCTGAATATTTAATATTTAATTAGAACACACTCAAACACACATCTTGCTTATATTGAGAAACCCAGACTCTACCACAATATCATTGAGGATTATGGAGGGATTTACACTTTACCTAGTCGTCTACGTTCCAATTCTCTGCTTTTACTCTACCTTAATTTATACCCTGTATTTCATTTCTCCCTTCCTACATAATCCTTTTCTACATCTCATCACCCTACAGAGGCCACTGTCCAAATCTGTCATTCTCCAACACTGACAAAAGTCTTTGAGTGGATTCCCTCACCACTTCTTATTCTTCAATATCCCACCTTCCCCAAATAAATTAGTTTTACTTTGCTATGTAGAGCAATTTAATTCTCTTCATCTAACTCCTCAGAGGGCTGCCAGTTACAAGTGTACTGGTTGTGTACTGCACAATTCTATCAGATGTCATTCATATTAGAGTCTATGTGAGTGACAGCCCCTGGTGTCGAGCAATTCTCAACCTCTCTGGACATGCATGCATGGGGGCTCTACCTTCCCACTAGCCTGCCAGTGTTCCTAGGCTTATTTTATCTCTCTTGCCATAATTTCTAAATCTTAACCATGCATTCTGGTTCGTCTATGTCCCAAGCAAGACTATAGCTGTTCAGTTTACAGGACAGCTGTTGGAATTCTACCCTTACAGTGCTTTGAACCACCCCTCTACCATCATGTTGTACTTTTGTAATAGTCCTCCTTTGTACTGTTTTTACAGACTTCCCTTGTGCTCTCTGACTACATGGTTATTGTATCTTTTCTTGCTATAAGACAGTGTCCATTTATAGATCAGGATGTGATGCTTATCTTTAAGAAAATATCCCTGAGGTGGGCTCTTACACAGGATAGAGATATGTAGGGAGTGCATCTAAACAATTATCTGGTAGTGCAAGGATTTGTAGAGAGTCAAGGAAGGTCGTGAGTGGATCAGCAGTGGGACTATGGCTCAGCTCTGTTGCCTTCTACTCTGGCAAGCCCTGCAGTCCTGGGGAGACTGAGGTACAAGGTGATATCTGAGCAAAAGAAACTTGATAGAATTTGAGACAGGACAAAAACCAATCTAACAAGAAGACTGACTCTGCCAAGACACTGAAGACATTTAACCTGGGATTCCAAATTTCTCTTGTCTGAGAACAGGCTTGATTCTGGAGCTGAATGTTTAGATGAATGTCAAGTAACAATATCGGTGCTCTTCAATTTCGTAGCCACTAGCACATTAAAAACTTGAAGCATAGCCAGATGCAGTGGTTCATGCCTGTAACCTCAGCACATTGGGAGGCTGAGGTGGGTGGATCAACTGAGGTCAGGAGTTTGAGACCAGCCTGGCCAACATGGTGAAACCCCTGTCTCTACTAAAAATATATTTAAAAAAAATAGCCAGGCACTGTGGTACGTGCCTGTAGTCTCAGCTACTCAGGAGGCTGAGGCAGGAGAATTGCTTGAACCCAGGAGGCGGAGGTTGCGGTGAGCCAGGATTGCACCACTGCACTCCAGCCTGGATGACAGAGTGAGACTCTGTTTCCCCCTAAAAAAAGAAAGAAAAAAAAAAGAACTTGAGGTATAGCTTCTCTAAATTGGTGTGTATTCTATGTGTAAAATACACACCAGATTTTGATATTTTTTTGGAAGAAAACATAAACTATCTTGCAAATAATATTTTATATTGCTTATATTAAAATAAATATTTTTGGTTAGGCTTTATCCTCACTCTTAATCTATACTGGGTTAAATAAGCTATATAATTAAATTAATTTTATCTGTTTATATTTTTGTTAATGTGACCACTAGAAAATTTAAAATTAGATGTGTGTCTTGCATTATATTTCTACTGAAGAGCACTGTTTTATATTATGAAGGAGTGAAGCTACAGGAACTCTGATAGGGCCTTTAATTTTTTTTTAAATTACTGTTTAAATTCTTTCTCCTCTATCCCCAATATATGCATATTTACCATTTGTTGAGCATTACCTATTTTCCAGCTGGTTTATAACGCTATTTCTAATCCTCATAACATGCTTTACAATAGACGTTATTATATCCATTTTTCAGAGAAAAAAACTGCTGCTTGGAAAAAAATAACAATATAAGAGTGATTACTTATGGAAGACTTGTGAGCCAGGAAGTATATTTATTATCTCTAACACACACACACGTGTATGTGTAAATACACATTCAATTCCAATTTTATACATTTTTAGAAAAATAACGTTCAAAAAAGTCAGGCTATTTGTCCAAGGTCATGCAGCCAGGCACAACTGAGCTAGGTTCCAACTCGGGCTAACTCTGGAGTTTCTGATCTTTCCATCATGCATACTGATGAGCAAATCATACTGTTTGCTAAACATTATTATTTTTAAGAAGCTATAATACAAGCAGTTAAAGAGACTGGCTTTTATTTTATCAACTGTATAATTATCACTAGGTTGTCACTGTTTGAGGTGGAATTAGTGGTGCCCCACTCTCACTACTTATCGCATAGGATGTGTTATTGCAGACCCCAAACAGCTTTTTTGCCTTAGCACTCCCCTTAGCTGAATTAAGTTCTGATGACAGGCTCGTTCTGGCCTCACCCTCACTCTTCACCCCAGGGCAGCTGTTGCAGGTGTTTAGCCGTTCTGGAACATGGTGTTGCTATGTGCTGGCAATAGCAGCAGCCATGGGGGAAAATGCATCTATTGCTAATCTAGCAGCAGTAACTAGTATCCTTTGCATGATGAGGAATCCAGGGCCAAGTACTTAGATGAGTAATCTAACCTGGGGGCCTCTGGCTGGTTGTGGTGGTGGTATGTGCACTTGCTTTTATGTCTCCCTAGGGTAAAGGCATCAGGAAAGCCCTGGCCTTCCTTTTGATCTGGATTGGCCAGTCAAGGAGTCCTAAAATTAAGCAGTAAAAGAAATGCCCCTATATTGTCAACCTGAGTTGAAGTAGCAGGACCTATTCTTCCATAATAATATATAGGATATTAAGAGAAAGGGTAATAGCAGATGCTACATGAATATCTGCCACAAGCTGGTTTTTGTGTCAGATACTTTACAGATATTACCTCTAGTGCTCACTACAACCTTGAAACCTAAGTACTACCATCACTAGGTGAAGAAAGTAGGATTCTCGTGCTAGAGACACCCAGAGAGCCTCCGAATGGTGTTTCCAGATTATTGGCTTTGTGAAACTGTTCTTGCTTTTATTGTGTAATTGATTTTTACCAAAAAAGGGAAACTTTGAAGGAGGAGCAATTGTAATGGATGTTTATTGTTTTTGCCTTTGCTTCTGGAAGTATAGTACCATTGTTATAATTGTCTGAAAGTCAGAGTGCAAGCTACCTGATTTGCTCTGGGGATATTAAACAAATAAGCTGCAAAGAAAATCTGGTTTCTTTTTCCCCTCATATTAAATTATGGTATCTATATTTTATGCTTCTATATAAATGTATAACAAGCAAAAAAATTATTTTTCACTCCCCTGTTCCCACTTATTCTAGTTATTATGTGCAAAAATATATTGTACTAAAAGGGTTTTGACTTTTACTAAGTTTCAATTTTTTTTTCTAAATAGAAGGAAATTGGTAAATAGAAGAAAAACTTGGAATTGGAAGACACTGTTTAGAGTAAAATGCATGTACGGAGTTAAATATTAACATTATTAAAACAGCACTGATAAGTAGCCAGATGATAAAATTGAAGACAGATTGATGTGTTTTGAAATGGAAAGCTATTCCACAGATAGCATCAAACTAAGCAACTTTAAAGTATATGAAACTCACAAATGCTGAAATACTATAGTAAAATTACATTTGGGAATTCAAAATAAATGCTTTGGCAGATATCTAAACTCCAAAAGTTACAATTATAACATATAAAGAACAAATGTGGGCTTTACTATGTTCTTAATACACAATAAATGAAATTATTTCTAATATGAGTTGTATAATGCTATAAAATGTACTTTTCCTATGGGTTGGAAAATGTAGTTAGCATTGTACACACGTAAATATTATTTGCTACAAAGGAGAAGATTTTAGAGCAAAGTTGCTGAGACTTTTTGTGGAGTTACGTTACATCAGCTAAAATCAAATCTCCTTTCATCTGCTGCTGCAAAGACCCACGTAGCAGAAACTACATTCAAATAAATATTTTTGGCCTCCTTTCCCTTCAAAAAAGGGCTTCAGTGTCTGACCTGATTTTGAATCCTTGCATTTTCCATCTGCATCATCAGTGATAAATAACTCAATCAGTCCAAACCTCAATTGTTTAAAATGAAAAATGGGTATACTATGCTTATTATATTGTCATGAATATTAAGTTCAATAACTTCAATAAAATTCCAAACAGTTGAAATGTGACAATATTAGTTTCTCTCTTTTTTTTGATTACTTCACTTATGAAAGTAAATGGAAATGGAAGTTAACTAATCTAAACTTATCTTCTTATGGTTCTGGTTATGAAAAAATTCTAGAATAATTTACAATATTCAGCAAGATTGGACCATCTGCTATTTTAAAGCTTTTCTAGAATGTTTCCTTTAAAACATAATATTTAGAGACACTTAATGTCCTTGCCAATTAATTGTATAGAAGATTTGTATCTGTATAAAAATGCCTTGTATTTTTAACTCTTTCTTTAATCAATCATGTATTTGTGGCTTGTTCCCTAACTAGATAACAAACTACTTGAGGTCAGGGATTACTTCTAGTATCCTTCTATAACACCACATTTAGCGCCTAGTTTGTGAGCAAATTCATTAATCATTTCTTCTAGGAAAATAGAAATAAAAATGTGTGAGTTGGACACACGTTTTAAAATTCTATTTTCTAAAGAAAATCTTGGAATATTTACTTCCATTCAGTAAATCTCACTGCCCATAAAATTAACTACAAATTGTTTGTCAAGGCTCATATCCAGAAGGGTGCTTCACAGGATTTTTTTTTTTTATGGTTTTAGGTCTTACATTTAAGTCTTTAATCCATCTTGCATTAATTTTAGTATATGATGATGTTATAGTGGGTAGCTAGTCAGGTACGAGCAGGACAGGAGAGGGCTCCCCGTACACACACACCAGGACAGTTGGGCAACCATCAGGTGATGGTCAGGTGGTTGTTAACTGGTTCTCTAAAGTAATAATTGGTCACAGCTGGCGCCAGGGAACAACCGTCTCCTACTAGATAGAAAACACCTGAAACTGATCAACAGCTTCCCAGTAAGATCTCAGGAGTGGGAAGAGGTAATGCAAGATCCCGGATGTATGCCAACCTATAAAACCCCAAGTCAAGAGGTCAAGCTCGGCACTTAGTTTCTCAAGTCACTGGCTTGGGCCTCTTCCAAGTTGTTCTTTCCTTTTCTTTTCTTTTCTTTTCTTTTCTTTTCTTTTCTTTTCTTTTCTTTTCTTTTCTCTTTTCTTTTCTCTTTTCTTTTCTTTTCCTTTTCTTTTCTTTTCTTTTCTTTTTTCTTTTCTTTCCTTTCCTTTCCTTCCCTTTCCTTCCCTTCTTTACTGTTCTAAAGCTTTTTAATAAACTTTCATACCTGATCTGAAACTTCCCTCGGCCTCTTTTTCTGCTTTATGACCCTCAGTCGAATTCTCTCTTCAGAGGAGGTGAAGAGCTGAAGTTGTGTGGACCTGTACAGATACAGTGCTCGCAACTCGAGGGAACTTGGATCTCTGCCACCCTAACAATGATAGGTAGGTGTCCAGTTTCATTTTCTGCATATGATTAGCCAGCTATCCCAGCAGCATTTATTGAATAGGAAGTACTTTCTTATTGCTCATTTTTGTCACCCTTGATGAAGATTGGTTGGTTGTAGGTGTGCGGCTTTATGTCTGGCTTCTCTATTCTGTTATCTTGATCTATGTGTCTGTTTTTGAACCAGTACCATGCTGTTTTGGTTACTGTCATGCTCCATTCTTCAGTGCCATTGAATAATTATGCAGAGTGTTCCTTTTCAAGAAATATTCTATCTCATTGCTACCTGTCAAAATCCTACCTCATTCTTCCAAGCACATCCCAAATTTGGATATTGGCTTTTCTGTTTTTCTCTCTCCTCCAAAAACTCATTGCATTTTGACTTTATTAAAGAGCTTTTAGATCACACAGACCTATACTGGACCTTAGAGATAACTATTATACAACTATCATAGTCGAATTAACATACAGAAAACAACATTCTATTTTGCCACTCATCTGACCAATTATGGATAATTCTATCAGAATGAGATTTTTGCAAGGCTGTACCTGAATCCTTTTTCACCTCTTGAAGACTGGATAAGTGCATCTGCAGAAACCTCTGTCGTAATACTCATCAGATGACATTGAACCTCCTTGCTGGTTTCCCAGTGCTTTCACTAGTTCAGAATCTCCTGATGTCTTTTATTGCTGTACACACATAGCTTTGCACGGGCCTGACAAATTGAAGACATTCAATAAATGACTGTGGAATGAAGGAATGCATCATCCGACTGTTGAGTCACTGTCAAAGTCAATTTTTCATGAATCTTAGTGTCATAAATAGAATTAAGAAATATCTCATGCTAGATTTGAGCGTACTTCCTAAAACTACAAAATTTTCTTGTTTTGTTGCTGTGCTTCATTTCCTTTCAAAATGAGATGCCATCTTACACCAGTCAGAATGGCTGTTATTAAAAAGTAAAAAAAAAACTATCATGCTAGCAAGGTTGTGGAGAAAAGGGAATGCTGTGCACTGTAATGGGAATGTAAATTAGTTCAGCCATTGTGGAAAGAAGTTTGGTGATTTCTCAAAGAACTTAAAAACAGAATTACCATTTGACCTAGTAATCCCATTACTGGGCATAAACCCAAAGGAATATTAATTGTTCTACCATAAAGACTTATCCACACATATGTTTGTTGCAGCACTATTCATAATAGCAAAGATATGGAATCAACTAAATGCCTATCAGTGGTACAAAGAATAAAGAAAATGTGATACATATACACCATGGAATACTATGCAGGCATAAAAATCAATGAGATTATGTCCTTTGCAGCAATGTGGATGAAGCTGGAGGTCATTATCCTAAGCCAACTAATGCAGGAACAGAAAACCAAATACTGCATGTTCTCACTTACAAGTGGAAACTAAACATTGAGTACATATGCACTCAAAGAAGGGAACAACAGACACTGGGGCATACTCGGTGGAGTGTTGGGGGAGGGAGAAGATCAAAAAAACTACCTATGGGATACTGTGCTTATTACCTGGGCGATGAAATAAGTTGTACATTAAACCCTTGCAACACATAATTTACCTATATAGCGAACCTGTACATGTAACTCTGAACCTAAAATAAAAGTTAAAAAAAGTAAATACAAAGGAAATGTAACTGATTACCCCAAAAGCTATATGTCCTCTGTTAGTAATTTTTTTCTTTATTCAAAACAAACAAACAAACATAAAAACGGGATACATGTGCAGAACGTGTAGGTTTATTTCATAGGTATACATGTGCCATGGTGGTTTGCTGCACCTATAGACCCATCCTGTAAGATCCCCCCATAACCCCTACCCCACAACAAGCCCTGGTGTGTGATGTTCCCCACCCTGTGTCCACGTGTTCTCATTGTTCAACTCCCACTTATGAGTAAGAACATGTGGTGTTTGATTTTCTGTTCTTGTGTTTGTTTGCTGAGAATTATGGTTCCCAGCTTCATCCATGTCCCTGCAAAGGACATGAAGCCATCCTTTTTTATGGCTGCATAGTATTCCATGGTGTATATGTGCCACATTTTCTTTACCCAGTCTATCATTGATGGACATTTGGGTTGGTTCCAAGTCTTTGCTATTGTGAACAGTGCCACAATAAACGTATGTGTGCATGTGTCTTTATAGTAGAATGATTTGTAATCCTTTGGATAGATACCCACTAATGGGATTGCTGGGTCAAATGGTATTTATAGTTCTAGATCCTTGAGGAATCACCACACTGTCTTCCACAATGTTTGAACTAATTTATACTCCCACCAAAAGTGTGAAAGTGTTCCTATTTCTCCACATCCTCTCCAGCATCTGTTGTTTCCTGACTTTTTAGTGATCACCATTCTAACTGGTGTGAGATGGTATCTCACAGTGGTTTTGATTTGCATTTCTCTAATGACCAGTGATGATGAGCATTTTTTCATATGTTTGTTGGCTGCATACATGTCTTCTTTTGAGAAGTGTCTGTTCATATCCTTCACCCACTTTTTGATGGGGTTGTTTTTTTCTTCTAAATTTGTTTAAGTTCTTTGTAGATTCTGGATATTAGCCATTTGTCAGATGGATAGATTGCAAAAGTTTTCTCCCATTCTGTAGGTTTCCTGTTTACTCTGAAGACAGTTTATTTTGCTGTGCAGAAGCTCTTTAGTTTAATGAGATCCCATTTGTGTATTTTGGCTTTTGTTGCAATTCATTTTGGTGTTTTAGTCATGAAGTCTTTGCCCATGCCTATGTCCTGAATGGTATTGCCTGGGTTTTCTTCTAGGGTTTTTATGGTTTTAGGTCTTACATTTAAGTCTTTAATCAAACTTGAGTTAATTTTTGTATAAGGTGTAAGGAAGGGATCCAGTTTCAGCTTTCTGCATATGGCTGGCCAGTTTTCCCCACACCATTTATTAAATAGGGACTCCTTTCCCCATTGCTTGTTTTTTTCAGGTTTGTCAAAGATCAGGTGGTTGTAGATGTGTGTGTTATTTCTGAGGCCTCTGTTCTGTTCCATTGGTCTATATATCTGTTTTGGTATGAGTACCATGCTGTTTTTGTTACTGTAGCCTTGTAGTATAGTTTGAAGTCAGGTAGCGTGAGTCTTCCAGCTTTGTTCTTTTTGATTAGGATTGTCTTGGCTATGTGGGCTCTTTTTTGGTTCCATTTGAAATTTAAAGTAGTTTTTTCCAATTCTTTGAAGAAAGTTAATGGTAGCTTGTTGGGTATAGCATTGAATCTATACATTACTTTGGGTAGTATAGCCATTTTGATGATATTAATTCTTCCTATCCATGAGCAGGGAATGTTTTTCCATTTGTTTGTGTCCACTCTTATTTCCTTGAGCAGTGGTTTATAGTTCTCCATGAAGAGGTCCTTCATATCCCTTGTAAGTTGTATTCCTAGGTATTTTATTCTCTTTGTAGCAATTGTGAATGGGAGCTCACTCATGACTTGGCTCTCGGTTTGTCTGTTATTGGTGTATAGGAATGCTTGTGATTTTTGCACATTGATTTTGTATCCTGAGATTTTGGTGAAGTTGCTTATCAGCTTAAGGAGACTTGGCTGAGATGATGGGGTTTTCTAAATATACAATCATGTCATTGGCAAACCGGGACAATTTGACTTCCTTTTTTCCTAATTGAATACCCTTTATTTCTTTGTCTTGCCTGATTGCCCTGGCCAGAACTTCCAATACTATGTTGAATAAGAGTGGTGAGAGAGGGCATCCTTGTCTTGTGCTTGTTTTCAAAGGGAATCCTTTCAGTTTTTGCCCATTCAGTATGATATTGGCTGTGGGTTTTTCATAAATAGCTCTTATTATTTTAAGATACGTTCCATCAATACCTAGATTATTGAGAATTTTTAGCATGAAGTGATGTTGAATTTTGTTGAAGGCCTTTTCTGCATCTATTGAGATAATCATGTGGTTTTTGTCATTGGTTCTATTTATGTGATGGATTGTGTTTATTGATTTGCATATGTTGAACAAGACTTGCATCCCATGGATGAAGCTGACTTGATTGTGGTGGATAAGCTTTTTGATGTGCTGCTGGATTTGGTTTGCCAGTGTTTTATTGAGGATTTTCACATAAATGTTCATCAGGGATACTGGCCTGAAATTTTCTTTTTGTGTGTCTCTGCCAGGTTTTGGTGTCACGATGATGCTAAACTCATAAAAAGAGTTAGGGAGGATTCCCTCTTTTTCTATTGTTTGGAATAGTTTCAAAAGGAATGGTACCAGCTCCTCTTTGTACCTCTGGTAGAGTTCAGCTGTGAATCCATCTGGTCCTGGACTTTTTTTGGTTGGTCAGCTATTAATTACTACCTCAATTTCCGAACTTGTTATTGGTCTATTCAGGGATTCGACTTCTTCCTGCTTTAGTCTTGGGAGGGTGTATGTGTCCAGGAATTTCTCCATTTCTTCAAGATTTCCTAGTTTATTTGTGTAGAGGTGTTTATAATATTCTCTGTTGGTAGTTTGTACTTTGGTGGGATTGGTGGTGATATCCGTTTTATCATTTTTTATTGCATCTATTTGAGTCTTCTCTCTCTTCTTCTTTATTAATCTGGCTAGTGGTCTATTTATTTTGTTGATCTTTTCAAAAAACCAGCTCCTGGTATCATTGATTTTTTTTTTGAAGGGTTTTTCATGTCTCTATCTCCTGAAGTTTTGCTCTGATCTTAGTTATTTCTTGTCTTCTGCTAGCTTTTGAATTTGTTAGCTCTTTCTTCTCTAGTTCTTTTAATTGTGATGTTAGGCTGTGGATTTTAGATCTTTCCTGCTTTCTCTTGTGGGCATTTAATGCTACAAATTTCCCTCTACACAGTGCTTTAAATGTGTCCCAAAGATGCTGGTGTGTTGTGTCTTTGTTCTCATTGGTTTCAAAGAACATCCTTATTTCTGCCTTACTTTCATTATTTACCCAGTAACCATTCAGGAGCAAGTTGTTCAGTTTCCATGTAGTTGTGCGGTTTTGAGTGCGTTTCTTATTCCTGAGTTCTAATTTGATTGCACTGCAGTCTGAGAGACAGTTTTTTATGATTTCTGTTCTTTTGCATTTGCTGAATAGTGTTTTACTTCCAATTATGTGGTCAATTTTATGATGAGTGAGATGTGGTACTGAGAAGAATGTATATTCTTTTGATTTGGGGTGGAGAGTTCTGCAGATGTCTATTAGGTCTGCTTGGTCCAGAGCTGAGTTCAAGTCCTGGATATCCTTGTGAATTTTCTGTCTTGTCGATCTGTCTAATATTGATAGTGGGTTGTTAAAATCTCTCACTATTATTGTGTGGGAGTCTAAGTCTCTTTGTAGGCCTCTAAGAACTTGCTTTATGAATCTGGGTGCTCCTGTATGGGGTGCATATATATTTAGGATAGTTAGCTCTTCTTGTTGCATTGATCCCTTTACCATTATGTAGTGCCCTTCTTTGTCTCTTTTGATCTTTGCTGGTTTAAAGTCTGTTTTATCAGAGACTAGGATTGCAAACCCTGGTTTTTTTTTTTTTTTTTTGCTTTCCATTTCCTTGGTAAATCTTCCTCCATCCCTATATTTTGAGCCTACATGTGTCTTTGCATATGAGATGGGTCTCCTGAATGCAGCACACTGACGGGTCTTGACCCTTCATCCAATTTGTCAGTCTGTGTCTTTTAATTGGGGTATTTAGCCCACTTACATTTAAGGTTAACATTGTTATGTGGAAATTAGATCCTATCATTATGATGCCAGCTGGTTATTTTGCTCTTTAGTTGATGCAGTTTCTCGATAGCATCGATGGTCTTTACAATTTGGTATGTTTTTGCAGTGGCTGGTACTAGTTTTTCTTTCCATGTTTAGTGCTTCCTTCAGGAGCTCTTGTAAGGCAGGCCTGGTGGTGACAAAAATCTCTCAGCATTTGGTTGTCTGTAAAGGATTTTATTTCTCCTTTGCTTATGAAGCTTAGTTTGGCTGGATATGAAATTCTGGGTTGAAAATTCTTTTCTTTAAGAATTTTGAATATTGGCCCCCACTCTCTTCTGGCTTGTAGAATTTCTGCCGAAAGATCCACTGTTAGTCTGATGTTCTTTCCTTTGTGGGTAACCCGACCTTTCTCTCTGGCTGCCCTTAACATTTTTTCCTTCATTTCAACCTTGTTGAATCTGATGATTACGTGTCTTGGGATTGCTTTTCTCGAGGAATATCTTTGTGATGTTCTCTGTATTTCCTGAATTTGAAAGTTGTCCTGCCTTGCTAGCTTGCAGAAGTTTTCCTGGATAATATCCTGCAGAGTGTTTTCCAACTTGGTTCCATTCTCCCTGTGACTTTCAGGTACACCAATCAAACATAGATTTGGTCTTTTCACATAGTCCCATATTTCTTAGAGGCTTTGTTCATTTCTTTTCACTCTTTTTTCTCTAAGCTTGTCTTCTTGCTTTATTTCATTGACTTGATCTTCAATCTCTGATATCCTTTCTTCTGCTAGATCGATTCGGCTATTGATACTTGTGTATGCTTCACAAAGTTCTCGTTCCGTGTTTTTGAGCTCCATTAGGTCATTTGTCTTCTTCTCTAAAATGGTTATTCTAGTCAGCAACCCATCTAACCTTTTTTCAAGGTTCTTAGCTTCCTTGCATTGGGTTAGAACATCCTCCTTTAACTCAGAGGAGTTTGTTATTACTCACCTTCTGCAGCCTACTTCTGTCAATTCATCAAACTCATTTTCTGTCCAGTTTTATTCCCTTGCTGGTGAGTAGTTGTGATCCTCTGGAGGAGAAGAGGCATTCTGGTTTTTGGAATTTTCAGACTTTAAATTAGACTTTGCACTACATACAGTTTTTGATTGCTTAAAAAGGGCTTCACTTTACATTTCTGTGTAATATTTTATTAATGTGAATAATATTCTTTCAGGGACAATCATTATAGCAAGTTTAATGTTATGTAATAAGTGTGTTTCTGTATTAAAATACTTTTACAAATAAAATCGTTTTATTGCAAGTGAGTTCTCTTTAATTATGGGAAGTAAAATATATATTATATTGCAATATTAATAATTAAAACTTTATCTGTAGAGAAAATTTTTGGGTTTCATTGATATAATTTGTTCTAGAAGGAGATCTTGATTGTTATAAAATTACATTCTATGTTAAGATTTTAATTTGCTTGCAATTAATTACAAGAATTTGTCATTTATTATGTATAAAGAATATTTATACAATAAACTCAATTTTAAAGGCTGAATTTTTTATATTATATCGTATTACTGATAGGTTAATTCTGTCTTCTAGTAAATTCTGTTTACTACTTGTTACTATTGCAACTTCTTGCTTTCTCCTCCCAGTACCCACACCTTCCAGAGGTGTGGTCTGAAATGAAAAGGTATAAATTGTGAATTTCATCATAGAGAGTCCATCAAAATTTGTCAAAGAATATAGCTATTGTCATTGTGTCACATAGTTGTCATGGAAACTAGAAGTTAAAGAAAAAGACATGGTCCCTGCTTTTGGGGGTAATATATAAAAATATATGGTATCTCAGGTGGTGAAAAATAAGTGCCACAGTGAAATAGAAAGCAAGATGAAAGGTGTAAAGAATGCTGGTGTGGTTGAGAATTGATATTTGTATAGGGAGGTTAAAAAAGCCTCACTGAAAGGTGACATTTGAGTAGAAACCTTAAAGAAATTAAGGCACAAGCCATGTAGGTATCTGGGGAAAATAATTCCATGCTAAGGAATCAGCAAGTGCAAATGGCTTGATGCAGGAGCCTGCTTGGAATGTTCCTGTTCAAGGATTCAGAATAAGGCTATATAGCCTGAGTCGAGCATGTGTGAGAGAGGGAGATGATGTCAGAGAAGGGTACAGGTGCACTATGTGTGTAGAGCATGAGGCTCTTGTTAGCTTATATAATGGCTAACTCTTCATATCAGTGAGATTTGAAGTCAGTGTGGAACTTTGAAGAAGAGAAGTGTCATGATCTGACTTACATTTTAATTGGATTACTCTGGCTGCTCCTTTCAGAACAGATTGCTGGGGAGAAAAGTTAGAAATAGGGAAAGCAATTAGGAAAGTCTTTTAGTAATACAGGTGAGTGGGAGATAATGACAGCTTAGATTGGGGTGGTGAAGTAGTAGTGGTGAGAAAAAGCTCTGCATGTCTTTTGAAGGTAGAACCAAGAAGATTTTCCAAACATAGGATAAGAGTAAGAAAAATCAGACTCCTCTTTGGCCCAAGCAGTTGGAAGAATGGGCTTCTCATTTACTGAGATGAAGATTGTGAAGCAAGGAATGCTTATTTTTCTGTTTGGAGGATGATGAGAACTAGGAATTCATTTTTAGACATGTGTTAAGTTTGAGATTCAATTAGATTTCCAGTTGAGAATGCCAAGCAGGCAGTTAAATGTATGAACTTGAAGTTCAGAGGGGAGTTCTGAGCTAGAAACATAAATTTGAAAAATACCAGTACGTGGATGAATTTAAAGTCATGAGACCAGGACATACTACTTAGATAGGGGAGAAATAAGGGAATAAGGATTTAGACATGGCTCTCCGACATTTAGAGGGCAGATGAGGAGTAACTAAGGAGGTTGAGAGCCAGCAGGTGTCATTCTAGAAATCAAGTAAAAAAAAAAAGGCATTTCAAAAAGGAAATGCTAATGAAGGTTGTCAAATACTACTGAGTAAGACAAGGACTGAAATTTGACTATTGCTAATAGGAATACAAGTTCATTTTTTTGCTTTGATGAGAGCTATTTCTGTACAGTGGTAAGAATTATTAGAGTAAATTTAAAAGTGGGTGGATAAAATGGATTAGGAGTGTGCAAAATAAGTAACTCTTCTGAGCACTCCCATAAAGGAAAGTGGAAAAATGAGGCATTAAATGGACCTTTTAGTGGGAATTATTTTATGTTTGATTGATGATGGGTATGATTCCACAGAGAGGAAAAATTTGATGAGTCTGTAGTGAAAGGAGACAATTATTGGAATCATGTAATTGAGTGGGCAGGAAGTGATGGGTTGTAGCTACATGAAGGAAGAACCAGAAGGTTTGTCTTAGAGTTTTGGAGAGATCATCCAGAATAACAGATTGAAGCCTGAGTGTGTGGGCAGGGAGCCTGATCAGTTGGCAGATATGGCAGTGGAAATTATGGTGGTAGGAAACAAAATCATCAGCACAAAATAAGACCTGGGGGGGAAATGGTGGAGTTTGAGGAGGGAGGGAAAACTCTGTCACCTAACAGCAAGTGAGATGGAATAGACTAGGGAAATGAATTTGGATTTCTAGGAACAAGCAAGTGCCTGTTTGTTTGTGTCAGAAACAGCTATCTGTTCACCAAAATCCATGTTCTCCTCTTCTTCCAGGACACATAAACAGCACATCCAAAGCTCCCTTGCAATTAAGGGTGGCCTGATAACTAGAATGTAAGTGGAAGTGATGTGCTACACTTCCAGGTCTAGCCTCAGCACACCTTCCATGAGCACTCTTTCATTCTATTTTTCTCTCCAGCTAACCCCAGACCTATCTTAGAAGTCCACAGATTGAGGAGAGCAGAGCCTTTATCAATCTGGTACCCTAAATAAGTGCATGGAGAAAGGCTTGCTATGTTGACCTTTCCACCTACATGGTACAGTTACTGACCAAGAAATCAACTTCTGTACTTGCATTGCTGTACTTTTTCAGTGGGAGGAAGGTGGAGTTCATATCCTAGAGCTGTTAGAGTTACTCCAACTAATTGGTCTTTATTGTGTTTCATTCTTTCCTTGTATTTCCATGTTTTATTCACTTTTTTCTTAGCTTCTTATTTTCTTTAGATTTTTTAATTGACACAATAATTTCTTTTTTTATTATACTTTAAGTTCTGGGATACATGTGCAGAACATGCAGGTTCGTTACATAGCCATACACATGCCATGGTGGCTTGCTGCACCCATCAACCCATCATCTACATTAGGTATTTCTCCTCCTCTAGTCCCTACCACCAAAAGGTCTCGGTGTGTGATGTTCTCCTCCCTGTGTCCATGTGTTCTCATTGTTCAACTCTCACTTATGAGTGGGAACATGTGGTGTTTGGTTTTCTGTCCTTGTGTTAGTTTGCTGAGAATGATGCTTTCGAGCTTCATCCATGTCCCTGCAAAGGACATGAACTCATCCTTTTTATGACTGCATAGTATTCCATGGTATATATGTGCCACATTTTCTTTATCCAGTCTATCATTGATGACACATTAATTTCTAAAACTCACAAGTTTATTAGAAGAAAAATAATAGAAAATATGTGCTATATAAGTAAAAATAATGTAAAGAACACATTACACTATATTATATATTTATATTTTACATATTATATATTGTATTTATGTTTATGTATTAGTACATAGGGCTTCTATAACAAAGTACCAAAAACTGGGTGGTTTAAACAACCAATGTATTGTTTCACAATTCTGGAGCTAGAAGTCTGAGATCAAGGTGTTAATAGTTTTGGTTCCTTCTGAGGGCTGCTGGGGAGAATCTGTGGAGTTTATCGGCTCATAGACACATCATTCCAACCTCTGCCTTTATCTTCATGTGGCGTTCTCCCTGTGGACCTGTCTTGTCCTTATATCATAAGGACACTAACCATGCTGGATTACAGCCCTAGCTAATGACCTAATCTTAATTAGATGACCTCTTTAAAGGGATGATGTTTAAACAAGCTCACCAAATGAGATACTAAATGTTAGTACTCTGACATAACTTCTTTTGGGAGACACAATTCTACACTTAACAATACTCTACTGGGAGATCCAATAGCAGAAGAGAGGGAGCACAGGCTCTTGAATATTAGAGAATTAGGTTGGAATCCCAGCCCTGCCACTTACTGTCCTGTAACTGAGTCCCAGTTATTTCAACTTTCTGAGCCACAGTTTCTTCTTCTGTTAAAATGGAGATGGGCACACCCACCTCATCAAGTTTTTGTGAGAGTTAAATGAATTATTAGGCATTCAATAAATGGTAGTTATTAGTCAGTTATGATGTTAACATGTCAAACAAATAATTGCTTTGATTCAAATGTACATTAACATACTCTATAGTTGCTATTGAAATAGCATAGTGCTAAGGAATAATCTTAAATCTGTCATTAAAAAAAAATCCAAGTAGCCTAAACCATCCTAAGTTAATAATTGATGTCATCATTTTAAATATAATCTTGACTGTGAGGCTCACAATCTCAATTCGTCCTTCATTAGTTGACATCTGTACTTGAATGCTTGTCCTTAACTGAGTTTTACTTGATACAAAATGATAGATATATCATGGGATCAACTACTTACTTCAATGTCATGTTCTTTCGTGATTTGTGTTGAAATGAGTCAATTGTTTGCAGTTGAAAAGCTACTCACAGGACTGAAAAGCCCCCCCAAAATTTAGAATTCTGAAAGTGGCTCTGCATTTGAGGAGCACACAACCAGTTCCCTTTTAGGTGTCACCTTGTCCTTGAAATTGAGAGCCAGTGGATTTCACTATATAAATGGACGATTTTTTGATACGCAACCATTCTTTATCCAATCTCTTCACAGAATAGTAGCTCTAAAATCACGTTCCTTTTTCCCTTTTTTCCCTTTCTATTTTTTTTTTAACTTGTAAGGTTTATTAGTTTTCCCACCAGGATGAATGGAGCAAGAGACAGCTGCTGAACTAATAGCAGGAACATCTGGTTGTGTTATTAGTTCAGTTACTGCATATACCTGTGTCTGTTCACCTCTAAACCAACAAGTTTGATCCTTAGATACAGATGCTAAAACAGAAACAGAATCAATGGAAAAGCAAAAGAAATGACAGAAAAGAAATGAACTCTCTTAACTTGGAAATATGAATGTGTGTAAAGTAAGAGAAAATGGTGAATGAAGTTTATAAAGCAATTGTTTTAATATCAAATGAATCAGGATATGATTATCAAGAGAAGTGAACAGAGAAGTGCCCAAGCATTTAAAGGGAAATGGGTATATCTCCAGACATGTTACACTGCCTTTTATCCAAGTGGATTAACACACTGGCATACTATATAGCCCCAGGCAGCATTTTTCCACTTACATTTTTCACCTGTCACTATACAATTTGTTTCAGACTTAGCTTTTGGAATTAACTTAAAATGGATTCTAGGGCTTCCAGTAAGGGACAAAAGAGAAAAACAGCTGACATGAAAGTTACCACAAATCATTCATGGCTATAAAGACACTGCCCATGTCCCATTTTCTATTTACCAAGCTGAGTGCTGAGTACATCCACATCCACTCTACACATTTTCTTTAAAAGGGCTATAAAATGCTTGTTGAGCTATTAGCACTCACTATAACCAGGGTTTCATTAAGGAGAATAGATAGAGTACCTGGAGATGTCAGTCATAAAACTCCATTCAGAGCACAAACAGTGGTTAAAAGAGGCGGAAGGACAGCAAAAAAGAGATGATGGTGTATGGCCATTAGGCTGGGGTGGGAGGGGGAGAAGCAGAAAGGAACTGAAGCAGAAAATTAAATGGTCTGATACTGACTTTGAATAATAGCTCTGGGTGACCCTGAATCTTACTACTGGAAGTGTGGGCATATTAAAACTCTCCAGTTGTGATCAATTTCCTGTGTGCTAGAAATTTTCCCCTTCTACATGTGCTGTTAGGTGAGTAGGAAGAAGTAAGTTGTTTAGAAAACTCTTGGAAGCTCTGAGTCCATTTTATATCCTTTGTAAAATCTGGCGATTTCCTCTCCTTTCATTAACTCCTCCAGAAACATTGGTCTTCGTGTGGGTCCTTCACTCATCAGAATCTAATTATTGCTGTCCACTTTTGTTCAGCTGCCCAGGCGTAGCAGTCAGAGATCACCACAAGGGAAATCAGGGCTGTGGAGGTATTTGTTAGCAATGCCAGATACATCTCCACCGGGAGGTTATTTTCCCCCATTTTGATTAACTCTTCTTTTGTTTTAAAACTGCCACCCTTTTTCATCTTCAATTATTTTCTCCTATAATTCACCACAAAATGAGCCTCTTCCTGAATGGTTGAAGCTTGGCGTTTAGGCTTTGATGCTTTATACTTACTTAATTCTAATGTTGGTATTAAGATAAGAACAGTCTATAGCATCTCTCTTCCAAGGTTTTACATGTAGTCATGGCTCAGCTATCCTTTTTCTACTTAGAGTATGATTTTTCCTAAAAAATGCATTTCTTTAAGATAATATAAAAAGAAATAATTCAAGATATCCCTAAGGAGAGAAGATGTACCCTTTATATAAAAGTGGAGGGAGAAAGACCCTGAGTTGGATTTTTGCTTTTTAGTTTCTTGGGCGATAGAGCCCAGCATTTTACTGTTAACATCTTTCCCAAGTTACATCTGATAAACTAAAGCATGAAAACTGGAAGTCTAGCATTTCTGAATGTCTGAAAGTTAGGTGGAACACTGAAGCTGGAACAATCAGCTTTAAATAATATTTTAGTAATGTTTTAATATTCATCCTTCTTGGATTACGCAGAATGGAAACAATATATTGTCCATATTGAGAATAATATATAAATCAAAAAGGCTAGACAAGTTACTACATTATAATAGCCAAAAAATTAAAGTGACTTTTTTTTTTTCTTTTTAACTCCCAAGGAGACTAACAGGTGTTCTTACATTTCTGCTTTCTTCTCTCCACTGGGTCTGGAACCACTTCTTTTCCTCAAAGATGAAGTTTAGGCCATGGGAATAGTGAGCAAATCCCCAGAGCCCCTCTATGGAGGGTGACTGGTTCTTTTGTCAGTGAATGGGCTAAATTAGTACCCACTATGTTAGCTTCCTATTGCTGCTGTAACAAATTGCTGCAAACCCTTATTGACTTAACACAACTTTATTATTTTTCAGTTCTGGAGATTAACAGACCAGTTTGGCTCTCGCTGAGCTAGAATCCAAGTGTCATCAGGGCTACATTCTTTCCTGGAAGTTCTAGGGGAGAATCTGTTTCCTTGCCCTTTCCAGCTTCTAGAAGCTTCCCACATTCCGTGGCTCCTGAATCCCTTTCATCTTCAAAGCCAGCAATGGCCAATCAAGCCTTGTCCTGCTTCTGACACTGCTGCCTCCCTCTTTCCCTTTTAAAGTGATTGTGACTACATCTTGCACTCCCAAATGATCTGATGTAATCTCTGATTAGCAACCTAATTCCAACTGTAACCTTAATTCTCTTGTGACATGTAACATAACATAGTTATGGGTTGCAGAGATTAGGATGTAAACATGTCATGGCATTGTTTGGCCACTACACATCCCCTCATAGAGGCCAGAATTAAAATAGAAATGAGATCAACTTTTGAGTCATTCTGGAAATTTTCGGTTACATGAACCTGAGAACTATATTATTTGAAGTTAACTGTTTTTCAAAAATTATATTAAGTGCAATTTAAATGTATAAGTAACTTCACCTTTGGTTTATATATTGCTGTGTCATGATTTTGGAGTTGAGACTCAGTAGGATGTAAGGAAAGGAATATGACTTTAAGATCCAGAAGGCCAGTATTCACATTCCAACTTCACGACTCACTAAGCTTTCGCTTCCTAATTGTTATAATGGAAACAAAGATGTCTACCTTGAGGGATGTGGAGAGGATGAAATTATGCACACAAATAAAATGTCACATAGTTTGTATTAATAGTGATAGCCTATGTACCTCTTATGAGAAGTGTAAGACACATGGTGGGTGTTTGGTAAATGTTGTCGCTCCCTTTGATGTTCAGTGTGTAAAAAGTGGCACTTAAGCATCACCGCATTCTAGAGACCAAATCTAATCTGAGACTCGAGACACCACAAAACACAAATTTTGAGTCTGGGTTCAGACTCAATCCTGGCACCATTTCCAGCCTTTGGTGTCAGTTGGTCCTGACGAGATTATCATGGAGCTCAGGTTTGGCATGTGTGGCAAAGTTGAAATTTGTCCCAAATTGTGTGACATCTGGTTCACTCCCCATCAGTGATTTCAGTCAGGTAGCAAAACTGATTTTCAGCCAGCCCTTCAAAACTGATAACTTACTACTTCTAAATTCTCTTTCCCTTATACTTTTTTATAACCCCACTGTTAAATACAGCATGAGGAGTTATTATCTTGGTTGGGCTATGTAGGAGAAATGTACTTATAATGCTGCATAATTCAAATAAATAAAGATAGATATATAATAATGCATGGAATGCATAATCTGATATGTTATGTGTTATTTAACCCAATATCTTAGATATATAAACAGTACATTAGACCTGAGATGATAATAAGCTATCATATTCTGCTATAAATAATTTCATACTATGACTGGTATGACTGGTATGACATATGTCATAATGACATATGTCCACATTCTAATACTTGGAACCTGTAAATGGCAAAAGGGGATTAGAATTGCAGATACAATTAAGGTTGCTAATCTTCTGACCTTGAGATACCTTGAGATAGGGAAATTATCATGTATTACTTGGGTGAGTCCAATCTAATCACATGGCTATTTAAAAGTGGTAAGAGACAGAAGAGAACCAAAGGGATGGTAATGTGAGAGGAACTGGACCCACGGTTGCTGACTTTGAAAATAAAAATTATATGATCTCAGGAATGCAGGTAGCCCCTAGAAACTGGGGAAGGTCAAGAAAACAGATTCTCCCCAAGAACCTCCAGAAAGGAACACAGCCTGGCCATCACCTTGATCTTAGTCCAGTGAGATCTTTGTTGGACTTGTAAGCACAGAGCTGTAAAATTTGTGTTGTTTTAAGCCACTAAATTTGTGATCATTTGTTATAGCAGTTCTAAAAGACTAATGCACATATTTTATATCTTAATTACTATGGTAATTTATAGATTAAGTAGCTTAATCAAATTATTACATGATAGTAACTTTAAAAATATATTTTGTTAGTGTCACATTAAATACTATTCCATTATTATTTTAATTAATACATTTCTTCCAAGATTATATGCTTTATAGATAAGGTTTTCATAAAATCATATATATCTCTAGCCTTTTATAATATGTTGAGGTAAGATAGAAACTTTAAAGGAGATTTTGAATAAAATGTATTAAAGTATCGGGCATTGACATTGCACAATTGTATGCAAAGAACATTATTTCAGATCCCTGTGACAAATTAAAAATGACAATCACATTTGACCAGGACAAATGAAATTCGTGTTTTTCAGATGGGAGGAAAAAAATCAATTTACCTTTAAAAGCCATTTACTGCCTCTATCACACCTACCGTCTAGATTATTAAAATTTAAAAGTTCTAAAACTCTAAGATTTCATGAAAACCCAAGATACTGTCTCAAATATGCTCACTCAAATATGTATCAATATGAGGTAGGAAGATAGTGTTTTCTGGTGATATCATCTAATTAATCATTCTGTAATCTCCGCCAAGTACATGCCAAGTATTTTAGAAAATTAAACATATCCCTTCTCCCCATCCAAAAGGGAAACTGAGGCAGGTTCAAGACCGTGTATATTATTCCAGATCATTGAAGAGGGCTGGGTAGAATGGGGAGTGGGTCTGTGTCTGTGACCTCTAGGCCTCGGATTTTCTGCTTTGCATAACAGCAGTGTCTCTTCTGTGAAATGCCTTCTTTCTCCAAGCCCTCATGTAATAGTCACACTGTTGACCATTCCCTTTTACTTTCCACTTCAAAAAAGACAAATAAGGACATGGAGGGAAGGTAAGTGAGAAATACTTCAAAGTCAGTTTTCTGCTTGACATGGCCTAAACTTACCTCTCTGCTCCTGAGAGAGACTTGCTGGAAGACTGAGGTTTGACTTGAACACTTAAGAATGTTCCAAAAGTTTGCTTTGTAGCAATGCCCCTGAAGAAAATGAACTCTTACTCCATGAGCTGCTGTGAAGCAAAGCAATGCACACAGAGAGGCATCATTCATCTTCTTCTGGCTCCAGGGGCTTCTCCCACCAGCCCGTTTGACATATAAAATTTCCACCTCACTTGGTGGTAAAGCTGCCTGCTGCTTCCTCTGTAAGGGAAAAGTGGCTAGAGTTCTATAAAGTTAAAGAAGTTGTTACTTCCATAAAAGAAAAGTACAGAGAATTGAGTGGGAAGAGAAGTAGGAAGAGGAGAGACAAACTAAACTTGGAATGAATGAAAGATGGAAAAATAACTGAAATCTTACCATGAACAGAATTATTGAATAATCAAACATATTTCAAGGACTTGTTTAAAAATGTTTAAAGATTGAGTTACCCCATAACAACCAAGTTTCTGCAAAAAGGCTTGCACTACACTTTCCAACTGTACATAGGCAGAGATTATAGATTATTATCCTGACTGCTTAGGGTGCTCTTTCTGCAGGTCTAAACATGTATGCTGGGTACAGTTATTTTTATCATTATGGTCACTGAATACAGGTACAAGTGAAAGGCATTTACTGCTTTTAAACAGTGAGGGCATCATTAAAAATCCCTCTTCCACAGCCTCTTTAAATCTGCAAAGTCCTTTTACTTCTCTGACCACGACCTGTGAAGTGGAACTGTTTACATGATTGTGGAGGAATGCTAATTTACACCATTATTACTTGTGTCCATTTCCTGGACCTGTCCTCTAAAAGCTGTTCTTTCCTCTTTACTTCTCTGAATATCGGTTTTCTTATGAGTAAAAATGTTGGTTATAATTGGCTGGGTTCCTGATGAGGATTAAATGAGATGGTATATAGAAAAATGCCTAGCATACTCCCAAAACTTAGATGTTCTTTAAATATTAGTTTCATTCGATTTTTACCTTTCTGCCTTGCTGACACTTTCCTTCTCTTTTATAATTATCTTGTCCTTCTTTGTCACTTCTTCTTAGTTTCTTTCTTCCCCATTTGTAACTAGTAACTTGATTTCTGAAGGTCCTGACAAGCTTAAACTGATAGGATTACTGTGTGACACCCTAAAGAACTGTCCTATTTATGGATGGCTCACTTGTGAATACTGACATGACAGGCTTCATCGTAGTTCTAAATGTAGGTTACCACAGAGATCACCACAGCCTTTGATTGTCTCTCTTGATTTGTGTGCAATTGCCTGAAATAGAGAAGCAACAATGTAGAACCAGAAAGTTCTATTGCTATGTCTCTGACAGCTCTTGATGGTAGTGAATGACTGGGCATGTAGTAGTGCCAACATGTTTTAAGTCCTAGTGATGACAAATGCTCTAACTCTCAGAAGTGTCATATGAGGACCCACTCAGTTTTCAAATTCAATGACAAATATTTATCGCATGTGTAACGTGTGCTGAAAATCGGCGATAGGATGGTGAGTAAAAGAGACACATTCTTCATCTTAAAATTTAGATAAGCTGTAAGAGTTTGTATAAAAGATGTTTATATATATATATATATATATACACGTGTGTTTTGTGCTTTTTATTTTTTTATATTATAAAAAACACATGCATTTATCCTTTAACCATTTTAAAGTGCACATTAATTGCCACTAAGTGCATTCCATTATTGTGCTACCATCACCATGATCCAACCACATAACTTTTTTCATCTTGCAAAACTGAAACTCTGCATTCATTAAACAATAACTCTCCATTATTCCTCCCCCTTCACAAATGGTAGCCACCATAATACTTTCTACGAATGTGACCACTCTAGGTAGATTATATAAGTAAAATCAAACAGCATTTGTCCTTTTGTTACTGGCTTACTTCACTTAGCGTAATATTCTCAAGATACATTAATATCATAGCATATTTTGGAATTTCTTTCCTTTTTAAGGCTAAATAATATTCCCTTGTATGCATATACTCCATTTTGTTTATCTGTCCATCTGTTGATAAATTGGGTTACTCCCACTTTCAGTTATTGTGAATAATGCTGTATGAACATGGGTATACAAACATCTGTTTGAGATTCTGCTTTCAAATTTTGAATATATACCCCAAAGTGAAATTGTTGGGTCATATCATAATTCTAGTTTTAATTTTTTGAGGAACAGCCATACTCTTTTCCATAGTGGCTGCACCATTTTACATTTCTACCTGTAGTGCACAAGTGTTCCAATTTCTTCATATCCTCGCCAATATTTGTTATTTTCTGTATTTTTTTAAATTGCCATCCTAATGGGTGTGAAATATTATCTCAGTGTGACATCTCATTTTGATTTGCACTTTCCTAATGATTAGTGATGTTGAGCATGTTTTCCATGTGCTTATTGGCCATTTCTATATCTTCTTTGGAGGAATGTCTTCTCAAGTCCTTTGCTCATTTTTAAAATAGTGTTGTTTGTTTTTTGTTTTTGTTGAGTTATGATGTTGATATATTTTTAAAGTTAAAAGAATAGCATATGATTATTAGTTCATTATAAAAAGTGACTTTTATCTGCTGTTCAAATGTTCTAATAATTTAAAAAATATTGTATTACAGATACCACTTAAATATTTTATTGTTATTATTTTTGATGATGTAATTTCAATAGCTAAGTCAAAATTAGGTCATGGGTAAGATGTGCCTCATATTATGTTATATGGTCACTGAGGCTAGGCTTTTCCAGAAGGTCTTCTGAGCCAGTACATTTTTTCACTCTCAGCTTTTTGTGAAGAAAGAAGTCCTTTGGAGGTAGATTCTCACATGCTTATTCATTTCATTACTGGAAAAGTAAAGTTCTAAGGTGTTTTTAATGTGGGTTTTATTTTAAATTTCTATTTATTGGAAGATTTTAAGAGGTGCCAAAGAATAAATTGCAGACATAAGATCCTTTAGGGCATAGGGCCACTTGTTAATGAATTGTGTTTAGATATCAGTCACCATTATTTTAATCTTATATTTTATATGTCAACAGAAACTAAACCAAGTTTTCAGTATATCCCTGAGCATACTTCAGGCATGTAGATGACTTATATATTTTGAGACATAGTTCTACTTTATATAAATATACTTGATACTATTTTCTTGCTCACAGTAGGATAAAATGTTAATAATTTGGTGAGTCTCTGCAATTTTACTATCCATTTCTTTCTAGTTATATATAACATTTAGTAAGCACTAAACTCTAAAAGACTCAGGCAATTCAGTTTGAATGACCACTTAGAGGTACATATGCTTACTCAAAATAACTGAGCTACTTGATTCTGCAAAAAGAATTTGAACAATCCCCAAAGAACAGATTTTTATGAAATTGGAGGTTGCAAACTGACTTTCATTTTTATCCCTGGATATTTTTTCCCAGAAAATTATATTCACCTGCATGTTTTTTTACATAAATATTTTCTGTTTTCTATTTTTAAGAAATGGTTAGAAACTTCTTTAGGTAATTTAAGTGCTAGCTTTCCTGGATTCTGAGGGTTTACCTTTGTAGATTCTATTCCATCATAAGGTTGAAGCTTTGTCTAAAATTCTCCTCTATACTCATACATATATAGTTAATCTAAATATTTTATACTAAGTATTGAACGCATACACATAATATATAATATAGTAATTCATTATATTATAACTAATGTACAATAAGATACCAGCTATAATTATATATAATGATCAGGTAACATAAGTTTTATATACATTTGAAAATATTTGTTGGATGTGTGGTATGCTGAGCACTGTGTTAGGTGCAGCATAGGCTCTGGTCAACAAGACATAAGTGGTCCCTGTCCGTATGGAGATTGCAGTGTAATGGAGGAAAAAGGCCATAAACGAACGAAAAAGTAAGCAAGCAAAGCCCCATACAAATATACATACTTTAAAAAAAATTGGGCCGGGTGTGGTGGCGCATGCCCATAATCCCAGCACTTTGGGAGGCCAAGGCGGGCAGATCACGAGGTCAGGAGTTTGAGACCAGCCTGGCCAATATGGTCAAACCCTGTCTCTGCTAAAAAAAACAAAAAACAAAAATTAGCTGGGAGTGGTGGCAGGTATCTGTAATCCCAGCTACTTTGGAGGCTGAGGCAGGAGAATCGTTTGAACCTGGGAGGTGGGGGTTGCAGTTAGTCTAGATCGCACCACTGCACTGCAGCCTGGGCAACAAGGTGAGACTCTGTCTCAAAAAAAAAAAAAAAATTCCGTAGGTTTTTGGGGAACAGGTGGTATTTGGTTACATGAATAAGTGCTTTAGTGGTGACTTGTGAGATTTTGGTGCACCCATCACCCAAGCAGCAAACACTGAACCCAATTTGTAGTCTTTTATCCCTCACCCACCTCCCACCCTTTCTCCTGAGTCCCCAAAGTCCGTTGTATCATTCTTATGCCTTTGCATCCTCATAACTTAGCTCCCACTTATGAGTGAGAACATAGAATATTTGGTTTTCCATTCCTGAGTTACTTTACTAAGAATAATAGTCTCCAGTCCCATCCAGGTTGCTGCAAATGGCATTAATTTGTTCCTTTTCATGGCTGAGTAGTATTCTATCATATATATGTATGAAATGTATATCATATATATTCATATATCTCATTTATTCCATCATATATCTGTATGGATATATATATAAGTTTCTTTATCCACTCATTGATTGATGGGCATTTGGGCTGGTTCCATATTTTTGCAATTGCAAATTCTGCTTTTATAAACATGCATGTGCAAAAATCTTCTTTGTATAATGGCTTGTTATCCTCTGGGTAGATACCCATTAGTGGGACTGCTGAATCAAATGTTAGTTCTACTTTTAGTTCTTTAAGGAATCTCCACACTGTTTTCCATAGTGGTTGTACTAGTTTACATTTCCACCAGCCGTGTAGAAGTGTTTGCTTTTCACCGTATCCACACCAACATCTACTTTTTAAAATTTTTTGATTATGGCCATTCTTGCAGGAGTGAGGTGGTATCCATTGTGGTTTTGATTCGTATTTCCCTGATAATTAGTTTGTTGGCCATTTGTATATCTTCTTTTGAGAATTATCTATTCATGTCCTTAGCCTAGTTTTTGATGGGATTATTTGTATTTTTCTTGCTAAGTTTTATGTGTTCCTTGTAGATTCTAGATATGTTAGTCCTTTATCGGATGTATAGATTGTGAAGATTTTCTCCCACTCTGTGGGTTGTCTGTTTACTCTGTCGTCTGTTTCTTTTGCTGTGCAGAAGCTCTTTTGTTTAATTAAATCCTATCTATTTATCTTTGTTTTTGTTGCATTTGCTTTTGGGTACTTGGTCATGAAGTCTTTGCCTAAGCCAATATCCAGAAGGGTTTTTCTGATGTTATCTTGTAGAATTTTTATGTTTTCAGGTCCTAGATGTAAGTCCTTGATCCATCTTGAGTTTATTTTTATATCAGGTGAGAGATGAGGATCCAGTTTCATTCTCCTACACACAGCTTCTCATAGCAGAGCTACTGATACGTGTACATTAATTTTGTATCCTGAAACTTTACTGAATTCATTTATCAGTTCTAAGAGCTTTTTGGAGGAGTCTTCAGGATTTTCTAGGTATATGATCATATCAGAAAACAGTGAGTTTGACATCTTCTTTACCAATTTGGGTACCCTTATTTCTTTCTCTTGTCTGATTGCTCTGGCTAGGACTTCCAGTACTATGCTGAACAGAAGTGGTAAGAGTGGGCGTCCTTGTCTTGTTCCAGTTCTCAGAGGGAATGCTTTCAACTTTTCCCCATTCAGTATTATGTTGGCTGTGGGTTTGTCATAGATGACTTCTATTACATTGAGGTATGTTCCTTGTGTGCTGGTTTTACTGTGGGTTTTAATCACAAAGCAATGCTGGATATTGTCAAATGCATTTTCTGCATCTATTGAGATGATAATGTGATTTTTGTTTTTAATTCTCTTTATATGTATATCACATTTATTGACTTGCATATGTTAAATCATCCCTGCATCCCTGGTATGAAACACACTTGATCATGGTGGATTATCTTTTTGATATGTTGTTGGATTCAGTTAGCTAGTATTTTGTTAAGGATTTTTGCATCTATGTTCATCAAGGATATTTGTGTGTAGTTTTCTTTTTTGTTATGTCCTTTCCTGGTTTTGATATTAGGGTGATACTGGCTTCATAGAATGATTTAGGGAGGACTCCCTGTTTCTCTATCCGTGGAATTGTGTCAAAAGGATTGGTACCAATTTTTCTTTGAATGTCTGATAGAAGTCAGCTGTGTATCTAACTAGTTCTGGACTTTTTTTTTTGTAAGTTTTTAATTACTATTTCAATCTCACTTCTTGTTATTGGTCTATTCAGGATTTCTAATTCTTCTTGATTTAAGCTAGGGGGGTTGTATATTTCCAGGAATTAATCTATCTCTTCTAGGTTTTCTAGTTTATGAGTGTAAAGGTGTTCATAGTAGCCACAGTAGCCTTGAATTATGTTTTGTATTTCTGTGGTATCAGTTGTAATATCTCCCATTTCATTTCTAGTTGAGATTATTTGGCTCTTCTGTCTTCTTTTCTTGGTTAATCTTGCTAATGGTCTATCAATTTTTTTTTATCTTTTTTAAAAAATAGCTTTTTTTTCATTTATCTTTTGTAATTTTTTGTTTCAATTCCATTTAGTTCTGCTCTGATCTTGGTTATTTCTTTTCTTCTGCTGGGTTTGGGTTTGGGTTTGGTTTGTTCTTGTTTCTCTAGTTCCTTGAGGTATGACCTTAAATTGTCTTTTTGTGCTTTTTCAGACTTTCTGATGTAGGCATTTAAAGCTATGAACTTTCCTCTTAGCACTGCCCTTGCTGTATTACAGAGGTTTTGATAAGTTGGGTCACTATTATCATTCAGTTCAAAGAATTTTTTTAAATTTCCATCTTGATTTCATTGTTGACCCAATGATCATTCAGGAGCAGGTTATATAATTTCCATGTATTTGCATGGTTTTGAAGGTTCTTTTTGGAGTTGATTTCCAATTTCGCTTCACTGTGGTCTGAGAGAGTACTTGATATAATTTCCATTTTCTTAAATGTATTGAGACTTGTTTTGTGGCCTATCATATGTTCTATCTTTTAGAGAGTTCAATGCACTGATGAATAGAATGTGTATTCTGCAGTTGCTGGGTAGAGTGTTCCGACAACATCTGTTAAGTCAATTTGTTCTAGGGTGTAGTTTAAATCCATTGTTTCTTTGTTGACTTTCTGTCTTGATGACCTGTCTAGTGCTGTCAGTGGAGTATTGAAGTCCCTCACTATTATTGTATTGCTGTCTAACTCATTTCTTAGGTCTAGTAGTAATTGTTTTATAAATTTGGGAGCTCCAGTGTTAGGTCCATATATATTTCGAATTCTGATATTTTCCTGTTAGACAAGGCCTTTTATCATTATATAATATCCCTCTTTGTCTTTTTTAACTGCTGTTGCTTTTTTTTTTTATTATACTTTAAGTTTTAGGGTACATGTGCACATTGTGCAGGTTAGTTACATATGTATACATGTGCCATGCTGGTGTGCTGCACCCACTAACTCATCATCTAGCATTAGGTATATCTCCCAATGCTATCCCTCCCCCCTCCCCCAACCCCACAACAGTCCCCAGAGTGTGATATTCCCCTTCCTGTGTCCATGTGATCTCATTGTTCAATTCCCACCTATAAGTGAGAATATGCGGTGTTTGGTTTTTTGTTCTTGCGATAGTTTACTGAGAATGATGATTTCCAGTTTCATCCATGTCCCTACAAAGGACGTGAACTCATCATTTTTTATGGCTGCATAGTATTCCGTGGTGTATATGTGCCACGTTTTCTTAATCCAATCTATCATTGTTGGACATTTGGGTTGGTTCCAAGTCTTTGCTATTGTGAATAATGCCACAATAAACATACATGTGCATGTGTCTTTATAGCAGCATGATTTATAGTCCTTTGGGTATATACCCAGTAATGGGATGGCTGGGTCAAATGGTATTTCTAGTTCTAGATCCCTGAGGAATCGCCACACTGACTTCCACAATGGTTGAAGTAGTTTACAGTCCCACCAACAGTGTAAAAGTGTTCCTATTTCTCCACATCCTCTCCAGCACCTGTTGTTTCCTGACTTTTTAATGATGGCCATTCTAACTGGTGTGAGATGGTATCTCATTGTGGTTTTGATTTGCATTTCTCTGATGGCCAGTGATGATGAGCATTTTTTCATGTGTTTTTTGGCTGCATAAATGTCTTCTTTTGAGAAGTGTCTGTTCATGTCCTTCGCCCACTTTTTGATGGGGTTGTTTGTTTTTTTCTTGTAAATTTGTTTGAGTTCATTGTAGATTCTGGATATTAGCCCTTTGTCAGATGAGTAGGTTGCGAAAATTTTCTCCCATTTTGTAGGTTGCCTGTTCACTCTGAAGGTAGTTTCTTTTGCTGTGAAGAAGAAGCTCTTTAGTTCAATTAGATCCCATTTGTCAATTTTGGCTTTTGTTGCCATTGCTTTTGGTGTTTTGGACATGAAGTCCTTGCCCATGCCTATGTCCTGAATGGTAATGCCTAGGTTTTCTTCTAGGGTTTTGATGGTTTTAGGTCTAACGTTTAAGTCTTTAATCCATCTTGAATTGATTTTTGTATAAGGTGTAAGGAAGGGATCCAGTTTCAGCTTTCTACATATGGCTAGCCAGTTTTCCCAGCACCATTTATTAAATAGGGAATCCTTTCCCCATTGCTTGTTTTTCTCAAGTTTGTCAAAGATCAGATAGTTGTAGATATGCAGCGTTATTTCTGAGGGCTCTGTTCTGTTCCATTGATCTATATCTCTGTTTTGGTACCAGTACCATGCTGTTTTGGTTACTGTAGCCTTGTAGTATAGTTTGAAGTCAGGTAGTGTGATGCCTCCAGCTTTGTTCTTTTGGCTTAGGATTGCCTTGGTGATGCGGGCTCTTTTTTGGTTCCATATGAACTTCAAAGTAGTTTTTCCAATTCTGTGAAGAAAGTCATTGGTAGCTTGATGGGGATGGCATTGAATCTGTAAATTACCTTGGGCAGTATGGCCATTTTCACGATATTGATTCTTCCTACACATGAGCATGGAATGTTCTTCCATTTGTTTGTATCCTCTTTTATTTCCTTGAGCAGTGGTTTGTAGTTCTCCTTGAAGAGCTCCTTCACATCCCTTGTAAGTTGGATTCCTAGGTATTTTATTCTCTTTGAAGCAATTGTGAATAGGAGTTCACTCATGATTTGGTTATCTGTTTGTCTGTTGTTGGTGTATAAGAATGCTTGTGATTTTTGTACATTGATTTTGTATCCTGAGACTTTGCTGAAGTTGCTTATCAGCTTAAGGAGATTTTGGGCTGAGACAATGGGGTTTTCTAGATATACAATCATGTCGTCTGCAAACAGGGACAATTTGACTTCCTCTTTTCCTAATTGAATATCCTTTATTTCCTTCTTCTGCCTAATTGCCCTGGCCAGAACTTCCAACACTATGTTGAATAGGAGTGGTGAGAGAGGGCATCCCTGTCTTCTGTCAGTTTTCAAAGGGAATGCTTCCAGTTTTTGCCCATTCAGTATGATATTGGCTGTGGGTTTGTCATAGATAGCTCTTATTATTTTGAAATACGTCCCATCAATACCTAATTTATTGAGAGTTTTTAGCGGGATATCACCACCGATCCCACAGAAATACAAACTACCATCAGAGAATACTACAAACACCTCTACGCAAATAAACTAGAAAAACTAGAAGAAATGGATAAATTCCTCGACACATACACTCTCCCAAGACTAAACCAGGAAGAAGTTGAATCTCTGAATAGACCAATAACAGGAGCTGAAATTGTGGCAATAATCAATAGTTTACCAACCAAAAAGAGTCCAGGACCAGATAGATTCACAGCTGAATTCTACCAGAGGTACAAGGAGGAACTGGTACCATTCCTTCTGAAACTATTCCAATCAATAGAAAAAGAGGGAATCCTCCCTAACTCATTTTATGAGGCCAGCATCATTCTGATACCAAAGCCGGGCAGAGACACAACCAAATAAGAGAATTTTAGACCAATATCCTTGATGAACATTGATGCAAACATCCTCAATAAAATACTGGCAAAATGAATCTAGCAGCACATCAAAAAGCTTATCCACCATGATCAAGTGGGCTTCATCCCTGGGATGCAAGGCTGGTTCAATATACGCAAATCAATAAATGTAATCCAGCATATAAACAGAGCCAAAGACAAAAACCACATGATTCTCTCAATAGATGCAGAAAAAGCCTTTGACAAAATTCAACAACCCTTCATGCTGTTGCTTTAAAGTTTGTTTTTTTAATATAAGAATAGCTACTCCTGCTAACTTTTGCTGTCCTTTTGAAAGGAATGTCCTTTTCCACCTCTTTACTTTAAGTTTATGTGAGTCCTTAAGTGTTAGGTGAGTCTCTCAAAGGCAGCATACACTTGGTTGGAGAATTCTTATCCATTCTGCAATTCTGTATATTTGAAGTGGAACATTTAGGCTATTTACATTCAACATTAGTATTGAGATGTGATATACTATTCCATTCATTATGCTATTTGTTTCCTGAGTACCTTGGTTTTTATTTATTTATTGTATTCTTGTTTTATAGGTCCTGTGAGATTCATGCTTTAAAGGGGTTCTGTTTTGATGTGTTTCCAGGATTTGTTTCAAGATCTAGAGCTCCTTTTAGCAGTTCTTGTAGTTCTGGCTTGGTAGTGGCAAATTCTCTCAGCATTTGTCTGAAAAAGGCTGTAGTTTTCCTTCATTCATGAAGCTTAGTTTTGCTGGATACAAAATTCTTGGCTGATAATTGTTTTGTTTAAGGAGGCTGAAGATTGAGCCCCAGTACCTTCTAGGTTTCCCTTTACAGGTTACCTGGTGTTTTTGCCTTGCAGCTCTTAAGATTCTTTCCTTCATCTTGACTTTAGATAACCTGATGACTATGTACCTAGGTGATTACTTTTTGCAGTGAATTTCTCAGGTGTTTTTTGAGCTTCTTGTATTTGGATGTCTATATCTCTAGCAAGGCCAGGAAAGTTTTCCTCAATTATTCCCCTAAATATGTTTTCCAAACTTTTAGATATCTCTTCTTCCTTGGGAATAGCAGTTATTCTTAGGTTTGGTTGTTTAACATAATTCCAAACTTCTTGGAAGTTTCGTTAATTTTTTAAAATTCTTTTGTCTTTGTCTTCGTTGGATTGGGTTATTTCAAAAACCTTGTCTTTGAGCTCTGAAATTCTTTCTTCTGCTTGTTTGATTCTATTGCTGAGACTTTCCACTATATTTTGCATTTCTCTAAGTGTGTCCTTTATTTCCTGAAGTTGTGATTGTTTTTTATTTGTGCTATCTATTTCACTGAAAATTTTTCCATTGACATCCTGTATCATTTTTTTTATTTCATTAAGCTGGATTTCACCTTTTTCTGGTACCTCCTTGATTAGCTTAATACTTGACTTTCTGCATTCTTTTTCTGGCAATTCAAGAATTTCTTCTTGGTTTGGATCCACTGCTGGTGAGCTAGCGTGATTTTGGGGGATGTTAAAGAAACTTGTTTTGTCATATTACCAGAATTGTTTTTCTGGTTCCTTCTCATTTGGGTAGACTCTATTAGAGGAAGAATCTGGGGCTCAAGTCTGCTGTTGATTCTTTTGTCCCATGGGGTGTTCCATTGATGTAGTACTCTCTCCCTTTTCCTAGGGATATGGCTTCTTGAGAGCTGAACTGTACTGATTGTTATTTCTCTTCTGGATCTAGCCACACAACAGGGCTACCAGACTCTAGGCTAGTACTGGTGGGTGTCTACACAGAGTCCTGTGATGTAAATTGTCTTCAGGTCTCTCAGCTGTGGATACCAGCACCTGCTCTGCTGAAGGTGGCAGGGGATGAAATGGACTCTGTAAGGGTCCTTAGTTGTAGTTGTTTAATGCACTAATTTTGTGCTGATTGGCCTCCTGCCAGGAGGTGGTGCTTTCAAGAGAACATCAACTGTGGTACTATAGGGGAAGTTCAGGTCGTAGGTGGGGCCCTAGAACTGCCAAGAGAATATGACCTTTGTTTTCAGCTACCAGGGTGAGTAGGGAAGGACTATCAGGTGGGGGCAGGGTTTGGTGTGTCTGAGCTCAGATTCTCGTTGGGCTTGCTGCAGCTGCTGTGGGAGATGCGAGTATAGTTCCTAGGTCTATGAAGTTAGGTTTTCAGGAGGGCTACGGCTGCCTCTGCTGTTTCATGCAAGTTGTCAGGGAAGAGGGGGAAAGCCAGCAGTTACAGGCCTCACCCAGCTCCTGTGCAACCCAAAAGGCTGCTCTCATTTCCACCCTGTCCCTCAACCACAACCGCACCAAGATTGTGTCCAGGCAGTGGGCCAGCAGGGTGGAGAACTTGCCCCAGGTTACCAGCCTCCAAGCTGAGGAAGAAAACAGTGCTTCTGCACCTTCTCAGTTGTCAAGTCTCACTTCTCACTTGTCAAGTCTCCCCCAAGATTCATGCCCTCCCCCAAGTTCTGGCCAGGAAACTTCATGTTTGGTTGGAATTGTTACAAAGCTCAGCTGGAGGTTTCCTTTTCCCTGTGATCTTTTCCCAATTCCTCTGGCAGCCCTCCCCAAGGACCCCTGTGAGACAAGGCATAAATGGCTTCCCTGGGGACCCAGAAGGCACACAGGGCTTTTTCTGCTGCTTCCTTTACCCTTGTACTTTGCTCAGCACTCTAAATTGTCTCAGTTCCAGGTAAAGTCAAATCCTTCTTCTGTGATCTGGTCCTTCAGATTCCCCAGTAAGGGTGTGTGTTCAGGGGAGGACAATCCCCCTTTCCCACTTTCACAGTTTGGGCACTCAAGTATTTGGGCTCTCTCCTGGGTCCTGCAGGAGCAATCCACTTCCTTCAAAGGGTCTTTGGATTCTCTCGGCTTTCCTGTTATACTCCTGCAGTAGTACTTGGAGCAAAAGTTTATGACGTGAGTCTCCACACACTGCTCTGTCCACCCGAATGGGAGCTGCAATATAGTCCTGCCTCCCTATTCGCCATTTTAAAAATACAGATGATTTTTGACTTTTGATGATATTACATCCTGATAAACTCACCATAAGTCAAAAAATTGTAAGTCAAACCACTGTACGTCAGAGACCATCTGTATATTTTGGTAAATGTCATGAAGAAACAATATACATTTATGGAGAATAATGTTACCAGAGAGAAAAGGTGGTCAAAAAGGGCTTCCCTGGCTTTTGACTGAGATGTGAAGAATGAGATGAGGTGAAATGAGAAGGAACAAGTCACAAGAAATCTCTCTCTATTTCTGTGGGGTATGTGTGTGTGTGTGTGTGTGTGTGTGGGAGTAGATGATTAGGTAGTTGGGCTTACTGTATTAGAGAAAAGACAAAGCATCAAGAGAGAGTCTAAGGTAGGAAATGGCCCAAGATAAGCCAAACACAGAAGGAAACTGTGGAAGGAAAATTACAAAAGAGGAGATTGAAACATGCGCATGAAAAGTTGAGGCAAGGCTATGTAGACCATAGTTATAATTTCACATTTTATCTGATGTTCAATAAGAGACCACTGAGGAATTTTAAGCAATGCAAGAAAAAAATATGATGTAATTTTTAAAAGGAAATTATTTCAACTTGTATTTGCCAAGTAGATTGGGGTAGAAGTAGAAATTAGAAACCAATATGGAGGCTAGTTTTGTGGCACAGCCTAGGGGTTGAAGTGGAACTAGAGGGAACTACAAGAATCCCTATTGTTCCGTCTTCTTCTTTTCTGGGTGAATTACAGTTTTCCAGTGTTCCTTTCAAACCTGGGTACAATGAATTCACTTTTATTTAGGGTAGAGGTAGAAGCCACAGAGAATGCCATTTCCTTCCTAACACTGAGTAAAAAGCTACGTAATGTTTAAAATCATCACTTCTTTGAGTAACTATAGAGTTGAAGCTGAAAGAATAGTAGATGAACCAAATTCTGTAAGTTCCCTGGAGAAGAGTAGCACGCATAGACTCTTCAGCCTTTGGCAGACCAAGGAGGAAGAGGTGACAGTTATATACATGTGAAAATCAGAGCAAACAATTAAAATTCTGATGAATAGTTAAAGGCTGAGTCTGGGAAATTTCAGCAGCCAGAGACAAACTGTATTTGTCAAGTAGAAATGTTAGAAATAAAAACTGTGCTGTCAGAGATGAAGAAGTCCTTCAATGGACTTATCAGCAGACTGAACACAGAAGAGGGGAAACATCAGTAACCTTAAATACATTGATAGAAAGTATCCAAAGTGAAAAAAAAGAGGGGGAAAAAAGCATAAGAGAAAGCATCCAAAAGGTGTTGGAAAATACACAGTGATCTCACATAAAAGAAAGTGGAATCACTGAAGGAGAAAAGAGAGAAATTAAGGCACTAGAAATATTAGGATATAGCCAACAATTCACTAAAATTAATGCAAGATAATTAATCACAGAATCAAGAAGCTTAGAAAAGAATGTACCTTGGCATATCGTCATCAGAATTCTTATTATGGGCTGAATTATATCCTCCACAAAATGTATATGTTGAAGTCTTAACTCTAGTACCTCAGAATGCAACTGTATCCTTGGAAGTAGGGTGTTTAGACATAGTTAAATTAAGGTGTGGTCATTAGGGTGTGCACTAATTCAATATGATTGGTCTCCTTATAAGGAAAAGAAATTGATACAGAGGTACAGAAGGAAGATGATGTGAAGACACAGAGGAAGATGGCCATTTGCAAGGAAGCAGTAAGGCCTAGAACAGATCTTTCCATTCAGGCCTTCAGAGGAACCAACTCTACTGACACCTTGATCTCATACTTCTAGCTTCCAGAACTGTAAGCTAACAAATTTCTGTAGTTTAAGCCTCCTAGTCTGTGGTATACTTTGTGGTATACCCTAGAAAACTAATACAACCCTAGAAAACTAATACAGTGCTGAAAACTAAAGATAAAGAGATAATTCTGAAGGTAGCCAGCTGAAAAAGATGTGTCAAATAAAAGAAACCCAAAAACTAAGAGCAGATTTCTCATCACAGTCTTTACGTGGCAGAAAACAGTGGTGCAATATCTTTAAGATAATATAACAAACAAACAAAAAAACTGTTTTCTCAGAATTCTATGTTCAGCAAAAAGATATTTCAAAAGTGAAGGCAAAATAAAAAACATTTTAAGACAAACAAAAACTGAGAGAATTCATCATTAGCACACATGTACTACAAGGTATTTTAAAAGAAATTATTCAGGTAGAGGAAATGTACAGACAAATTTTAGATCCATACAAATAAAGAGCACCTAGAATGATAAAAGTACATCTAAATATAAAAGATTTTTTAAGTTTTAAAATTGCTTTAAAAGATAATTGGCTGGCTAAACTAAAAATAGCAGGATTTAAACACATATAGAATTAAAATATGTAAACACAGAAGACGAAAGAATCAAGGTGAAAAGACACCATTGAGTTCTTGTTTAAAGTAATGTAATATTATTTGAAGATCAACTAAGGTAATTTAGGGAAGACCCAAATTATCAATATCAGGAATAAATGAGAGGGCATCACTATAGACCCTACAGATATTAAAATGATAATAAATATTATTATAAAATGTATACCTATACATTTGAGAACATGTATGTAAAGGAAAACTTGTTGAAAGGTGAAAACTATTAATGCCACTCAGTAAGAAATAGAAAAACCAAATAGCTCTCTATCTATAAAGAAAACTAAATTTGTAGTCAAAAGCGTTTCTCTAACTTCAGGCCCAAATAACTTCATTGGTGAATTCTACCAAGCATTTAAGGAAAAAATAATACTAATTCTACACAAAATATGAAAAATTTCGAAGAATCTACAAAAATTCTGTCAGAACTAAGAATGGAATTTACAAAATTGCAAGGATACAGTAGTAATATATATTTAGAAAATCAATTGTATCTCTATATATTAATACTGCCAACTAACAATAAAGCATTGAAATTTTTAAAGTACCATTTGCAATAGCATTGAAAATATGAAGTACTTGGGAATATATTTAGGACATAATTTGTGCAAAGCCTGTACACTGCAAGTTACAAAACATTGCTGAAAGAAATAAAATCTAAATAAATGGAGAATTCATAGGTTGGTACCCAATATTATTTTTTGTCAATTTCCTTCAAATTGTTCTAAGTATCTATCAAAAATCACAATCAGAATTCCAGTAAGTTTTTTTCTTGTAGAAATTGGCAATGATTTTAAAATATATGTGGAAACTGAGAAGACTTAGAATGGTCAAAATAATTTTGAAAAAGGAAAACAAAGTTGTAGAAGTCATCAAAACAGTGTGTTATTGGTGTAAGGATAAACATTAAACAGAACAATGGAACAGGACAGAACCACAGACAGAATGGCACAGATAAGCTTGTGTTTTACTGAGCGAAAGTCTTCATTTCTTCTTTCTACATTATTGTTATTGCCTTGCATTATAATCATTTGTTTTTAAATTTATACCTTTAAATGGATTTTGAGATTCTGAAGGATATAATACTGTTTGATATTTCTGTTTACACAAAGTGTCTTGTTTTACCATTAAAAATATGGTCCCATAAAACTCAACCTCTTTTCCAGTATTCTTACTACTTGCTCAGCCTACTTTATCTTATCTACAGCAAATCATCTGAAACATAATAGGTGATCAGTAAATATTTTTAAAAATTAATAAATGAATATGAAGTGAGTCTAACTTCTTGATACAATTTATTTCCATTTTCTGATATAAAAGGCAAGTGAACTAACCATCTTAATAAAAGCACTTTATATAAATGAAACAGCTTTCATTAACTTACTTAACAAGAGTTTATTGATTAACTACAGCCATCCAGACAATGTTTTAAATAGTTGAAACACAAAGCATTATAACACTGTTCATTGTTGTCTTATATTGGTGAAACAGTCCAATCCCTACATTTCACATTTGAAATTTTGTTTCCTTAGTATTTAACCATAATTCCACTTAGTTTAATGGATATATCCCCATAATTATTATATTACTTATCAGGTAGGTTCCTTTTGGGTAAAGTACAGCAGACATTCATGAAACAGACAAAGAAACAAAAAACATGTATGTGTATGCATGTATATATATATATTATATAATATTTAATATGTGTATATATAATCTAAAAGAAGAAAAAGTCGAAAAGCTTATTTCTGCCTAAACTGTTTACAAACTAAAGTTACTATAAATTTATTATTAAAATGTAAATAAAATTTACTAAAACTACATTGATGATACCAATGTAATACTACTCTTCTAATGTAATTGCATTTTTAAAACTTAATGAAGAATTCAGAAAAGATTTATGTTGTCATATATTTTTCAAATTGTTCTCAAAGCACTCTTATTCCCAAATTTTTGACATGGTTTATATTTGCGAAAGTGACTTGAAGAATTTAAAGTAAAACAGAGAAAGCATTTACAAATATTTACCCATGTGCCATTTCCTGTCAGTCTTAATGCCAAAATACGTTTTAAAATAACCACAATTATGCTAACACTTTTCAGAAGTAAAAAAAGAAAGAGATTGAAATTAAATGTGTTTGAAAGCAAATTTAAAAATAGGTAATGATGGCTCCATATTATCCATATGAAAAAGAGAAAATAGATTGTTTCATAAGTTGGGAAAATATATTATTAATTTTTGTAAGCTTGGACCTACAATTTAAAATGTATTTATTAAAAACTCTTCTTTCAAATTTTCAATTCAATAAATGTTTACTAAGTACTTATCCTGTGCCAGGAATTGTTCCAGGGATTTGAGATACATCAATGAGCAAAACAAAGATTTTAGTCCACATGAAGCTTATATCATTGTAAGAAAGAGAAAAAAAATTAACAATAATTAAAATAAAGTCTACACACACACACACACACACACACACACACACACACACACTAGAAGGCAATATGTGCTATGGAAAAAAACATTAGAACAGGGGAGTTTTGAGCATACTGGTTGCAACTTTAAAGAGAATGGTTATGGAATGTTATATTGGGAAAGCACAGGGAGTGGCCATGCATATGTCTGATTGAAGAGCAGGTCAGGCATAGTGAAGTGCCTGTGCAAATGTCCTAAGACAGTGTGGTGGGAGTGTCTGGAGTGTTTGCAGGTGAGGCCAATGTGGCTGAAGGAGAGTGAGCAAAGATGAAAGTAGTAAAAGGGGAGAAGAGGAGAGGGAAAAAGGAGAGGAGGGAGAAAGGAAGAAAGGCATCGATTATTCAGGCATTTTTGGCCGCTGTAAGGTCTATAGATTTTTCTTTGAGTGAAATGAGGAGTTTATAATTATTCCTTCTAATATTCAAGGAAAATAACAAGTAAGGAATGCCCAGGTAATAGCTTGTCCCTCACTGAATGCTCAGCAAAGCCACCTGTCCTCAGTTTTTCCAGAAAGCCTCTTTGATCACCTGACTGTAACTCTTGTGGAGCTACAGTCTCTTCTGAACTCACAGAACTTCCTCTTGGTGTCATTTGATTTACCAGCGACTCATACAGTTCCCACTACATCTTTGCTTTATACGTTTACTTAGCATTGTCTTAAATCTCTACATACATTGTATGTCTCTTGAAGGTAGTGAGTTTGTTATCTTTCTCAATATAGTTGCCTTGCACAAAGAACTCAATGAATATTTTTAAATGAACAGGGCTTCTTGACTTTATATTAGTATCTGTTTCCACACTGCAAGAGCTATCTTGGCTTGGCATAGTGACTCATGCCTGTAATCCCAGCACTTTGGGGGCCTAGGCAGGAGGATTGCTTGAGCCCAAGAGTTCAAGACCACCAGCCTGGGGAAGATGGCAAGATCCATCTCTACAAAAAATTTAAAAATTAGTCAGGTGTGGTGGTGTGCCTGTAGTCCCAGCTACTTGAGAGGCTGAGGCAGGATGATGGCTTGAGCTCTGGAATTCAAGGCAGGAGAGTGCTATAATCTTGCTCCAGCACTCCAGCCTGGGTGACAAAGCAAAACCCTGTCAAAAAAAAAAAAATCTTCCCTATGTCATCTTTTTGATATGTGTGGCTAACAAAAAGTGATATTGCATTTTATTTTTTTGAGACAGGGTCTCACTCTGTTGCCCAGGCTGGAGTGCAGTTGCATGATCACAGCTCACTGCAGCCTCAACCTCCCAGGCTCAAGTGATCCTCCTCTCTGTCTCCCGAGTAGCTGGGATTACAGGCAAGCACCACCAGAGCTGGCTAATTTTTAAATTTTCTATAGAGATAGGGTCTTGCTCTTTTGTGCAGGCTGATCTTGAACTCCTGGACTCAAGCAATTCTCCCACTTTGGCCTCCCAAAGTGCTAGTCTTATGGGTATAAGCCACCAAGCCTGGCTGATAGTGCACTTTTTACTTTTTCTCTGTTATAAGCAAATGTTTTCTTGTTTTTTCTGATTATTGAACTTTTTGTGAAACAAAACTACTTCGTAAACCAGGTTCCCTTTAATCATATTGCTTAATGGAACAGTAAGTCTTACATACTGATCCTAGTTCTTCCTTCAAATACAGTACTTGGTTTCTAAATAGTTATGCTTTTTGTTAAAATATAATATATTCTGATACTGTGTCTACTATGTCATACACATGAAGTTTTACATATTTGACAAATCCATTTTCCCTAATCACATACATTTTCACAGAGTTTAATACTTTCATTTTAATGAGAAATTGATGAAAATCAAGTTACCAACATGATTTGTTGTCTGTTGTTCTACTATGGGTGCATCGTATTAGGAAATTCAATTATATGTCAGTTCTGTGTCTTCATAGTTTTTCTTACACAACATCCTATATTTGGAGAGTCATTCATGGCCCATTGGGAAAGGTTATAACTATAATTAGACCTTTTCTCTAGACACTTGAGCAATGGAATGCATGAAGGTTAGTAACAGCTTCCCATTAATTGCTCCCTTGTGGTTTTACAGTAAAGCCGTTAACTTATGTACTGGGGCTGCTACCCATAGCATCCTTGCACTGACATTTGAAGCAGCGATTAGAATGTCATTGCTTTCCAATACTTCATTGTTATTCAGGGGACACATTCGATGTCTTTCCCCTCATACTGCAGGGATCACAAATTCAGACACACAAAAAATCATCTGTTTCTTTATCGTCGGAATAGGCCTTTTGAAAGTGGGTTTGTTCTGAAAACAGTGTGCACGCTGGACTCTGTTCAGCACAGTGTCACTGTCTTGTCTTTCAAACTAATGGGAACAAAGCAGAATCATTCTTTATGTGCAAAGTAGTGCACCCCAAGGGCAAAACATCTATCAGTATGAAAAATAGTCAAGTAACAACCAAGAAATTGTGTTTTGTAGAAGCTCATGGGTTTGATTGTATGTTTGAGCCAGCACACTGCCATGTTAGTTTTCTCAAATCTTTGAACTTAATAGTTCCTTATTCAAATGTCTTTCTTATCATTTCTACTGCGTGAATTCAACTATTCAGTTTGTCCTGTCAGTACTTGCCTGTAACTCAACTAAGACTGAGATTTACAGGGCTAGAGAGCACAATTATCCTTCTGTCTCAAAAATAAATTACAACTCCAAAGCCCTGCTCTTCCCTCATCCTACTCATTCATTTTTTAAAAATTCTTCGCCATGTATAGCATGAGGATATCATGTTTTAATGAAGAATGTAACCTAGGTCCCCCCGCCCCTCTTTTCTCTCCTTATTTCCTCTTAATGTATGTGTATAAATATCTGTGTGGTGTGAGGGCAAATATATAATATACTATACTATATATATGTATGATTTGATTCATTTCATTTAACAGATTCATATTACAGATTCTATAAAGTGTGGTGCCCTGATATAATTTCTGTTCTTATTTTCAAGGCCATTTCAGACATTTTCTTAAAGAAAAAACACTTTTTATATGCACCTCACCTTAATGTAGGTATCTGATATATTGCCTTCTTGTGAAAAAAAAAATTACTTTTCTGCCATCAGAAGTGGCTGAAGAGTAGTTGCAAAGTTGAAATGATCATGATGAAACTCTGCAGCATGGGGTCAAGAAAAGTTAGAAGGATTATTAAGCAGCTGAAAGATGGGACCAGAGAGGAAAGGTCCCCAGAAGTGAAATTATTGAGGGTATAGAAAAGAAGTGGGAATGGAGACTACATTTAAGTACGTGAAAAGTTGGAATTTAGATTTTTTAAAATAACTCATAGTCGTCAGTGGTTATAGGACAAGAGAAAATGAGCATGGAGTTCTCAGGCTGAAGTAAAAATTTCTTCTACAAGTCAAGATTTAAAGCATTAAAATTTTAAGATTAATTAATAACATTTTAAAGACAATTGCTTTCTCAAAATTATTTTTTAACTTGCCTCATGGCTGCAAACTAAGCAAAATTCCTTTAGTCATGAATGTATCGTTTATTAGTTGGCAGTGTTAGAGACCATGAAAGAAATTGATTTTAGAGTTTCTAGGAACAAAGAGATGGGGTTATGGATGACCGCTGTTGACACTGGATTATGAACGTACATCTTGCAGGCTGCTCCCTATAAAATAAAGGATGAAGGGGCCTCTCTGAGCTGTGCAAATAGTTGGGTGGAGGGGACAAACCTGTCAACCAGAAGGTGCAGATCAAAGAGAACTGATTACTGGGGATGGACCACCAAGAGACCAAGGTGGGAGTAGGGGACATGAGAGTTTTAAAAGGTGTGAAATGAAAATGGGCAAGACAGTCTGGGGATCTTGGGGAATTTCATTAATTTGTGATCAGTGCTCAGTGTTTGTGCAAGTGATGCAACGGGATAATGGAGACTAATACATAAATGCACTTTCTTAAGGAAAAACATAAGGTGGATTGAGACGGAAAGCACAGACTCTTAGAACCTATGCTCTGAATTGGGGGCTCAGGGGTGTGAAATAATATGTCTAGAAATTAGGACAGTTACTGCAAGATGGACCCTTGGATCTTCAGAACTTGAGAGAACAGCTCTCTCTTCTTATATGAAAGGAGAGAAACAGAAGATGAAATGATATGTAAGAAGTATTTGAGGCTGGATGTGAAGCGTTGACATTCTTTCATCCAATACATATTTATTGAGCTCCTACTTTAAGTGCAAATTGCTGTTCCAGTGCTTGAGATATATCAGTGAATAAAAAGACAAAGAATCCTGCCCATCTCAACTTGTATTCAGCATGGGTAGCCTAAAGAATAGTTAAATTACTTAGTATGTAGAAGGTGATGAACAGTGTTGAAAGCAGGCAAGTGGGGCAGGGTGAGGGAATGGCAGTGCCAGGTGGGTGGTTGGGTCACTGTATTAAATGGAGTGGTGAGTAGGCTTCATGGACAAAGCATGGTCTGAGCAAGGACTTGCAAGAGGTGAGGGAGGTTAGGATCCATTCCAGGCTGAAGGAACAGCCATGCTAAGGCTTTAAAGGCAAGAGTCTCTTCACAGAACTGCAGCTTTAAGTGTGGCTGTTCTCAAATAAGCTAAAGGAAGAAAAGTAGGAGACAACACTAGAGATGTAGGTACTTTCTCAAAAGTTTTAACCCAAGTTGATCTCTGTGCTGTTAAACTCACAGAGAGAGAAACATTCTGAGAATGAAAAGTTTTAAAATGAAAAACATTACTATTAAACTTGAAAACCATTTTTTTAAAAAATAGGAATTACCAGAAAACCAAACACTGCATGTTCTCACTCATAAGTGGGAGTTGAACAATGAGAACGCATGGACACAGGAAGGGGAACATCACACATTGTGGCCGGTCAGAGGGTGGGGGGATAGGGGAGGGATAGCATTAGGAGAAATACCTAATGTAGATGACAGGTTGATGGGTACAGCAAACCACCATGGCACGTGTATATCTATGTGACAAACCTGCATGTTCTGCACATGTATCCCAGAACTTAAAGTATAATTTTTAAAAAAAGGAATTACCAAGCTAATGTTATAATACAGCTTATTTCACAAAGATATGAGAGTGTAACAATTTTTGAATTCTAACAAGAAATTCAACTAGAAACTTACATTGCTATTCACTGGTTTATACACATAGAGACTTCTGTGGGTTTTTTTGTTAGTTTGTTTTGTTTTGTTTCATTTTGTTTGAGACAGGGTCTCACTCTATTCCCCAGGCTGAAGTACAGTGGTACAATCTCGGCTCACTGCAACCTCTGCCTCCCTGGCTCAAGCTACCCTCCCACCTCAGCCTCTGGAGTGAAAGGGACCACAGGCACCAGCCACCACACCCCACTAATTTTTTTATTTTCTGTAGTGACAGGGTTTCACCATGTTGCCCAGGCTTGTCTCGAACTCGTGGGCTCAAGTAATCTGACTGCCTTTGGCTCCCAAAGTGTTGGGATTATAAGCCTGAACTACCCGCACCTGACCCACATAGAGACTTTCAACTCCTTCATATTTAAATTCTGGATTTGATGTTCCATACTCTGTAGAAAACATTTTTTAATATTAACTTTTCTCCTCAGCCTTTTCCTTAGCTATCTACCTCAACTCATTTTACTGTATCTTCCATTTATAAAGTCACATGGTTTATTTCCACTCTCAGTGTATAGAAATGCAATCTTCTTTATTTTCTATAACTCAATTCATTTTGCTGTTGAATCACTTAGTATTATTATTCCTGATGGCTGAGAAAAATACATATTTTTAAAAACACCATAATACTGAATATGTTATGTAAGTATTTGAATTCAGGATTTTTTCCTCTCCTGTTTCTCCCAAGGGGCAGGTGAGGCTTATATATTGTCTCTCTTCTTCCAGATAGCCTGTGCTGTTGTCTCAGCTGCTGGTTTAACTTGTGGCTAGTTATCTTCTCTTAGGAGCCCATTCATCAACCTGTGTTGACCAGACTTCCATTTTGGCTCTTATTGAAGGTGATTCCCATAAAGGAACAGTTGAGAGGAAGCCACCTCTGCCTCTGAGATTTGGGTTTTATTTTCTGTCTTTCCACCATCTTGAGGTTTTGAGTCCAAGAAGAAGGAAGAGAGAAAGGCCTCACACTCACATCACAAATCACAAACTTCTTGCTTCCCTCTCTCTCCTGACCACCTTCTTCCCACAAATTTTGCTCCCCACTCATCCCAAAAAGAGTTTTTTAACCTCCTCACAGGATAGATGAAGCAGCAAATATTTGTATCTGGTATCTTTCTCAATCTATATTATTTAAAAAATGCTCTTCTCTTGGGTTGCCAGCCTCTGATTCTCAATATTTAAAGGGAAGATTCTAGAATTTAACTTACTTAAATTTTAGCTCCTGAAAATAAAAGCTTTGGCTGTCACAACCAATGCAGCTGAAATTATTTTTAATGCTCATTTTGCAATTCAACCTTGAAATTGTGATCACCCAACCACTGGATGCTTCAACTTTAATGGGTGAGGAACTAAGAAGCACAGGACAGTCCTCCACAAAACACACTTAGCTGATTGCTTTGTTTATTCTCAGCAATTACAAATTAATATTTGTTGTACTGAAATGTATTTCTAATTGATGTAAGGCAAATTACCTTACACTCAATCTAAGAAAGTTGAATATTCCTATACAAATAGAAGATTAGGTTGTCATTTTGCCTTTTCATATCATTCTGAGATGGATACAACTGCTACATTTTACATGCTTAATGAGAATAGATAACATGGTATTATCTTCCTTTGGTTAAACAACTCAATGGTCTGTACACCATTGTTGCAATGAGTTGCAAAATAAATTATTTCTTTCAAGCTAACAAGGTAGGAAGAGAAGTGTGGGCTGGAATAGGTGATGGCATGGGAGGCAGAAAAACTGGCTTAGATTTCTGTTAATTCTGTTTAATTCTCATTAAAACCTATAGATTCTAGAAAATTGTGCAAAATCTCAGTTTTATTTCTATAATGAAAATATAATATAAGTTTTGTAAGTTATTTGTGAGAGTACCTAAGATAATATATTTGAAAGTTCTTTGTGAACATTTTATAATATTCTATGCAACTATAAGTTACTATTATTAACAATAAAAATAATGACCAGCAAAGGCAGTACTTTAAAAATTACATTAAGATTTATATCATTTCAGATGTGAGCTATTTATAATAGCCTTAGGAATTGTCTGCTTTGAAAGGACTTCAATCTATATCAATTGAGGATATACTATGTTCTCAGTACTCTGAAGTACTTGTCACCTCAAAGGTACGACATTTCAAAAAGTGCTCTTTCTCTTATAGACAAGCAGTATTTTCCAACTATAATAACTAACAGAGAAAGAGTGAACAATGTACAATCTTATTCTAGAAAAAAGTTTATATTTGACTTATAGGAATTTTATATAAACAAATAGACAAATGAAGGAGTATTGATTTCTTTAACAACCCCTTTATGAAAATCTTTAGCAAAATATGCTGCTGTCTTACTTATTAAGCCTATCTAGTATTTACATGGCTTTTCTAAAATAAGTTAGAACAAATGTCATAAAATAATTATAATATATATTTCTTGGTACAGGTTAATTGAATAACTGAGTATCGTAATAACTTGGTGAATTAAAGAGAAGCAGGTGATAGTTAAGCTCTGATCTTTGCTATCAAAAGAAAAGGTTGATATAATATTGTGCATGATGGCCAGGCACGGTGGCTCATACCTGTAATCCCAGCACGTGGGAGGCTGAGGCAGGCAGATCATGAGGTCAAGAGATTGAGACCATCCTGGCCAACATGCTACTAAAAGTACAGAAATTACCTGGGTGTGGTGGCAGGTGCCTGTAGTCCCAGCTACTCGGGAGGCTGTGGCAGGAGAATCGCTTGAACTCGGGAGGTGGAGGTTGCAGTGAGCCAAGATGGCACCACTGCACTCCAGCCTGGTGACAGAGTGAGACTCAGTCTAAACATATATATATATATATATATATATATATATATATATATATATATATATATATATAGAGAGAGAGAGAGAGAGAGAGAGAGAGAGAGAGAGAGAGAGAGACAGAGACAGAGAGAGAGTGCATGACTTTACATCTTTTTTACATCTTTTTCCCTATTTTATATCACAGAATTTTCAAATGACCTCTAATTGTAAAATTAGACAGCAGCTCTAGGAAAGACTGTTTTAATAAAATAATTTTAAATGAAGCATATGTACCTTATTTAAAAATAATTACACTCTACAGAAGGTGTAAAATGAAATTTACCTCCATCCCCCATCTCCCCAGGATTATTTTCCAGGGTGGCCATGTTTTTATTACCTATTTAGTTTTCTGTTGAATACAAACATAATTCTGAAGTGCCTATACCTGTATTTCTTGATTAATTAATTCTAGGCACTTAGTCTACCTCCCACCTCTTTTACCAACCTATTACTTACAGAGTTTCTTAATTAGCCCATTGTATTAGTCATGGTTCTCCAGAGACAGGATACATAGACAGACAGACAGATAAATAGTCAGACAGACAATAAGGAAATAGCTCACATGATTGTAGAGGCTGAGAAGTCATAACTGTAGTTGGCAAGGTGAAGACCCAGGAGAGCCAATGATAGAGTTCCAGTCCAAATGCCAGCAGGCTTGAGACCCAAGAAGAGCCAATGTTTCAGATCAAGTTTGAAGGCAGGAAAAGACCAATGTCTCAGCTCAAGGCAGTCAGGCAGATGGAGTTCCCTCTTACTCTGCCTTTTTGTTATATTCAGACTTTCAACTGATTGGACAACGGCCATGGACAACGGCTATCCATATTAGGGAGAACAATCAGCTTCACTCAGTCTACTGATTCATGTATTACCGTCTTCCAAATATACCCTCACAGAAACATCCAGGTTGTTTGACCAAGTACATGAGCACTGGGTGGCCTAGTCAAGTTGATACATTAGATTAACCATCCCACTTGTTGTTTTTCAAAACTTCTAGTGATTTTACTTATAACTTTAAATAATATACTTCAACTTCCATTTCTTTATCTACTTTAAATTTACATTATTGACTCTTACCATGATGAGTACACTACTGAATTTATGTTCTGTCCATCACTTTCTCTACTGCTAACCCATACCTCTGTCAGCTATGCCATTGCTTTTTGTTGCTTCATCAGGGTTTAGAACTTTTACATTTTTGTTCTGTAGCTACAAGTAGGTTTCCCATGATATTTCAGTAGTTCTGAACCTTGGCTGCATGTTAATTAGCCGGATATTAAAAAAAGAGCTGGGGATGTTAAAAAAGAAGTTGATGCCAGGCTTCACTCGAGACAAATTAAATCAGAATCTCGTGTTGACATTTTGAATTACAGTTTTTGTAATAAGATATCTAAGAAACTCTAACATGCCACTACATTGAGCACTGCATGTGTGCTGATTAATCCTAAAAATTGGAAGCCACCAATAAGCTGCATTTATATTATGATCATACACATATTATTAACTAGAATATCAAGTGGAGTGTGTGTGTGTGTGTGTGTGTGTGTGTGTGTGTGTGATTACCTTAGAAAAAGAAACGTACTCTCATTTTACTAATCCTACGTGGCACCAGTGAGACTATATGAAGTGTCACATTTATGTTCAAATGGGTTCTCTTCTCTTATACTTCATCAATTAAGTGAAGTCCAGCCACAGCATATTTTGGGTTATATTTATCTCATGTAAAAGAAACTGTTTCTCTTCTTTTTCCATTGATAGAAGAGACATTTATCTTTTCTATAATTTGAAAATCTTCCAAGTTCTTAGTCATACAAATTGTGAAATGTAATCCACTTACTTATTTGATTCATTATTTGTGTTAATATTTTAGAAAGAATAAATGTATTGTGAGCTCTTATTTTTTGCTTTTATAGTTGTACATTTCCATCGTTTTTTATTCAAGTCATTTTCCTTTAGAACTTTTTAGAAGTTTAATCTTATTAAATACTCCCATTTACTCTGTTTCACCTCCAACTGTTCCAACACCAGCTGAATATATGGCAATTCAGTTCTGACATTAACTACTTGGAACTGGCATAGACTCCATAGTTAAAAGTGAAGTCTTCCATGAGACTTTCCTCACTTTAGACACCAGCCCCAATTCTCAGGGTATGCCTAGGTCACCTACACTTCTGACCAACTGGCTACAAATTTTGTGATTCCCATGATCCCATCAGGTTTGATAAATCACTGGAATGACTAACAGATCTCAGGAAAGTGATTGTATACTTATGATTAGAGTTTTATGTGAAGGATACAATAGAGTACGGTCTGGGATGCAGAGCTTCTGTGCCTTCTACTCGTGGAATCAGTACATATCACCCTCCTCATACATTGATATATTGACCAACTAGGAAGCCACGGAGCTTCCTTTCCCAGAGTTTTGATTGGGGTTTCATTAAATAGGTATGATTGGTTAAATTATTGGCCACCTGGTTGAACTCCATCTCTAGCCTCTCCTCCCTCCTTGGAGGTCAGCCATCTGAAATGTCCCAAACCTTTAATCATGTGTTTGGTCTCTCTGGTCACCAGCTCCCATCCTGAAGCTTTCAAGAGGCACACCCAGAGAAGCCTCCTTAGCATAACAAAGACATTTCTATCATTCAGAAAATGTAAGGGGTTTTTGAAGTTCTGTTCCAGGAAACCAGGACAAAAACCAGTCAAAGTATACCATATTCAACATGGCGGGTAAATGTGGTAGAGAAGAAGGAGAGCAGTGCCTGTCTGGAAATAGGAATGCCACCTGATTTTGTGCTATAAGGAACTATGGTAGCCTGGTCCCCATGGAATTGTGTATAGTAATTTATTAGCAGGAAGGAATAGAAAATAAGAGATTTATTGTCCATTATCTTTATCATCTTATTCTTTTAAAATTTATCTAGTGGTTCCTGCAGCTAGGCCTGGAGTACAATTGTTATAAATTGTTTAAAGTTTATATTTTCCTGATGCTTCAACATCCCCACAAACAGGCTGTGAACACCCCCCCAGGTAACTAGGGGTACCTGTGTAATAATGCTTCTCCCTGCCACAAGTTTCCCTTCCTGCCCTCTCCTGAATATGACCTCATGACATTCAAATGCACAGTAAAATCCCCTATTAACAGCATTTGCCAAGTGACCCTCTCCCTCTCCCCTTCCCTTTCTCTGTCCCTCTCTCTCACTTCTCTACCTGCTTGGTTGAGCCCCATCCCTGGGAGCTCTGCCCGTATGTCCTCCTGCATGGTATGCAATACCTCCTGTTTCTAGAACCTGTGAATATAATACATTTTTAAATTTCATATGCCTTTCTGAGTGTAATTTCTGTGGTCGTGTTGGAATGATTCTTAAAGACCCCCATAAAGGGGGCTGACTCCCCCATTTACAGAACAACAACCCCACTTCAATTAGAGGCTCCCCTCATTCTACACCAAGCCTATTTGATAAAATTAACTGGAAAATCCTAACTTAAGTAGGGTAAAATTTTTGGTATTTTAACACACATAGTTTGTGATGAAAAAAACATAGTTCATATGTATGAACTAGCTAATAATAATACTTGTTACTATAATAATTAATATTTATCAAGGGCTTGCTATGACTTTTTATATGTTATGCTTTCCTTGCAATATTTCATTTACTCTTCACACAAATATATAAGATAGATAGTAATATTATTTACATTTCACAGAAACTGAGGCCTAGAGATATTAACTAAGTTGCTTATATTCACAGTAAATGATAGTGCTAGAATTAGGATGTCAGCCTGTATAACTTTAAAAAAAGCACACTTTTAACTGTGATGATTTATTGGCTGCTTGTCTCTGATATTTGGACTACCTGATAAAGTGAGGTTTACAGATAATAATGGATTCTGAAGACACTTGGAAGTACACATAATGAAATTTTTTTTCAGAATATTTCAAAGGATGAAATGGTTCCACCATTGTCTTCAGGAAACCTTAACACATAGTTATTAGTTATTTGGTTCCTTATTTTAAAGAAAGAATCGATATATCTCATTTGAATGCCTGTGCGGTAGACTTTCCTTGATGACACCTTCAATGATGACTTGAAAACATCAACAATCATTAATATCTAGAATCTACATGTCCTACATTAAAAAAAAATCAGAGTTGTGATGATAGAGTAAATATACAGGTAGTCAGAATGCTTATTTGGTGCTTTAGGCAATTTGTATATATCTAACAGGAAAGCTGTTATGATAGTGTTTTACTAAATTTGAAAATGTTATAGGCAAGTTTGGGAGGTTATCACGCTCAGCTTCTTCATCTTGCCTGAGGCCATGTTATTTGTGCTTATATAGAACAAGGAACAGAATGGAGGAAGAATGGTTCCATTTGCTTGCTGGTTCACAATGGTGGGCATTTGATTTATTCAGTCTTTGTACTTTTATCAGAGCTCTGCCAACCATCTGTGTTTTAGAGGTGTTATAGTATCAGCCTGGGTCGCATTTTCTATCTTTTATAATCTGCCCAGCTCCTGAAAAATTATTGCTGTTTCCTTCTTCCTATAATCAAAATGTCAGTGTCTCCCACCAAATAGGTCTTGCTCCTTGACTATGAACATAGAGGCCCATAAAAAAGCTCATGTGAATCAAGTTTATAGGGACAAAGCAGTACCCTTATTTTACATAAAATTCAAGAGCCATTTTTTAGATGAAAACAACCACTTTCAAAGAAAAGAGCAGCAAGTTTTACTCCATAAACAGATTACTTATCATAACTTCAGGTAGATAAAGAGTGATCACTTTGTGTAAAGTCGGAAAATTTTTTCTATCATAAAGAGTATAAAGTTATAAACAATTATGTGCTAATCCTTCATGGCATTGGTAAATATAACCATCCAGCATAAATGCCACTTTATTAATTCCTTTTGGACCCATCTCTGCTTCTGTTGTTTTTAATATTGTCTCATTTTCCTGTGAATGAAGTCAAAGCCAATTGAGAGAAACTAAACTGAGCTGTCTTCTCTGTTCTCCTGGCTGCAAGGATGCTTAGCTTGGATAGAGCTCTCACAGAAGGTAACGGCTTGGAAACATCTTGGCCACCTTGAAAAAAGAGGATTTTGAGAAATTGGCAGTCACTATTCAAATATATTTAGGCACGTGGAACCTAATTAGAATAATTGAAGTTAGACAAGTTAATAAAAAGATTGCATTCAGTCTGCTTGCTTTTCCAGTTATTAAATTTTAGTGTGTCTACTCTCACTCTGGTTCTAAGACAGGTTTTATTGTGTGTTTGTTTTTGTTTTTAGGGGATGAACAGCTTCTTTTTCTGTCACTGCCCATGAGATGTTCAAAATGTCCAAAATAAAATTATTCCTCACTTAATAAGAGGATATGAATATGCCTGGCCAGTATATCGAAGCTCTTGTCCACTGACATTACTGTGCTCTTATAAAATAGTTAAATGTTTGTTACGTTTTCAAGTTGGGGACTCATATGCAGAAAAAGTTTAAAAGTAGTAATAACCCAAGCATACCACTTGAAAATAATTAGTATTTTAACATTCTAAGCTGGATGTTATTTTCATTTTTTATCTCGTCTAATAATTGCCAGGTACCTTATGGTATTTTAATGTTGATTTTTTATGCATAATGTGAATTTAATGCTCTGATGTGTCCATTTGCAATTATGTAAGTTGTTGAAGAGTAACATATTCAGGAGCTGACAGATGTACACAAATTCATACAGGACAATCCCAGTGCCTCTGAGAGTGAGAATTCTCATCATAAAAAATAAGGAAGAACTTAGAAATAAAAGGACCGGATTTCCAGGAACTTAGCTGTCGTGTAGTAAATGCCTCTCGTAAGGTGGTGGTTAATCTAGTCATCCTTCTTTTGATCCAGACTAGGTAGCTACCTCACCCCCATTTCTAGAGTTTTGTGCATGTAGAACAGAGGCGCATGATCACCTGAACTTCCCAGTAACATGCCCGTGGCCCAACCCTCCCTCATGACCACATTTACATAAACACAGGCAATGACAATGCGGGCTTGTTGAAACTGAGAGAATAATTTACAAATTAATGAATTAGTCTATGTTTAAACTTCCAACTAACAAGAAAATCATTTATTTACCTAACAGGCTGTAGTTCGATTACAGGCCATTATTGCCCCTTAAAAAATGAAACTGTGTTTGCATATCCAAACTAGGTTTGTATTTTATGTTCTATTTCACATCAAGGAAGCATTTTCCAAAGCTAACAACTCTCATTAACATATAAAGTAGAATTTGTATAAACCAGCATTTAACATTTGGAATTTAAGTATAGAAAAACTCAAGTTTATTTTTGTTCTTTTTAATATGCAATCTGGCATATGGAATGAGACAATGAAAATAATAGAGATTCTGGGTGCAAAGATCAAGATTCTTATGGTAATACTGTCACATTACAGGCTGTGTGATTGTGGGCAAATTGATCAGCCTCTCTGAACTATACATATAGTGCTATAAGCTAATACCAGAATTATTTGCTCTACAGAATTTCAGTGAGCATCAACAAAAGCTGTAAATACTTTGAGAACAAGGATAACAATTTACCCAGTCAATAATAACAAAGGATAAACATTCACTAAAAATAACAATCAAGTATTTGTAGCATAAATGAATAAATAAGTAAATTAATGAAATTAAAAAATGATCAAATTTTTTAAAAATTTAATTCACCTTTTGTGTTTACCTTGTATTATGTATATATATCCTTGGTACCATAGTTACTTTAAAAAACTCTAAAATAGAAAATTGGTCAACTAGTGTATATTTTGTCTATGCACAGAATCACTGAGGAGATTTACTAAAAGTATAGAATTCCCATCCTATGCCTATAAAATCTTTTAATGAGTCCAGGATGGCTCTTTGGAATCTGTCTTTAGCCAGTGCCTTAGTTGATTTTTATACAGTAGTATTAGTTTAAAAACCAGCATGGGGAACTACTCTCAGATTTCTCTTGAGTTCCTTAAAATCACATATTACACTTTAACACACACATATATGGTGTTTATTATGGGCCACGCACTGTTCTAATGCTTTAAATACATTAACTCATTAAAGCGCTACAGCAGTGCCTTAAATGGTATACTTCACTCATAGTGAAGTAGGTGCCAATATCATCATCTGCATTTTACATATGAAGAAATTGCAGCTCAGGAGAATCACACGCCATGCCTGAGGTCACACAGCTAGAAGGTAGCAGAGCAGGCATCAAACCCAGTCATTCTGACTCCAGAGTCCCTGCTCTTTAGACCTTTATACTATGCTATTTCTCTTATATTTCTGCCTTGCAATTTTCTTGAACAGTTTGTAAAAATTCTTTGACTAATTTGAATGAACTTAGAATAAATTATTTTGAATTGTGCAACTTTTGTTGAGCTCCTCCAGGTAATCAGTATTACTCTAATTTCAAAGTATACAAAGATTAAATAAGGCTGTACCTTTCACTCCAAGGATATTACAAGTTAATAAATGTTCCAAACATGAGAGCTATGCCACCACTAACTTAGGACCATGACATCCTAGCTTGTTTATTCCAGGAAGCCAAAACTGAGATGAGGTTTTGCATACAAGAAGTTTATTTTGGGCAGTGACCCCAGAGAATAGTGAGAAACTGAGACAAGTGTAACAGAAAAGGAATGACAGAAAAAACAAGGATATGCTACTGAGCTGGTTACCATTGTGGACAACTGAGCCTCCATCCTACTGTGTTGCTCATAGTAGCAGTGTGGAAAACGCCCTTGAAGGTGGGCAGAGGAGAAAATTAAATGCATTGGCTCTGTCCCCATTGGTTAAGGATTGTCTCAAGGGATGTTAATGTCCTCTCACTTCCAAGTTTGTGTGTGCATCAAATTGGCTAAATGGATCCGGCTGCAATGGGTAGCAGCACCTAAGTTCCAAAGTCTTAGGACTAAAAACAAATGTGTGCTACAGCTGTATGCAACTGGCTGCCACAGCAACAACCAGAGTATAAAAGGTGGGCCCTAGAACCTTGCTACTCAATGTGAGGTCCAGAGCCCAGCAGCATCTGTATCACTCAGGAGCTTGTTGAAAATGTAGAATCTAGCTGGGCACGGTGGCTGATGCCTGTAATCCAGCACTTTGGGAGGCCAAGGTGGATGAATCACTTGAGGTCAGGAGTTCGAGACCAGCCTGGCCAACATGGTGAAATACTGTCTCTACTAAAAATACAAAAAAATTAGCCAGGTATGGTGGTGGGCACCTGTAATCCCAGCTACTCCGTTGGCTGAGGCAGGAGAATCACTTAAGCCTGGGAGGTGGAGGTTGCAGTGAGCTGCCTGGGCAACAGAGTGAGACTCCGCCTCAAAAAAAGAAATGCATAACCTTCAGCTCACCTTAGAACTAGCAAACCAGAATCTACGTTTTAACTAGATACCCAGGTGATTTACATGCATATAAAAGTTTGAGAAGCATCTGCCCAGAGGATATAAACTGGGGCTCCAAAAGTGTCTGATATTCATAGCCTGCAGGTCCACTGGTGACCCGACTCCTCCATCCTTCTCTAGGCTCTTTTATTGCCCTTTCTCATGTACTAACTGTGCTTCAACCACACTGGCTTTTCTCAGGTCTCATAACCAGGCCAGTTCTTCCCCTGCTCAGGGTCTTTTCCTAGACTGTTTTCCCTGCCTGTGGTGTTCTCTCTTTGCCCTTCATATGCCTGACTCTTTTTCATCCTTTGAGTCTCAGCTTAAATAACATCTGCTTATTGAGGCCCTCCCTGTACAAGATTGTAAATTAGGATCTGCACTGTTATTCTCTACCTTTGCCATTGGTTTTAATTTTTTCCTTGGTAGCACAATTTATAATGTTGTACATTTTGTTTTTTTACCTGACTATTATCTATATCTCATGCTAGATTATAAACTCTTCATACAGGTAAGAACTGCACAAGAGGGTTCACAATTGCATCCCTGGAGTCTACCCCAGTGTTTCACATCTGACAGAACACAATATGCATTTGAATGAATGACCAAAAAGTTGGAAAGAAGACAGGATTTGAACTAAACATATGTATTAAAGCTTTGGTTCTAATCAGTAATCCACACTAATCTCATATCATCTCAGCTTTTCCTATCTATAAAATGGAGATAATATGATATACTTCCTGGAATGATTGTGAACATGAATGTGTTTTAGAACTCCATGCTCCCTGGAGTTGTCTTTAGCTTGGATAATCTTAGGATATTTTAGGGGCTGTAGGATATTTGCTAACAACATAAGACTAGGCAATATGTTTCAGGCAAAGTTTAAATGAGTAATTTTGACAAAAAAATATGGGTTACAGTGCCCTTTTTTGACCCATTTTCCAAAAGCTATTTTCCTATCAGTTCTGTACTATTGTAACACCTTACCCCCATCATAAAAGCTGAAATGGTATGATAAGAAACAGAAGTGAGCCTATAAATAGAAAATTTTCACCCAATTTGTAGGTCTTACCTGGTGATGTTGCCTTTGTGTGGGCTCTTGGTATATTTTGTTATGTCATAAAATACATACCTATTTCCACTGGGAGAGTCTTCAGTTGGAGCTCCTGTTATCTTGGCATCAGGAAAATTTCCTAGAACCGTGTGTTTGCCCCAATGTTTATATCAATAAATTAGACTTCTACATTATAAGGTGAGACACCCCTGCTATAATATTTAACACAAGTCAAATCACAGAGGAAAGGGTTTAGATTTTATGACATACCCTGTTCAGCCTCTGATTTCAGATTTCTGTTGTTATAAAGTGGACCCTTTAGTCCACTTATGTTGAGATTGAGTATGACTGGCTCATGAGAGGTACTGAAATAATTTAAAATATTATTACATACATAAATAGAAACAGTATTTGAAGATAGGTAGAAACTACAATGAGTGCACAAAGAAGGGAGTAGTGATCAGTTCCATTCTAAGCATGTGAGAGTATCAGAAAAGTTGCATGGAAGAGGAGGTGTGGAAACTGGCCTTCAAAAATATCTAAGAGTTTGCCAGTTTGAGAAGAAATTAAAGACATTTCAGGCTGAGGAAACAGTAAAGAGCATGTGGGCAGATGGTGCATTCAGGGATAACTTCAATTCATGTGTACAACGAGTCAATGTTAGAATAATAATAAGACAAAGAATGACTAAAAAATCTTTGCCTCTGCCTTAGTGGAGCTCATAGCCCAAGTGGTGGCTGCACAGGCATTTGCTTTGTGTGTCAGTTTAAAAGTGTTCCTGCCAGGGGGACAGACACTCACATGGAGATTGGAAATAAAGACATCAGTTGGGTGGTTCTTAGGGTGGTACAGGCAAAAGGATTTAAGGATTTGGAACAGAGGATTTTTTTTTTGAGACATCATCACTCAATCCCCACTATTGTCTGTTTTTTTTTTAATGAATTTAAGACCATTGGCCTATATTTTCATACTTGTTCTTTTGTGAAATGGAAATGGGAGAAAATATGCATACACACACACACACACAGTCACAAGATGCAATCTGTGCCCTCAAAATTTTCACATTTTCCCACATGAAATTAATAACTTTATATCATCTGTCATTGTGAAAACATTTAAATATGAATTCAAAAGTTTACAAATTAACCTGAGGCTAGTACTGATCAGAAAGTTCATAATGATAATTGATTCAATTCTGAATAAACTCTTTGATAAACAAGAATAAAAACTATTGGACCATACTTTTTATGCCTCACTTTCCCCGGGCTTTTGAAGAGTTATGCTCACACATAGCAATCTAAACTAGAATACTTTGCCAGATAAGAACTTAATGTAAATATGAAGTGTTCTCTGAAATAGCAATTTACTTAAAAGTTAGTTGTATTTTGATTTACTATTTTTATCATAGACTTTTAAAATTAATATTTCACCACAAGATCAATAGAGAAGGGAGAAAAGAAAAGGAGAGATGTTTTCTAAATTGTCCACATATGAATATTAAAACATAACTTTTTAGGACAAACAATTCAAACCCCTATCTGCATTTGCTGACAATGGCTAATGACTTGACTATGTTGGCTTATCTTCAAATTCAAGTACCATACATGATGCAACCAGGGCTTATTTGGTACATGGACTAGTTAATTCACAGCAACTCTATGAAGCAGCTGTTGTCACTCCTGTTTTGCAGAAAAGAAGACTAACTCTGAAAGATTTAAAACTTTCTTGAAATTGTATAAAAGATATCAGAGTGAAAATTTGAAATATGTGCTCTATGTCTAGTGCTCTTCCACCGTATCACCCTGACCTTTCAAATCAAGGTCATTAGTCACTACTACTTTCTCTATAAACCTTCTCTATAAACTCAACATGCCAGAAATATTAGTGGGTTGAAAAATAATCAGGTAGACAATCAAAAGAAAATGAAAACATTTCAAAATAGTTTTCTGTAAGAACTTAGACCTTACATTAAAAATGAATAATTAATCAATAAATAAAAGTATTAGTTTTAACTAACTTGACTATAGCTATAAGTTTAATAGATTTAACCTGTTAACATTATTTAGAGAACATTTCATCTGTTTATCCTCAGACCATCTGCTGGAAAAAAGCTGTTAGCATTAGTTTGAATCTCATGATGAGAAAACAGATATTTGTATAGCACATATTACAAGAAGGAACAGTGTTGTGATTTCAGTCACAGCCACAGGAATATGCTACCTGATGAACTGTATCTTGTCTCTCTGGAAATTACTTCAGTCTTCACTTCTGTCCATCTGGAATCTTTCATGAATAATATGTTTAATTACATGACATTAAATACAAATAAAATTCTTCTTACTTGTCATGCAGGCTATTTCTGTCATTTAAGATTTTTCATTTAGGTAATTTATCAGTGACTATAAAACTAATTATTAACATATTTTTCTTATGCTATGGTTGTTATTGATAGCTTTTCTCCTTCACATACTGATCCAGTATAGAATTATGGTCATCTATTAAAATAATGTAGTCTTTCTGTGTTTTTATTACTTAGCTGAACATATCTACTCTATGTATGTGTATGTATAGATATGTTTTTTTCCTGATGCATGTTCTGTTGCTTAAATAATCACTTTAAATCAAATAATTTGGTTCTCTACAAACTGCTTGCTACAACTGCCTGAATATAACATGTTTCTCATAGTAAGTAAAGAAAGTAGAGTTCTTTCCTGTTTCAATATTTCTCTATCAATACAATTGTTGGTATTTTATTTACAGGATAGGATAGAACTTTCCTCTCTTATTTACTTCCTGTCTCTACCTCATTATTGATATAAACACAGTTTCCACATTTTCATTTATTAACATTAAACTACCTAAGAGTAAAGGCCAAATGATGCTTTGTAGATGGCTAACTCTTTCGTCTCCAAATTCATAGAATATTGTTGACCCAGGTCCTGAGTCAGCAGGGCATACAGCAGTATTTGCAAATACGTTAAGCATTTTTTTTCATTTCAATAAATATCTGGTGAATTTTTACCCTTAGGATTAATATACACTGTTTTTCTAAGTTTCAGGAAAGTTGAAGTCAGCCTCTCAGAGCCTGTGGATCATCATATTTATTGTTTTAGAAATCACTTAGATGCTCAACTGTGCAATAGAGCAGAATTAATTCACCTAGAAACAGAAAGAAACTGAGCAGTGTTGCAGATAATCTTGTGATTTCCATAGGCACAGAGTGTTAAACATGACCCTGAAGAGACTTACACTGTGTCTCATTATGGTTTGGAAAGATGTTTGGATTCATACAGATGAGACCTTTAGGGATGCAGTAATAATGCCCTACAGATAGATTCACTGTCCATAACTTTTCAGTTTATGTCTTGGTTAGCTTTCAGTTCATAACCAGAAACTTTTGTGTTTAGGTACAGCAATTTGGACTCACTATTTTTCTCTAATAATTAGGAGACTACAGTTATCAGTTATTAGTTCATAAACCAATAAAATTAGGCACCTATTAAAAAGATAGGTCATTAGAAAATTTATTTTATTAATCTGATATCAGAGGTGATATAAAACTTGAAATACTGATTGATATTACTTGTGATTATAAATTATTTAAAATGGAAAATTATTTAAAATGGAAGTGTAGTTGAAAGTTTTCTGAAATATCTGAATAATAGTGTCATGAAATGACTTTAAAATAATTGTTTAATGATAAAAATGAATAGCTGTTCAATTTTTTAAAAACAAATTCTCCATGCATTGAATCAAGAGTTAAACTCCATTAAAATATTTCACATTATCTGTAGGGAAAATACTCTACATGTAGACCTCTTGGGCTTTATATGCACATAGACTGGCTTAGAGTGTAATATAATTTTATTTGCATTAATAATACTGAACAAAAATACAAAGGCAAAAATGATCAGGTCTCTCTACCTTGAAAGAGCATTTGGAATGTTGAATGTGAAGAGGCATTTGTCCCTGAAAAGTTTATATTATCACACCAATATACACTTCTGATTTTTTATTACATGTATACACTAAGATGTTATAAAAGTCAAGAGTTCCTGAAAATCCTTTTTTCAAAGCAAAGTCAGTAACTAAATCTGTGTGCATTTCTGACTAGATTATTTTGATTGATTTAGGAGTGTCTTACATAAATGCTCAATAAATATTTGTTGAATAAGTGAACAAGTTGTCAGAAAAAAAAATCACTGGAAATTAATTACTTAAAATACATTGACCATACCAGGTCAAGATTCCCCTTATTTACATTGTCCATTGTTGTCACAATGCCAGGGTATCAACATGGAAAGATTAAATCCACAATTTTGCCAGATTATCTATCTATGTATCCCTGTTATAATATACTTTAAAATCTCTGTAGGTTTGATGACACATCACTTTTATTCTGAATTCTAAGCAGTTTTAAAATCAGCTGAATTAGGCTTCATTTAATATACAGTTATTTACCTTATCTTAATACAAATTGTTTTCTTCAGGAATTTACATACAGATTTTAATGAAACTATAGTTTTATGTGCAACATGAGATATTATAAATTTTTGTTATTTATTATTATTAGTCCCTAAGTATTCAAACTCATGATTTAATAATCTTTTCCACTATCGAGTTTCTCTACTGTTTAACAAGCTCACCCAGCCAAAATTACCCATATGACTGGCTTATGCATCTACTTAGCTATGAATGACAGCTCTATTCTGCATAGGAGTTCTTTCCTCCTTGTTCCATTTCACTTCCTCCTTTCCTAGCCACCTGGGCTGAATTTCTGTTGACATCAGCTACAGCAGCTTCATGAGTGTTTTATTCTCCCTTCCTACCCTTCACTCACCCCTCTTCCATGTTTTGTACAGGCAGCCTTGGTTTTTCTAGATTGCAGTTATCTATCTGACTATACTATCATTGCAGAAACCCTCTCTGAGCTCTTTTATATTTACCACTCTCTCTAATCATCTCCTTCATAGAATGACTGAACCCTGTCCTTCTTCCTCAGTAGCTGAAAGAACTAGCTGAGATGTCGCATTATGACAATGACCTGCAACTCTGCTTATGTGGAAGGCTGGCATAAAGAAAATAGAGAGCAGTTGTTAAATACACAGTACAGCACCAAGTGAGTGACAATCTCCTAATACTAACAAGGATAATACAAAAGAGGAGTCAAGCTACCCAGGTCTGAATCCTAGCTCTGACTTTTTTCCTAGTGGTATGACTCCAGACAAATGACTGAACCTTCCTGAGCCTCAATTTCTTAGCTATAAAATAACACTACTATTTCCTACCTTTAAAAATTGTGGCTAAGATTAAAAGAAATACCTCTGTGCCTAACATGTAGTCAAATGAAGGGAAACAGACTTGCTGAAAAAAAATTATTATTCGCCCAGACAAAAGCATACACAAATGAATACAATTAATTATCGTTCTTGAAATGGAAAAAAATAATGAGTCATAGCACAACCCGTTCAAAGGTCCTTGTGAAAACAGCTGTAATTGAAGTCATTGGATAGCTCCTTATTTGTCATGTCAAGACTTTTTTAAAAAGAGTAATATTTTCATTTGAAGAAAGATTGCACATTTAAATCACACAATCAGAATACCACTGCCCGCTTGTAAATTATCTAGTAATGATTTATCCTTCTTTTTTCCGCATTAATACTGGTCAAAAAGTATTCATACCAATTTTTATTCTCACAACCTGATTGTTTGCCCCAACTGCCTTCCAACCTGTGGTAGCACAGTGGATTGATTCACTCAACTTTATTCCCACTCCTTGCAGCATAATTTTATACAGGCCAAAGGCTAAAGCAATACTCTTTTATAGCTTGGCTTCTGAACATAATCGAGCTTTCACTGAACAGGGGACTTGGGAAAAATGTGAAAGGGAGACATCAGTGTCACAGGACAGCAGGCATGCTTCTGCTGCATTTGCTGTTTCCGCTGACAAGTGCCTTTGTGGAGGTTTTGGGTAGCAGCCATAGCAGAGGTTCAAGTGCTCATCCTCTAAACCCATGGGTGTCAAGGTGTGGAAACCTGGGCATCTATTCTGCTGGCTCAGATCACACAGTACAAGGCGTTGTCCTGGCAGTCGTTGTGCTGGTCCCTCAAGAACCCCCAGTATCCAGATAATGCCAGAGACAGCAGTTCTTCTGTAGACTTTGTATGAGTGCTCTAGGAATGGTTCCTTGAAGCTCAGTTTAGAATCTGTCCCCCCCAGCTTTTCCAGCTATTTTGTAACTGAAATCTGACTAATATTCTTTTAAAAATCAAAATCATTCAAGGATGGTATTACTTTGTCCCCTAAAATTTTGTAAATGTTTGAATATGTTAGAAATTGTATGGGCAAGTTTTTTTTTTTTTTAAATACAGATTTAGCTGGCTTAATTTTTGATTGACAAATTTTATTTTCAGAATAATTCTTTCCATATAGCATACTTCTCTTTTGATAATGAATGTTGACATATTATGTGGATAGTGAACAATTTTGAAGAAACATATTTTTGATACAAAATATATATATTTTTAAAAATTCAGCTTTTATTTTAGATTCAAGGCATGCATATACAGGTTTGTTTTGTGACATGGGTATATTGCATGATGCTGAGGTTTGGAGTAAGATTGATCCCATCACCCAGGTAGTGAGAATAGTACCCAATAGGAATTTTTTTAGCCTTTGCTCCCTGAGTTTTGTACATTGTTTTTGTATCCTGAAACTTTACTGGAGTTATTTGTTGATACTGGGAGCTTTTTAGCGGAATCTTTAGGGTTTTCAAGGTATAGAATCATATGAGCAAAGAGATAATTTGACTTCGTTTCCTATTGAGATGCTTTTTATTTCTTTATCTTGCCTGATTGCTCTGGATAGGACTTCCAGTATTATGTTGAATAGGACTGGTGAGAGTGGGCATCCTTTTCTTTTTCCAGTTCTCAAGGGGAATGTTTCCAGCTTTTGCCCATTCAGTATGATGTTGGCTGTGCATTTGTGACAGATGGTGCTTATTATTTGGAAGTATGTTCCTTTGATGTCTAGTTTGTTGATGGTTTTTATTATGAAGGGGTATTGAATTTTGAAAATCTTAGTTTTCACAAATAGAATTTTTTCTCTATTTCTTCAGTTATAATCAGTCAGTATATATCTGCATATATGCTGATTATAATTGCAGTATATATATGCATGTATACTGTATAAAATATTGCATATACTGTATTTATATACTACAAATATATTGCTTTGGTTTATATCTTTGCTATAAGAATTTAAAAAAATTAAAAATGGCTAACATAGACAAAGTAAATATTATAAAATGTCAGGATTGAAACGGATAGCCAGGAGGTAGTTTATCAACAAAGTTTATCATCAGAAAACTTGAGGCTGAATTTCAGCTCCTCTTTGTACTGCCTGTTTCAATTAAGTAAAAGATAAGTTAAATAACCTCTCTGAGCCTAATACCTATGTCAAACAATTGTAGGAATAAATGAGATGGAATACACAAAGTGTGTGTTGTAGAATGGGTAGTCAATCAATGATTGAGTAATAGAGGGTTATAAGGGTACACTTGGTTTCAGTTTTTACTGAGGATTAGGATTTCACATCCTAAATGAGCAACACAAACCCTCTTCAGGGCATGCTTCAAGGCACTGTGAAACAATTCTTCGCAGCATTAGCCCATCACCTTATTTCTTCCAGGCTATATAAGGAGGAGGGAAAGATTCATGGAAGAATGGAGATACTGGAGATCATGGCAGAGACCTCTAGTTGTAAAACAAAATCTGTCCTTTCCTTTTATAGAGAGAACTGTAGCTGGGCGCATGTATGGAATGCATTTCTTAGGTTCTCATGCAGGTAGGTGTGGCCAATCGAAGGGGAGCAGAAGAGATTTGTGCTACTTCCAGACTGGGGGTTCCCAGAGGGCGAATGTGTCTCTCTGTGTCCTCATTTTCCCTGTCTGGATACATCTGATTATGAGGCCCTAGAGGGCCTGTGTAGCTGCAAGCACCTGAATGATCAGCTGAAGGAGAGCTAACCACTTCTTTAAACCCCATCCAGGACTGTTATGGGGAAGATATATAAATTTCTTTTTTAAGCTACGGAAGTTTGGTGTTCGATTTGTTATCACCTTGTATCATACCCCCCACTAATAAAGAAAGCCTAAATTCTGTTGCAAAAAGTTATTAGCGTATTATGGCATTTTGCCTTTCAGCCACTTATAGAGTTTAGGAGAATGTGCACCATCTCAAGACAAAAAAGGGGGGTATATGGAGAAAATTACTTGCAATGCTTGCTGTATGCTCCCTAGAGTTTGGGGACATAGAGGGACTGATGACTGTCTAACAGCAGGGACAGACTATACGGTGACAGAGTAAAGAGAAAAAAAGAGAGAAAAGGATGGGGAAAATGTGTCACCTTTTCCAGAAATGGATGTACATTCCACCATCAAAAGGAGCCCACCTATGGCTGTCTCAATAGGGACTCACACCAAGAAGGGGTGCAAGGATGAAAGACCCGGCTATAGACAGACTGCTGGGAGACCATGGACACTTGTGACAAAGGCCAGCCAGAGGCCATGTTGCTTGCCTCACATGAGCCATGGTTGGGCCTGCAGCAGAAGGATCTCAGTGGCATCCAGCAAAGGCATGGAGAGAAAGGACAACTGTTCATCTGCTGCTCGCTGGGCCCTGGAACCATGTGTCAGTTATGCCAGTCAAGTGGCATTTGGGATTTTCTTCCCTCTGACACCTCTCCTCCCCTTAACCCAATGCTTTGGAAGGGACAACAGCAGTGAGGAGGAGGGAGTTGAAGAGCAAGAAGACTGTGCTCTCCTCACTCTTTGCAGGGGCACAGCTGGGACAAGCCCCAGCTGGACAAAGGGAATTTAAATTGTATAATAGATTAAACTGTAATGTTAGATCTGATGAGATTTTTAAATTTTTGAAATGAGATTGTTCTTCCTGAAAGTGGCCAACAAAGCTTTGAGAATCACTTGAGATATCATCCAGAGGTGGGACAGATCAACTCCAAAGAACATGATTGGAAGGACATTGGGAAGAGGGGGATGGTTGCTCTCAATGATCACACAACTGCCTCCAACAAGTTCAATAACATGATTAAGTGTCTTTTGTTATTGGTTAGAAGAAAAAATAATTTCATACCACCAGTTTCTGTATCTACTTCTGGTCCTGTTAGTGGCACCAAAATTTTGGAAAAGATTACCTTTTGTTTGGCAAAATTTCTTGTTTATGATACAACGATTAGGCCCCTAACATTTACCTGGAGCAGTGCTGTCTTATAGCATTATAATGCAAGCCATAAATATGAGCTTCATCTGTCATTTTAAATATTTAGCAGCCACATTTATTAGGTAAAATTATCTGAACATATTTTATTGACATAGAATACCTAAAATATTATCATTTCAACATGTCAAGATAAGAAATTATTAATGAGCTTTTTTTACATTTTTATATTGTCTTCAAAATTCAGTATGCATTTTACATTTGCAGCAATTTCAATTTTAACTAGCCACATTTCAAGTGCGCAATAGCCACATGTGGCTAATGGCTATTGTTTTGAACAGCAGAGACCTGGAATTAGTTACCTCGACATCTGCCTAATAAATGAGAAGAAATAGTAAGCTGCAGAGAAAGTAGAATAAAGGAAGGAATAAGGGTGAGAATAACCTTAGGAAAATTTTAGCCAAGGAGAAATTCTGAGGAGATTGGGGAATAAATGATGTGTAAATAGGGCCATTTAGAATAGTCCCTAGTTTATCGAAAATACCCATAAATGCCTGCACACATTATCTGAAACTTCCTTTTCCTATGACATTAATCTATATTTCATACACTTTAAGTCTGATCTGCTAATTAATTATAGATCCATTTCCATTTTACAATGTATTTACCATGTTATCATTTAAAATCCAGCCCATTTTTCCCTAGCTTTGTTCAAATGCCCTAATCGAGCCATGCCAGACCCAACGTATTTCTGAAAGCTTATTGTCTACTAACTTTGGCAAAAAAAATAAATAAATAAATACATGCTAACAAATCTATGCTGTTTCTCAGTGACCATTACTTATTATTTATTTAACTGTTCACATCTTTCTAGTAACCAAATTAGTTAAAGTCATTCAAAATATTTTATATTGGTATCATAGGATAAAATATCCTTAATATCTTTCACCTCATAGCTGCTGTTATTTGATTCCTGTACAAGACAGTATTTTAAATAGGTAAGTATGTATTTGGCAGTGTAGATGAAACCTTAATCAAGCACTGATACAACGCCCTGTAATGCCCTTTGACACTGTAATGCCCCTTGTCATAGCTATATTCAGAGGTTCTATTCCAGAAAACATAAGAAGGATTCATAGGTCTTATCTTAAGTGAATATAAAATTAATTCATTTCCTGTCACAGCTGTAATAAATTACCACATATTTGGTAGCTTAAAACAACAAAAAGATTATTATCTCAAATTACCACAAATTTGGTAGCTGAAAACAACAAAAAATTATTATCTCACAGCTCTAGAAGCCAGAAGTCCAAAATCGGTATTACTGGGTTGAAATCATGTTGATGGCAAAGCTGTGTTCCTTGCAGAGACTCTATGGGAAAATCCATCCATTGCCTCTTCTAGCTTTGGGTGGCTGCCAGCATTTCTTGATTTGTGGCCACATTAATTGGCTTTCATGGTCACATCAACTCCTCCTCTTCTGCCTGTGTTTTTTCTTCTTCTATTTAAAATTTCCCTGATTTTCTCTGGGCTGACCAGGATAATCCAAGAAAAGCTTCCTGTATTAGTTTCCTAAGGCTTTCATAGAAAGTACTGCACACTAGATGTCTTAAACAACAAAGTTACTGTGTCATAGTCCTAAAGGCTAGAAGTCTGAGATCAAGGTGTCAGCAGGGTTGAATCCTTCTGAAGGCCCTGAGGGAGACTCTGTTCCATGCCTCTTTGCTTCTGGGGGTTGGCTGGCAACATTTGGAGTTTCCTGGCTTGTAGATGCATCACCCAATTTCACACAACGTTCTCCTTGTGTTCATGTCTCTCTTCAATAAGGTCATCAGTCATATGGGATTAGGGGCCTACCATACTTATTCCAGTATAATTTTATCTTAACTAATTACATCTGCAAGAACCCTATTTTCAAATAAGTTCATATTATGAGGTACTGGGACTTCAACATATGAATTTTCATGGGCTACAATTCAACCCATAGACTTTTCATCTCAAGATCTTTAATTTGATCACATCTGCAAAGGCTCTAGGCTCCAGGATTAGGACTTGATATCCATTTAAGTGTCCCTTATTCAGCCTACTACAAATAACATGGCAATTTCTCAAGCAAACTTGTAAAAGGAGGAGGAAAAAGAGGTGGAGGTACAAAGTCTGAGTTTTAACAAATTTGCTATCAGGCGTTAACCCTCTCCTTAGCACATAATTTACCAAACTATCTAAAATCACTGTACTTTATTACCTGCTTTCATGAAGCACAATATTCAAGGTTCACACTATATTTGGAGTCATAGACACTGCAATAGGGTCACTTTTTGAGCTGGAGAACCTCAATAAAACCTGATGTAAGTCTTGCACTCTGCTCAGTAAATAATTCTGAGAGCTCGGCTATGAGCTGGGTCCTAAAAAAATTGAGAAGGGCTTGGTTCTATTATATCCACCACTTTTTCAAGAGAGGGAATTAAGGAGAAAGAAAGGGATCCCTTATGTTCCCTTTTCTTTTCTGATCTCAGGTAAATTTGGAACTGTCCACCTTGTGGCTTGCACCATTTCACAGACTTGCAAAAAAAAAACCCACCCTTCATCCATCTCTCATTCTAGATTCATCATTGTCATCAGGGTGTGGCCTCTGCTCACTCTCTTGTGAGTACAACCTTATTCAAACTTAGTCTCTACTGATCAACACCTGGAAGGCCACTTGTATCTGCTGAGTTGATAGATTGTAAACTATTGCCACTCTTCAGGTGTGTGTCCCCTACAACTAAGGCTCTTTAGCTCTCTTGGGTTAAGGCATTTTCCTGTAGCTCAGTGTCCAACAGTGTTTTGAAGTATAATAACACTGATGACTAGAAGGACTAAAGTCCAAGATGAGAGCAAATTTGCAGGGGCAAGTTGGAAAATATTTCTAAATAGGGATTAGATGACTTAAATTGTGCTCATTTCCAAAATTTTGCAACTATATAAAAGTCTGTGTGTGTGTGTGCGTGTGTGTGTGTGCATGTGTGTATGTGTGCACGCTTGTGTGTGCAGGCATGTGGAGAGAAAGAAACAAGGAGAAAGAGGGAGCTCAAGCACATGAATATCCACATGGCATGTAATATTGATATATTAGTAGTACAGTAAAGTGTTCATTCAGTAGGCTTGGGGTGCTCAAACCTTGTGCATTCTAAAGAAATGATTGGCCATTGACTCGCTTCTGGGAGATAAATTCTAAGCCTTTGGAATAATCTTCCTCAAGAGTGTCTCTGTATACCTTGGGTCTTAGACCGTTCCAGATAGTTTATGCTAACAACGTGATTTATAACGAAAGCCTGTTTTTGTTCACCTGGGCCGTGGGAACACTGTATCTGCTTGAAATCTAGAGGGACTGGAGATTGAGTAGTCAGTGCCAGTCATTTAGGTGTTCCATGCCCATGTAGCTAACCTCCAGCAAAAACTCTGGACCCTAAGGCTCAGGTGAGCTTCCCTAGTTGGTAATAATTTGTACATGTTGTCACACGTTGTTTCTAGGAGAACTAAGTGTTGTTTCTGTGATTTCACTGAGAGAGGACAACTGGAAGCTCGTGCCTGATTTCTCCTGGACTCCTTCCATAAGGATTTTTTTTTTTTTTTGCCAATTTTAATCTGTATCCTTTCTCTGCAGTAAAACATACCATGAGTATAATAGCTTTTCTGACTTCTGTGAGTCCTAGTGAATTCTTGAACCTGATAGTAGTCTTGTGAACCCCTGACACAGGACAAAATATTTGCATTAGTTTGTTATATAGATACAAGTCAAATTAAAATAAATCCTTTTTATAGTAACCAATATTTATTGTGTACATTTTAAGCAAGACCCTCTGGCAAATACTTTACTGGGAAAGCCTTATTTATTTTTTATATCAGTCTTCTAAGAAAGGAAGAAACTCAGAGAACTTAATTAACTTGTGCAGACTGATACAGCAAATGGAAGAGTTGAGAAGCAAATCCAGGCTGACTCCAAAGCCCATGATCTCAATCACTGTGCTTCATATTCACATGGAACAAATGACATACTAGCCTAACTTTAATAAAATACACACCCACCCAGATGTTCTAAAAATGCTTTCCATTATAAAATAGCAACTTCAGTGTAAGCTTAGGGGTTTAGAAAGTAGTTGTCTGCCACTCAAGGTTATATAATAGTGAATGAATGAAAGTATCCTTTTGATAAGATCCAAATGAAAACTACATGCTTCCTTGTCATTCCCTCTGCATACAAGAATCTTTAACAGCCTCAGTGAGGATCCCTGTGGGTATTTTGCTTTGCTGTTTTCATAGTCATATCTGGGTTTGTTTTTCTGTCATGATCTTTCTGCATTATGTTGTCACTTGTTTTCCTGGGCTTGCATGGATTTACTGGAAACTAATTGGGTTGGATATGTATGGTTTACAGAAAGCTGAAGCTACTCATGGATTTCACATTGGTATAAAAAATCGCAAAGTTTGACATCTAATTTCTTGTAACCATCTCATTGTCTCAATTTTGTTGCAGATTCTGTGGGCAGAGTTTAAGTAACTCCATTTCTTCCACTACAGAATTCAGTAACTTTAATAAACTCGTCTACTGGCTGTGCACCATGTTAGAAATCCCATGCACAATTTTTTCAGAGCAGCACTTTATTACCAGTTTTACTGTAATGCAATATTAATATAAAATGATGATACTTGGACTGTGCAGGCACTATTATGCATTTACAATAATATTTATACAAATAATTAAACTTTCATTTTATTGGATAGGGCAAGTCTATGCAAGGGAATCTTTTGCACAAATTAAAGGAAAAAAAATTACAAGACTGTATTGGCTGTTGTGGTCTCTATCTGGATTTTCTCTGATTGAACTGTAGAAAAATCTAGTTTCAAATATGACATCTGTCATCTGTACTTTCTACCAAGAAATTAATCAAACTGATGGTGGAGAGAGTTTTTTGAATGTTCATTATTTCAGCTATTAATTTTTAAAAGCAGCAAATGTTGCAAATCAATAGCTTCCATAAAAATTGATTTATTGTGCAATTTCCTTCATACTCCTGAAAGCCAAGAGCAGATTCTGCGTATCCAATGCTTTCTATTTCTAATCCACCATATTCACATTCATTTTTTTAAGATAAATTATTTAGATGAAAGAAATGTAATCCTATTTGAATTTCACTGGTTTGAATTTGTGGAAACTGACCACATCAAGGAAATGTGAAATTTAGCATGAAAAAGAACTATACACTGAAGCAATTACATCATGAAAATCACAGAAATGTAATTTATATTAAAAAGGCAAAAGATTCTTGATCAATCACATTACTTCTATGATATAGGAAACCTCACAGTACACTCTGATAGAGAGTTCAGGAACAGCCAGGACCCACTGATGCCATTTAGAACACGGATTTCTTAGTTTAGATATGTACTGTTTCCTTTATACACAGAAATCACATGTCCTCCTAAAACGATTTACCACTATATATATTTGCACTTCAATTTCAAAACTAAATTTGGAGTTGGTCAGTCTGTGTTCAAATTCTAATTCTGGCTCTGCTAATTTATACTGGTATCTTGGACAACACTTAATCCTCTGCATTTCAATTATCTTCTCTTTAATATGTAGATTATAATGTTTATCTAATATAATTTTTAAAGAAGTAAATAAAAATAAGAAAATATTTGTAGAAGCATTTATTACAGTGCTGTTTATTACATGTGCTTATTCTTCCATCCAGAAATGTCCAGGTCTCCAATCATGTAATTTGATTATGAGAAGTATTTCTTAACATGTCATTCTATTAACTGATATTATCTCTTATTTAACCAACAATAATTAGTACAATTAGTATCTCTGAAATACAAAGAAAACACAGTTTTTTTTTAATTTTAAAATATTTTTTATTTTTTTTGGGGGGGGCGGTGTTGGGGACAAGGTCTCACTCTGTCCCCCAGACTGGAATGCGGTGGCACAATCTTGGCTCACTGCAACCTCTGCCTCCTGGGTTCAAGCGATTCACCTGCCTCAGCCTCCCAAGTAGCTGGGACTACAGGTAGGTGCCACCATCCCTGGGTAATTTTTGTATTTTTAGTAGAGACAGGGTTTCGCCATATTGGACAGGCTAGTCTCATACTCCTGACCTCAAGTGATCTGTCCGCCTTGGCCTCCCAAAATGCTGAGATTACAGGCATGAGCCACCACGCCCAGCCAGTCACAACTTTTTAAATAGCACTTTGAGATACAACGTACTGATATAAAACTTCAATACCAATCAAATCTAGGGTCTGTACTGCCCATTACTGCAAAGGCAATATATTGCCTGTCCATTACTGCAAATAATTCTGTTTCCCACCCCTGCAATGTCCTCTCCCCAGTATCTAGAAATCAAAATAATAGCAGTTACATGCAATGCCACTTATGATTTCAAAAGTAAAATGAAATGGACTGACTGTATGTAGGCACTGAGGACTGGGGACTGAGCAATACCTAGGTGAGCTCCTGCCATGTTGCCACTGGAGAGGGCTTTGATGTTCAGCTGACTCCAATCTGCTAAGAGAGACAAAAGAATAAACTTGTTTTAGACAAGGATGAAGTACCATACCCCTGCGGACACCTCCTGCTGCTTACAACTCCAACCTCACCAGGTAGGAAATATCACATTACTACTCAGGCAAAGAAAAATTACGATATATCTCAAGCATATTTTTCTAATTTTTAATTTATTTTAAATATCGAAAATAATAATTATATCCACTTCCATAGAAATGAGCTAGCAGAGAAAAAATAGCTAAGCATATTAAAAGACTTAGCAGTCCAAATGAGGAGAACCATTTTGAGCATTCAGAACATATGGTCTCCAGTGAATCACAATTATTACAGGAAATTGAAGACAATTTTTTAGGGCTTGTAGAGATTCTACATGAGAATCAAAAAAATCTTTCACTAACAATAGAAGATCTCAATATAGTGATACCAGTTTTAAGATTTAAAACATTAGTTCTAAAAATTTAGTTTCATTGCTAAACCAAAAAAAATAATAATAATTGTGCCCAAGGATAGCATTTTCGATATCAGTAAAACAAAATTAGTGCACCTGAAGTCCAGAACTCAAAGAAAACAAATTGATGGAACAAAATTAGAGAAATAAGAGTCATGTAGAACATCTATAAGATTTAATGTATATGTAATTTGAGTTTTAGAACAAGACAATAGAATTTTCAGTAAAAGAAATATAATAAAACTTCCTGAGATGACAGAAGACCCATGTGTTAGTTTTCTATTGCTGTTAAAAGAAATTACCACAAACGTAGTGGCTTAAAAGAACACAAATTTATTATCTTACAGAGTTCAGTAGGTTAGAAGTCCAACATTAGCCTCACTGGGCTAAATCAAGATGTTGGCTGGGCTGTATTTCTTTCTAGAGACTCGCATGGATAATATGTATTTCTGCCCTTTCCAACATCTAGAAGCTACTTGCTTTCCTTGGCTTATGGCTCCTTCCTCCATCTTCAAAGCTAACTATACATCTCTCTGACCCTGATTCTCCTGTCATATCGCTTCTCCAATTTTAACACTCTCTGTGATTAGATTGGACCAACTTGGAGAATCCATTCCCTTACATCAAGGTCCTTCATGTAATCACACATACAAACTCCCTTTTGCCACAAGAGATAACATACTCAAAGTTTCCAGGAATTAGAAGGTGGATGTCTTTGGAAGGGCTATTTTGCCTACCATAAGCTAAATCTCCATGTGGAACGAATTCAGTGAGAATTAATGACAAGCCACTTATACCTACACATATCCTAAATTTCAAAGATAATAAGAAAATTTAGCAAGCATCCAGATTTTTAAAAGCTCTTTATCATAAAGGGAAAGAATAGCTTTAACATATAATGTGTGAAACATGATAATCCAGGAAACTCTTTTAGATTGGTTATGGTAAATAACATAAGATGCGGTTACAAAACCCCCCCATCTCAGTGGTTTACCACAGTGAAAGTACTGTATGTAAAATAATACATACATGTATTATATACTGTATGTAAAATAATACATACATATCTGCATGTAAAATACAGATACATTACTGTATATGAAGTTCCTTTTGCTTATTAACACCCAGTAGGTAGTTCTGAGCAAGTAATCTTGTGGTTATGCAGAGATTCAGGCTGCTCTTTAGTGCTTCAGCTTCCTCCAGGTCTCTGGGGTTCTCTCCTTTCAAAGTCAGCAGATGGGGAAAGAAAAATGGGGGAGAAGCCCATGAGGTTTTTGGGGGCAAGCATGGATGTGACACGTAACACTTTTACCTACGTTCCATACCCAAATCTTAGTTACATAGCCATGTTAACTGCACAGAAAGCCTGGAAAAATTTGCTCAGGAGAAACTGAAGTGGGTCTTTATAGATAAAAGACTGGGTCCTGATAATCCTACTTATTGTCCAATTATTCACGTGAATGCATGTACACACACAAATGTTTTTAGATGTGTAAAGAATTATTTATCATACTGCCCATAAATTCTTCCTGAAAAATTACCTAAATAATTCAAATAGATCAATTTCCGGATGTATGTCCTGTAATCAGAAACTGGATATGTGAAATTTTTTTTAACTCAAGAGCTAGTTTATATAAATAATTTTCTCCTGCTAACCTGAATTTGGAAGATGATATGGTTTGGCTTTGTGTCCCTACCCAAATATCATCTTGAATTGTAACTCCCACAATTACCATGTGTCATGGGAGGAACCCGGTGGGAGGGATTGAATTATGGGGGGGTGGGTCTTTCCTGCACTGTTCTTGTGATAGTGAATGAGTCTCACAAGATCTGATGGTTTTAAAAAATGGGAATGTACCTGCACAAGCTCTCTCTTTGCCTGCTGCCATCCATGTAAGATGTGACTTGCTCCTCCTTGCCTTCCACCATGATTGTGGGGCTTCCCCAGCCATGTGGAACTATAAGTCCAATTAAAGCTCTTTCTTTTGTAAATTGCCCGGTCTCAGGTATGTCTTTATCAGCATTGTGAAAATGGACTAATGCTGTAAATTGGTACCAGTAGAGTGGGGCATTGCTGAAAAGATACCTGAAAATGTGGAAGTGACTTTGGAACTGGGTAACAGGCAGAAGTTGGAGCAGTTTGGAGGGCTCAGAAGAAGACAGGAAAATGTGGAAAAGTTTGGAACCTCCTAGAGACTTGTTGAATGGCTTTGACCAAAAGCCTGATAGCAATATGGACAATAAGGTCCAGGCCGAGGTGGTCTTTGATGGAGATGAGGAACTTGTTTGGAACTGGAGCAAAGGTAACCCTTGTTAGGTTTTAGCAAAGAGACTGGTGATATTTTGCCTCTGACCTAAAGATTTGTGGAAATTTGACCTTGAAAGAGATGATTTAGGGTATCTTGTGGAAGAAATTTCTCAGCAGCAAAGCATTCAAGAGGTGACTTGGGTGTTGTTAAAGGCATTTAATTTTATAAGGGAAACAGAGCATGAAAGTTTTAAAATTTTGCAGGCTGACAATGTGATAGAAAAGAAAAACCCATTTTCGGGGGAGAAATTTAAGATGGCTGCCGAAATTTTCATAATAACAAGAAACCACAATGTTAATCCCCAAGACAATGGGGAAAATGTCTGCAGGGAATGTCAGAGGCCTTCACAGCAGCCCCTCCCATCACAGACCCAGAGGCCTAGGAAAAAATGGTTTCATGGGCCGATCCCAGGGTTCCAGTGCCGTGTGCAGCCTGGAGACTTACTGCCTTGTGTCCCAGCTGCTCCAATCTTGGCTGAAAGGGTCCAACTTAGAGCTCAGGCCATGGCTTCAGAGAATGCAAGCCCCAAGCCTTTGCAGCTTCCATATGGTGTTGAGCCTGTGAGTGTACAGAAGTCAAGAATTGGGGTTTGGGAACCTCTGCCTAGATTTCAGAAGATGTATGGAAATGACTGGATGCCCAGGCAGAATTTTGCTGCAGGGGTGGGGTACTCATGGAGAAACTGTGCTGGGGTGGTGTGGAAGGGAAATATGGGGTCAGAGCCCCCACATAGAGTCCCTACTAGGGCATCACCGACTTCTCACACCTAGTGGAGCTGTGAGAAGAGGACTACCATCCTGCAGACCCCAGAATGGTAGATCCACTGACAGCTTGCACCATTCATATGGAAAAGCCACAGACATCCAACACCAACCCGTGAAAGCAGCCAGGAGGGAGGCTGTACCCTGTAAAGCCACAGGGGCAGAGCTGCCCAAGACCATGGGAACCCATCTCTTGCATCAGTGTGACCTGCATGTGAGACAGGGAATCAAAGGAGATCATTTCAGAGCTTTAAGATTTGACTTCCCCACTGGATTTCAGACTTGCAAGGGACCTGTAGCTTATTTGTTTTGGCCAATTTCTCCCATTTGAAATAGCTGTATTTACCCAATGCCTGTACCCCCATTGTATCTAGGGAGTAACTAACTTGCTTTTGATTTTACAGGCTCATAGGCCGAAGGGATTTGCCTTGTCTTGGATGAGACTTTGGACTATGGACTTTTGAGTTAATGCTAAAGCGAGCTGAGATGTTGGGGGACTGTTGGGAAGGCATGGTAGGTTTTGAAATGTGAGAACATGAGATTTGGGCATGCTAGGGGCAGAATGATATCGTTTGGCTGTGTGTCTCCACCCAAATCTCATCTTGAATTATAACTCCCAAAATTCTCACATGTCGTGGGAGGAACCTGGTGGGAGGTGACTGAATTATGGGGGCGGGTCTTTCCCGTGCTTTTCTCATGATAGCGAATGAGTCTCATGAGATCTGATGGTTTTAATAAAAGGGAGTTTGCCTGCACAAGCTCTCTCTTTGCCTGCTACAATCCATGTAAGATGTGACTTACTTCTCCTTGCCTTCCACCATGATTGTGAGGCTTCCCCAGCCATGTGGAACTGTAAATACAATTAAACCTCTTTCTTTTATAAATTGCCCAGTCTTGGGTTTGTCTTTATCAGCAGCATGAATACAGACTAATACAGAAGGGAAGGTTTAAGGAGAATTTTTTTTTTTTTTTGAGCCAGAGTTTCACTATTGTTGCCCAGGCTAGAGTGCAATGGCGTGCTCTCAGCTCACTGCAACCTCCACCTCCTAGGTTCAAGTGATCCTCCTGCTTCAGCCTCCCAAGTAGCTGAGATTACAGGTGATGCCACCACACCCAGCTAATTTTGTATTTTTAGTAGAGACAGGGTTTCACCATGTTGGTCAGGCTGGTCTCGAACTCCCAATCTCAAGTGATCCACCCACCCTGGCCTCCCAAAGTGCTAGGATTACAGGCGTGATAAGGAGAAATTTTTACCTTCCATTCTTGACCAGGCACTACGAGCAAAGATTTGAAAGAGCTGACCTTAAATGTTTTTTTTTTCCTGGCTCTTTGTTGTCTCAGGATCTTATCTGCAAGCTCTGGAATGGGGACCAGAATTATAGGAGCAGAAAGGATGTGATAACTTTCCTCCGCATCATAAAGGTCATGGTGATACTCCTATAACAAAAGTTAGGTTAATAGAGAAAAGCATAATCTATTTATTTAATTAAAGTTTCACATGACCTGGAAGGGAGCTTTTTGAAATAAAGACCCTAAAACCCAGGGAAAACAGTCCATTTTTATGCTTAGATTCAGTGAAGAATGGACAGCCTTGTTAGAAGTGTGTTTGGACGAAAAGAGTATAAAGTAATGATAATAGACTGAGGGAAGAAACCTAGTAAGGCCTATCTGTTCAGACTTTTTTTTTTTTGTCCTTTCTGTGTAGTGTTCCTTCCTCTTGGGTATGGGGCAGGACCTCTCTGGAATGAGGGTCTTATGATCTACTATCAAACAAGATAAGTCTGAGAATTTATTTATGGACATCTCTTAGAAAGATGGGGAAAGGTTAGAGTAATATTTCTCGGTTTTATGGCTTGCTTTGGGGGAGAGGAGTTCTGGTTTCTATGACCCACCTTGAGAAACAAGAATTCTTATTTCTATGGCTTGCCTTGGGGAAGAGAGAGGCGCAGGAGACAGGAGGGCAGGAGAAGGTGAGAGAGAGAGACTCTGCTTCTCAGGCTGCTTCTAAGGCGTTTCAATCTCCTTGAGTCCAAATTACTCAGCATGCCAACGTGCCATACTTTGGGGAATCATTTTCTGAGCCCCAAAAGAATCAATAACTATCTTTTCAATTTCTAGAAATTGTATATGACCATTTTACAAATCTACCCTTTAATTTCTTAGGAGTGTCCTATTCTTCATTACAGCTTCAATTCCCTTATTTTTCTAATTTTAATCATAGTTATTTGCTAGTCTCAGAATTTTCTGAAATCTGAAGTTTGTCATGTGCTAATTATCCTGTTTGTGGCATCTGTTGTTTCCACCTTATAATTTGTTTCTTATATAAATTGTAGCTTTACTCTTCGGAGCTCATGATCTGTAAATCTTTATTTTGATGTTGTTGATTTGGTTTTGCTGTGGGAGTTAGTAAGCTATGGGGCAGGCACCAGCTCAGCAATATTCTGAAGGTACCCTTTCACACCTCTTTTCACAACAGGGCTTCCACTGGCCCTGGAAGAGTTTAAAATATTAATCTTTCTTGTAGTAGCTAAATTACAAAAGGTATCATAAATTTGGACCTCACACCCAAGGCTCTAAATACAGAACAGCCTCTTCACCTAATCCTTACATCTAAACAGAAGAGATACCTCTTGTAAGCTCCTTGCTTACACAGATGGATCAGTTTTGGCTCCACATCTGTCTTCCCATCGGCCTGAGGCCGCATCCCCTAATATCATGGGGCATTAGGACCAAGTTCACAGCTAGTAAAGCCTCCATCTATGATGACAAGCCCTGTGAGTGCCAGGTAATCTATTCTCAGGCTGACCACACTATCTCTGTTTCCTCTTCATATTCATAGAGCCAGAGATAGTCCTTTTTTTTCTTTCTTGTGTTTTTAAATGTGCAATGAAATGTTTTAAAGTTATGTTTTAACCACTGTTTTTTCATTTTTGTAGCAGAAGGGAGAGTAGTAGAATCATCTGTATCAATTTAACCTGCCATATTCAGGAATGTTCCTTAAATCCCTTTAGTATAATGACATAATTTGACAATGAGAGAAAACATAAACAAAGAGCATTCTCACTTAAAGGTATGTAGTTCTCCATTGATTAATAATAATTACTGGCACTGTAATTAATTACTGGTACTGTAATTAATAACTACAAGGTACTGTAAACTGTACTAGACATATAGTGGTGAGTTCTAGCCCTCATGGAGCTCTCATTGTAATGAAATAAAACAATCGAAATAAAATATAGGAAATGGAAGTCAGGTGTTAAGAAATAGGCTTATTTCTGAAATTCAAATACATTAGGAATTATTCGATAAAATTAAAATGCTTACCTTATTTATTGACAGTATGGTCATCTTATAGTCCTTTCAAATGCTGAAACTTTCAATATCCATTTCTGATTAAAAACTCATACTAGGGGGAGGTAGTTATTTAACACAAAAAGAGTTCCCATAAAAAACAATAGTTCCTATTACTTTGAAAATTGAGATATAAGAAATACTACAATTAAAATAAACACCAGGATATCCACTATCTGTTATTCAACATTATGCAGAAAGATCTGGTCATGCAATTAAAGAAGAAAAATTATATATCAGTTTTAGAAAATGATAAAATATCATTATTTGTAAATGATATAACTGTCTAATTAAATAAAGAATATTTACTTGACAAAAATTAAAACACATAAAGTCCTAATAAGCTGGATGTAAAAATATAAATATTAAAATTTAAAAAATGAATAAAATTATCCCAATTGTAGTAATATTTTAAAACTTTCCATAAGCATAAAAATAGATAACTTTACTAAGAAAAAAAAGGATGAGTTAGTGATGTGATATCCATCTTTCTTGACAAGAAGTCTCAATATTTAAAAATATCAATTCTCTCAAGTTATGAATTGGTAGGAAATTATTCTCTTGATGAATTTTGGAAGGAACTTGACAAAATATGTATTAAGTTAATTTATAAGAGTCAATGAATGAGAATGACCAATATAATTTTGAAGGACCAGAGTAATGATGGGCATAATGAGCCTGTCTGCGATTACAAAATATAGAAATATATGTACATTTACAATCATTAAAATATTGTGTATTTAAAAGACAGATAAATAGAACAGAACAAGAAATCCAGAAATGCAAGTTAAATAGAAATATAGCATATGATAACGATAGCATTTCAAATCAGTGAAGGGAGATAAGATTATTTAATAAATAGTTGTGATATGGTGAAATATATATTTAGTCTTTGCCCGCTAATCCTGCTGTACAACTCCTAAAATCTCTGAAGTGATATGTATCTTTTTGTATGCTGATGATTGTCTGATGGCTTGCAGCCCCTACGTAGCTTTAGAATAGGGGCTGGTCACCAAGCTGGTGCAAAGTAGGATTAGAGGACTGGGATTTTCAGCCCCATTCCCAACCTCCAGGGAGGGAAGAGGAGACAGAAGTTAAGATGATCACCTATGTCCAGTCAATCATAACTACATAACTACATAATGAAGCCTTTATACAATCTTAAAATAACTGTTTTCCGGAAGCCTCCTGACTGCTGAACCAGCACAGGTCTCTGGAGGGTGGAGTGCCAGAAGAAGGCAGGAAAGCTCTGTGCCCCTTTCCATATTCCTTATCCTACACATCTCTTCATCTGTATCCTTTGTAATATCCTTTACAACAAACATAAATGTAGGTAAAGTGTTTTCCTGATTTCTGTGAGCCACTCTAGCAGACAAGTTGAACCCAAAGAGGGGGGTCATGGGAACCCTGATTTATAGCTGGTTGGCCAGAAACACAGGTTTAACACAAATCTGGGGCTTTCACTTGGCATTCAAAGTGAGGCCATACTTGCAGGACTGGGCCCTCAACCTGTGGAATCGAACAGCCTCCAGGTAGATATGTCAGAATTGAACTGGAGGACACCCAGCTGGTGTCCACTGTAGAATGGACTGATTGATTGCCAGAAGGGAGAAATCCCCATGCATTTTTGTGAACAGAGGGCTTAGAGGTGTTCTGTGTTGGGTGATGAGTGGAGAATAGGAGAAACTCAGGGTTTTTTTTCCAATATCTTTTCAATATTACTTGACAACTAAATAAGTTAGCATTCTATTTCTTCACCAGACTACTACCTAGAAGAATTTAAGAATTAAAGTTTTAAAAAGACTACAAAGAATGAAATTTTAAAAAGACTACAGTGTTTTAGGGGCAATATGTATAACTTTTATATATACTTGGACAGTGAGGTAAAATTTATCAGTTTTCTTTTCTCTATCTCTCTCTCATTTTCTACCTGGACTAGAAAAAGTGGAGAGGTTGAACTAATGAAAACGGAGCATTTTTTCTAGGCTAAAATACTTTTTAAAAATTCTAATGACAAAATGGAACCATATTTGTCATTTTGTCAAAAAATGCTTAAATTTTTATCTTTATATATATGTGTGTATGTATATCTATATATCTTATATAAACATATAATAAATTGGGCAAAATTAAAAACTATGTATTAGGACATTGTGGTAACAAATATCATACAACCTGATTCTTTTACAAAGGCAAAGGCTTATTTCTCATTATGGTTCATATCCATTGTGAGATAACTACAGTCCCTCTCCCCATAATCGTTTTTAAGGGACCCAGGGTAATATGCACCCTCTTTCTAGAATCTTGCTAATATTGCAGCAGAAGGAAAAGAGGAATCTGAATCATGAGCTCACTGTGAAAGCATTTGTGTGAAGTGACACACATTAGTGCCACTCATATTTCATTGATGAAAGCAAGTCTTTTGGCTATCCCTAAAGTTCAGAGGGTGGGAGTTTATAATCTACCTGTAGTGAAAAGTACCACATTAAGTGGTATAAAATATGAATGAACAGTAATATAATCTGCCACCTCCACCCAAAGGAGACAACCCAATAATTATCCAATTACAACATCATTGTTAGTCTGTTTTACACTGCTCTAAAGGAATACCTGAGGCTGGGTAATTTATAAAGAAAAAAGGTTTATTTGGCTCACAGTTATGCAGGCTGTACAAGCATGGCACCAGCATCTGCCCAGCTTCTGTGTGGCCTCAGGAAACTTTCACTCATGGTGGAAGCTGAAGGGGGAGCAGATGTGTCACATGGTGAGAGAGGGGACAAGAGGGAGTAGGAAGGAGGTGCCAGGCTTTTTTAAGCAACCCGATCTTTCAGTAACTCATTACCCAGCGGAAGGCACCAAGCCGTTCATGAGGTATCCACCCCCATGACCCAAGCACTTCCGACAAGTCCCGCCTCAAACACTGGGGATCTCATTTCAACATGAGATTTGGAGAGGACAAATATTCCAAACCATATCAAACACTGAGCTTAAACTTCAGGTCTGTGAGAGATGCCACATTTTTTTTCTATATTCATTTTGAATAAGGTTCCTCTTGAGTTGGAGACATGTAAACTCAACACATTATTTTCCCTGTCTGCCACATGCACACACTGATGGAGCTGGGATAGCATCACTGCAGAAGTGTAATTCCCATGGAGAAATGAGAAGAAAGGGAAAGACACAGTGGTATCTGTCTGCAGTAAAGCTGAAATCTCACAGGACCAATGTCACAATTTTCCTTACCTTGTAGATAAGGAATGTTCCTGTATAAGCCCTCATTCTCCTTCTGGGGGCAGCTCCCTACCCATTGTACTCTGTGACCTTGGACACTTCCTTTTAGAAAGTTCTCTCCCTTTTCTCTTATTCTCTTCTACTATTTCTAAAAATGACAATAGGGATTGCCAAAACAAAAACAAAAACAAAAACAAAAAAACAAAACAAGTTTTCTTTAAACTTTCTCAATCTGCTCCATATCCTGGTGACATTTTAATCTTAATTACTCACAATTTATTTGAGGCCAGATTGGTGGTGATTTTGACAGTTCAGTGCAAAAAATGTAGTCAGATTCTTATTTATTTGCTTTCATTTAGCTCCATGTGCCAGGACTCACATCCACAGTGTTTTCTGAACTTGACTTTACACTTAATTGTGGGTACCTTGAGTTTATCAGGCTGGGATTTGGAAGGGTACACCTTCAGTATCTTTTATCTGACTGGACTGAGTGCTAACACTTAATTCAGTTTCAACTGTGTTGACTGGGGCCTTGCCATGAGTCTGTAATTTAATCATTCTTTGTCACTCAAAGGTTTTCTCAGTTTTATTTTTTTGTGGATAGAGATGAGAACTAGTCGCATCTTCCACCACTATAATCTTAGTATTTCTAGATTCTCTTTTCTCTGTGGCAAACAAGTAAATGCTTTTTAAAATTCATTTCCTTTTTAAAGAATCTTGCCAAATGAATTAAATAGTGACCAAGTTGTGCTATTAACATTCTGTTTCCCAAGTTCTTCACCCAATAACATACTCTTTGGGATCATGATCTGCCTTCCAAGTTATGACTGAAAGTTTCACTATTGTATAACATGGATCACTATCCATCCAGCTCTGATAAAAATTTAACCTCTGACCATTTCTTGGCCTTGCAGTGAATGCCACGTATTTTTTATTTTGTTGGTTTGTTATTATAATTTACTTTTGGTTCAAGTTTTGAATTATTTGCAATAGCCCCAGTTATGCTAAGAAAAGTGATACCAAACTGTCACTGGCTCACAACAATAAAAATGCAGTTCTTACTGATATTATATGTTAGTTATGGGACAGTTGCAGTTCTCAGGAGCACCTTCTCCCTAGCAGCCATTATTATCCTGGCAGAAAAAAAGGGAAAATGCAAATAAAGCGCTAATTTTTATAATTTCAGTTAAGAGGTATGCTATTTTAATTTCAGTGTTCTTTTTTGGCAGAACAATCCACATGGCCATATCTGAGTTCAACAGGTGGGATGTTGTATTAGTCAGGGTTCTCCAGAGAAACAAATCCAATGGAATATATATAGACACATGAGATTTATTATGGAAATTGACTCATGTTGTTATAGAGGTTGAGAAGCCCATGATATGCTTCCTGCAAGCAGGAGAACCAGGAAAGCTAGTGGCATAATTCAGTCCAAGTCCAAAGGCCTGAAAACCAGCAGTGGGGTGTGAGGAGTGCTGGTGTAAGCCTAGAGGTCTGAAGGCCCAAGAACCAGGAGCTTCAATGTCCAAAGGCAGAAGCAGACAGATGTCTCAGCTTAAGAAGAGAGCGGTAACTTTACATTTTCTGCCATTTTATTTTATCCAGGTCCTTAATATATTGGCTGATACATCGGTGAGGATTATCTTCTTTACTCAGTCTACTAATTCAAAATGCTAATCTCTTCCAGAAACATCCTTGCAGGCACATCTAAAAGTCATGTTTTAATAGCTGTCTGGGTATCCCTTAACTCAGTCAAGCTGACACATAAAGCAAACCATCACACATGTATACCCACCAAACAAGGAAAATCACCTTAGGCAGAGGAACTGAATATGATGGAACTGTAATCCAATTTACCAATGCAAGCAAATCAAATATAAAAGCAAATGGCCAAAAATAAGGTGTGATACCTTTCCTCCCTCCCCATCACAAGGGTCATGGCTGACACTTCTATAACAAAAGGCAGATTAACAAGAGAAAACCATAACATTTATTTAATCAAAGTTTTACATGATATAGGAAACTTCAGAATGAAGACTTAAAGACCCAAAAGAAAAATTGTCATTTTTATTCCTATGTTCGATAAAGAGTGGAGAAATATGTAGAGATGTGACTAGACAAAAAGGAAATGATCCAGTAGTAATAAACTGAGTGGGAGAACTCAGGAGCGGTTTGGACAATTTTTGGCCTCTCTCTGTGACATCTCAGAAAAGGCTGGACCCCCTCTGGAATGAGCCTTATGATCTCCCACCAAACAAGGTAGGTCAGAAAATTTCTTTTTTGTTTTTTGAGATGGGCTCTCACTCTGTTGCCCAGGCCGGAGTGCAGTGGCGCGATCTTGGTTCATTGCAGCCTCTGCTTCCAAGGTTCCAGTGATTCTCCTGCCTAAGCCTCCCAAGCAGCTGGGATTACAGGCATGGGCCACCATGCCTGGCTAATTTTTGTAGTCTTAGTAGAGACAGGTTTCACCATGTTGGCCAGGCTGGTCTCGAACTCCTGACCTCAGGTGATCTGCCCACCACGGCCTCCCAAAGTGCTGGGATTACAACCCATGAGCCACTGCACCCGGCCAGAATTTCTTTATTGTAAGCTCTTATACAGAAAAGTGGAGGAAGATTGGAGTAATATTGCTGGATTTTATGACTAGCTTTGGGAAAGAGGGTTTCTATGACCATCCTTGGGGAAAAAGTGTTCTAGTTTCTTTGACTTCTTTGTTGGGAGAGAGAGGAGCAAGAGATAAGAGGGCAGGAAAAGGTCAGAGAGACCTTGGTTCTGGGGCCTCCTAATGTTCTTTAGATCAAAGTATTCAGCATGCCAAAACATCATACTTTGGAGTATCATTTTCTGAGCTGCAATATTATATTTGGTTTTTTTTGTTTGTTTTTTTGTTTTAAAAGCTTTTGTTTATTGAGTATTTGCTGTTCACCTGGCTGCATATTACATTACGAGGCTAGGTAGCATGATAGTTACATGTCTGGGCTCTGGAGAGAGACTGCATATGACCTGGTGTCTTCTTTTTTTTTTTTTCTGAGCTGCAATATTATAAAAACTACGAAGCCTCACTAGAAATAAAGTGCAATTTTAAACAAAATTGAATGTCACTTTTTATCCCAAACTTGGAAAATAATTTTGAAAAATGGTAATATGCACTGTTTAAAAGATTATGGAAAAATAAGACACTATAATACCCTGCTGAGGAGATTTACAATGTATACATATATGTAACTTTTAGGAAAGTGAGCAATACTTAAGAGCAACCTTTAAAATGGGCATACTCTTTGTTCCAAAAATTCCCCATTTTATGTGATTTTCTAAGACTATTTTGAAAAAAATGCACAAATGTATATTTGAATGTGGAAAATATTTCATAATGGTATAGTCATAGAAGCATTATCATACTAATGAAAAATTAGAAATATTTACAATGCTTAATAAGGTAATTGTTAATTACAGTATGATTTAGCTCTAGAATAGACTATAATGCAGACATTAAAATAACACAACAATAATCTTTGGTAGAAATAGATGTTTATGCTATATTGTTAAACAAAACACCACATTATTCAACAGTATGCAGTATGGAAATAGAAAATTATAAAGTCTCAATACTTTGATTCAATCTTGATTAAAATTATAGTAGAAACCATATGCCATAATTTTCAAATGGTGCTCAGTGGAAAAGATTTGGCTTTAATAATCTGTTTATATTATGAGTTTCTGAGAATGCAGAGACTTGGCTATTACCCTTTGTTTAGAAAGATAAGGAAGAAGATTAAAGAATATTTGCATTTCATTACCATATATATCTATATATATATATAGTATTTTATCATGATAAAATTGAGTTTCTTTCTGTTTACTAAAAAGATAAAGGACTTGGCTGTAAAATTCATAGTTCTGCTTTAATAGTTTTTTTCCTCATGAATTGTTGACTTATAACATTGAGGCTACATATGTTTGTTCCATGAAATCACAACTGTAAGAATGTTTGTCATAGACTATTCTTGCTCGCTTAAAATTGTAAACTCTGTTTGTCCTAAGTGTTGAATTTGTTCATTAACTTTATGATGATTAATGAGATTACCATTTTATTTTTGTTATACTCAACTGAGGCATAAAATCTCTCAGTTAGAAATGCATTTCAAAGCTCTTCTCCTAGAAAAGAAAAACATACACACTAAAAAGACAGAAAAAAATAAGAAATTTTAAAATACAACACATATCTGTTCTACCACAGCATATAGGATTCAATTTATGTATTTATATGCATGAATGTATAATCAATTCTACAATCTGCTATCTTCACTTAACAATAGATCACGGGCATATTTCCGTGAAAATAATATCCATTCTATCAATGTTAATGGTAGGATATTTTAAATGACATGTGTTAGCTAAATATTCATATTTTGAGCATGTACACCAAAATGTTAACAGTGGTTATATTTGAGAGTCAGAGTTTTTGTTTTCTTTCTTTTGCCCATTTATGTTTTCTAAAGTTTCTGCCATGAATATGTATTTCTTTTGTTATGAGAAATTTTAAAAAGCCAAAGAAAACCTCTTACTAATGCTGTCACAACTAGATTAAATGCCATTTCTTCTATTCATTGGACCATTCTCAGTCACTCCAGTCAAAGGAAACTTTAGTTTTCTTCAAACTCGTGTTTCTTTCAGTATTTTGTAAAGTAGTTACATCTAATCCTTTTTTTTTTTACATGAAACTTTTCTCTTTTAGTTCATCAATTCCTTGGGGACAAGCACTGTATCTTATTTTTCCTTATGGTATGCGTCGCCTTTAGCATAGTACCAGCTACGTGATAGTACCTTGGAATGAATTTTCCGCAAGAATGAATGAGTACAATCAGATCCTTACTCAGGTCACCTCCAATTTACATCAAGTGCTTGGTCATCCCCGGTGATTCCCTGTGGCTTAGCTATCATTATAAAACAAGCCATATCTAAAACAGCATAAGTATTTTACTTGAAAATTAAAGCTTCAGCTCTTAAAAAGGCGATTTTTCAAACAGCCTTCTTGTAGTCATCTAAAAATGGAACTTAAATTGGGAAAGCATTTATTTTTCAATTCTCAGTTGATTAAATTTTTCCCTTTGCCAATTGCTGTCTTTAAACCCGCCTTGGCATCAGTGGGAAGAACTAGAACAGCATGGCTTGCCCTAGACATGTGTGTTAGACTCTCTCACCTCTTGATTTTGATCTGAAAACCAATCTGCCTATCAATTTTTTTTAAACAAAAGTAAATCCTGGCAAGTTCACATGACATTATGAAAAAGAACTTAGGTAGTACTGCTAAGACTGTAAATGCCTCCCTCTCATATACATTTGTGCCTTCTCCATTGTTTTGCTTAGGGTGATGTTCAAGCCCTTTGGCCTTTTGTGCCTGGTGTGCAGTCCTCATTATGACTTGAATAATGCTCAGCCAGTTTGACTTACAGAATTTATGATGTCTGGAGACAATTCTTTTAAAAATTCTTTCGTTGCCCTTATCTAAACATTTCATTAAATGGTAATTTGAAGTATTTCATTTGGTTCTTAGTTGAAATAAGAAAAATATTTTAGGAAGAGTTTTCAAAATACTTAGAAGGGGCACTTAGTGATGTACACTTTTTTTTTTCAAATAGGTTACTTTGGGATTCTTGTTAGAAAGATAACAATCTCTCTAAAGCAAAAAGCTTATGTTGTATAATAAGACCTTTTAAAAACTATTTATGTATTTTAGCTTTAGGCTTTTGTACAACCCTTGGGTGGGCATTTGAAGACGCCAAAATATACCTGCAGGGGGCTTGTGGATTAAGTAATAAGTGGTAAGCCTCCAGCTGAGACTGTGTGTTTATCATTATCATCTTGGTACAGAAAATATTCAGACTGGTAATGATTCTGGGCTACCTGCTGTGGGGGATTTCAGCCTCAATGTAACATTTAATAAAACATTATCACTAGACTTCAGTGAAACTATATTGATAAGAACTGCCTTTAGAAGATGTCGGAAGAGTGAGCTATTGAGGTAGAGAATGCAAACTCTAGAAATAATGAAATAAGAACAGGATTCATAAAAGTAGAGATAAAATTTTACCCAAACTAATAAAAAACACAGTAAATGAAAAAAGAAAAGAAGAAACACACAACAACCTATCGAAAACCCACTACTTAAATGGATAAAGGGAGTGCATAAATGAAAGTCACACATTGCAAGCAAAGCAAGAAATGAATGGGAGAAATATATTACTAGCATAGAGTATAACAAAATTCAATAAACAGGGGACTGAAATATTGGCTCAGCAACGTAATGGACAAGGTCCTTGATCTCATGAAGTGTAGAATGGCGTAAATTTTTACTGTGTCAAGTTTCTTACATTTGGGCTTCACTGACTCTGTACTGTACTGTTTTGCCAGCATCAGTCTTCTTTACATGTTGCATATTTTTAAATGCCCTTTATTTGGATTCACTAAATGTTAAAAAGTCAGAGTAATTATTACACTGAGGTCTTTGCTCTTAGATTATCGTGAATCTGCCCCAGCTGCTGGTTAGCATAATTCAAAGTGCTGACCCCAGTTCATAAATTCCATTGTGAAGAATCATAACTGCCAGAGAAACTGCTCTTCTGGGCTGGATATTTCAGCAGGAAATTGTTTGGGGGTTTCGATTAGTTGCTGGTATTGTTTAGTAATCTTATGCTAACAATTTAGTGCTTAATATTGTTTTAAAGAAAAGCTTCCTTCTCCTAGTTCAATAGATCCTCACTTAATTAACCGTTAGTGCTTCAAGTAAGACACACACCTTTAAAATTTTTATGCTCTGCTAACTATCCATTATTGGGGTTGTTTCTATCACTAACAATGGTCTAAAGTGCTTACTTAGAAAACGCATTAACTCTTATAGGTCATCAAGATATCATTTGGAACATCATTGTTTCAAATGGACTAAATGTTGTGCTCTTGACCTTTAAGTCTAAATCTCTGCTAGAGACCCAACTGACTATGACATCTCAACTATGAGTAATTATTGAATTAATATATTTTTCTTTTAAGGTTTATTGTTTCTAAGGTTTATTGTTAAATAAAGAGCCCAGGCTGCCCATGGTAGCTCAAGCCTGTAATCCTAGCCTTCTAGGAGGCTGAGATGGGTGGATCACTTGAAGTCAGGAGTTTGAAACCAGCCTGGCCAACATGGTGAAACCCCGTCTCTACTAAATAAAAAATACACACACACACAAATAGCCAGGTGTGGTGGTGTGTGCCTGTAGTCCCAACTACTTGGGAGGCTGAAGCAGGAGAATTGCTTAAGCCTAGGACGCGGAGGTTGCTGTGAGCCGAGATTGCACCACTGCACTCCAGGCTGGACCACAGAGTGAGACTCTGTTTCCAAAAATAAAATAAAATAAAATAGCCCAGAGGTTGGCCAATATCTGTTTGCATTTTGTAGGTAGTTTGAATTTCTTGGTCTTACACTTTATTAGAAAAGAAGCAAACACCTCCTCCTATTACTTTCAATTACTAATTCCAGTTTATAGTCTTAATGAAACAAAAAATAAACCTTAGTACCAGTGTAAATAGGAACAAGAATAATCAACTATTCTTGCTGGATGATGGATATTCAGTAACTTTAGATCGCATTTGACCTTCAGTTAAGACAGATGTATTTCTCAAAGGGAGAAGATATTTCTTTCTCACTAGTGGCCTGTATGAAAATGTTGGGATTAATATTTTAAGAATCTCTTTTAAAATAATTTTTTAATGTAAGCCTGAACTGGTTCATAGGACATATCTCAATCTCTGATGAATTTCTTATATAAATTTTAATGGCACACATATATTTTTCCTGTTTACATAATGAATATATATTAATTGAGATGCTAGTATGTGCATCAGCCTTTTTCAGATGTTTTAAGGATGCAAAATGAGGTAGATGCAGACATTGGGGTGAAGGGACAAGATAAAATATTGTCATGGGATCCTTAGGTTGTCACTTCAGCAACTGGAAACCTCTGTGGCCGGCAGTGCCTCTGTTTGGGATTTGCTTGTACCCACTGGGCTTGTTCTGTCCACAGGGCTCATTTTACCCATTCAGCACAGCAGGCTGCACTAAGGTCGTGCTACCAGCCTGGATCCAGGCATGGAGTGGCAAGGGCTGTGTGAGCGAGAGAGCACCGAGTCTGGCCACTGCACACAGCCAGGTACGCCAGCTGTGGTGGGGCAGGCAGCTCCAGGTGCCAGCTCTGTGTGAGGCTGTGACTAGATCAGAGATACTGCAAGCATCTTCCACTGCAGGCACCAGCATCTGGACAGGAGGAACATGATGGCGCCTGAAAGCTCAGAGATGCCAGGAACTGCAGAGCCCCAAAGAGCATGTTACAGCTTGTCACAGTCCTGGCCTGGGGGGCCCTGAGGTCTGGGCTCCAACAGGAGCCATAGCTCTTCTTTCCTTCTTCTCACCTGCAATGTGGTGGTGCAGGGGGGGGAGTGTGTTTCAGCCCTGTTTGTGTTACAGCTCTTTCAGTTCCACCATTTGGTAGGTCCTGAGTTCTTGTCCTACATAGAAGAAGAATAAGATACATGAACAACTGGAGCGTGACCAAGGCAGAGAGGAACTTCATTGTACAACAGAACAGCTCTCAGGAGACCTGTAGTGGGTAGCTCCTTTGCACAGGCAGGTCATTCTGGTGAGTGTCCAGCTCTCAGCAGAGAGGAGACCCATGGTGGGTAGCTCCTTTCTGCAGGCAGGTCATCCCAGCAAGTATGTGAGGCTGGCTGAGGCTGGGGTTTTTATGTGCTCAGAACAAAGGAAGTGCATGCTGATTGGTCTGTGGTCAGCCATAAGCAGGCCTGAAAAAAGCACCATCTGATTGGCCGAACAGTCATCAACCAAGTTTTCACTCCAGACAGCTGGAACCAGTAGCCTAGTGCCCAGGCATCAGGCTGCCACTGGCCTGAAGGTGGGGCTTCAGTGGAGACCCACCCCTTCCTGCCTAGGAAGCTGCATGCCTCCTGCCACTTTCAACACGTTGTCCACCTAGCTCAGGTTGTTTGCCCCTAGGGGTGCCTGCAGACCCACTTGGAGCCACTCTCAGCCACCTGGCTTCCCTCCTGTGCTCAATGATGCCTAAAGTCTGGAGACGGCTAAGGTAGCAGGGTGCTGGTGTGTCAGCACTGCCCTGAGCACGTGCCCACCTGGTTGGATTGTGACAGTGCTGGGCTCCACGGCTACTATGCTCTGCACTGGAGCAGGCATGGGGAGAGGAGAGAGGCCAGGGAGCAGGAGCAGGCATTTCTGAGCCTATGGGGACAGGGGGCTTCCCAGGCCCCTGAAAGTGTAGGGATGCCCAGATCTGGAGCCGAGGCTGGGTGGCTGAACCTGCGCCTGGGAGCCTGGGGTTCCTGCCCTGCCAACTTGGTAGGAGGCAAGGCTCCCACCTGTTCCTGGCCCCCACCAGCACTGGGGTGCACACAGCCCTGGCCACGCCTCTCCCGCTGCAGCTGGCATCCCCGCAGTGGCTGCTCCAGACTGGCCGCTGCCACCATCAATATCAATACTACAAACTGAGTAAAATGGAAATTTAAGTAAAAATAGAAAGACATCATATTAAATAGAAGACAACAACAAAGGTAAAGATTTGTCCTGATGGGTAGACATTATTTTGAAAGATTCTAAAGCGGGAATAGGAAGGGTGCATACCAGACAGAAAGTATAGTTTAAACAATGAACAAGTTGGGTGGATAAGTGAATAGATGATAGTTAGCTAAATAAAGAGTTAAAGATACTCTGATTAATGTAAATAATTTTATAATTTTAATAATCACCAGGTCATTCATAAAAAGATTTATAAGATATTCTTACGCAGCTAGCTCAGAGTCATAGAGTTACAATTTAAAACTATTTCTGAAAGACAAATGACTATTTTAAAATTTTGGATTTCAATTTTTCTTTAACACTTTTTTTTGTATCAAGTATTATTCTCCTAAATAAAAAATATGGAAATAAAATATAATTCAATGTTATTCTCTCTTTGACGTCTTTTTAAATGACAGTATTTTCCCTTTCTTCCTTCCTCCCTCCCTCCCTCCTTCCCTCTTTCCCTTCCTTCCTTCTTTTCTTACCTTTTATTAAGCACCTAATAGGTTTCAGGAACTACATAAATGTAGGAGAAGAAGCAAAGGAAACTTGCAATGATCTTTGGCTTTTTCCAAGCTTAGTAGAGAAAATAAAAGCCACAAAAAACCCAATAGTTTCCTTTATCATTCTTTTGTTTATCTCAGCTAATCTTAGGCTTAACCCTTTCTGGTTTAGTTTTACGTCCTATTGTGTGATCCTCTTGTCCTAATACAAAATATATTTTATAAAAATATGTTTAGTACAGTTTTTTTATGCCACTTTGTGTTTTTGTTTTTATTAATATATTTTGTTTTAATTAAGGTTATTTGTTATTGTGGCCTTTAAGAAGAAAGATTATATTTATCTTTTTTTCTGGATTAGTAATTTAATAATGACTATTTAAAATATGAAGTAGAAGATATATTTTCCTCACTTTCATACTGTCTACTTTAGAAACCAGTTTTGTTTTGCAAAATGTATTCAGAAATAAGCTAAGTTCAGCAGTTCCCACATATTGTTTTATTCATCTTTTGAGAAACACAAATTTCAACCAAGTAGATAAAATTCTCTCTCTCTCCCTCCGTCCCTCCGCTTTGTCAGAATTAACCTTGGTCGTGGATTGGGTTTCCTGGAAACATAGTCAAAGGTGCACAATTGCATACCAAAGGTTTTATGGATAATACTCTCAGATATACTGTTACATAAAAGTGAGAGGCCGGGTGCAGTGGCTCAAGCCTGTAATCCCAGCACTTTGGAAGGCCGAGGCGGGCGGATCACGACGTCAGGAGATTGAGACCATCCTGGGTAACACGGTGAAACCCCGTCTCTACTAAAAATACAAAAAAAAAATTAGCCAGGTGTGGTGGCGGGAGCCTGTAGTCCCAGCTACTCGGGAGGCTGAGGCAGGAGAATGGCGTGAACCCGGGAGGCAGAGCTTGCAGTGAGCCGAGGTTGCGCCACTGCACTCCAGCCTGGGTGACAGGGCGAGACTCCATCTTAAAAAGAAAAAAAAAAGTGAGAAAGGTGGAACTGCCTCCCTCCATATTTGGATTGCAACTGAGACTGTAGATTGCAAAAAAACAATCTACAGGAAACTCTGGTGCTTACGTGACCTTAAAAGTTATCATGAATTAGGCGAAGGAGCCAGGCGTTTGTATCTCATCATCCAACAGTAATAGGCTACCAGCTGTCCCAGGGGAGGGCTCAAACTCTGGAGGAGGAAGTTTCCTGGCTGCTAAGAGCAACTCTCAGCCAGGGCCCAGCTGTGAGCTAGCAGGGGATCTTCGCAGAAGTGAGGAAATGAGTGCAAAGGCCCTGAAGAAGGAACATGGGTGGAGCACGACCATATTTACTTCAGCCTTCAAGTAGATCTCCTAAGAGTTTAACTGACACAAAAATTAATATCTGAATTGAAACAAAAACTAGTTTTGGTGTTCCAATGGTTTCAGCATTTGCTGACTCGTTAGACAAATCTTTCCTAAATGCAAAAATTTTATATGGACTTTCCAACTTGTCAAAATGTATTCCTTTAAATCTCAGGGTTTCAGAAACAATTTTTTCTTGCTTTTTAAAAATACATAGTGTCTTTTGACCATGAAGAATAGTCTACATTTCCGTTACTACTGGTGTTGCTTTTATATCTGCTACTTAAAAAAAAACAAAACAAACAAACAAAAAAAACTATTTTCTTTTTCCATATAAATGAGTATCAGCCAGTTTCTTCTTATAGAGGAAAACGTGTTTAACAAGTAAAGACGAATGACTAAATTTATGTCACTATTAGTCAGTTAGCATGAAGGAGGAAGGGAGACCAACTAAAGCCTTGGGCTGAAAGTCAGAAGATGAGCTTAACTCCATCGCTTGTTAGTTGAAATATTTGGTGTAGGATACTTAACAATTCAGGGTACCCTTCCCTAATTTTGAAGTGGGGAAATGTTTATCTTTTCTCCTTGTTTCACGTGGTTATTCTAAAGTTCAAATGACATAATATATAATACTCTAAACATTAAAAATCACTATATACATGCTATGTGCTATTTAATTTTTCAAGCTAAAGGATAAGGAACAAATATCAACAAAACTGCAAATTGGAGACCTTTTCCTTAGTGAATCTCATTGGCCACAATTGGATCACATGGCCATAGCCTAGTAATGTAAAAGGCTGGGAAGTGAGTTTCTAGCCCTTTTGGTGGAAGATGAGCCTTGCCAGGTAAAAGAAAGGGAAGAGGAGATAGGAGGCAGTGGCCGCTGGGTAGGCAACCTGCTGGGTCTGCCTCATGAGGTAAAAGTAGGTGTCAGGGGGCATAGAATAGGCACTAGCATCACACCTGCAAGGATGTTTCCCCTTAGGAGGTAGTGATCACTAGCTGGGGAAGGGCAGGGTGGAAAATGTGAGGGCGGCCTCCAGAGGAGGCCTGGAAGCTGAGCAAGCATGAGCAGGATGAGAATAGAGAAAGATATCTAATATGGCCAGTGCAATGATGGGGGTGTGGGCCCAACCCAAATCAGCTTCCTAGGGCCTGTTGAGGAGTTTTGACATTAAGAGAAATGGAAATCCACTGGAAGGATTCAAGCAGGGGATGGGGGTAGGGGGCCATAACTGGATTATGGTTCCTCTCCAGGGAGCAGTGTTTATCATTGTAATTTATTGGTTTGTTTTTGCAATTAGGAGAAAGGATGGGAGAAAGGTTGGGAAACTAAGTGGTTATAACAGATCAGATTCAACCAATGATAGGCCGCAAGCCAAATCCAGCCCTCTGCCTGCCTTTGTATGGCCCCAAGATAAGAATAGTTTTTATAATTTTAAATTTGAAAGACAATCCAAAGAAGAGGAATATTTTGTGACATTTGAAAATTATATGACATTCAAATTGCAGTGTTCATGAATAAAGTTTTGTTGGCACACAACCATGCTCATTCATTTGTGTATCATCTATGACAACTTTCACGCCACAGGCAGAGCTGAATGGTTGCAGCGGGGCCCTTTTGGTCTGCAAAGCATCAAATATTTACTATTTGGCCTTTTACAGAAAATATTTGATATCAGTGATGAATTTTCCAGGTATCACTAAGTTTAACAACATAAGAACTCCTCGATAAAGGGTGGAAGCACTTATCCCTGTACTTACAAGATCTGCTTTTAGGATGAATAGTACAGTTATTTATGTAGATACTGAGTGAGGTAAGTAAAATGTACTGTATCTGTTGTTACACTCTGGTGGGAGAGGTAGACATCCAGCAACTCTTTACACAGAATATATATATTTAAAAGTGTCATAATAGAAGGAGAGGTTACTGTGATTTAACATAATTTCCTTTCTAGTCAAGGGGAGAGCCTCTTTGAGGATGTCACATTTAAGTTAAAGAATGGCCTATGAAAGGTCTAGGCAAAACTTTCAGACAGAGGGAAGAGCAAGTGCAGGCAGGGCTGAACTGGGCACGGGGTGTGTTCAAGGAGCTTAAAGAAGGTGATATGGCTAAAGCATGGTGAATGACTGAGACTAGGCAAGGGCTGGGCTGGGCAACAATTTGTAGATCAAATGTTAAAGATGTTGAGAATACAGTGGGAAGCCTTGGAAGGGTTTTGAAAGAGTAACATGACTGGATGTACTTTTCAAAAGAACACTCTGATCTCCTTCTAAAGAGTAGACAGATACGGCAATAGCTGGAGGGGCTGTGGGGACACGGAGGACAGAAATGATGGAGTAAGTTTTGACTATTGAAGGGGAATATGTGGTAGAGAGAGGGAGGTTGAGAGCTCAGGAAATAGGCAACACCTAGTGGAGTGAACTCTAAGAGGAAAGGGCTTCCTAGACATTAGAGGTGAGATGGTTCATCTTTGCCACTAGAGGGAAGAAGGGGGAAGGATCTCAGAAGTACATTTTAACTCTAAAGCCCATCCCCTTTTCTGAATTCAGTGCTACCTAAGAAACTTCCTTCAGCTTTTTTTCTAATTAAATCAAGGTCTGAGGAGGTCAGCAAGCAGCCCATTATTTTTTCACTAATATTAGTTTTATTGTATGGTGTCTTAATCATGCTACATGTTATTTCTCTCCCCCTCTTTACTCTTTCTTCTCTGTTAGACTCTGTTTCCTGCTTCAGGCATTTGGAACAATCCATACATGCAGTGGAGATCTCTGCAAATATCCTCAACCATGTTATAATTCTTCTATCCTTTCTATTCTCCTTTCATCCTCTTTTTCTTACTTCCTCTATGGGACTTCTCATATTTTGCCTTCTCACTTTCTTTGTCCTCATCTCCCCCATGATTATAGGTGCTGCACCCTTTTTTCCTAATCTGCTAACAGCTCTAGCTATGAGGTACCAGAGGAATAACAAATACATGTTACATAGGTAGATAGATATCACAGACAAAAATTTGTTTAATTCAGAATGAAATTTTACTAACTTCCATTTTAATAATTTAAAAAATATTTTAGGTTTTCTATCTCTCCTATCTATTCTCCTACCAAGAAATGCAAAGAATTCTAAGATTTCTAATTCCCATTTTAATAATGTAGCAATAAATTGTTTTTTTATTGTATGTTTCTATTATTCTTGTTTTACATCTACGATTAACCATGATATAACATCTCACTATCATAGAAAGGAAGTTAGCATTATGCTGATTTTAAGTTATGGAGAGAAGTTTTCCAAACGTACTAAATTAGCCAAATGGTATTCCTTTTTCAAGTGATGACAGTTAGAGTTAAGGTTAATTTCCTATTAGGATTATTCTATTATCCCTTGTTTGTCTCTAAAATTTCCACTAAGAACACTTACTTCCCCTTACATAAGGAACACCTGGGGTTAATGGAGAGCTGTGGTTAGAATTCTACAAAGGACCCAGGTGAATTAGGCAAGCTAAGGTTTGCTTTGTAGCCAAAGTCAGAGGGAAAGAGGGAGGTGTTACCAGGTGTAGTAAAGTTTCTGTCACCTTCAGAGACTAGTTTATTGGCTGTTGAGTTCCTTCTCTATTCCTATCTTTTTGCTTCCGAGTTTGGTTTTGTAATGACTGTGTTTCTTTCATAGGTCTTGTTTCCTTTACCTACCTCTTCTGAGGTTCTAATTCTAGTTGCATCCCCATTCTGACAATCTCATTTTGACTGCTGTCCATCAGCTCTGGACTTCCAGATCTTAGAATGGGTGCTGGCATAGTATTACCCTGTCATAGTGACCTCTGCCCTAGAACGTCCACAGAAACTTGGTATATAAATACGATATGCAGGCGCCACATCAGTACCTGAGATGCTGGTAGCTGAAGAGTACAATTGTAGTCCTATTTACATTAATACTCCAATTCTAATGGCTTCCGTCTCCTACATCATTGACTCTAGTATCTCCAGCCTTTTATGGTGTCTACTTTCTATGTACCTTTGATATTCCACTGATGCTAACATATGCTTATGAATCCATCATTATCACTTGCCACTGAGGCTGAGTCCTCCAATCTCATCAGTTGCACAGAGGAACAAATCCAAGAGGCAAATCATTTCTGTTGCTGTTGCTGCTACCATCACTCTGCCTGAGCTGGAGTCCAGTTAATTGGCAACAGAGCTGGAGCTAAGTGGCTATAGCCCTTGCCATTACTCTTACAATGTTAGAAGAAAAATGTCCTTCTTGCATAATGCTCAATGAGGGAAATGCATGAGAGAGTTCCATTTCAAAGCTGTCTGAGTTCCAGAATGTTATGGCATTTAGTAACACAACTCTTCCATTTATATAATTACCAATACACATTTTCAGCATTGATGAATCTAGACAAGTTTTAGTATTAGCTCTGTGATGGCCTTTTGTTGTGTTAACTTGGCTAGACTGAACTACAGTCCCTAAAATTCTATATCTACTATGTTTCTAGGTAGTGTGGGCTATAACTTAGGAAGCGGCGATGACCATTTTATGACTCACACCTCTCTTCTCCCTGTTACTCAGTCAAACACTAATCTAGGTGCTGCTGTGAAGGAATTCTGTCAATGTGATTATAGTCACATGTCAGTTACTTCAGGTGAATCAAAAGGGATACTATCATTGTTGGGCCTGACTTACTTAATTCTAGGGCTTTAAAGAGGGCTTAAGCCTTCTCTGAGCTCAGGGACTCAACACAGCAGCTGGACATGCAGTTACTCTCTCTTTCTCCTGGATCTTCCTTCCTGACTGGTGCCTATGGACAACACACTGCAGCTTGTGTTTGTGGGGTTCTGGCCTGCTTGCAATCCTTCTTCCCTGACTGATCACCTTACAGACTTTGAATTTGAATAGCTGGCCCCCCAAATTGCTCATTGTCTGTATAAATTCATTTGAATCCTACTTATTCAGCTTCTCTAGTTGAGCTGTGACTGATGCAAGCTGCTGCAAACCGCCTCTCTCCTTCTTCTCTTCCATCTTTGGTCCTGCTACTGAATGTGGCTCCCAAGAAGGAAATGCTTTCCTTATGTTGAATACTTTCACAGAAGCTGCCATCTCCCCTCCTCCACACTCTTCCCCAGACTTTGTCTCCACTTGGGCCACCTCAGTCTGTAAATCATCTAAGTCCTGGTGGTAAACATTGTTTGAATACATTCTCAAAACGCACCTCGATCCAGCATAAATAGAGATATGATGGGAGAGATGTTGTCCAACACCACCAGTAAGGAATATTATTTTGGTTGGAATTTCACAAAGATTTGAAAATTCAGGCATCACTGGGAAATTTCTTTTTCTGTGTGATTTAATCATGAAGCAATTTGAGGAGATGACCTTTTTCCATAGATGTGGTATCCAAATGCATAATAAGTGTTAATGCAGAAGATGCATTAGTAGCTACTTTTGAAGAAACCAAGACGTCTTGTAGAATAGCCAGAAAGTTAGATGTGTTTTTCATGTGACCAAATGGCATTTAAAGAAAATGGAGGTAAACAGAATTTTTTTCCAAGTGAAAATAGCTAACTTTTGTTGTTTTCCTGAGTGCCACAGATTCCCAATCAAATTGATTTACAAGTCATTACTGTTAACTAAATATGTGCCATGGCCCAGACCATCAAGGTGTATTAAAGTTACTCACTTGTTTTCTTGTAACTCTGGCTTTATCAAAATGAATCTCATGCCCTATTTAATTAATATCCTCATTACCAACCTTAGAAGTGAACAGCTAAACTCACTAGGGAATGGTAATGGTAATATGTCCTGAGAGAGATTCATTTGGCCCAGCTGTCCGTTTTATTCTAAGTGCTAAATGCGTTAATATACATAGACTATCATTTACATAGCAAGTGGCTATGCAAGATGAATTATTTATTGTGTGACAACTACCTAATACTCAGTGTACTATCTAATGCAAAGCCATTTTTTATTTGACCTGTATGTGAGTTTGCATTATAGAATTCATTACCTTTACATATAAGTCACATTGAAGTTATGTGTGCAGCTATCTCTCATAGAAGCTGCAGGTTACCTCTGCTTTGATTTAATTGCCGCTCTCCTTGTATGGCAAAGAAGCCTGCTTTTGGAATGCAAGAATTTCAGGGACCCCAGCCAGGCGGCATGTGAAAAGCCTCTCCTTTGATGCGGAGAGTAAGGTGAGACAGAAAGACAAGCCCAAATTTAATTAAAATGTTATGAGAGCTAGAAACCAGCACATGAGACAAAGTAAAGGGGAGCAGGGTTTGTGCCTCCTGAAGTGTGTATGCTGCCAGGGATCACCAAGGTAATAAAATTCAAGCTGCTTTCCCCAGGCAGTGGTGACCCCATCCTCTACAGAGAGCCGCATGTTTACGTTCAGAGAGAACTGGGAGGAAGTCTTCTTGAATAAGAAATTGCCTCATTTCCAATTTATTCTTTAGTCTCTGGAATGTAATTTAATTCATCTTTGCAGTTTTCACGTGGCTTTTCAGACTATTCATCTCTGCATTATCTTTGCAACCTCTAATAATGTGGTTCTTCAGGGAGGCTGGTGCCTCTGAACATAATAGTGCTAAGACTAGTTCCCTGACAGGGCAGATAGCAAGCTAATTACCCAACTTGTTGGGGAACCAGAGCTCTAGGGACTGAAAATTTCTGGTATTGAAATGAGGGATGGGGCACCTATAGAGGCCTGAAATGTTAGATATCCTTCCCATTAGATTCTTAGTCTGTCGCTCGGGAATCTGCCAAATTGGATGGCCTCAAGATTTGCTTTGCTTGTGAGATTTTTTGTTACTTCCCAATTCCAGCTGGACTGCAAATACTGCAAGAAAATCCCTTCTTATTATTGGTATTTTGGTCCTTCTATTTCCCATCTCACCTGGAAACAGGCAGTGCAGAGGAGTGAGAAAATGAAAAGAACAATGGAAAAGGTAATAGAATTGTACTGAACCCTTCAAAAGATTTGCTTTGAATTCCACATGAAGGTTGAGGCACGTACAATAGTCACCTAAGTCAATCCAGGTGTACCTGTCCCTCTAAACGTAATTTCAGGGCTGCTCTTTCCCGAGGAAAAGCATTTTTGATATGAGATCTGTTGGAATAATCATAAGATTGCAAAGCTTCATTTGCTCCTCTCATTTGATACCCATGCATGTAAACTAGAAATATTTTTCTTCAGTAATTGAAAAATTAATGATTAAAAATTTGTATTATAATTGGATCCCTTATTGAGCAGAGTGTGATCTGGGGACACACAGTATCTGTACCATCTGGGACAATCTTAGAAATGCCCCATCCCAGATTTATTGAATCAAAATTTGAATTTTAATGAGATCCCCAGGTTATCTGTAAGCACTTTAAAGTTGGGGACTCTGATCCAGTTCACTGACGTCCATTATTTACATAGTTTCCTACAGCGGACCTTTTCTTCAATTGTCTTAGAGCTGGCTTAAAGAAGGGAGGGGCGCTGGGGTGAGATGGATGTTGGGGATTCCCAAGCTGTTCATGTCTCCCATCCCTGCTGCAGGTCTTTGCTATCCCAGGGCAGTATGGAACACAGTACAAAAACACTAAGCCAGTCCCTCCATCTCATTGTGCACTCAGAGACTGAGGCTATGAGAGGTTAAATAGCTTACTTTAGGTCAAAGAGCTTGTTAGTGCTAATGCTAGGTCTATAAGCCAGGTGGTCAGACCCACAGTTCTGTTCTATTTTCATACTGCCTGGTTCTGACACCCAGGATTTGTAATAAGCCTTTGAACAAAAAAATAAGCTGTATCTGAGACTGAAGTTATTATCCAGGCTTTGCCACTTCTTGGACTGTGAAAGGCATTTAAACACCTGTCCTTGTTTAAGACTAAATTAGTGCATTATGTGTTTATAGCTCTGGTAATTGCACCCTATGCATACTATTGTATTTCTAGAACAAATCTGAGGTTGAATGCACACTTCTAGTTTTGATTATAAATGTTTACTTAAAAGATAGCTCTGATTCATTGCTATGAAATTAATTCCAGGCCACCAGAGAGCATGCATGCAAGCTTTTTGCCTTCTGGGCCTGAAAGATGAAAGGCCTTGAATGGTGTTATGGATTGAATGTTTATGTTCCCACAAAATTCATATGTTGAAGCCCTGAGCCCAAATGGGATGGTATTTGGAGATGGTGGCTTTAGGTGGTAATATAGGTTAGATGAGTTCACAAGGGTGGAGCCCTCATGATGAGATTAGTGCCCTTATGAGAGGAGATATCAGAGAGCTTGCCTTCTCTTCCTTCACCTACCCAAAGATGGGGTCATGTGAGCTCAAAACAAACGAGATGACAGCCACCGACAAGCCAAGAGAAGATTCCTCAGAATAAAATCTACCGTGCTGACATCTTGATCTTAGACTACTCAGCCTCCAGAACCCCAGTAAATGAATTTCTATTATTTTTGTGGTATTTGATTTTTGCAGCATGAGTGGACTAATATAGAGGACATATATTCAATGCCCATTTATAAATGAAATCTGGACATTCTCATGAAAATTGAATAATCATGATGGCTCTCATTTACTGAGTGCCTACCATAAGCCAGGTACTGTCAACTACTGTGCTAGACATCATATCAATTATTTAAAGTAAATATTGTCCGTTTTTACAGGCTAGTTTCTTGAGGGGTAGAGCATGTCCCAGGATCTTTTAATGTCTCCAGATTCAAGCACAATATTTGGTATATAATAGGTCTTCAAATGCTGTTGTTGCCCTAAAGGTTGCAAGATTAGTCCAAAGTCATGCATTTGCTCAATTTTCGATCTAGAACTATCTTTCCAAAGCTCATTGTGGTGGATTGCAAAAAAATGGTTCCAAGTTCCTCTTATCACTCATTGTACACTCCTCTGAAAAATGACTTTTCTATTCTTCCCATCTGGAGGTGGAGTATATCTTGCCTCTTGTTTGAATTCAGATTGGCCTTGGGACTTACTTTGACCAATAAAATATGGCAGAAGGGACAATGTGGGAGTTTTGAGCCTAGGCCTGAGACTGCCATGTGAAGAGACTGGGGTTAGTCTCTGTGAGGATGAGACACCTATAGGCAGCACCATCAACCACTGGGCATATGAATGAGAACATTGTGCTGAGTGCTGCCCCATAAGTGAACTCAAGTGAGACCAGCAGAATGGCACGATGAGCTCAGCCAAAATTGATGACCCACATAATCATGAAATAATAAATGATTGTTTCAGCCACTATTTCTATTAGTGAGTAATAGAAAATTGACATATGAGTGCTGCTTCTACCTCCTAATTGGTGAAGATGATGGTCATTCAAAGGATATTATTATGTGACCCTACTGAGAGATTATCATACGCAAAACAATCAAAACCTTACATACATGATATCATTTAATCAGTTCAGCCATCCTAAGAAGTGATATATTTAAAATCGCCATTGTATTGATGAGAAAATTAGGTTAAGTAACTTTCCACAGTCACACAGCTAGTAAGTGTTGAAGTATATACACTCTGGAATAAACACTCTTAACCACGAAGCTGTTGAGTTTGAAGGAAAGAGGCCGTAGTGCAGCGTGTTATGTGGAAGGAGATGGAGTGAGTTATAGGGGCATAGTTATGAAGCTGATGGACTAAAGGAGTACTGTAGGCAGAATAATGCCCCTCCAGAGTTGTCTATGTCCTAATCTCTGAAACCTGTGCCAATGTTCTATTACATGGCAGAGGAGAATTAAGATTACAGATGGAATTAGATTACTGTATTAGTTTCCTGTGGCTACTATTAGAAGTTACTATAAACTTGGTTCCTGGAAACAAGAGAAATGTATTGTTTCACTGTTTTGGAGGCTAAAACTCTGAAATCGGTTTCACTGGGCTGAACCAAGATATCAGCAGTCCTGTCCTTCCTCTGAAGGCACTATGGGAGAATCTGTTCTTTGCTTCTTACAGCTTCTGGTTGTTGCCAGCATTTGATGGCTTGTGACTGCATCACTTCAATCTCTGCCTCTGTGATCATATTGCCTTCTCATTTTCTGTGCATATAATCTCTTGGCTCCCTTTCATAAGGACACTTGTGATTACATTTACGGCCCACTCATAATCCAGGATAATCTCCTCATTTAAGATCCTTAATTTAATCACAACTACAAAAAGTCCTTTTCTTTCCACATAAGGTAATATTTACAGGTTTCAAGGATGAGGATGTAGATAGGCTTGGGGACGTCATTATTTAGCCCACCATCATTGCAAACTAACATTAAACTGGGGAGAGTATCCTGAATTATGCAGATGTGCTCAATGTAATCACAAGTGTCCTTAAAAATGAAAGTAGAAGGAAGAAGAGAGTGTAAGGGGGATGTGACTACAGAAGAAAGGCATAGAGAGATAAAACATGACTGATGCTGAAGATGGAGGAAAGGGCCATGAACCAAGAAAGGCAGGCAGCCTCTACCTGGAAAATGCAAAGAAATAGATTTCCCTAGAGCCTCCAGAAAGAAATGCAGCCCTGCATTTATTTTAGCCCGTTGAGACTTATATTGGACTTCTAACTTAACAAACTGTAAGATAGTAAATTCGTGTGATTTGTTAGAAAGAGGAAGTCAAAATGCTCTGTTTTAAAGCTAACCTTTGTTGGACATTGGCTTTCCATCAATTCCTGTACTAATTTCTTTATACATATTATTTCATATAATTTTCAGAAAAATAACAAAACAATAAACTATTTCAAGTATTGTCTCTGCTTAATAGCTATGAGTATTGACTTAGCTGCCTAAAGATACACAGTTCATACTAGAGTCAGGATTAGACACAGGTGATCTGACCTCTGAGCCATCATTCTCTTAAGCCCCATCAGTCATCAGAGAGATAGTGTGTATAATCTTAAGTTATTTATCTAGAAGTACTCATTTGAATGTGTTCTTTTTAACCAAGGGTCAAGAGAAGCCTGAAGGGAGACATCCCTGTTTATGGTAAGTTCTACCACAGCTAGAAATAAGAGTTCTTGGAATAGATTCTGTAAATTTCTTATACCCTTTGAACTAATGATGATAGATCTAGTTTTCTTCTGTATTTTCTTTTTTCTGCCAATAGCACTGAGGAAAAAAAGAATTGAGTAGAAGAAACAATCAGAAAGGTAGATATGATGGAAAGGAGGTTTATTTTTAAGTTTGTATTAACTCAAATTAACCTTAGCTCCTCCTGAAATTTTTCAACTATTCTTTAGAAATAAGTTCAAGCATCTGGAGGTTTCTTGATTCTAATCTGTGCTTTCTTATCAATACATAACTAATGTCCATCAAATGCCAATACGCCTGGAGAAGTAAGCTCTAAGAAATGAATTTAATTTTCAGTGAAGTGCCACTTATTTGGCATTTTAGTTATGAATCTGCCTGCTTTGTTCTGCACCATAACTGGGTTTTGTCCAACCACTTTTAATTACGAGGTTATGCCTGGGTCCTTGTTTCCTTTGATATAAACTTTTCAGACCCAAGCTCTGGGTCTCATTTTTTCTGAGCTATGGCTTCAATACTAGGAATCCCTGAGGCCTGATGTTGGTTGGACACTGACTCCAATTATTTTCTGTGCAAATTACTTGACCCTTCAGCTTTGATTCTCCCTTTCACAAACTGAGGATATAATCACTCTTCTCTTATCTCCCAAGGCTCCTAAGGGAAACATTAAAGAGTTCTGAATATGAAAAACACTATATACCTGTGAAGGAGTGTTATGAGCTCATCATTTTCCATCCAATTTCCAGATAATATCAGGTGCAACAGTCCCCAGGGAAGCTAGTTAAGACACAGCAATCCTTGGCCAAGTCTGTGGTCTCCCTTGCTGCTTCTGAGGTGCCCTGCAACAGACAGTAAGCAGCAACCCATTCCCTGCTACAGAATTTTTTTTCATGGCTGTTTGCAAGTGAGATCCTAGCAGAATTGCTGAGCACTTGTTAAACTTTTCCCTTCACTTAATCTACTTGAAAAGAACCTTGCTGCATACATTTGTACACATCACCGCCCCAGAGGAGCTCTGTGAAAGTGCACTCCTGTTCCTCTGGACTGCTTGGAGAAGAGAAAAGTAAGTAGTTTTCAGTGCAGTCTGAGAGTTCAGCTGGAGAACAGATATTTTTAGGATTAAAGTAAACTGGTGTTATAATTAAAGTGCTTAAGACACTCTCAAACTGAACATCATTTTTGCTCTCCTTGCTGTAGATAAGGATATCATCAGACTCTACACGTCCTCTCCTAATGCAGTTGGCCTAATCAATTCAAGGCAAAGTGACAGCAAAGCATTTTATGGACCTTTTTCTTTCTATCTGTTTTCCAGGAGAGAGAGGCTGAGTATGGACAAGTGAACATTTATTTATTTTCCTAGGTTCTGAATCCCATTCCACAGCAGTTGGCTTGGATACCTCTAAGTAGCTCCTGTTCCTCTGACTTTGCCTTCATTTACTCCCCTTATTCCTGAAACCTCTTTTTGTCATTTTCAGGGGTGAAAACTTCAGGAGTGCTTCTTTTAAGTTGCTGAATGGAAGGGATTATGCCATTGACTCATCGGGCCCTTGGAATAAGAGAGGACCTTAGTTTACAGAGGAGAGAATTGAGGCCCAGAGCTATTCAGTAACGTATTACAAGTCACAAATCCGATTTGAAACAGATCTGGCACCAGAGCCTGGGTCTCTGACTTCCATTCTGGGGTTCTATCCATTACATGCCCAGTAATAATCCCTGCACCTTGGACCCATATGGGACACAACCCACAGGCTTTACCTTTAGGGATGTGAAGGCCAAGGCTTTCCTTCACCTTCTGCTTTTGTGCAAGTACAAATCAGGAGCATTTCTGTATTTTCCCTTTGGCTGTGGGTGGTCCTGGTGTCTCTTGAGAAAGATGGAAGAGGCTAGCCTGAGGTTTCTTAGCAAAATATTAAGTCAGAATTTTTCACTTTCCATTGTAACCCTCATTTTCCATGCTGGGGCAGCCCAGAGGTAGAACAGGGTCATCATAACAGTTATAAAACCAGTATCTTTCTGACTCTAGCCGATCCACTTTTGGGAATTCCAGCCCCTTCAAATACTTCCCAGGTTGTTTCACGGGTTCTCAGAAGTTGTTTCCCAAAAGCTCTGAGCACTAATTTTTATAATTTACAGTCTTTAAGTCTCAATGATTATTGTAATCTCCTGCGAGCTATCTAAAAATCAGATTTTACAATACTACCCCAAGAAAACTTGAATTGGCAGGTGTGGGATTTGGCCTAGAAATATGTATGTCTGTAACTTCTCACATTGATTTCAGTATTAGACAGGTCTGTGAACCCCTGTTCTATTTCCACAGGTTATTCTTTCAACACAATATTTAGAGCCCACTATAACCTCAGCACTATCCTAGGCCCTGGACATAAGCAATGAAGAAGGAATGTTCTGACATCTTGGAGCTTTCACAGCTCAAGGACAACACATGAATAAATAGTTAAACATGTAGTAAGTCAGCCAGTGACAGATATGATGGAGAAAAGCAAAGTAAAAGTGAGGGTGGGAGCAGTGCTGCTGTTTTATGCAAGGAAGACCTTTTCTATCATCTGACATTTGGGTAGATGCTAAGGAAAATGGTGGAACAAAGCCATGTGAATATTTTGTAGAAGGATGTTCCAAACAGACAGCAGCTAGTTCAAAGAGCCTTGAGTTGAATTAGCCTGCTGTGTTTCAGAATGAGCAAGGAGCCAATATGCCTGGAGAGGACAGTATGAGCCAGAGAGGAAAGCAATAATGTCCAAATGGAGCAGGGGTTCTGGCGTGCAGGACGTAGGTGAGTGTGCAGAGTAGAGCCTTAGAACATGATTAGGGAGCCACTGGAGGATTTTAACCATGGAGAAACAAGGTCTGATCTTGTTTTGTATGTATCACTCTGGCTTGTGGTCTTGAAAGTCAAATTTAAGATGGCAAAGTTAGAAGCTGGTAGACTAGTAAGGAAGCTAATGCAGTCCAGGGAAGACAGTTTTGTAACCAAGTGGTAGCAGTGGCCATGATGTGGATACTGATATATTTTGAACATAAAGACTATGGTAATTTAGCTGGGTGGGGTGGCTCACACCTGTAATCCCTGTTCTTTGGGAGGCTGAGGTGGGAGGATTGCTTGAGGATGGAAATTCAAGACCAACTTGAGTAGCACTGTGAGACCCCATCTCTACAAATAAGTTTTTTTAAAAAAGTCAGCCTGGTGCAGTGGTGTGCACCTGGAGTCCCAACTACTTGGGAGGCTGAGGCAGGAGGATGGCTTGAGTCCAGGAGGTTGAGGCTGCAGCGAGATATGATCATGCCACTGTACTCCAAACTGGGTGACAGGGTGAGATCTTGTCTTAAAAAAAAAAAAGGCAATGAGATTTGCTACTGTATTGAATATGGGGTGGGATGAGAAGAGGAATAAAGGGCAACTATGAGATTTTTGGTCTAGACAAGTCAAAGAATGAAGTTGCAACTTTAAAGAATGAAAGGAGTATGAAAAGAAGAGATTTGAAAAGAAGAAGAATCTGATTTGCATGTGTTAATTTTGAAATACCTATTAGATATCCGGATGGAAACGTCCAATAGCTGTCTGGCTATCCAAATTGGGAGATCCAGGAAAAAGTCCAGACTGGATGTACAAATTTGGGAATCATTGGCAATATGGCAAGGTAGAGGCCATATTGTGTAATGAGTTTTGATAAAGAAAAAAAGGTCTAAAGACTAAAGTCCTCTTGCACTCTAATGTTTAGAGGTTGGAGACAGGGGAAGGGCTGATGCAGAAGAGTGAGAAGGGGTGGCTAGATAGAGTCAATAATTTTCTTCCTCTCCAGTTCCGCCTTACTGAGACAATGTGTCCTGTGACTGCTAATCCCCACAACTGTGACTCACTGCCAAAATCTCAAAGGCACCAGTAATGCCACAGCTGCCTCTAAGGCAGGAAGCACTAGGACACTGCCAAGGCCGGTGCTGCTGCCACTGTTCTCACCAGTTCTGTGAGAGCACCAAAGCAATCCATCCTTCAGCTCTTTGATGCCCAGCAGGCATGAAAATAATCTCTTTTTTAGGTTTCAATATGTAACTTATTGGAGAATTCTTAAAAGATTTAGGTAGGTATCTGGAAGCCAGTCAGAGTAAATGATATATTCTAGTCCATGAAATGAATACATATATTTCAAGTATAATTTGGTTCTGAATCCTAGCATAAACACAGCTTAGATTCAAGCAGAGATACTAGTTACATTGAAAAAAAACATGAAACTATAAAGCAATTATTTTTTAACATTAGGAGGGAGTTCTTGCAATCATGGAAGAATCTGAGCTATAGCATCCCAGAAGTTTGGTTTCAGATCCCATCCTAGCGAGAGAGAGAAAGCTCACAGAGGGAGACAGCATAGTTTTCATTCTCTTCCCGGTTACTCTTGACAAGAGTAGGGGAAGCCTCTGTTACGTGCTATTTAAGGTGTTGGAAAGAAGGAAGCAATTTATTAATAGTTCAACAATGCCTATTCCATTACTGTAATTTATTACTGAAATATATGCTATAGTAATGTGCAGCCCACACACATATGACTTGTTAAAGAGTGGCTGCTTCTCCAGTTTTGCTCATTCTGAGTACCCATCTTGATTTTAATAGTCCAGCAGGGCCCAGGTGCAGAATCTCTAATTTACAAAACCTGAGAATTTCCTGCAGAGGACTAAGGAATGACTGAGCCCTCATTCTATAATAAGAACAATACTTTTTGTACTTAAGTTTGTAGAAACAATATTATATACACAGGATTCTTACATCCTACTCCAGATAGTCGCAAAGTAGCAAGTAATAAAAGTTCATTGGCATGATATGGGACAGTTTGGTTGTTGGTGTGGCTGGATCCTCTTATATTTGCCCCTCGCAGTCCCCATATTAAAGGCTCTTGACCCAGTAAGGTTTGTTTCTGGTTTTAGAGTTCTTCTTATTAATTCCCAGCAAGTCTAAAGCTTTTTATGGTAACCCCAGGAGGGGCATGTTGCTGCAATTCTACCTACACAACTTGAATACTTTTTGTTTGAAGTCTTTCTAGTGGCCATGTTTTCTCAGGTATCAGCTTTTTGTTGGGTTCTTTGGAAACTTCGAGGAAAGAAGGGATTACACTATCTGTCACTCTGATAAGAAGGTTTTCCCACTTGAAATAAGAATTAAACATGGCTGGGTATGGTGGTTTATGCCTGTAATCCCAGCATTTTGAGAGATCAAGGCAGGAGGAGTGCTTGAAGTCAGGAGTTTGAGACTAGCCTGGGCAACGTAGCATACCCCATCTCTACAAAAAAAAAAAAAAGGTTTTAATTAGGCATGGTGGCATGTGCCTGTGGTCCTAGCTACTTGGGAGGTTAAGGAAGGAGGCTCCCTTGAGCCAAGGCTGTAGTGAGCCATGGTTGTGCCACTCCAGCTTGGATGATAGTGTGAGACCCTGTCTCAAAGCTATTTCATGGGTCAGAGTATTAAGTATCTCTGAGGCAATAATAGTGCTTGATATTTCTATTTAATCATTCCATTTTTAATATCACAATGGCTTATATTATGACTGTTGCTGGCCAGAAATGGCAGATGGGTTGGGAAAAACTGACAATAGAGCCTATTCAAATAGCATGCTCTTGTTCTGCATTGGCATGGACAAACATTCATTTTTCCCTCTCCCTTTAGTATTTCATGTATTGATGAATAGCAGCACAATGGTCCACCTAGTGATTGCAGCCAGACTCCCATGCCTCTCTCCTGACCTCATTTTTTACATCACACTGGGATCAAATAGTCCTAATATCTCTTTAATTCACTCTCTCCTATCTCTGGCCAAAAATGCCCTACTTCAGACTTTTATTGTTTCCTACTTGAATGATTTCAGCAGTCTCCTATCGGTCCTCTCTATGTCCAGTCTCATCCTGTGAAATCCATGCTAAGTGTTTCCACAAGAGAGCTCTTCAACCAAAAAAAAAAAAAAAATCCTTCGTCTACTTCAAAACTTTCTAAGGTCACCTCAAAATACAACAAGATGCCTCTAATTGTGGGCTTTGGACCTTCTACATCAGAATTACTGTTAAAGATGTACATTGCAGAATTTTGAATTTGCATTTAAAACATGCTTCCCACGTGATTAATATGCACTCAGATCAGTTAAGAAAAACTTTAGACAAATTAAATTTAACAGAGTTTAATTGAGCAAAGAATGATTCACAGTTTGGACAGCCACCAAACCAGAATAGGTTCAGAGCGATTCCATCAGGGCCACGTGGTAGAAGAAGATTTCTGAACAGAAAAACAGAAAGTGATGTACGAAAGATGGAAGTGAGTTTCAGAAACAGCTGGATTGGTTACAGCTTGGCCTTTGCCTTATTTGAACATGGTTTGAACAGTAGACTATCTTTGGCTGAAAATCAGTGATTGACACAAGAGTAGATTATAGGCTGTTTACACATCCAGGTAGGTTACAGTTCCTTATGCAGGGAGAAACCTTTAGGCCACACTTAAAAGGAGGCAGCTTTAGGCTAAACTTAATTTAACACAGTAATGGGCTTGAGGCCCAAGCTGGGCCAAGTAGAATTCTCCTTGAATCATTCCTCTCATTTCAGGAGAAAAATGAAGGAAAGAAAATAAAGATAGGATGCAGAACAATGCTGAAAGAAGCAGTAAAGAGAAGGCAAGAAAGAGAAAGACCCTGAAAGCATTGAAACCCTGGTTTCAGGCACCCATGAGTCTAGCAGTGCCTCTTATGCTCTCTCTAGAAAATGGTGTGTAGGGCTAACATCAGCAGGTTGCTTAACCTCTTAAATCCTTAGTGGCTTATAAAATCTGGTATGAACTGGCCCTCCATAGATCCTCAATTGACCTCATTTTGTGTAACCTACCTTCATGCTTACTATCCTGCAGCATATTAGACTCCTCTCAGCTCTGTAAAATCACCAAACTGGTGCCCACTTAAGGGTCTTTATACCAACCATTCCTGCTCTCTCACATGCTTCTCTCTCCACTGCCCCCTGGGACTTTCCTGGATGGCTTTTTATTTTTTTCTACTTAGAGCTAGGGTTACTTCTACAGAGGCCACCTGACCACTCAAAAATAACCACCCCATAATTATGTGTCACATCACCTTTTAAAATGTATTGCATACCATTTATAAAAATCTGATGATATTTATTAATTTATTGGTTAGTTTGTGTCTTATTTTCCCCACTTGACTGAGCTCCATGAAAACAGCTCCTGGCACAGGATAAACACTCAGTGGATACTTATTGAATGACAGAAAAATAATCACCACCACCACCACCACCACCAATATTTACTTGGGTTTATTATGTGCCAGACACTGTTATAGGCATCTTATTGGTTAACAAATTAAATCATTGCAATGGGCCTATATGAGATTAATACTTTTATTATCTCCATTTGACAGATGACGAATCTATGGTACAGGAAAGTTGAAACACTCAAAGAACAATGATTCCAGCAAAATAGGCACTTTTGTGTATTCCATGTGTTGATCAAGAAATAAGAAGATATGCAAATAAACAAGAGGAGGAAAGAGAGCTGGGGCATGCCTACTGCTCTGAATATTCAAAAAACAGGGATGAGGTGTAGTAAAAAGAAGCAAAGAGGAGAAAAGATGGAAATAGAGGCTGTATTGGTTTTCTAGGGGTGCCATAATAAAATACCACAGGTTGGGTGGCTTAAACAATTGAAATGCATATTCTCACAGTTCTAGAGGCTGGAAGTCCAGGTCTGGTTTCTTCAGAGGTTTCTCTCCTTGGCTTGCAGATGTCCTCCTTCTTGCTGGGTCCTCACATGGTTGTTCCTCAGTCTGTATTGACTGTGTCTTAATCTTGTCTTCTTATAAGGACACCAGTCATATTGGATTAGGGCCCAAACATAGGACCTCCTGTTACCTTAATTACATCTTTAAAGATCCTATCTCCAAATACAGTCAAATTTATTTAGAGTTACTAGTGACTTCAACATATGAATTTTTTGGGGGACACAGTTCAATTCAACACATAACAGAGAGGAAATAAGTAATGTGTAAAACTGAGTGGAAGTAAGTGAAATTAAGGGGATCAGGAAAGTTGTGGTGTAAAGCAGAAGGTATAGAAGAAATTATTGCATAGTTGGTATAGAAGAAATTATTGCGTAGTTAAATGGAAAACAAAGGTGAAAAATAGAATCCAGCAAGGAAAGAAAATAAATCAATGTACTCACTGAGAAAAAGAAGACACATATGAATATTTGTACAATGACAAAGATAGTGTAACTGCCCAGTGGGTTTACCTAGCCCACTACCTAGACAGAATTGCAATACAGAAAGAGTAATTCACTCAGAGCTGGCTGTGCAGGAGACAGGAGTTTTATTATTACTCAAATCAGTCTCCCCAAGCATTCAGGGATCAGAGTTTTTAAGGACAACTTGGTGAGTAGGGAGAAGCCAGTGAGCCAGGAGTACTGATTAGTTAGGTAGGAGATAAAATCATGGGAAGTTGAAGCTGTCCTCTTGCCCTGAGTCAGTTCCTGGGTGGAGGCCACAAGATCAGAAGAGCCAGTTTAGATGATCTGGGTGGTGCAAGCTGATCCATCAAGGAAAGGGATCTCAAGCACTGATCTCAGAAGCAGTTTAGGGAGAGTCAGAATCTAGTAGCCTCTAGCTGCATGACTCCTAAACCATAATTTCTAACTTGTGGCTAATTTGTTAGTCCTACAAAGGCAGTCTAGTCCCCAGGCAAGAAGGAGGTTTGTTTTAGAAACAGGCTGTTATTGTCTTTGTTTTAAACTATAAACTAAGTTCCTCCCAAAGTTAGTTCAGCCTACACCCAGGAAGGAACAAGGACAGCTTGGAGGTTAGAAGCAAGATGGAGCTAATTAGGTTAGATCTCTTTCACTGTCTCAGTCATAATTTTGTAAAGGTGGTTTCAATAGAATACATAAAAGATTAACACAGGAAAAAAGAGACAGAAGAGGGACAATGCCATAAAAATGAACAGAGAAAAGGGGAAGAATTAAAAAAAATAGAAAACCAGCTTTACAACACATAGGATGTATGCTGTATTTCATTTTTGTTTTGTTTTGGAAAATGTCCTATCATTTTGTAAGGTTGAATACTGAAGTGCATGATTTCTATGACTAAAGACTTCACTGACTTGAAATATTATAAGAAGGCGATGCTGATATTGGAAATATCATGGAGATAGAGTCAGGAATACTTTCCTATATGACAGTACTGATCTTTGTCATAAGAGAAAGTGTATCGGCCGCATTTTATAAAGCTTTGGGGGGCTTTAAAAAGCAAAGAAATTGAGATTGTGTTAGCTGGAATCCGGCAGCAGGTTTAACAGGAGATACTGTTCTGCTACAGCTCTCACCAAGGGAGTTCAATTTCAACAGTGCTAATCTTTCCATTGTGGCGGAAGTTTAAATTTTGTGCCCCTAAGGAAAAATTTCCAAAGTAATTCCCATTGAACTTGCCTCCCAGAAATCCCTGCTTCATACACTATCCAGGTACCACCTGTGCCTCTCCAGGGCAATGGTAACTTTCTCTCCACATGGTAAAACATACTCATTTGACATTTCAGATGCCAAATTCTTTTTTCCAGTGTGGTTAAATAAAGTTTCTATTGTTCCATAAAACTTCTGGCATGAAATTTTAACTCTAATTTTTTTTCATTTTAATGTAATTTTGTGCACTTTATTCTTGGTTTCTGGTATTGCAAATTGATATAAAGCTTTTAAATATAGCTCTACATTGTTTTATTATTTTAGCTATTGTAGGAAAGTTTAACTTTCCCTCTGAAGATTCAATAATTTGGGTCTATAAACAAACTGACAATATAGACAGATTAACAGGAGAAAAGGCATCCAAATTGATATATGTGCAAATGCATGGGCAGTACACAAAATATGAGACTCAAGGAAGGGCCAGATGGCTGAAGCTTAAATAGCACCTTCTTCATAGGAGAAAAGTGGTGAAATATAGGCAATTTTGAGAGGTAGTAAAAGATTTTTCATAGAATTGAATGGGCCCAAAGAGCAGACAGTAGCTTGTGAATGATTGTCTTTGGAAACTGAGTGGTACTGGAGAACAGTCAACGGCCTAGGACAAATTTCCCCTGAGATCTGGACGGAGGTGTTGACAACGGAAGAAGGTGAGGGCTGGAAGTTTACGGTGAACAAAGGTTGTCTTATGCAGATAAAGTCTCCCTAGAAATCTCTCAGGGCTACCCTCAGAAGAACAGATGAAAAGTCTGTCTGGGCATGATGGAGACTTTTAGTCTTTTCTCTTCTCTGGTGGTTAATCTTTCATGGTCATCTGATGAGATTCCTAGGGAGAGAGTTTCAATTGCATTTTTTTTGGGAAGAACTTCCCTCAGTCAAATAAGGGAACTTCCAGAGAAAGCCCCTCCTGTGCCTGAGTGGTAGGAGAGAAACAAGAGAAAGCTAGAAAGTCATTGGTTCAGAGGCAGCTTCTAAGGCCTTTTAATTTCTTTTAGTTCAAAGTGCTCAGCATGCCAAAATGCTATAGGTTGGGGTATCAGTTCTGAGCCCCAACATTATATTGAAACACATCAATGTAAGTATGTTTCTTTTCTGACTATGCATATAAAAAGTGTAATAACTAAACAGTCTTCTTGAATAATAGAATAATAATTCACTATATAATTCTTTTATTATATTCAAAAGTGAGGCCAGGTCTGTTTTAGTTCTAACATAAGCTAGAATTTATCATGTTATGTATTTATTGCATTTATTAATAACTGAGGGTCTCTGGGTCATATGGATCACTTGGGGTGCACAAGGAAATTTCAGGAATCCACTCCATATATAGTAAACAAAATATCAGGAATTGGTCCAATGAAACTACATTGAAACAAACTTTCCAGATGATTCTAATATTTACTAAATTTAGGGAACTACTGGGAAATACTTTAAATGCAAGAAATAAAATTGAGTCCAAATAAATCACCCTGCTGAGATATCACTTTATTACAAGTTTTTATACATGTACATTTCATATATAAAACAAATTATTTTTGCCTTCTTAAAATTTTCTATTTTATTAAATTTATTATACTTTAAGTTCTGGGATACATGTGCAGAATGTGCAGGTTTGTTACATAGGTATACATGTGCCATGGTGGTTTGCTGCACCCATCAACACGTCATCTAGGTTTTAAGCCCTGCAAGCATTAGATATTTGTCCTAATGCTCTCCCTCCCCTTGCCTCCTACCCCCCAACAGGCCCTGGTGTGTGATGTTCCCCTCCCTGTGTTCACGTGTTCTCACTGTTCAACTCCCACTTATGAGTGAGAACATGTGGTGTTTGGTTTTCTGTTCCTGTGTTAGTTTGCTGAGAATGATGGTTTCCAGCTTCATCCATGTCCTTGCAAAGGACATGAGCTCATTCTTTTTTATGGCTGCATAGTATTCTTTGGTGTATATGTGCCACATTTTCTTTATCCAGTCTATCATTGATGGACATATGGGTTGGTTCCAAGTCTTTGTTATTGTGAATAGTGCTGCAATAAACATATGCGTGCATGTGTCTTTATAGTAGAATGATTTATAATTCTTTGTGTATATGCCCAGTAATGGGATTGCTGGGTCAAATGGTATTTCTAGTTCTAGAGCCTTGAGGAATCGCCACACTGTCTTCCACAGTGTGGAAGATCAGTTTGGTTGAACTAATTTATACTCCTACCAACAGTGTAAAAGTGTTTCTATTTCTCCACATCCTCCCCAGCATCTGTCGTTTCCTGACTTTTTATCGATCTCAATTCTAACTGGAGTGAGATAATATCTCACAATGGTTTTGATTTGCATTTCTCTAATGATCAGTGATGATGAGTTTTTTTTCATATGTTTGTTGTATATGTTTGTTGGCCACATAAATGTCTTCTTTTGAGAAGTGTCTGTTCATATTTTTTGCCCACTTTTTGATGGGGTTGTTCACTTTTTTTCTTGTAAATTTGTTTAAGTTCCATGTAGATTCTGGGTATTAGCCCTTTGTGAGATAGATTACAAAAATTTTCTCACATTCTGTAGGTTGCCTGTTCACTCTGATGATAGTTTCTTTTGCTGTTCAGAAGCTCTTTAGTTTAATTAGATCCCATTTGTCAATTATGGCTTTTGTTGCAATTGTTTTTGGTGTTTTAGTCATGAAGTCTTTGCCCACACCTATGTTCTGAATGGTATTGCCTAGGCTTTCTTCTAGGGTTTTTATGGTTTTAGGTTCTATGTTTAAGTCTTTAATCCATCTTGAGTTAATTTTTTTATAAGGTGTAAGGAAGGGGTACAGTTTCAGTTTTCTGCATATGGCTAGTCAGTTTTCCCAGCACCGTTTATTAAATAGGGAATCCTTTCCCCATTGCTTGTTTTGTTGAAGATCAGATGGTTGTAGATGTGTGGTGTTATTTCTGAGGCCTCTGTTCTGTTCCATTGGTCTATATATCTGTCTTGGTACCAACACCATGCTGTTTTGGTTACTGTAACCTTGTAGTATAGTTTGAAGTCAGGTAGCATGATGCCTCCAGGTTTGTTCTTTTTACTTAGGATTGTCTTGGCTATATGGGCTCTTTTTTTTGGTTCCATATGAAATTTTAAGTAGTTTTTTCTAGTTCTGAGAAGAAAGTCATTGGTAGCTTAATGGGAATAGCATTGAATCTATAAATTACTTTGGACAATATGGCCATTTTCATGATATTGATTCTTTCTACCCATGAGCATGGAATGTTTTTCCGTTTGTTTGTGTTCTCTCTTATTTCCTTGAGCAGTGGTTTGTAGTTCTCCTTGAAGAAGAGGTCCTTCATGTCCCTTGTAAGTTGTATTCCTAGGTATTTTATTTTCTTTGTAGCAATTAAAATTTTCTTTAAACAATTTTCAACTTTACATTTCTCCATTTTTCACAAGAATATTTGAAAACTCTGATTTTATTTTCTTTAGTTTTGTTTGGCTTTAGAGACTTTACTGTAACAAGGTGATGCCAATTTAATGAACTCAAAGTACGTTGCACATATAAACAACAGCAGAACAAACGTTTCATGCTTGACTGGGATTGTAACTGAAAGAGTTTTGTTTGAACAGTGCAGCTTGGTATATCAGATGGGAGGACTCAGGTCTCCTGAATCAAGGAAAACTTGCTCTGTTAGGCATGGCCACCAAAGTCCATATAAATTCTTTTTTCTCCCTTCAAAATTTGATGATGTTGAGGAAATAGAATTAAAAACACAATCTTCTCTCAATCCAGAAATTTTCTCCACGAAGATAGCAGAAACAAAAACCACCCCACTTTTGCTTTTGAATTAGCATTAAACCATGATGTGATGTTAATCACAATCAGCTGAAAGACTGCAAAATCTCACCCCTCTATATGCCAACCAGTTACGACCCATTGCATACATGCTTTCAATATAAACAATAACTAGTCCATGAGTAAAAAGATTTAACAGCACTATTTGTCTTACATAATTCATCCTCAAATCAACCATTACCAGGATGACTGTCTGTGTTAATTGACTTTACCCAGAGAAAAAAACAAACTTCTCCCATATTTGTGGCAGGATGTAATTTTGTGACTTGCAGCAAGGTGCCCACTGAAGTTAGGTTCCTAATCTCTCAGAGAAACTTGGAGATAGGGGTGCTATACCCCTTGATGTTTACATTTCAAAGAGATGGCTCCTGAATCCTTGAGAAAGGCAATCCTGACTCTTAAAGCTGACAAAAGGCCTATCTGGTTTTCAAAAGGATTTACATACATTTCAAAGAGAAGAGAAGGTACTTATAATTACAAGTTTTCAAATGCAAATGCTCAAAGAGAAAGGGAGAGAGGAGCTCTTTCCTCATTTTCAACAGGCCGAATTAAGCACCTTACTTTTAATTTGCGTTTGTCCTTACAACTACCACTCTTAAATGTGAATTCCTAATTAAGAACCATGAAGCTGACTCATTTCATCAGATAAAGGCTTTTGGTTTTCTCTGCTGTTACGTCAATAAGTTTAAAATATCCAAATTTTCACCCTTATTTTCCCTGCGACCAAGGGTCTACATTTACAGGACAGCTGGGTGGGTTTATCAACAGTCATCAGTTTGTAGTGATAAGCCTGGTACCCAAGGGAACAATAAAATGTGTAAACTTGCCTCCTAATTATATCATATCACCAGCTGAGGCACAGAAACTTGTATTACAGATGTTCAATTAGTTCTTGACTTCCAGTCACTGATTTTGGACTCTAACCTGGACTAAGAAATTTTCATTTTAAGAATGTATGTTCAGTCCTGAGATAGTTACAGGTGTTTGCTGGGAGATTTTGTTCAGAAAGGGGCACTCACAGGGTCGCATTTGATTTGAAGGGTGCTCATCAGGACACACCTGAGGCCATCTGGACCCTCAGTCGTGGTTATGCTCTAAGTGTTTGCCTTCTAGAGAAACAGTTACTTGTACAAGTGTTATTTTCAGAACATTCCTTTGACTTTCTGCATAAATAGGCATCACATCACTTTCTCACTCCACTCCAATTTCTATCTTCTTGAAAAATGAGCAACGTGAACTGGTTGGGGCCAGAGGGGAACGCTCCTGATTCAGCAAGTGGCAGTGGGATACTGAGTGGCCTTGTATGACTCAATATGTTTACTCTTAAAGGGTTGGCTCCCAAGGAGTTGCACAGATAGTTCTTGGGCTTCAGTCAAAGAAAAGAATAACACAGCTGCCCTCAGCAAGGGGGAATTCCAGCATAATGGATTGGCAATGGAAACAGTTTAAACCAATATAAATATAATAGCCACCCACTGAGAGGCAATTTACACACACCAGACCAGCCTTGAAGTGCTGTACTTGGCCAGTGTAATCTACTCAGGGTTATTTTATGAGACTTGATATAAGGAAAATGGGTGAAGAGAAAATGAAAAGTAAGGGAAAGTCGACCAGTCCAAATGACATGCTAAAGCCCCAAACTCCTGCTTCAGGGGCATTGCTGCTTTGTATGACACAGAAAGAATGGTATCTGTCTAGCTCCTTAAGAAGTAATATGTTTTTAAGTGCTAATCTGGCCTGATTTCAGTTCTAATTATGCTGGTAACTGGTGAAATGGCTCTGGACGTTTTACTTCCCTACTCTACTTGATAAAAATAAGGGGTTGTGTTAGAAAGCCAGTCCAAAAAAAGTGCCTGGAACTTGGGCTCTGGAACTCTGGGCGCCATTGCGAGCACCTTTCAAGATGGCTGTGTGAACTTGGGCAAGTTTCTTATCCTCTGTAAGCCTTACTTTCCTCATCTGTACAATGGGGACAATAGTACTACTTTCTTAATACCCTTCTTATAAATATTAAAGGAGATATTCATATGAAAGCACTTTCAACACGTCAAGCCCATGATGAGTACTTACTGAAGGTTAATCATCCTTATAATCAGGAACCTTTATAGTCTCTTCCTGCTTCTAATGTCTAAGATTTTTATAATGCTTTGTCATTTCTATATCATCAACTTTTAACGCCTAAGGGAAATTCTCTTTGAGAAATAGTTATATTTTCTGGCTTCATATTTCTAAAAATAAGATTTATTTGTATGCCTTTAATTCTAAACCTTAAGCATTGTTTCAGAAAAGCTTCTCTTTCCCATGATAAATTCCATCAAATTTGCAGAAATGAAGGGATCTCTACCTCTGTTTATGTTTCAGAGGCTTCCTGAGCGGTAGTCATGTTAAGCCTAGCAGTGAGGGCATACGTTTCTAAAAGTTAGATGATGTTCACCAGAGTGGATCTTTGCATGGATCTTGTAAGATAAAGTTCATGGCCAACATGCCTATAACAAGAGACACATTAACAAGAGAAAAGCATAACAAATTTAGTCAAAGTTTTACATGACATGTAAAGCCTTCAGAAATGAAGATCCAGAGACTTAGGGAAAACTACTTTTTTTTTTTTTTTTTTTTTGCTTAGGTTGAATGAAACATGGATAGCCATGTAGAAATGTGATTGGACAAGAGTATGATCCAATGGTAATAGACTGAGTGGGAAGGAAAACCATTCTAAAAGGCCTTTTGCTCAGATTCTTTTTGCCTCTCCACTGTAACATTTCTTCCTCCAGGAAATATGGGAGGATCTCTCTGGAATGGGAGTTTTTATAATCTACTATCAGACAAGCATAGGTCAGTGAATTTCTTTATGGCAAGCTCCTAGATAGACTGGAGAAGGTTAAAGTAATATTTCTAGGTTTTGTTTTCTAGTTACTATTGTAATCACCTGATGAGTCCCTCTTGCTCATTGTCCAGAAAACCCAATTCACCGAAAGCAGCAGGTTTTCGCAACAGAGAAAAAATATAATAGTCCCAGGGCTGGCCAAGTGACCAGGCAGGAGTTTATTACTATACAAAGGAGTCTCCCCGCAAATTTGGACTATGGATATTTTTAAGGATAATCTGGCAGGCAGGGGCTATGTAATAAGGAATGCTGATTGGCTAGGTTGGGGATGAAATCATAGGGGGTTGAAGCTGTCTTCTTTTTGTCTTCATTTATCGGGTAGGATCACAAAACCAGCTGGTCCAGTTTGCTGGTCTAGGTGGCACCAGCTGGGCTATCAGAAGGCAAGTTCTGATAATTATGTTGAACAGCAATCATAGGTTTTACAGGAGTGATGTTATCTATAGGAGCAATTGAGGAGGTTAGGAATCTTGTGGCCTCTGACTACATGACTCCTGAGCCATAAGTCTAACCTCATGGCTAATTTGTTAGTTTTCCAAGGGTGATTTGATCCCTGAGCAAGTAACAGATTAGTTTCAGGAAGAGGCTGTCATTATCTTCGTATGTATGTATGTATGCATGTATGTATTTGAGACAGGTACTTGCTTTGTTTCCCAGGCTGGAGTGCAGTGGCACAAACACAGCTCATTGCAGCCTCAACCACCTGGGCTCAAGTGATCTTCCTGCCTTAGCTTCCTGACTAGCTGGGACCACAGGCACATACCCCCATGCCCAGTTAATTTTTTATTTTTTTCTTTGTAGAGATGGGGTCTCATCATTTTACCCAGGCTGGTTTGAACTCTTTGGCTTGAGCAATCCTTCTGCTTTGGCTTCCCAAAGTTCTGGGATTACAGATGTAAGCCATGACACCAGCCTATCTTTGTTTTAAAGTTAAACTAAATTTCTCTCTTAGTCAGCCTGGTCTATGCCCAGGAGTGAACAAGGACAGCTTAGAGGTTAGAAGCAAGATGGAGTCAGGTCAGATTTCTTTCACTGTCATAATTTTTCTGTCAGAATTTTTTCCCCGTCATAATTCTTGCCAAGGCAGTTTCACTATTACCTGCCTCGGGGATAAGGAATTCTGATTTCTATGACTTGCTTCAAAGAAGATTGAGGGGTGAGAGACAGGAAGCCACTAGAAGGTCAGAGAGACCATGCCAGCGTTCTGGGGCTGTTTCTGAGGTTTTCCAATTTCCTTTACTTCCAAGTATTCAACATGCCAAAGCACTATATTTTGGGGGTATCTTTTTCTGAGCTCCAACAATCTACATTAAGTATTGTGTCCGGAATTGGTGGGCTCTTGGTCTCGCTGACTTTAAGAATGAAGCCACGGACTCTCATGGTGAGCGTTAGAGTTCTTAAAGATGGCGTGTCCAGAGTTTGTTCCTTCAGATGTTCAGATGTGTCTGGAGTTTCTTCCTTCTGGTGGGTTTGTGGTCTCGCAGACTTCAGGAGTGAAGCTGCAAACCTTTGCAGTGAGTGTTACAGCTCATAAAAGTGGTGCAGACCCAAAGAGTGAGCAGCAGCAAGATTTATTGCTAAGAGCAAAAAAACAAAGCTCCCACAACACAGAAGGGAACCCCACCGGGTTGATGCTGCTGGTTTGGGTGGCCTGTTTTTATTCCCTTATCTGGCCCCACCCACATCCTACTGATTGGTCCATTCTACAGAGAGCTGATTGGTCCATTTTACAGAGAGCTGATTGGTCCATTTTACAGAGAGCTGATTGGTGCGTTTTGACAGAGTGCTGACTGGTGCGTTTGCAATCCTTTAGCTAGATACAGACTGCTGATTGGTGCGTTTACAATCCTTTAGCTAGACACAAAAGTTCTCCAAGTCCCCACCAGATTACCTAAACACAGAGCACTGATTGGTGTGTTTACAAACCTTTGGCTAGACACAGAGTGCTGATTAGTGCCTTTACAAACCTCTAGCTAGACACAGAGTGCTGATTGGTGCGTTTACAGTACTTTAGCTAGACAGAAAATTTCTCCAAGTCGCCACCTGACCCAGAAGCCCACCTAGCTTCACCTCTCAATGGCACTTGTGGTGGGACTTTGCAGCACCTAGCCCAGGCACTCCAGCAGCCCCCAGGGAGCTTGTCCCTGATCAAGCCCAGCAGGTGCCTGCTGGCGGCACATAGTGTGGGGCCCGCAGAGCTGGCGCCCACCCGGAACCAGCACTGCTGGCAAGCGCCACGCGCAGCCTGGCTCCTGCCCACGCCTCTCCCTCCACACCTCCCAGCCAGCAGAGAGAGCCAGCTCTGGCCTTGGCCAGCCCCAGAGAGGGGCCCCCACAGTGCAGGGGTGGGCTGAAGGGCTCCTTGAGCAGCCAGAGCTGACCGGAGGCAGAGGAGGCGCTGAGAGCTAGCGAGGGCTGCTAGCACGTTGTCACCTCTCAGTATGAGGTATAAAAGAAATATATTTCATTAAATTTAATAATTACTTTACCTAACTTAGTAGTTGGGAATGACTGAAGATAAATGAATACAATGTATTTTTATAAGTCTTATTAATATCATAGTGGATAAGGAAAAAAATGAGAAGGTGGATGCTGGATACTTGGTCTTCTCATAGATCTAGGAGGTGTATGTACATGTTTCATATTGCGCTTCCAAGAATGAAATGAGATAGAGGCACATTACTGTCTCTAGTAGTACACGCAATAAAACTGAAGAATATCCATATTTTTAAAAGATGTAAGATCCCCATAGATTCAAGTAGCTCACCTTTTCTAAGTGTTATTTTTAATATTCATGATAAAACTCATATTACTCAGCATATTATTAATAATAAATTTCTAGAGCACATATTCTAATGTTTCTTAACACATATTTTCGCTTTGCTAAACAAAGTGATGTTAGGTTATGTTTCAGGCAGCTTAATCCCTTAAAAAGCAAATTTTAAGGGTGGTGTTAGCCTTTTGGTAGCCAGAGCATACATAAATAATATTATTTCATTTACCCGTGTTAACCAAAAACCTTTATGGAGCTTTATGAATATCTCAAACATAGCATTTTTGGTGTCTTTTTTGGAAAGAGTAACCAATTAATTAAAAAATGCTTTCTCCATGCCATTTATCCTTTCTCTTTGCATGGAAGTTATGTGAAACTAGGAAGGAAATGTAATGTCTGCTTTATACAACCTTTACTGACATAAATTAATTTTCAGTTAATGAGAACTTGCAACTAAACAGTGTTCTTTATTCTTCAAGTGGTAGTAACTATTATTAAGGGGCAACACCTCATTCCTCTGTAGTTAATGTGTCTGGTATTTCTGGAGATAAGAAGAAAACATTGAAGATGCCCCAAGGCCACATACTTCTCAAGGAGATATTTTATTTAAAAATTGTAAGATTTAAGTTCCTCTATGTATGAGTGGGTATGTGTTGTGTGTGTTCATTTCGTGGCTGTTTGTGAGAAGCATTTCCTTGTAAAGCTCTGTTAAGCAATTTGAAGCATTAGGCAATCAGTTCACCTTTTGACCACCAAGAATATGGGAAGCCCAGTGAAGTTACTCGTTTATAAATCATAGTCATTCATATGTCTAGGAGAGACACGGACCCAGTTTTCACTCTAGTACTGTGACAGCTAGAAGGACTGTTTTCTGAAAACACATGTAGGGTATGAGGCAGGGGCAGAGAGGGGAGTTATGTAGCCTGAAAATTAGAGCTATTTGTCCTTCTTTAAAGATAGTACGTGGTAGCAGTAAAAACATCTCCTATAAGGAGCTTTTGCTTCCTTTAACTTTACAATCTGAAGTTCTTTATCCTGTTTAATTTGGGTATATTATGTTAAAATGCGTATGGGACATAATTGAACAGTAAAGTACTTTCAAGTGACCTAGCTGACAAGATCATACATTTGCTAAATATTTGTAATATTTTAGGCACCTGATGAACTAAAATACAGGCTTTGTTACAAAAGAAATAAAGAAGTAGGCGAGGCCGGGTGTGGTGGCTCACGCCTGTAATCCCAGCACTTTGGGAGGCTGAGGTGGGCGGATCATGAGGTCAGGAGATCTAGACCATCCTGGCTAACATGTTGAAACCCCGCGTCTACTAAAAATACAAAAAATTAGCTAGGTGTGGTGGCGGGCGCCTGTAGTCCCAGCAACTTGGGAGGCTGAGGCAGGAGAATGGCATGAACCCGGGAGGCGGAGCTTGCAGTGAGCCGAGATTGTGCCACTGCACTCCAGCCTGGGCGACAGAGCAAGACTCCGTCTCAAAAAACAAACAAACAAACAAACAAACAAAAAAACACAGAAGTAGGCGAATTATTATTAACTATAATATTGCTATCACAAATTTGTAAGGAGGATTAGCAGAGTTATCTGTTTTTTAGCTTATACAGATAAATTTCAGCATAACATTTTACATCTGGTTTTCTCTTTATTCACTAAATTCTATGCTCTCTTACTCACTAAAAGAAATGTTTGTTTAGGTTAACAATCTGTAAAGCAGTTCTAGCCCTGTATCAATCCATTATGAAAATCTAGGTCAGGATACTATTAATGCATTTTTACCTAGAATTCTCTTCTAGACATTCGGAGGCAAGTATAATCTTTGTATTAAGGCAGAGTGATCTGGGCTACAGAAATGAAGAGGTTAAAAGTGGTCCAGATGTGACATGACTACACTATTTACCATCACCGTCATCTTGATAACTGACAAATGATTGACAGCAACACTTGACAATGACATGATTTCCCTAATGTGTTGATAAGAGCTGAAAGGGGTAATTTTGAATAGAAAAGACTTTGTGGGTTTCTAATACCTGCATACCAGAACTGAGCAGAAAATCACATTCAACTTTTATTGAAAGAAAATTCACAAAATACTGGAGTAAGGAACCATTAACTTTTGGGACATGTTTTAAATTATCTTTATTTTTATACCCTGAATATTTTATAATCCATTTTTAAATACTAAAAAATTATTTTTAATCCTAAAAATAATGAACATCAAAATGTAAGATGATCAGACATTTTTAAAAAGGAGCCAGAAGATTAATGGGCCTTTGGTATAAGCCAGTTACTACAGCTGGGCACTTAAAATGGCTCTAAGTTTCCAAGCAAGAAACGCAAAAAGATAAACACATTGGTTTACACAATTTTTTCTTCTCTGACAAAATAAAATAAATACGTTTATCTGTAGAAGCAAACTTACTTTCTGGGACCAAATTTCAGACAAAATTTATCACGTGGTTCCTTGATTAAGAGGTACTGAATAACATAACGATGTCTGCAAGAAACAAAGATACTGCTAAAATGGACAGCTCTGGTATTGATTCACTTTACTGGCTGAGAACATAACATTAAATTGTGCTCAGTGAAGCCCTTTCTGCAGGGGATAAGAGGAAATGGCCGAGGTATTCCACTTTCTGATGATTAAAGTTGATAGTGGGCTAGAGCCTGGAGACTAGGAGTAGGGATAGTTAACATGCCCATTACACTACCTCCAACATCATATGTCTTACAAGAGCCTTTGGTCTGTGTTAGGAGGCAGTTAACTCATGACTGAATTCTCACAGTTTCCTGCAGTGCAGATAGTCTATGTTGTTTGCTAAACTGAAAAACTTACAGTTAAGAAGGAGAAGTGGTTACTGAAATGAGAAAGTTTAAGAGAGAAACTTATATTCTTGCTCAGACAGAAGGTCAACTCAATTCATCTTCAGTTGTGGGAACAGGGTTACCTAAAAGTAGTGCCAGTCTTTTTCACAAAGAGGAGCGTTTTATCTTGTAAAGCATTTCACAAAGTATTTGGTTGAATCTTCGTGTTGAGTGCTGCATTTCAGAGATGAGATGACTTCAGAATGAAATGTGTTTATGGCAAGTGTTATCAAATACTCTCTAGTTCATAGTGATGGGGGAGTCTGTGGGTGGTCCTTGTAGGATGTCTGTATTTAAGTAAATTATTCACATAAATGATACAGAATATGAGACCAATTTCAGATTTATACAAAGATGCTGAGCATTGAAGTATACGGACAAAAAGACAGTATCTCTGGAGTCAGAGAAACTGAGTCTTGGTGGTACATCCACTTAGTTCTTTACTGTGTACAATTTTGCCTCCTAAACCTCAGCTTCCTTTTATGAAAAATACATACCAAAGGCCAGGCTCAGTGGCTCATGCCTATAATCCCAGCACTTTGGGAGGCCAAGGTGGGCGGATTGCCTGAGGTCAGGAGTTCAAGTCCAGCCTGGCTAACAGGATGAAATCCCATCTCTACTGAAAGAAAAAAAAAAAATTAGCCGGGCGTGATGGTGGGTGCCTGTAATCCCAGCTACCAGGAGGCTGAGGCAGGAGAATGTCTTGAACCAAGAAGGCGGAGGTTGCAGTGATCCAAGATTGTGCCGCTGCACCTCAGCCTGGGTGACAGAGTGAGACTCAGTCTCAAAAAGAAAAAAAAAAGAAAAATACATACCAAGTTGATTTAAAGTTTGAAATGAAGAAACATGTATAGAGATTGCCCATATTCAACAATTAGTCTTTCACACATCCCATATCTCATTTGGCAAGTACCTGTTAATTACTTCTAAATACCAAGGCAATAAGGCTGAGAAAATAAAACATATCAGCATAGCTGGTTATTCAGCTTGCATTCAGCATAGTCATTTCCCTCCCACCCTACTCCTTCAAAACACTAGTTGTATATTGGAAAGACTCATACAAATGTATTATTTTTTATCTTTTGTTCATGTACTAAAATAGCAGAATAAATCAGTATTTCTCAAAGTGTGGATGCTAGATTAACTAACTCAGAATTTCTGAGGGTATTTGTCACGTACTGTGTACCCAAGTCAGACCTATTGATTTAAAATCTCTGGGTATCAGGAATCTGCATCTTTAAACAAGTGCCATAGTTAACTCATAGGTACAGTAGAGCTTGAGAATATCTATAGTAAGTTATGAAATGTCTTAATCTCAATCCCAGGGAGTAAAACCCTACTATACTGGGCAACATTTTTACTAATCCTAATCCCTTCTCTGCCTTTATCATAACAACACATGTTCCATAATATGCAGTGGGGAATATTACTCAGCAGACAGAAAGATTATGCCTGCAGATGTCATACTTGAGTTCATTGTAGAGTATTATATTTCCCAAATGTTGCTCACCAATATATCCCATTCCATAGGTTTTTTTTACAATGTGATGTTGACATTCCTCCACCAAAAGATGGAGTCTACGTGCCTGCCCCTCAAATCTAAATGGGGCCAGTTACTATAGCAAAAATGATGTTATATGACTTCTGAGGCTAAGTCAAAAAAGGCATTATTGTTTCCACCTCTTCTTCTTGGAATTCCTACCCTTAGAATCCAGCCACCATGCAGCAAGGAAGCCACATAGCATTTGGGAAGGCCAGATATAGTGCTTTTTCCAACGTCCCAGGCAAGGTGCTAGTTGACCGGCCATGTAAGTGAATGAGACTTCATTTGTTTCCAGCCCCCAGACTTGAAGCCACCCCAGCTGATATAATTAAACCAGAGATTTATGAGGAAAGTAAATTTCATATTTGTGAGTAAATTAAGTGCTGTCATTGTTTTAAACCACTACTAAGATTTTGGGTTGTTACGTATCAATAGATGAAAAGAATACCCAAATTGTCGGTGATTACTTATGTTTTTTTTTTTGTTGTTGTTGTTTTTTGAGATGGAGTCTTACTCTGTCACCCGGGCTGGAGTGCAGTGGTGCAATCTAGGTGCAGGCTCTGCCTCCCAGGTTATCTGCCTCAGCCACCCTAGTAGCTTAAATTACAGGCACCCACCACCACACCCAGCTAATTTTTGTATTTTTAGTAGAGACAGGGTTTCACCATGTTGGCCAGGCTGGTCTCGAACTCCTGGCCTCAAATGATCTGCCTGCCTTGGCCTCCCGAAGTGCTGGGATTACAGGCGTGAGCCACCACACATGGCCTGTGTAGGTAATTATTTTTGAATCCCAACTGGTGATGTTATCTTCTTCTTGTGGGCATCTGACATATTCTTATCTGTATTCCATTTATTCAGTCAATATGGGCCATTTCCACTGGGAGTTCTGGAAGCCTGGATTCAACTCTTCTCCTATCCTGCATCAATGAATTGGACAAATGACAGGTTACATGGCTCTTCTATAGTAAATATGGGAAGTTGATTGACTATAGACTCCATTTAAAAGGAAACCAACTGTTTAAAACAAAAGAGAGCATGGGATTGAATATCACTAGTCAAAGATTAGAGAAGGATGTTACAGAGTTGAAAAATGCAACATATAAATGAATGAGAGAGAAAAGCAAGATAAATTGCTATCCACGATTTGCCTAAGTACAGCTGAAACCAGTTGCATTTGAGTGGATCTGTTTTAAAGCTTCTCTAACTAAAACATTATTCTAAGGCCTGAGAAAACCATAGCTAAGTCTGACAGTCTTTCCCCTTTAGGACCTCACTTTGCTGGTGGAGGAGATATATGGGCAGACAAATATCTCTAAGAGAGTTTATCATAATGGAGGTCATAATATAGAAATGATAATATGGGGTAGAAGGATTCATGCCAACAAGATAGATCAGTATCACAAGGTTGGGATAAAGTTTGACAAGATAATATCTTGTGGTGAGGGAAGGATATGTCATTGAAAGTATATCATTCCAACTTGAGAAACAGAGGAAAGGCCAGAGGATGCAGCTCACACCTGAGGAACATTTATTGTCATTATGACCTGGGATGGGTTGACTGCTTATTAGAAGATACAGTTGTAGGAAGAGGTCAAGGTCTTTACTGGTCTGAACACATAGGCTTTGTTTTCAATGAGGAAATTACAGGGTTTAGAAAGTAGGGAAAAAATGAAATTTGTTTTAATGATGATAACCAAGGTAGTCATGCAAAGTATGCATCAGATAGTGGTGGCAAGAAAAAGTCTATTAAGAAACAATTGCATTACTGAAGCCAATATGAGCCCAAAGCAGGGTAGTGGCCAGCAGAAGAATATGAAGAGTTAAATAGATGCAAAAGATGTTAAGGAGGTGGGTCTGATGGGCTCTGATGATTAATGGCCAGTCTGGGTTCAGTCTGTGGGCAAAGAGAAAATGGAAGAATGATGATGACGCTGTTAACAGAAAAGAGCTGTTGATTGAGTATCCGTGTGTGCGTGTGAGTGAACGGGCTGTATGAGTATCTCCCCACTGGCTTAGAGCTGCTTCAGGGCAACCTTCTTCAGTGTCTACTATTTTATCATATAACGTGCTCAGTAAATGATTTCCGATATTAATTTAAATGATGGAGAAGACAAAGGAAGAGTAAATGCCACTAATATTTATAAAAAGACAAAGATGTACTGGAAGATTTATGTGGTAGGAGCTTTACACATGCATGAAATTTAATCTTTCAACAATGTTATGAAGTAAAAATGATTATTCCTATTTTACAGGTGATAAAACTAAGGTGCAAGCTGGCTGTATGCACTAATGTCTGGAAATGGCATCCCTGTATATCTGACTATGCAGATTATGTCTTTTCTCATCTAGCATTAAGATCTTCTAACAAAATGATCTGTCTCTGCTCATTTTCCAAAATTCCCTGCAGGCCCACACATGCACACATTGAATGTTAAAGATTAAGAGTAACTTGATTTAGATCATCACTATTTCTCTAATCATTAAGTTACCTATTGTGTTGCTTTTTGGTGGGTGGCACTGGTGCAGAGAGAGCATTTTATAGATTACAAATCGCTTCTATGTGCCTTTGATTTTCAACCAATCCAATAAAAGATTTCACTCTCTCTGAGGATTGATGCACAGTGGAGGGTATATCAAATATTGCAACGTATAGTAACCTAATATTTGAGAAAGTCAGAGATGCTCCAGGAGAATATGTGTACAAAACAAGCTACCTAATAAATTAAATGCACTCTTCTACAACAGAGGGGCCATAATTGCATTTGCTTGACTTTGTACAAGTACAAAAAAAAGTATATTATTTTTAAATACCCCCAGAAAAAATAAAATACCAAAAGCATTTGTTTAGGGGGTGTTTAGGATTATAAATACCTTTGTTCTGCAAAAAAAGAAATTATACCTCAACATAGGCTAGGTATATATTTTGTGGACAGGCAACTGGAATATATGGTTAGAAGGAAGTAGAGAAAACAAAACAAATAAAACTGAAGTGGGCCACCAAAGTATAGTGCTGCTCATTTCAGAAGATCATACTGTAAATGTTCTTTCCAAAGACATTTAAATGATTTTTTTACATATAGATTTTGTATAAAATAGTGCATATTTCTGAAATGCCTCTGTGTCTCAGACTAGTGGAAAATATTATCTTTTTGGTTTTCTCCAATCAGAGAAGTTACAGGGAGCATTACAGACTGTTTACTTATTTAGTGAAAGCTGTAAGTGTGCCTGGTATTGTGTAGGCTTCAGCATATTTGAAATACACGTAGAATCTCAAATATGTTGCATCCTCTGAACACAGTCAGACAATCTATGTGCTGGGAAATGAAGCACAACAATGTAATATTTCCTTCTAATATCAGTCTTTCAATTCCCCTATTGAATCTCTAACACTATATTTCATAATCAGGTCAGTGATGACTATACATCAACACATGTTTTCCTCTGTGTGTGTGTGTGTGTGTGTGTGTGTAAAACTTCTCATTGCCCTGAAATGCCAAAACCCTTCACACTAGCCCATAAAAGTAACCAAAATAAACGGGTGAATGTGTATAGGTCTATTAAAAACATAACCATTACTTCTACAATGATGACCAGCTTAATGCATTTTGGAACATACCATAGCTAATATTACTCTGAAAATATTTATTAAGCACATGAACATCTAGACATAATTCATTATAATGTACTAAACTGTTAGGTTTATAGGATTTCACATCTATCATACTTTCTAAGTTTGGTTCTTCAGTTTTAAGCAATAATAGTATTTTTTTTATTATTTTTTAAGGAGTGACTTCATTATAACACAATAATAGGAAGAGTTATGTGAACTTAAGACACGAGGAAGACTATGAATGTGTTGATACTCCTTTATGGGAAAGGTTATTGTTTTGTTTGAACAATAAAGCTATTGATTGCTCCCTAATATTGGGGGGAAATAGGAGATTTTATTAGCATTTGTTTGGAAATACAAGAACACAACATTACATTCTCCTTAACATAATAAACATAATAGCTATGATTTAATGAGCTCTGTGCATGTTGCAGGAAGCTTGCATCAATTACCTCACAATGACCCTATGGAGTGGGTCAATGGAGAGGAAACTGACACCTGAAGAGGTCCACTATCTGGCCGTGATGCTGATAAGTAGCAAGCGTCAGTGTTGAAATGGCAGTCCGGGATATCAACTTCATTCTTTTAGTTTGCTTTATGCTGTTTTTTGTTTTTTATTTTATTTTTTTAACAGTGGGTCTTTCTACAAAATAATTCAGCTGTATTGGCTATAATTCTATAATGACTTTTTAGGAGGTTGATGCCCCCCTCCACAACACTTTTTGTGAGGCATTTTAATTACAGATTACATTACCTTTGAAATCCAAAGTGGATTTACTTAAAAGAAAACATAAATGAAGTCACTCTTTTTGTGAGGATATAAAGGATATTCAAGCACTATATTTTACTGCTTTATTAAATATTAACATTCTTCAATGACTTTGGAGTGCAAAAGAAAAGTAGTATCTCATACAAAACCTGAAAATTATGGGATGAAATTTAATTGTTATTTACTAAAAAGTAGGTGTTGATAGATTTTTCAACTTTATAAGGTTTAGTCATTTTGTGGATTCTAGGTCTCTTTTTTAAAAAAGCAAAGATATAAACATAAAGATATTTTAATCATCGTGGAAGATAAATTAATATAATGAGAAAGCCTTCACTACTTTCTTTCTGTTATTCCATCTCTGTTGTGTTTTTCTATGATATAAACCTTAATCATGCTTTCTTTAACACATTCATAGTAACTGGGAGGTATAGTTATTTTGCAATTTTTTCGATCTGTGAATTTTGTTGGGATACATTTTAGAGTTTTTAATGTTGATTAAAAATATGAAGATACAGAAAAGTAAAAAAGCATATATACTTATGTATATTAAACAATAGTATAATGTATAAAATCAGTAGTATATATTAACATTATATATCATATTATATATGTGAATTATTTTACTATTTTAGTATATGTATGTATAAATAAATCTATAGAAGAAAAATAACAGGCTTTGAAGGACAAATCGTGTGACTAATGCCAGAATAATTGAATTCATTTACATTACATATAAAAGATATAATAAGAAATTTTGATATAAGGATATTTGCTAAGTAACCATGTGAATTTTAAAGCCACACTAACTTAGATGAATTCAAAATCTATATTTAAAATGCTTTCTAATCTTGGGATAGATGTCTGATCCCTAAAACGCAGATTCTTTATTTGTAGAAAGGAGTTAAGGATGATATCTCAAAGGAATATTGTGAAAATTAAAAACAAGCTAATGAATAAAAAATGTTTGGCTGAGTAGTTCTAGGAAACAGTAAGTAGCCAGTTAATGATACTTGTATTTTATTTCTATAAAATGCCTTTTTAATTTTAATAACTATTTGTGGATTGAAACACCATTTTAGGTAATTTTATTGATCAACAGTGTGGAAGAACTTGAGAGATTGTCCAGGACAAACCTCACTGTTATGGCAAAATAAAATTTGAAGATGTTAGAGCAGCCCTTTTCTGGAGTGGTAGAACAGGTTAACGGTAAAATCAGCCTTGGAACCCACCCTTCCTGACATTGAATGTACTGGGTCCCCCTCTACTACTGGGGTTTGGTGAAACAAGTAAATGACATTTTCCTCTACCAATACAGACCTAATTGGAACACAAGAGACAGAATGGTGGTGAAATAACTGATTGGAGAATGTGCCTAATATTTCGTCCCTGAATACGACTGATTTTCCCACTCAGTCACAGACAGCTCTGGAACACGAAGAACCTTCCAACTGGGCATTGCCTTCCTACGATTCTAACATACAGAAGAGAGGGCAGGGTCTGCTTCTCGAGTATGGATTGCCAAGAACAAAAAGCAAAAGAAATAAAACAACCCTGATGGGCCTGAGCTGAGTGTGCCCAATTTCCTAACCAAGAATTACCAGTCACATAAATGAGTGAAGGTAGAGAAAAGATCTAGTCTGAGAAATTCCTTCTCATGAAAAGGGAAAGAAAGAAAAAAAGAAGATCCTATGATATACTAAAAATAAAATGCAAGTATTACATTTCATTATATTTAGTATCTAACCATAATTTATATGGGCCTACTGTGTAATATATTTAAGATAAAAACATTTCCATGATTTTATTGTAAACTTCTCCATTTCATATCAGTCCTTTACAGTAATAATCTAAATTACGTGAATAATAAAACTATTCACTCATCTTCTCTAAACCTCATTGCATTTGAGAAGATCTGGCTTGCCCTAATCTTTTGTTCCTCATTGCCAAACTGTCTTAATCATTTTGCTTTCTCTGTAAGAGTCACATTTTAAAACCTGATCTTGGTGGCTTTTCTCCAACTGTTTCCTCTTATGTGGATTATGAAAACTTTCTTGAAATCTAGCTTGTAACCTCAAGAGCTCACTAAAGTCCCAAAGGCAGTATTTAATGCACAAAAATGTGTGCTCTACCTTGTTATTTTGATTAAGATTATATTTAAAATAAATTTAAAATAGTGACATGAAAAGCAAAATAAATCAGTTTAGAATGAGTGCCAAGTCTAATAAATAGCATAATCTGAATGTATTTAATAGTAAGGGAATGAAATATAATGCTATGGGAACTTGCTAATTTGCAATAACTATGAGGAGATCTGTTAATACTACATACTACAGGTTATTGTATTTTGAGGATTAGCAAGAACGTGAAAAACACAGGATGTGAAATTAGAGATAGCAAATGTAATGCATTTATTTTCAAGGACTGTTTTAACTATTCTCAGTGTTTTGTAATGTATTGGTAAATGCATATAATAGTCTTGGTAAAATTTATGAAATTTTTCTCAATAGCATTTTCTGTTGGCTATTATTTTTTTACTGACAAGATCTCTTTGTGAAAGATCACATCTCTTTGTAAAAGATCTCAAGTGACAAGGTTTCTTTGTGAAAATTTTGAAGATTACGAGATTATTAGAAAGAGTTCCTGAAGTTCCATGACAGTTGTTATTTCATCTTGACAAATTTTACATCAGAGGCTGGTAACTTTCATGTAATATTTAGTATTATAAGCAAATCAGCACTTTTCTGACTATCCTATTTATATTTCACACTCCAGAGTAAAAGCAATGAATGTATTTATTCAAAATGAAAAAAATATATATCTTTTTTTTCACATGTAGGACCTCAATTTGAGTGAATATTGTTGAACTGAGTTGAGTATGCCTGGGAGGGATTACTGAATTTGAGGTTAATAATCACTCTATAAGCATTATATTTTAAAAAGCAATTGACTCTCATCTCCAAACACTGTTGCTGTCCATCACATGGCGGCCCTGTTTATTTTCTCCGTTGCACACATGTTTATTTTCTATCTTTCTCTCTCTGCATCAAGGGCCGTATGGGCAAGGCCTTCAAGGTTTGCTTTCCATTGGATTCCCTGGTCCTCACATAGTATCTGAGATGTGCAGACACTTAATGGCCATTTGCCAAATGAAAGGACAGAATCAGATCAGCAGGACTTTGTGGATTTTTACACGGAGCAATTTACATGTAGTTCACTATGAACTAGGCCTTCATTTGCATGTGTTATTAGGAGTGAGTCTTCATGCAACTGAATATTCATGCTCTATGAGATTGTGTTGGCGAAGTTCTGAGACCCTTTGCTGGCACAGAGCGGGCCCTGAAATCGTCTAGACTTGTTAATATACAAATCTTGGTGAATGCAACTATAAAGAAAAAAAAACACAGTTGAATTGGAAAGTTTTATTTTTCTCCTTTTTCAGAAAACATTTCTGTCTCTATGCAACCAAGTTAAGAGCATCAACAAATGGTTAAGAGTTTGCCTTCTGAAAATGAAACTAGAACAGAAAAGAAGGCTTTGGCAAACTCAAGGCCACTGGCCAGATCCAGCTCGAGAGCTAGGAATGTTTTCCACATTTTTAAACAATTTTTTTTAAAGAAAATTAAGAATATATCATAGAGACCATAAGTGGCTCACAAAGCCTAAAATATTTGCTATCTATCTTTTTATAACACCATTCGCCTCACTAGATGATGCCATTTAACAACCAAAATAAAATGAGTGTGAATAATAATGCATTTTAGTGTTTTACAAACAGATTGTTTACTGAGAAATTATCATCCTAAGTGTGTTTCATGTATATTCTTCATGGAGTTTTGCTTTTTTAGTCTTGGATGGGCCTTGGATTCTTAATTCTGGCAATAAGAATAAGAATCATCGACCAATAGGAAAACGAAGACATTTTTCATTCCCATTTAAATCAATATTAGAAACATTGTATCTCTGACTTTACAATGTAAACAAGAAAAAATGCTATTGCATGTATCATTTATTTAACTTGATTTTTCTTTCTTCAAAATCAATGTTTATCATAGAAAGATATATTGCACAAATGTGCTGTATGCCATTAGCAATAAGAGGTTATTAATAAAACAAATAAATGAGAGAAAAAGAAAAAGGGAGATGACAACCTGTGTTCAGTATTTTTGGTTTAATTTATAACTCATTTTATAATATGAGACTTTCATACAGCATAAATATAACTGGTTTCCTATAGATTTCCAGAAATGCTGACCAAATATTTTTGAGCCCTGGAAAACTTCCATTTCAAGAAAGTATATTTTTCATCTTGTTCAGCTTGAAAGGATAAGTCTACCATACAAATATATCTTATTCTATGTATTTATTTCCAATAAAATGAAATGATAGGACTATATTTTATAGGTCTCATTCAGACCTGAGTTAAAAGGCCATTTAGATGCTCAACTACTACTGAATGTGTAGTGATAAGAGTACCTAAAAAGTAGGAGAGTTTGAATACACAGTACACAGTGCTTCCTCATTGGAGAATCTTTGTCACAAGTTGTAGATGTTTAGCTCTTCAGAGGTTTGCAGCCCTGGCCATTTATAAGTAAATGGAGAGCAGCCAAGCCAGAGCTCTGGAAGCAGGAGTGTCTCATAAGACCTGCTGTTTGGTTATGCAGGCTTTTCACAATCCTGGGGACTTCATATTTGCATTACTAATAGCGCTGTTTTTAAGGGCACTGGCATTTTAGGTGGATTGAATAACAATATTTTTCCCTATTTCAGCTGTACAAATTGACTCATACTAAGGAAAGACCACACCTTTTTTTCTTCTGCATATTCATTTCAGAGTGTTTATGTGTGGATGATATTTAAAAGGCAAATGTGTGACTGAGTAGGAAATCTTATACAGATGTTTGTAGCTTTGACTTTCTAACTCTGCCACTTACTAGCTACATACTCTTAGCAAGTTACTCAACCATTTTTTAGCATTAGTTTTCTAATCTTTGAAATTGTTATCATGATTCTTGTTTCACGGCATACTCATCAATTAGTGTAAGTATTTACTGAGGGGATTCTATATACCAGGGACTCTTCCTGGGCCCTGAGATATGGTGGTGAACAGGACAAATTTTTGACTATGTGCAGCTGAGGTTATAGTGCACAACCATTATAAATGAATATAAATTATGAGCAATAGAGTGAGCCTTCATTAATTGTTATGTTTCTGCTCTGTTTGCCTTGCCTGTCTCTTCTGCTAGACTGATATCTCCTTAAGGGCAGGATCTCTTACCTCATTTGTCTCACCCTGGTCTTTAATAAGTAACTATTAATTAAATGGATACATTTTGTCTTTTAATTCCATGTGAACTCCTCATTGTGCTGAATCATGATTTTTTAAAAATTTCAGCCAACTATTCTACTGCACACACACACATACATATACACATGTAAATGCTATCTTTGGGATGGATTCAGAATGTTTGTACCAGTTTCTGAATCTTAAAGTGAGGAGAACAGTGTGACAGCTTGTGGACCCCAAGTTAACTTTCAGTGCCATGTACAGTCATTGCTTGTTCTCATCTCTCTTGAAATTATTGTTGATTGTGGCCAGGCACGGTGGCTCACGTCTGTAATCCCAGTACTTTGGGAGGCCGAGGCGGGCGGATCACGAGGTCAGGAGATCGAGACCATCCTGGCTAACATGGTGAAATCCCGTCTCTACTAAAAAATACAAAAAAATTAGCCTGGCGCGGTGGCAGGCGTCTGTAGTCCCGCTACTCGGGAGGCTGAGGCAGGAGAATGGCATGAACCCAGGAGGTGGAGGTTGCAGTTAGCAGAGATAGCGCCACTGCAGTCTGGTCTGGGTGAAAGAGCAAGACTCCGTCTCAAAAAAAAAAAAAAAAAAAAAAAAAATTATTGTTGATTGCTCTAACAATTCCAATAGAAATGACTTCCCTCCCCTGGCAAGAAGTACAGAAAGCTCAGGTTCCCTCTGTCTCTCCCTCTCTCCATCCCTCCCACCACACCTTGTCTACTCTATTGAGGCTGGAAATTGGTAACTTGGCATGTGGCCCTTAAGAGCTTTTCTTTTTCCAGATTTCTAGCTCACTACCAACTTTGAACCAAATGAAATTTAACTTCATCTTCAAATCCAATATCCTCCTTGCTCCCTACAGCAGTTAATTTCATCACCTTTTTTCTACCAAGTTATCTGGTCTGAAAACTAGAAAATATTCAATACTTCCCTTTTATTCATTAACATATTTATTTATTTACTTAAGGAGAATGCTTGACATGAGGTTTAGGATGATTTTTTTAAAGCATGGACTGTAGTTTGACTGTATATGTTCCTGAATTTCTCATGTTGGAACTTTGATCTCAAGGTGATAGTATTTAAGGCCTTTGGGGGAAGTGATGAAGGCATCAGGGCTCTGCCCTGGTGAACGGGATTAATGCCTTTATAACAGATGGTTGAGAGAACTGCCTGGCCCTTTTACCCTTCTGCCTTTCCACCACGTGAGGACATAGCAACAAGGAGTCACTTTTAAAGCAATGGGAGCCAGCCCTCACCGGATACTGAATCTGCCAAGCCTTGGTCGTGGACATCTCCATCTCCAGCACTGTGAGAAATAAATTTCTATCTCTTATAAATTACCCCATCTGTGGTATTTTGTTATAGCAGCAGGATTGGACTAAGACTGCATACTATGTTATTGTCTCTTCACTGCTGAAAAATATTCTATGAATTCCTGCTGCTTACAAGGTAAAAAATTCAAATGCCTGTGGATAGTGCAGACTTCATAATATGACTTCAGTCTACACTTATATGCTCATTTCAGATCACTTTCTCCCAGTCATCTAATTACACTTAACCCTAGACAGAGTATACGTTGTTATTTCTTCTTCTGTTTTCTCTAGTCTGGAATGCCTTCCTTCCATACCTCTAGTTGGTCAACTTTCACTTTTCTCTTAAAACTCAGCTCAATATTTTCTTCAAGTCTTGTATTTGTCTACACGACTCTTGGTTGGCATTAATTTACTCTTTCTGGTGCATCTGTAGCACTTCAGCCATCACAGTTGTCATATTATGTTCATATTAATTTTGCTCAATTTTCCTCCCTGGTTAAACTCAGTTACCGTTCCAATGCCAAGTCTTCATCATTGTATCTCTGCTACCTAATGCAATACCTGACACATGTTCAATTATTTGTTGGGAGTTCCACCATGCTATTAAGAAAATCTATATAGAGTATTGTGTTTGGAATATTATGATATTTAGTGTATCATGTATTAGCTTTAAAATTTCATATTCATTTTTGAACTATACTCTACAAGCAACGTATTTTAATAACCCCAAGTCTTGAGTGTTTGCAGATTCTATTACACTGAAAAAGAGAAATTTTCCAATATTAGTCCAAGAGGTGCTGGCAAATATGAAGGTGTTCTATGCAGCCACATTTTGATTAATTTTTTGTAAAGTATTTGGATTTAAGTTTAGCTTTCATTCATCTATTACTTTTTCATTCAATATTTAAGAGGTTATTCCTAGTTCATTCTCCAGATATTCTTTCATATAAAATATAGAAAAAATACAGCTTCTCAACTCTTCACACAGATGGCACAGAGAAAGCAGTTCAAATTATATTAATTCAATGATCAATTTATTTTTTGACTTTCTGAAATTAAGGAGAATAATCTTTAATAACCAAGGGCTGAATAAATATGGCAGGAGTGTTAAGGCCCAATAAATAGATTGAGATAGTGAGGGAGTACTTACATGCTGTCAACTAGTTATCTCCAAACTTAGATAAATTAGTTTTCACCTATTCAACAAACATTTAATAAACATCTACTACATACTAGGCTTTGAAATGATACATGGCATTTAGTTTTAAAGCAGTAACCTAGACCAGAATCCAGGCCTTCTGACTACTGTTCAAGGACTTTCCATTCCTGCTAAATTATATTATTGGTTAATCTACATTTTATGAGTTGGTTATTCCTTTGCACTGCAATTCTGAACAATTCCTTGAATCTTAAATCTCTGAGATTTCTAAAACAATTTGTAGACCTTATCTCAAAGCCACTGCCTGTAATTGTGGAGAAATCCTGGGAAAAGAAGAGTTCCCAGACTAGAAGTGATCAAAAATTGTCTCGTTTAAAAAAATGGATAGAGATATAAATTCTAGAGAGTACAGTCTTTCAAGTTTAATATTGATTTTTAATATTCTAGAGTAGAGGATCAAGTTGTATGTCTGTTAGTCCTTAGAATAACATGTATGGTTGGTAGAAATTGATACAGATACATTAGGAACAAGTTATGTTCTCTCAACCTCATTCCCTTTTTTGGTTTTGGTTGTGTATTATAGACATCCATATTCAGAAATTGTTGATTTATTGAACGGCTAAATTGGAGAGAACCTACTGATGATTCAGATGGCCTTGGCTATTATGTTCAATATTTGAAAATAGTATGTGAGTGGAAACATTTTTATAGAGTACTGAAATGTACAAAAGTGATTTGTAAGGTTTCAATTAATACTAAATGATGAAATTTAGGACTTTATTGAATGAGAATGTAGTACATTTTAAAATATTTTTACATGACATGAAAGTGGAAAATACGTCAAATCTAACAGATGATAAAATTAGGATGTCAATGATCCCGGTAAAGTGAGGCCTTATAGACAGATATAAAGGTTTGCATTTGGGCTAAAATATCGACCTCATGAGTACCCGATGAGAGAAATTTGACCAAACAGTTAAAGTGAAAAGAACTTGGGTTCTTCATTGAACCCCAACAAAATCATGCAGCTGCTAGAAATTTAATATGATCTTATAGCGAGAAATAAGATCAAGGTTACATGAGGGAGTGACTTGCCTAAACTCGTACAGTCCCAGTGCAATTCTCTGAAATAATATGTTCAGTTGAGGCAATAATATTTCAGAAGGGGCTATTAATTTGGAGTTTGTGGAGGAATTAAAAAGAAAAGAGAAGTTTCAATTCTATTAAACAGTTTAAAAATAAATAATTACGAATATTTTTAAACAATAAGGTTATGAAACAACTCTGCCATGTTATAAAGGGAAAAAGCCCAAATCTTAAGTAATATTTTAAATAATGTTTAAGATAAACATTTAACTTGAGTTCTGAAATACAGAATTATAATTTGAATGATTCACGTAAGCTCTTCTACTTTAAGAGTTTTTGCAAATCTATAAATCACATTTTTAAGACTTTTCTTGGGCAAAGGAAGTCCCTAAATTAATGTATGTTTGTTCATGTTTATTTTATCATTTGCTTGCTTTCCTTTGCTTGTTTTCTGGTTTTAGTTTTTGCTTTTATTATGGACATTTTTTTTCCTCCTGTACTTTTAACTACCAGAAAATAGGTGTTTGCAACATTATTATTATTCCTAGTAAATAGAAATTTGTTTCCATGACTGCTGCAAATTAATCAAGCAATATACATCAAATAAACCTTTTGTTGTCCTATTTTTGTCCCCATAGGCATTGAACATTATAATGTAACAGTCACAATTATAGCACATAATAAAAATAGGTTTTCCTTTGAATGTTATGTATATAAAACTTTCAGGGTTAATTCTGCTTACCTTTATATGCATGCAGAAAAAGCTTATGTGTCTTTTTCTATATATATTCATACATAATTCAAGTCATACTATAATAATATTAGTAAACTAATGTGAAAAATATTAACGTTTCAGGAAAAAGGAAAAACTCAAATGGTAACTGAAGTGTAATGTAGATATAAATCACCACTGAAGAAAAAGACAGATGTACTATATAGAGGCATAGTATATATCTCAAGCTGAATTTGGGATTTTGAGCTTCGTTTTTGTTTCTGAAAAGACTTTTGAAGACAGTTCCAAACTATACAACTATGAATAACTTTAGTAATAGTTTTTCTGTTATTTCCTATTGAAATAGTAACATATTTAAGAAAAAAAAGGGAAAAAAATCTCTTCAGAACGAAGAGAAATAATCTGATTAATTTATGAGAAAAAAACCAAGGGCTTATAAGAGGTTTTTTTCCACTCCTGACACCAACCAATGCTGACACCAACTGGGTGTCCTACAATTCAATTCAATTCTAGAACCAACTACTGTAGTCAGCGTCAGTCTCCACAGGTTGAAGTACTCAGTGGCATAAGACTGACCTCCCTTCAGATACTAGTGGCAAGTACCAGACCCCCAAGTTACCTGAACTTCTTTCCAACATGGATACAAAGTCAAGGTTCCCCCCAACCTTCAGATTTGATAATTTGCAAGAACCGCTCATAAAACTCAGGGAATCACCTAACTCATGTTGACTAATTTATTATAAACGATACAAATGAATAGCCAGATGAAGAGGTACATAGAGCTGGAAGGGGCTGGAAGGGTCCTGGCTACAGAAGTCTTTGTCCTATGGATTGGGGTCCACCACCCTCCTGGCACATGAATACATTCACCCACCCAAAAGTCCTCAAAACCCATCACTTAGGGGTTTTTATGAAGGTTTTTATTATCTAGCCATGACTACATCACTGGAATTAATGGTGATTAACTCAATCTCCATCCCCTATCCCCTCCCTGGAAGTTGGAGGTGGGATTGAGAGTTCCAAGCTTCTAGTTAAGACTTGGTCTTTCTGGCGACAGCTCCCATCCTGAAGCTATCTAGGGGCCCACCAAGAGTTGCCTCTTTAGAACAAAAGATGCTCCTATCACCTTAATTCCTCAGAAAGTCCCAAGGATTTAAGGAACTCTTTTCCAAAAACTGGAACCAAAGACCAAATACTTTCTATGATGCCACACTTTGATTTCTTAAAAAGAAAAAAAAAAGGCAGTTTATTTTACTGAATATATGGTGCATTTTTTAATGATGGACAATAAATCAGCACTGTTTATTTACTGAAAGACAGTATGTTTTATACCTCAACCTCTAGATGAATCTAAAACAATTAGTGAAAAGTGAAAGATTTAGTCAGAGAGTTCTTTATCATCCTCAGGGCAAAAACTAACATTTTCATTGAAAATATCTTCAGATGTGTGGAAGAAGAATCTTAAATTTATTTAAGTCCAATAATTTTGATTATCGTGTTTTGTGTTTAACTTAGAAATAAAAGATACCCTAAATAAAAAGCAGTGCAGCAAGTAAAACAGAATGAAATATATTTCTATAGTAAAAAAAAAAATCAACTGTTATTTCTGTCTCTTTAATAGCAATTTCCATGAAGTCTGCAAGATGGCAGTGTTCTTTTTTATAATATTATTATTTTGAAGATGAATTCTAATAACAATTAAGATATGAAATCTTAGTATATGTTAGTTACTATGTTAACTGCTTTAGATGGATTATTTCACTCAGTTGTCATGATATTACCATGAGAATCTTACTAGAAAAACTATTTAGTGTCCAGGTAATTTGCCCATGGTCTTAGACAGTATGAGGTGAAACCAGAAATAGAATGCAAGTGAGTAACTCGAATACTTTCCTCTTAAACTTGCACTTCCCTGTCCACTAAAAGCAGACACTCTTCTCTGGTCAGTTTCTAATAAAAGATGCTATAATGTTTATTATCAAAATAATAGAGAATGAGTTGAATACTTGGAAAGTTGAAAGATTTTGTTTAAAAAGACATTATGGTTGAAGATAAGAATACATTGCCTTACTAGAATGCTGTTCAACAATTTACCTGATAATGTATTTTACAGAACCATTACTATAATATATTCCCAGAGAATTGTATACATTCTCATTTTATCTGAATTCGGTAAATAACAGCACTACCCAGACTATATCCTAGCTAATGTAACCAAGAAAGCAATTTCTAAGAAATGACATGTCCCAATATTGATTCAACAAAGTGTACAATGCCATATACAGAAGAGTAAATTTTATTTCTTTCTTTAGTAGACATTCATCATATATATTTTAAAATACGAGAGATTGAAACTTTTGGGAAAAAAATTAGTGTGTAGCTCGCTACATTTATGTATCTATAGGGAGTTACTATGGTTGTTTTTTGGTTAAATGGTCCATAGTGAATGAGTGATTGTGGCTAATATGACTACCTTTTACAGAGAAGGCTAGACTTTGAAGAAATCCAACTGAGCAGGAATGTGTATAAATAGATCAGCATATAAATCTTGACTTGTCATTGTCCCACTCCCTTGCATTATTTCTGTTAACAATGATTCCCTTCTAGAAATATTATGAGAAGAGTAGGAATTTATTTTCTCTTTGATATCCTTGGCAAGCATGATGAACATTAACTTGTTTAGTTGTGGAGGAGGAATTTTGCATTATCAATGATTTCAATGCTATTTCTGGCACCCAGGTTCAGAAGAAGATGTATAGCCTCTTTAAAAAGGTGTCATCTTGAATCCAGAATGTTTTATTATTTTTAGTTGGGAGCAGCCTCCCCGAAATTTCACTATAAATAATGATATAATTATTTATGTCAACCAGTGATACATTCAGGAGACCCTAATTTTGCTTAATTTTTTTTCATGAAATCTATAGATGTATTGTTCAAATATATGAAACATATTTAGGTGCTTCTGGGACTTTAGTGTTCATAAATATAAATATTATTTTTCTATTTTTATTTTATAAGTTTGATGTACTGAGATTTTAGAAGTGATGATAAAAAAATTGGAATTTTTAGAGCAATCTTCAGTGTTTCAGGAAGCAACTACATTCAGTGTTCTGCCAAAAATGTTAATAGCTTTTTTCCTTTTCTAATCATAAAAGTAGTACAAACATTGTAAAAATTCAAATAAGAGAGACAGTTTATTTTAAAAAATCATCCATAACCTCACCACATAGAGAAAGCTGGTATGGTCAGTTCTGCTAAAATATGACATATGTGTTCTTAAAACTCACATTACTATAATAAGTAAGCTAATTAAAAGTAAATATGTACATTTATTTTAAAAAGTCTCAAATCAACTTTGTTAACCCTTGCCCCTCTGAACCCTTGCACACCCTGTTTCTTAAAGATGCCATTGTACCAAAGTAAGGATTTTCCATTTATCTGTACTCCATCACTGTCCCCTGTTCATTCACTTCATACTATTTTTCACAATTTCTATCTTTGTATCTTTGTGGCATGCTGAGAGTTACAGACAGATGCAGGAGTAAGAATGACGTAGCATCTTTTCGTTAAATATTTGGGGAAAAGTTTATTTCTAAAACAAAACATATATACATTTTTGTATGAATTTAAAAGTTACTCTTACTCCAGAGATAGTTTTCCTTTGGTAAAGGTTACTCTGTCCTTCCAAGATTTTTGGTGAAAAAATCAGAATGCAAGAATACAGCATTATGGATGCTAAATTCCCAGAAGAAGAATTTTATAAGAATTTTAAAGATATTATGCAATTGCTGACCTATGACTTTGTATCAGTATACCACCCACCCCCGCCAACAGTATCTAAGTGTACACATTTTTTCCATTAAGGCTGTAATGATGTAAAGAACTTTAATTGTAAACTTATATAACAGAATAAGCCAAATCCTACTAGCTTCATCAGGGAAACTCATCGAAGTTATTATTCAATTGGACATTTAAATTGTATACTGCACTCATAGACCTCGTGTGTGTGTGTGTGTGTGTGTGTGCAAATATACACGTGTGCTCATGCATGTTTTGTCTATGTTTTTATTTAAAGCAGGCAATATTGAGTCCAATGCGTTTACAAATATCAAGTAATAATAATAAATAAGCTTAGTTAGTAAAGTCTAATTCTTTTGCAGCATCATGTTTTTCCTCTAGTAAGGACAACAATGAATGTTTGTGTTACTTTAAAATGTGTTCATTTTTATCTGATTCTAAAAGCTTTTCTAGTGACATAAGCATTCTTCAGAACATCCTTTTCTGTGACATCTATGTATGTCTTATAGTTTATTTTAGTGAGCCTACATAGATATCCCATGACACTGAATTTTATTGGCATTTTCCTTTGCTTTTATTCAGCTTGGCTCTGTAACATTTACTTTGTCAATTATAGTCATCTTAGTATTCACAGTCAATTCTACCACTGTGTGACTTTAATTGTATTTCGCTAAATTAAAGAGGCATTATAAAGTTGTTACCCTTTGATTTTTCAGTTTAATTTCATTTTTCTTTAATCTTTGGAGCAACCAGATTATCAATTAGCATAATAAAACAGTCAGTGTGGAATTTAGTAACTATATTGAATATTCTATAAAGTAGGCTGGTTTGTACAACATCAGTGTATGCAAAGAATGGTAAAATGCTTATTCTCTTACTACACCTTAAGAGTATCCCCGTATGTATCTTAAACTGATAGTATATTGGACCATTACACAGGAAAACATTGTTAATGGGTGAATAATATTAATGCCTTGCACTTTAGTAATACATCTTATTCAAAGACCCTAAAGTGTTTCACATATGACAATTAATCAAGTCTTACCACATTACTCCAAGCCAGGTATTATTATCTGCTATTATAATTTAGATAAACTATCGTTATAGTTAAGAAAGATGAAAGATTAAGTGACTTGTCAAAGATCACATATTAGTTCAATACGGGAGCAATATAACTCAGATTCCTGACTGCTGCTATTAACATTAAGCACAGCCACCATGCATGTTATCCAGAGAGCACAGCACTGTTCTTTTGAAACCGCTTACTCTATGCCCACCTATTAAGAAGTTTAAGTGAACATGAATATAATGGCATTAGATCGTGTATCCACATCCAATGCCAAATTTGGAGGCAAGTACGTGTGTAATTTTCTGAAAGATGGGAAAATGTTAAACCCATAAGTTAGCATCATTTTTTATTAGAAAATGTTGTAGTGCCTTTAAAATAGTGCTGAGCTATCTCATTGTTCCTAGTGACTGCAAACGTGAGAACAATGGAAAATTGAAAGTGGTTTTCATTGATAGTGTAGTGGAGCTGTTACCAAAGTAGATGTTCTAGGATGAAGTCTTTTCACAAGACTACTGCTCAGATGTCATGATTGCTCTGGAGTGTTTGCAACAAAGGACACTGTTGATTTCTTTTATGATGTTTCTTTATAATTTGAGGGAATGGCAGGACTCGGAAGTCTCTTTTTTGCTTTTTCTTTCTTGTTTTCTCTCTATGAATGATTTTTTTTTTTCTGGTAAAGGTAGTTTTATTTGGTTGAGGTCTTTTGCTACTAACTCTTCATTCAGTGCTGTAGATCCATTCCAATGTCCATTTAGTGAGAATCACTGGGAGCGATTTGTGCAATTGATTGGTGACATCGAGCACAGAATTGATGCTTCATTGCTTTGGGAGTCCTTCCTAGAGGAGACAGAATTGTCAAACAAAATGCAGGAGAGTATTTCATCTGGGTGAAACTGGATATCACAATTGTTAGAACTCAGCTTCTGAAAATCCTGCTTATTTTCTCTCTGCTTTTTGACACCAAGCCGTGCCTAACTCCCCTGAATACTAGAGTGGTTTGTATTTGTATTCATGGTAGCTGTGCACTAAAACTACTGCAGATAATTTAGGTAATTGGCAAACCACAGGGGCACTTAGTCTGCTCACCTGCCTATTTTAGGTTGGCTCATCATCACTCTAATTGGCAGTGGGTAGTTACTGGTCCATTTGCCATGTATTATGACAAAAGATGCTAATGGGCCCCGGCAGTGGGTGGGTTGTACCTTTGCCCTGCTTCTGGCATGCAGAAAGCAATCCCACTGTTTTTGCATAGCAAGTAGCATGGCTGGACATTTTTCCTACATCAAAAAGAGCTTTTCCTTTTGAAAAATGACAACTTCCCCTGGCAAAGGCCTAATCTCAGAATTGACACGTATCCTTTCTCGCAGCCACCATATAGTACATTGTCCCTAAAAACAAGAGTACATCAGTCAAGGTAGTTTTCATCATTTTCACCACATTTTTATTATCAGAACTCCTCTGAAGCTTGAAATTGAAATCTGTTTCTTTCTTGACATTTTTCTCTATATTGGGCATGTAATTATGGGCCCAAACGAAGTTCAAGAGGAATGGATCAACAAAGCCCACAGCTAAGCACACTAAACCTTGATCTTGGAGGAAAATATGAATTCCAAGGTGGATTTGGACAGCTGTGCTATGAATGCCACAGTGAGCAAATGTGGAATCAGAAGGAATATCCCATGGTTAGCTGACATTTTTTTTTTACATAAATTCAAGGAACATAAGCAGAAATTCAGTTCTCCTAGCACACAGGATACTGGTTCTTAGCATTCTGAAGATAAGAACTCATTTGTAAAATAACAAAAAATGGTCTGCTCAGTGGATAATAATATTGATTTGACCAACTATCAATGGAGGGTATGTTAGTATTAATTCAACAATTTTAAATAAAATGTTTATTTTGTTAATTACAACAGCAACTACGCTTGGGGAAAAATCAGCGTAAGAGAGACATCATTCCAAAGGCTGGGCTTTGCACACAAATATAGATTAGCAGATACATAACAATTGCTCTGTGACCTATGGTTTGAAAATTGCTGATGCAGAGCCTATGAAGAAAGGCCTAGTTTATTTTAGTGTTGTAGTGCAATTGTGATGATAAACATTTATCAGGTTAATAAAATGGATTTATGATATGATGACATTGTGTGAGATGCATTTGTAGGTGGGTTTACATTAATTCACTAAAAAATCAGCCTAGAACTAAGAAAAAATAATTAATGTTTATTGATTAGAATGCTGTTAAATTATCTTTTATTTCCAACTGTTTGTCAGGTTGAATTAAAGTTACATGCAGTCATTAACATAAGTTGGTATGCTAAAGTTTTAAATAATGTGCTTGGATTTTAAACAACACGGAATTCATTCAGAACAGATACTGCAGACTCTGGCAATATTTTCACTCAATGATATTAGTAATTAGATCCAGGATTTTTCTAAAGCTTATACTTTAGGAGCGTATGAATTATGCTTGCATCTACAATTCCCCTCCGCTGGACATTGTTTTCTGCTAGATTATTAGCTGGAATATACCCAGACACTCTTATATTCATCTTTTGTGCTTGAAGATGCCACTGCTAATGGGCATTATATTCTGTGAGTGTTTGAGTGAGAGCAAAGTTAGAGAAGTGGCTGACAATAGTCTTTTTTCTCTGGTGGTGGTGGTGGCTTTTTGTGTAGAGAGAAAGATTCAGGAAGCTTTAAACCTTTGTTGAAACTGGTTCAGTGAATCTCTGTGAAGAAGCACTGGTGATGGCCTGTCTGTCTGTCTGTCAGGTGGTTTTCCTGTTATCTATGTAGAGGACATATTATTAGCTATGTTGTTCCTTGGGGTCTTATTGTATTTCTTTGAAGTGCTTGGCTAATGGTTATGTCACCTCAGCTACTCTGTGGAAGTCCTACCAGCCAGTCAGTCTCTGTTCCTGTCACAAACAGTACACCTATCCTAGCTTAATTGTATTCCAGGACTTTAGGATGGGTGGTTCATGGACCAACATTTCTGAATTTTAGCACTATTGCATTTGGAAACAATTTTTTGTTCAGGGCTGTACTGTGTGTGAGTGGTAGGATGTTTAGCAGCATCTCTGGCCTCTGCCCACTAGGTGCCAGTAGCACCTCCTTGCTCTGGTTGCAACAAGCAAAAATGTTTCAAGATGTTGCCAGTGTCCTCTTGGGGACAAAATGATTCCAAATTGAAAACCACTGTCCTAGGCTATCATGTGATGCTCAGTATGGCCTATACATAATAGGATATCAAGAAGATGGGAATGATGCTTATAATATGCCTAAAACATCTAATCAGAGAAACAGGACAATTCTATGGCCATTTTATAGGCCTTCAGTTTGAAGAAGATCTGTGCCACACTGCCTCTAACCAATATCATTCTATTTTTGAAAGGGATAGCAAATGGTTACATAAATAATAAAGATGGATATACTCTGTGTGTGTGTGTGTGTGTGTGTGTGTGTGTGTGTGTGTGTAATTTTCCCAGTATGATTCCTCTGTAGGTAAATGTTCTCAAGCCAAATTTCAGAATGTTTGGTGCTAATGTGTAAAGTCATATAGAAGCAAATTGCCTATTTTATGGACTTGAAATTGAAAGGGATTTGTAAATGTTACCACATTGATTTCTTTAGCTGAGTTTGACCTTAGTGGATGTATAGGAACAAACTATATTTCTTCTTTAGTTTTTTGGATAAAAGGAAAAGAGTGACCTAACTAAAATGGAAAGCTTATTGTTATTTTAATATAATGCATTCCTCACAGACCTTAGGAAGATCTTGGAGTCAGGGTATGAACAGCTGTTTGGAGTCATTCTCACATTTGTTCATGCGTTCATTTAACAGATATTTATTGAGCACTTCTTCTGTGCCAGAAGCACACAAGAGCCCAGTGTCTTCCTCTCTTTCTCTTTCTCTCTCTCTTCTCTGCATGGTCACTTCAGTCTTCTCCCTCTATTCCTCAGGCCCAGTTTTATGAGCTTCCTGGCCAATATGCAGAAAATAAGGTGCCCACATAGCTGACAAGTTTTCCTTGTCTTCTGCCTAAGAAAGTTCCTTCAGCTGAGGAGACCATCTCTTCGTGCTATTCACAGAGTTTAAGAGAAGGGACTCTGACTATCCTAATTGGGTCAGGTGCCCACCCTGAGCTAACAGTTGTGCCCAGCATGTACTATCCCAGGGAACAAACATGACTGCTGGGAGCCTTCCTCCACAGTCATATGAATCACATTGGAGGGAGCAAAGTTCCCAGAAAAGAGAGACTGTGTAACTCATCCTCAAAATCCCCAATTTGGAACAACATTTTAAGTGGCAAAATGCAAAAGGTGCACATAATAACTGAAGCAAATAAGAGGAAGTTGGGTGCAGGCCATAGTTGGAAAGTGTGTGTGGCTGCTCAGGGACATGGCTCCTCATCTTCAGTGATATCTAGAAAGTTAAAGAGAGCAGACAGAGGTGGGATTAGTATGACTATGTATGTACAAGCCACAGAAGTGGGTTAATTTCTCTCTAGTCCTTTAGAGATTTGGGAGATAGTTTGGGAATAATTCAGGAGTAAGTAAATAGTGATAGTAGCTGGGTGTGGTGGCTCTGCCTGTAATGTGAACACTTTGGGAGGTGGAGGCAGGAGGATGGCTTGAGCTCAGGAGTTTGAGACCAGTCTGGGAAACATAAGGAGACCCTGTCTCTAACAAACAAACAATAAACAAACAAGCAAACAAAAAAGGGAGAGAGAAAAAGTAAAGAAAAAGAATCTGGCATGAGAAGGCTGAGGTGTGAGGATCGCTTGAGTCCAGGAGGTCAAGGCATCAGTGAGCCATGATCACGCCACTACACTCCAGCCTGGGTGACACAGCAAGAGCATAGACGGGATTCTCATAGACCAGTTAGTTTGGCATTATCAAGCTGTAGATACAAGAGATTGTTCAGGAGGCCCATGTGCTGGGACATGATGAGAGAGGAGGATGCAGGGAAAATTTCCTCCTACCTCAGCTCCTCAGTACCCTTTCCTTTCACCACCCCTGGGCACAACTAGTGCAATCCAACGAGATAAGCTTGTAAGGCTGATGGGGATGCCCTGCCGTTTGTGACCATTATCATAAACCTTAGACCAGTTGACTCCTTCTAGACCTCCCATCTATGCAATACTTGGGCATGACCAATATGTTGAGGGGAAGATTATTAGAATCTTTGAAAAGCCAACACATAGTTGAAGAGAACACATCCACTTTATAATTTTATATTTGACAGAGAACTTGCTCAGGCCAAAACCAAATTTTCCAACTTCTACCATGATTCATGAGATCTTGCATTTGGGAGGAACTGTGCATTGACTCAGGTGATGATGAAGTGGCATATTTTCCCCAGTTTTCCTTATGTTTCTATATTCTTCAGAAAACTACAAAGAGTGATTTGCATACCATGCCCTGGGAAATCCAAAATTCTCTAGTGAATTTATACCAAATGCTCTCAAAATCACCATCTAATTCATAATACCACCTTACTTATTAATAATTAATTAATCAATGACTTGATATACTTAGGTAATACAGACTGTGGGGAAAAAAGGTAACCATGATGTTAGTTTCCTAGAGAAAGAGCAAGAATGCTTTCAGAGAAAGTCCAGCAACTCACCTGCTGTGGCATGGTTACTGGTGATGGGTAATATACATTCTCTGTTAATGGTGTAATGATACGCTTGGGCTTATTGCACATCCAAACATGATTAGTGTTTTCTACTTTAAAATGACTGCATAGAATACAATGTTTATTTAAGAGTAAATAATAGGAGTAAGCTAATTGAAAACTCAACTGCAATTGTAGCAATTGTTTAGAATTTGATTTTTTTAATATTTTAAATAATTTTTATTTCTGGGAGAAATATTTTATCACTATCAGTGCACATTCATAATATAAAGCAGGCTGACTTTCAGTTGCTTTTATTATTGTTTTCAAATTCTCTCCATACAGTGCAGCCCTTCATTGTATACTCTGGGGTAGAAGGCTTCTCCATGTCCTCCAGTGGTACAGCATTGCTTCTGTCTTGAAATATTTCCTTCTCTGTGTAATCCTCAGTATTTTCCACATGGGAATAATAATAGAACCTAATAGTTTTATTTTATATGTTGTGAGAATTAGACAATTTATGTGTGTGGAACATACTAGGAATTCAATTATTGTTACTTATTCCAATAAAAAATTGAGATTTTTTTCTTCACTCTTTTTTTATCACTAGGCAAGCTATAGATTTCTATTGGATTGACTGAAAACTTAATGAAATGCTTTCTAAGCATTCCACCATTTTTCAAATTTTCATATAATGAATCAAACCACATTTCTATTTTCCTGGAAAAAATGCAGGGAAGTTCTTATTACAAAAATGTTTGGCATCATCAGTAGAGTTTGGATCTACTTATAACTAAATACATTTTGCTGTTGATCTGAAAAGTTTGCCATGGTGCTAAAGCCCTTCATTAGGATAGAACTAACCATGTGGACATTGGTCGTTGTGAATTCTTTTTGTCTGACTGAAGTAGGGGGGAAATAACATTTTTAAGTGACTCTAGTTTCTTTAGTTTATATAAACATATCCAAAAATTTAGAATGCAATTGGAAGCCGGCATCTGAATATATTTATTTATTTGTTTATTTGTTTATTTGTTTATTTTATTTTAAGTTCTGGGATACATATGTAGAGTGTGCGGGTTTGTTGTTACATAGTTATATATGTGCCATGTTGGTTTGCTGCACCTACCAACCCATCATCTAGGTTTTAAGCCCCACATGCATTAGGTATTTGTCCTAGTTCTCTCCCTCCCCTTTCCCTCTTATCCCTGATAGGCCCAGGTGTGTGATGTTCCCCTTCCTGTGTCAATGTGTTCTCATTTTTCAACTTCCACTTGTGAGTGAGAACATGCAGTGTTTGGTTTTCTGTTCCTGTGTTAGTTTGCTGAGGATAATGTTTACCAGCTTCATCCATGTCCCTGCAAAGGACATGAACTCATTCTTTTTTATGGCTGCATAGTATTCCATGGTGTATATGTGCCACATTTTCTTTATCTGGTCTATCATTGATGGTCATTCAGGTTGGTTCCAAGTCTTTGCTATTGTAAATAGTGCTGCAATAAACATTTATGTGCATGTCTCTTTATAGCAAAATGATTTAGAATTCTTTGTTTATATACCCAGTAATGGGATTCCTGGGTCAAATAGTATTTCTATTTATAGATCCTTGAGGAATCACCACACTGTCTTCCACAATGGTTGAACTAATTTAAACTCCCACCAACGGTGTAAAAGCATTCCTATTTCTCTGCATTCTCACCAGCATCTGTTGTTTCCTGACTTTTTAATGATCGCTGTTCTAACTGGTGTGAGATGGTATCTCACTGTGGTTTTGATTTGCATTTCTCTAATGACCAGTGATGATCAGCTTTTTTTCATATGTCTGTTGGCCACATAAATGTCCTCTTTTGGCAAGTGTCTGTTCATATCCTTCACCCATTATTTGATGAGGTTGTTTGTTTTTTTCTTGTACATTTGTTTAAGTTCCTTGTAGATTCTGGATAATAGTCCTTTGTCAGATGGATAGATTGCAAATATTTTCTCCCATTCTGTAGGTTGCCTGTTCACGCTGATGATAGTTTCTTTTGCTGTGCAGAAGCTCTTTAGTTTAATTATATCCCATTTGTCAATTTTGGCTTTTGTTGCCATTGCTTTTGATGTTTTAGTTATGAAGTCTTTACCCATGCCTATGCCCTAAGTGGTATTGCGTAGGTTTTCTTCTAGAGTTTTTATGGTTTGGATACATTTTTAATTCTCTTGGAAACGTATTGCTTTCCACTTTATTGAGACACACACACATGCACACACACACACACATGCACATGGATGGCTGAGGAACAAAATGTTACTAGCTAAAGTTGTAAGAAGAAAAGTTGTGCTAAGGAGAGAAATTCTCAATCATTTAGGATTGAGGTAATTTTTAAAAAATTCCTTTGATAAGGGATATTGAGACAGGATTGGCTTGATATGGAAAAGTTATATGTCGATCTGGTGGTTGAGGGTTGTACTTGATAAGAGGAATATAGACGTGCAGATATTGATATCCACTGTGTATGTGTGTTTGTGTTGTGTGTGTGCGTGTGTGTGTGTGTGCGTGTATGGGTATGATATCATTAAAATTAACTTGCTGTGGGTTAACAGAAAACAAAAAGGTTTTGGAAACTTTCAGACCATTGAAATGAATTGCTGTTCATTAGGTCACCTGTGGTTAAAACAATGGATGGGTGAAATCATAGTCAACCTACATTCTGGAACATTCTAGATGAATATTATAAAATACTTTGTTGAAAGCAATTGGGGTGAATTAAATTACATTTAGTTAAAATAATTGTCATGTGGGGAAATTTGAGGGGAAACCAGTTTAACATGCATTTGCATCAACACTGTTTTTTGAAGACACTGCACAGCAAGTATATATTCAGGGCTGATTGGGAAGCAGGGGGGAGGAATGAAAATGACATTTTTAACTATCCTTATTTGTCAATGGTTTGTACATATAGCATTACAGTGCTTGGATTTTGCTGAGAATACGCTTTCATTTTAGGTATACTACCTCATCATTTCCTAAACAGTATTTACCAAGGAGCACTTTAAAAAGCACATTATATTGAGAAAACACCAAAAGGAGACATGTTCATTGGATTAAAGCAGACTATAAAAACTACAGGGCAGATGAATCAGTTGCAGCAGAAACGGTAAAAATTTGATTCAGATATATACTTAAACATTATGTCAGAACAAAAGTGAACACATTAGAAAAGATATACTCTTATTTAAAAAATTATTAAAAGAGCACAAAAAGATTAAAAGAAACAAGTTGTTCCTAGGACAATTTCCAGATATTCTTTTTTTTTTTGAGACTGAGTCTCTCTCTGTCACCCAGGCTGGAGTGCAGTGGCCCGGTCTGGGCTCACTGCAAGCTCCGCCTCCCGGGCTCATAGCATTTCTTAAACACAGATTATCATGTAATAACAAAACCATTTGCAACTTTGTGTTTCAGTTTACTAGGGTGCCACAACAAAATAGCACAGGCCATATAGCTTAAAAGATAGAAATTTATTTTCTCACTGTTCTGGAGACTGTAAGTCCATGATCAAGGTGTCAGCAAGTTTGCTTTCTCCTGAGGCCTCTCTTCTTGACTTGCAGGTGGCTGCTTGCCTGCCGGGTCCCTCACATGCCCTTTCCTCTGTGTGTGCGAATCTGTAGTGTCTCTTCTTCTTTTTTTAAGTACACCAGTCATATTGGATTTGGACAAGCTTGTCCAACCCACGGCCTGCAAGCCGCATATGTGCATGCGGCCCAGGATGGCTTCGAATGTGTCCCAACACAAATTCGTAAACTTTCTTAAACCATTATGAGATTTTTTTGCAATTTTTTTTGTTTGTTTTTAGCTCATTAGCTATTGTTGCTGTTGGTGTATTTTATGTGTGGCCCAAGACAGTTCTTCCTGTGTGGCCTAGGGAAGCCAAAAGATTGGACATCCCTGGACTAGGACCTCACCCTTAGGACCTCATTTAACCTTAATTACCTTTTTACAAGCTGTGTCTCTACATACAGTCACATTGGAGATTAGGACTTCAACATATAAGTTTTGGGGAAACACAATTCAGTTCAGAACAATGTGCACTATTTATTTCATGTTTATAGTAATAAAATAAAAAATTTAAAAACGTACCATCTGCACCTCTTAATATATCTCACAATTTGGGAAATGCTTTCTCTTAATATGTCTCCAATTTGGAAATAAAATGCTAGTTCTTGTTTTTTATTTTTTACTAATGGATTATAGTTGAGTCATAAATATTTCTGTTTTTTTTTTCCTTAAAATGTGATGGCTCTAATTTCTGCCAGTATCTTTAGCCAGAAGATTTAATAAAAATAGTGTTATTGACATGTGTTTAGACAAATATTTTCTTGTGGAATTTAAACAACTTTTTAAATTTCTGAATGTAAAGTCATTTATTTATGCAAATGAATCATCATAAATAAATAAACCAGTGAAGGAAAAATAAAATTCTCTATACATCTAAAATTTTACTTTGGTAGTAAGAACAATATTAAAATTAAAACTAAAATAGAAAACATTAGGATTATTTTTAAAAATGCCTCCAGAGTATATCACATGTTTAGCTCATCTAAATCTCCTATACTCTTTATATTTCTAACCCTCTAATTTTTTTTTTGCCAAAAATTATAACTGAATAACCCTGGAATCTAGAATTGTCTTCTGAGGGATGATAACTGGGAAAAATTATTGTAATTGTTGGGTTGTCTTTTTTAAATCTTGGAAAAATATTAACTCTTATGCATTGCCTATGTTACATGTGTTAATTGTTGACTAAAGACACAATATTTAATTAGCCACTTACTCTTTAATCATCCTGAACAAATAGAATTTTTACTGCTATGGAATTTGTCTTTTTTTAAAATGCCTTACTCTTTCATCCAAGCTACTTTTTTTTCTAAAATTAGATAAGCAGTTTTCTTAGAGTAATTTTTAATACTATGTCTAATTAAAGGTATAATTTAAACTAACCTGTAGAGATAATGTTCGTAGTGTCCACTTCATAAGCATTATTTCATTAGATAAACTATTTAATCAAAGACCAAATACATTATACCATCAGGGGACTGAAATCTAGCTGAAAGAATTTGGGACGGAGTATTAGGAATTGTCAAAAGTGTAGAAGTCTAATTTTGATTTTTAAATAATACAAATATTATGCTACCCTTCCTTTTTTAGTTTTCTTCATCTATTTTCTGGACTTACGGAGGAACTTGATGCCAGAATTCAGTTCTGGTCAGAACGGACACCACCAAATTAATTACAGTGACCTCCGAACTCTTTACCCTTGACCCTGGTGGCAGAAACTGGTATGACTAGGTAAAAATAATTAAAGAGATTGTACTAAAGTTGTAACTAAATGCCTTTAAAAAAGAAAGAAAATATGATATTGGCTGTGGGTTTGTCATAAATAGCTCTTATTAGTTTGAGGTACATTCCATCAATACATAGTTTATTGAGGGTTTTTAGCATAAAAGGCTCTTGAATTTTGTCAAAGCCCCTTTCTGTATCTATTGAGATAATCATATGGTTTTTGTCGTTGGTTCTGTTTATGTGATGGATTACATTTATTGATTCGTGTATGTTGAACCAGCCTTGCATCCCAGAGATGAAGCCAGCTTGATTGTGGTGGATAAGCTTTTTGATGTGCTGCTGGATTCGGTTTGCCAGTATTTTATTGAGGATTTTCACATCGATGTTCATCAGGGATATTGGTTTAAAATTCTCTTTTTTTATTGTGTCTCTGCCAGGCTTTGGTATCAGGATGATGCTGGCCTCATAAAATGAGTTAGGGAGGATTCCCTCTTTTTCTATTGATTGGAATACTTTCAGAAGGAATGGTACCAGCTCCTCTTTGTACCTCTGGTAGAATTCAGCTATGACTCCATCTGGTCCTAGACTTTCTTTGGTTGGTAGGGTATTAATTATTGCCTCAATTTCAGAACCTGTTATTGGTCTATTCAGAGATTCAGCTTCTTCCTGGTTTAGTCTTGGGAGGGTGTGTGTGTCCAGGAATTTATCAGTTTCTTCTAGATTTTCTAATTTATTTGCATAGAGGTATTTATAGTATTCTCTGATGGTAGTTTGTATTTCCGTGGGATTGGTGGTGATATCCCCTTTATCATTTTTTATTGTGTCTATTTGATTCTTCTCTTTTCTCTCTTTTCTTCTTTATTAGTCTTGATAGCGGTCTATCTATTTTGTTGATCTTTTCAAAAAACCATCTCCTGGATTAATTGATTTTTTGTAGGTGTTTTTGTGTCTCCTTCAGTTCTGCTCTGATCTTAGTTCTTTCTTTTCTTCTGCTAGCTTTTGAATTTGTTTGTTCTTGCTTCTCTAGTTCTTTTAATTGTGATGTTAGGGTGTCGATTTTAGATCTTTCCTGCTTTCTCTTGTGGAATTTAGTGCCATAAATTTCCCTCTACACACTGCTTTAAATGTGTCCCAGAGATTCTGGTAAGTTGTGCCTTTGTTCTCACTGGTTTCAATAGAACAAATCTATCCATCTGGCAAAGGACTAACATCCAGAATCTACAAGGAACTTAAACAAATTCACAGGAAAAAACATACAACCCCATCAAAAAATGGGAAAAGGATATGAACAGGCACTTCCCAAAAGAAGATGTTTATGCAGCCAACAGACATTTGAAAAAATGCTTATCATCACTGGTCATTATAGGAATGCAAATCTAAACGACAATGAGATACCATGTCATGCCAGTTAGAATGACGATCATTAAAAAGTCAGAAACGACAGATGCTACTGAGGATGTGGAGAAATAGAAATGCTTTTACACTGTTGGTGGGAGTGTTAATTAGTTCAACCATTGAGGAAGACAGTGTGGTGATTCCTCAAGGATCTACAAATAGAAATACCATTTGACCCAGCAATCCCGTTATTGGCTATTTACCCAAAGGATTATAAATCATGCTACTATAAAGACAAATGCACACAAATGTTTACTGTGGCACTATTCACAATAGCAAAGCCTTGGAACGAACCCAAATGTCCATCAATAATAGACTGGATAAAGAATATGTGGCACATATACACCATGGAATACTATGTAGCTATAAAAAAGAATGAGCTCATGTCCTTTGCAGGGACATTGATGAAGCGGGAAACCATCATCCTCAGCAAACTAACACAGGAACAGAAAACCAAACACTGCATGTTCTCACTCATAAGTGGGAGTTGAACAGTGAGAACACATGGACACAGGGAGACAGGGACACAGGGACATCACATGTACACAGGGACATCACACACCAAGGCCTGTAGGGTGGGTTGGGGGCTAGGGGAGGGGTAGCATTAGGAGAAATACCTAATGTAAATGACGAGTTGATGGGTGCAACAAACCAACATGGCACATGTATACCTATGTAACAAACCTGCACATTGTGCACATGTACCACAGAGTTTAATGTATAAAAAAAAAAAAGAAAGTCATTTCTGACATATCGGAACACTGTATGGATGTGTTTATATCACTATGGCTTGTAGTGTTCTTTAACTGTTAGACTGAGAAGAATCCTGCCAACAAGTTCAGCAAAGATGGGGTATATAGATAAATAAATTTATATTGTAATAAACTAATGAGGTACTATTATTCTAAAATAATGACTATACAGTTTTAAATAGAGCACTATCTTTCATCAAAGTGATGAGAAACATTCTAAAACTCCCTTTTTCCTCTGTTCAAAGAAGGATCTAAGACAGATAAATATTTTCAATTCCTATGAGAAAATCTGACTTATAGATTAAAAAAATTTAATCTATAGCCAATTTTAGTAGTTTAAAATAATTATACACATAAAACAGTATTTAATTTGATATTTTAATTGAATCAAACACTTGGTGAAAACATTTTTGCCCAATAGCATAGTATATGTTAGGAAGTATTGGTATAGTAGGTCATATCATATTAACTGCTTTCTAATTTCTAATAATAATTAGTCATAGTCAAGACTTACTTTGCACTTCTTAGGTATGGTGTAGGGAGACAAATCCCTATGGGTCTCCAAAATTTCTGCATTGCCTGTGAGTGAAGCACTGATTTTCCTTTGTTCTGACGGTCTTTTCAGGATGATTGATAGTAAATAGGCTTGAAAAATAGAGATAGTGTCTCCTCCCAGAGCAAAGCGCAGGCATATTTACTGCTCATTATGAAAGATTCGAGTTTCCTAAATTTCAGGTTGCTCTTTTGTAATGCAACCCACTGCTGGTGCCTTTTGGCCCTATTATTGTTGTCCTGTGGGAACTGGGGCTCAGGGAACTGTCATTAAAATGCTAATTCTCTGGCCAGTGTTATTGCTGTGGGTAATACATGGCCTCCCATCACTGACTTAAGAGTCTTGTGTCTTTTGCCAGCATCTATGTAACTGTGGCAAGCTAACTTGGAAGAAAATTAAAATTTCAGCCCCTTCACAGGTTTTGGCAGGAGACACTAGCTTCAATACTTTGAAAAATTCTTTTTATTTAACTCCTTAATTACTCACAAATCTTAGGGGAGCAGAAAACTGCTATTTCTGTAACACAACTTTGCTGTTATAAGTCCCCTACCCCAGTTTTACCCCTAAGAAAGACAGATTAGCATATTCTGTCTTCAGTTACTTCAGGTGCAAATGTGTTCATTTATGGATTCCCTCCCTCCTTTACTTTTTCGCCCCAGTGTGACATCTAAGTTTCTAGATATTTAGCATGGGAGGGTTAGGAAGGGGCTAAGCAGCAGGAGCTGCAAAATCTGGTCCTCAGTTGTTGCATCTGTCCTTAAGGATATCCCCTGAGTATCTACAGCTCTGTTTAATTTCAGTCTCTGGTTTATGCCGTATTCCTCTGTGGCATCTGCTTGTCAGTTCCCCAAGATACTGTCAGGTCTATTGACACAAACTCTCTTACTCTCAACTTTTGTTTCCTTTTAGAGGGAACAGAAAACTTTGGCTGCTCTCCTAAGTGATTTTGTGCGGCAGGAGACAATGAGAAAGCTGCCTCGGGCTCTCTCTACACCTGACATTTCATGCAGTGTCTTTGTTGCTACTCAAATTTTCTGGCCATAGTGACATGGAGAATTTCTAAGGCAGTGCTACCTTCACCCTTTAAGATTCTCTGTACTTAGATGGTGGTCATATCACCTTCCACAACTTTCTGTTCATACAGGCTAACTCTTTGTGGGAGGTTGGAGGGCATTCGTAGCTCCTTCTCTAAAAATTTTGCTTTCTTTAGAATATTTATTTTTCTTTTCTAGGCATGGAAATTTTTACCAAATCTAAGATTAAAAACAGTCTAAAAAAAACCTGACTCATGTCATCATGAATTGTTTCCAAGTTCATTATTTATGGTGAATTTGGCTTTTGGTGCACCTTGATCAAGACTTTCTGATTTTAAACCTTTTCCTTGTCATGTCCTTTCTCTGAGGCTGTGCACAAATAGAACCCTAGTCGCTCCCATGTGGCAATATAGGGGTGGAAAAGGGGTCACCAGGTGAAAGGAAATTACTAGATTTGAAAAGAAAACATTGCCTGTTATTAGTGAATCACCTTGCTATACTTATGAACGTATTAATACCATTAAAGACTCTACCTTTTACCTCTACCAGAGTGTGAGCTTTCTGTGGACAGAGAGACATCATGTAGCTTTTTATTACCTGACATATAGTAGCCACTCAATTGTTTATAAGGGAATAATAAGGATCAATAAATAATGTTCTATTGACTCATCTTATCTATTAAAATGAAGTTGCATGGTTATGATTTGTAGGTCTTCAAAATGCTAGTGAGAACAGATTCATGGAAAATAATAGTAATTCAGTTCTATAAGAAGATTGAAATCTCAGGTATTCGGTATGCTTATTATAAGTCTATTTTATAATAAAACTTCATCTTATTTTATAAAATAATATTTTCTGTTTATGATTTTCATATCTTATAGGTTATTTGAAATATTCTGTGTAGGAGAATGAAAGACATACACTCTGAAGGCATAGAAATCAAATGTTTGATTACAATAGATTTTACATTTCTCATGCCTAGTTAATTCACAGGCTGATTAAAGAAAGAACATTTGTTTTTTTAAAGTCTTCAACATGCCATGAAATATTAAAATGGAAAAAATTGTTTATTTTCTAAAATGTCTTTATACAACAAAAAAACCCATGGAAATAGATCTCAGAAACATTTTTCTACTAAAGGTTTGTGAGATAAAGAGTAGTCTTCCTAGATTGGACCAAACTCCTTTTTCTTTCATTTGATCATAAACTGCATCGGGAGAAATAGTTTTTGTATGCTTTGATTTTTCTGAGTGAAGAGAGAGAAGCTACTATATTACAAATTGCCACTATAGTTCAAAGCCATCAGACCAACTATATAGAACCCTTGATAAGAGCACTTGAAAGATTTTTTATAGTGATAACTGCAGAGAAGGAGGATGTAGTCCCTGGAGTGAATGTAAGGTGTTACAGTGGAGTGTTGTGGATTATTTAAAAATCCTCGTGAGAGTTACGGAATTGGTCTTAACTCTTAAATTACTTTCAGAATCCATCTTACAATGTCAGGTTTCATATATGTATTGATTAGCTTGGAAGATAATGCCACCAGCTTATTGATTATTTTTAAAAAGCCCAGGAAACTACAAATGACGTTAAAAAAAAAAGATCTTGATGCATGTTCACACTTATAAGGAATAGCTAAACGTTAGGTACCCATGGACATAAAGATGGCATCAGTAGACACTGCAGACTACTTGAGTGGGGAGAAAGAGAGGTCAAGGGTTGAAAAACTAACTGTGAGGTACAATGCCCAAAAACTGGGTGAGGAGATCGATCATACCCCAAACCTCAACATCATGCAATATACCCTGTAACAAACCTGCACATGTACCCCTGAGTCTAAAATAAAAGTTGAAATTATTTTTAAAAATGATATTAAAAGCTACATATTAGGTCTTTAAAACTATGGGAAGATAATATTTCCCCAATATATTTCCCATCTTCGAATGTATATGTGTTAGACTCTCTATTATGGTAATAGACGGTAGATTAAATAGGTTAAATAATTATGAATCTGAATGCATCTAACAGTATATTCTTTGATATGGCATATATCAAATATATAAATAACAAAAATAAATAAGAACAGTAATGTGAAAAGATATAGATAAATGAAAAACTGTAATTGAAAGTTAAAAATATAACTATCAAAATCTGAAAGGTCAAGCAGACAAAAAGAAGATTTTATTAATATGATCAAATGTATACATATATATCTGTACTAGTATTCTTATTAATACAAATAACTTGATGTCCAACTTAGAATATATGTACATTTTTGACCCAATGTTGAATTAACCATGTTTTTGGCTACAAAAAGGTTTTAATATGAATGAGCCAGCATCTCATAGATTATGTTTTTCAGTTATAACTTAATAAAATTAAAAAATATCAACACTTGTAAATATAGGAAGAAAGAGAAAAAACAATTAAAAAGTAATTAACATTTTAGCTTTCTGTCAAGAAGCTAAGTACAACAGTACTTAGAGACAAAATTATAGTTTACATTTGCAAACAAGAATAATTAAAATAGAACTAAGCATTTAACACATGTCACTAGAAAAACAGCAACAGAGTAAACCTAAAGAAACAGGAAATAGGAAATGAAAATAAGAGCAAAACTGAGTGGAATTGAGAGTAAAAATAACAACACCTAAATTTACGTACTGGAAAAGAGGAAAAAAGTGTGAGGCATTTAAAGAACACACTCAACTCTATGTTAATAAATTCTTCTATATTAATGAATTCTAAATTTAAATAAAGGGGATGCAATTTTATAGGGAAAAAGATGAAAAATGAATTTACTAATAGCCATTAAAAAGAAAATTGAAATAGTAATCAGAACTCCTCAGCAGCAAAACTTAAACAAATAAAAAAAAAATTTCCACAAATCAAAACTACACCCCCCATACTCACGTCCACATAGTTTTACAGGTGTGCTGTACCAAATTTTAAAGAAAAAGACAGGTTGTTCTATAAAATAGAGAAAAAAAAGAGAAAGCTGGATAACTCATTTTTAGGACTGGTTAGTATAACCTTAATTGTTAGAGAGAATCATAGTTTATAAAAAAAATTATAAGCTCACTTCACTTTACATATAGATACAAAATCTTAAGTTAAATATTAGCTAAGTAAATCTAGAAGTGTGTGAAAAGACATATTGTCATAAAGCACTATTTATCCTGCAACTATGAGAATTGTTGAATCTTCACTAGATACCTAAAATTTTCCTGTTTACGGCCTAATAAAATCACATGCTTATTTCAATACATAGAGCAAATGGACTTAAAAAATTCAGCATCTCCTTATGATAAATCTCTTAAAAAGAAATACAAAGAAACATCCTAAATTATAGAGTATATATGACAAAAAGCTTAGCAAAAGCTTAACATCATATTTAGCAGATAGTTTAATTTTATATAATTCCATGTAAGACCAGCAATAGCATAGTGTTGTAAAGCCATGGGCTCTATTAAGCATCTTGCTGAGTATGTCAAAATTGCAAAGCCTTGTTTATTCACCTGGGCTATTTTTCAGTCTTGTTTATGCAGCTGGAAATTTTGAAAAATGAAATAATGCCTTGCAGACGTAAATCACATAGTTCTGCAATGCACCTGATCTCCCTGCAGACAAAGTATAGTCTTCCCCACTGCTTGCTAAAAAAGTGGCAGCTTCACTAGACATAGGATTCCTCTCATTTGGAGCATCCTATTGTATGTGAAGCCTCCACCTGTCACTTATGACACAGTCTGAGATTTGCGGTTTGGGGAACTAGTGTAATTACACTAATACTCCAGCTACTGCTATTATTATGAATAATAAATTGCTTTGTCTCTGAACCAGGACTGTTGCGTCTTCTGTCAGCACCCATAAAAACAGTGGCAGGCTAAGTTATTATCTTGCATTGTTTTTTTTTTGTGTGTGAAAGTTCTTTTACTTCTAGCTCTTTTCTGCCAAACTTATTTTGAGTAGGGTAAAATCTCAATGCACAAGAATGCTATCAGCTAGGATAGTTATTATTGAACCTAATACTGAAGGTATGGGCCAAAGATTAAAAAAGAAAAAGAAACAATAGTTATAAAAATTTGAAATGATAACAAAAAATGGTTTGTATTTACAGATGAAAATTACCTTCATAAGAGATTTATTTAAATGTACAGTCAACAATTAGAACTAGTAAAAGAATACAGAAAAAGCTATTAGATTTATAAAAAATTAAGACAGCTGCTCTAAACCAAGAATAGAAACCAAAAAAAGTATAGAAAACTAAAAACATTTGTGAAAGAATGAAAACTATAAAGTACACGAGAAATAACCTAATAAAATAATAAATGGAAACCACAGAAAAACTAAAATTATTTTTAAAGGAAATAAAAAACAAATACTAAAGAAAATAAATAAATAGAAAATACCCAAATGCTAAAGAAAATAAATAAAAACAAGAAAAAAATAAAGTAAATTTAAAAAGTAAGTAAATGAAGAATTAAGCTACATTTATAGATGATATAAATTAAAAATGTAAAGATAAGTTTTTCAAATTAATCTGCAAATGTAATGCCAGTCTAATCAGCATCACAGTAGAAATTTTTGAGAAAACTGACAAGCAGATTCAAAATTAGTAAAGTAAATTGCATGTTTATGATTAGTTAAGATTAAAGAGGGAGACACATGCTAGCAAATATGAAGACATACTATGTAGACTGTTGAGAATAGAATAGACATATGTCCAAATGGTAACATTGTCTCAGATCATGATGACACTACTAATTAGAGGGGGAGAGATTGCCTGTCTCATAGATGGCACGGGACAAACTGATTAATTGTATGGGTAAAAATAAAGTGTAATTTCTGCCTGAGATCATAAGCAAAAGTCAACCCCCTTAACCTTCCTGATTAAGTACCTGAATGTGAAAGGTGAAGCTATAAACAAAATAGAAGAGAATATCTTTGAGGGCAGAGGATGGGAAAAAACATTTTAAACATGACAAAAGAGCACAAATCATAAGAAAAAATAAATCTAACAATATCAAAATTATTTATTTAACAAAGATACATACACAGAACTAAAGAATGGGTAACAAAATTAATATCTAGAACATAAAATAAATTCATTGATTAAAAAAGAGACAATGGTTGTAAATTCACAGGAGATGAAACTTGAATAGTTAATAATGGCATGATAGAGATATTTAATGTTACTTATTATCCCAGAAATTCAAATGAATACGAAAAGTGGGATACCACTTTAAACTCATTGGAATGGCTAACTGGAAAATCATGTAATTGCAAGCATATTAGTTAAGGCTGTTCGTTACATTATAAGGAACCGAATACCTGTCTAATATTGGTCCAAGCAACCAAGACATAAATATCTCACACAATAATGAGTGTAGAGGTGGGGTTGCTCTAGATTCATGCAGAAATTTAGCAATGCCATTAAGGCCTTCTTTTTTTCTTTAGCTTTCTTATTTGTTTGGCTTTTCATCTTTCAGTGGTTGCTTTGTGGGGGATAAGATGGTTGTTTATGTTCTAGGCATCATATCCTGTGGCACCATTCAGAGAAAGAATGGGATGGGGCTGTTCAAAGAGGGTCAACTTTCATGCCCATCACTTTCTGCTGGAAAATAAAGTATTTCCTGGACGAGTTCTTCTTGCATCACATTGATCGGAAGCATGTCATGTGACCAACGCTTAGCTGCAAGGATGCTGGAAAATTGTGTATCTAACAAAGAGAAATTGGCTTAGACTAATTTGCTCCTAGAGCTGAGCTCACTGTCAATATAACAAAAATTAACAAAGACAAAGGATGGCAGGAGGACTTTGGAGAAGGCCATTAATAGCTCTGTCACTTTGACTGTTGTGACAATGAGAAGAAATGTATACACTCATGTACTAATAGTGAGGGGTATGCAAACCGGTACAGACATATAGGAACTTAGTGAAATTCAGTCAATATACAACCTCTGAGCCAGCAATGAGTATAAAATTGAGAAAAACAGTTACACAGTTTCCTATGGAACAAGTCCTGAGATAAAAAGAAAAAAGAAAGCAAGTAAGCTGGCCCGGCAGCTGGAGATCTGGGCTCTAGTTTTTCTAATAACAGTGCGTCATTGAGTGAATTGTTGACCTCTCTGGGACTTGTTTGCTTCATTTGTAAAGTGTGGCAAATATATTAGGTTCACAGTTCTCAAACTATACCCTTAAGGAACACCAAAGTTTGATGAATTGGTCCAGGTTCTCTCTTGATAAAATAAAATCTTGGTGGCTTTTAACCTGACAATTATCTGAACTTCAAGTGTCCTGCAATGTTTTTTTTTCTTTAACTTTTTGTGACTGCTGTTATTTTTCTGCTACTGTATATTAGCAGATGACAAAAAGAATTATACAAATAATAAAAAATTCTGACATAATTAAAACCAGCTTATTGTTTAATGAAAACACATGGCCTTGGTTTGATGTCATATTTTGGCATGCAACATTGACTTATTTTTTGCTAGTAAAATTATCCCACATTTGTATGAGGCCATTACACAGCTAAGCCTTTCATGGTGTTTCATAAAGAGCACCCCAAGTGTTAGGCATTTCCTTCTGAACAGGCTGGAGCCCACACTCTGAGATTTTTACAGTTATTTTTACCTTCATTAGTCTATCTTTTAATTATTATCCTATTAGAAGAGCAACATGTATTTATAGAGCTTCTGACAAGGTTGAATAAATAATGAGCACTTACCTTGTGGATGAAGATACTCTAAAACCAAATTATTAGTATAGGACCTCATCTATACCCCTAGATAAAATTTTAATTGTTGAAAATTACTTCTTGCAAGTTACCACAAGCCTTTCTAACTTTTTTTTTAAGTGAACCTTTTTAGAACCTATTTGTACGTAACTTTTATAGTATACAGACATATCTCATGTTACTGCACTTTGCTTTATTGCATTTCATGGATATTGCATTTTCTACAAGTTGAAGGTTTGTGGCAATCCTGCATGGAACAAGTCTATTGACACCATTTTCCCAACAGCATGTGCTCACTTTGTGTCTCTGCATCACATTTTGGTAATTCTCACAATACTTCAAGCTTTTTAATGATGATTATGTTTGTTACAGTAAACTGAGATTAGTGACTTTTGATGCTGCTGTTGTAATTGTTTTGGGGCACCACGGACTGTACCCATACAAGATGTCAAACTTGATCGATAAATGTTGTGTATGTTCTGAGTGCTCCACCAACTGGCCATTCTCCCTTCTCTTTTTCTCTCTCAGGCTTCTCTATTCCCTGAGACACAACAATATAGAAATTAGGTCAATTAATAACCCTAAAATGGCCTCTCAGCGTTCAAATGAAAAGAGTCTCATGTCTCTCACTTCAAATCAGAAGACAGAAACGATTAAGCTTAGTGAAGGAGGCATGTCAAAAGCTGAGACAGGCCAAAAGTTAGGCCTCTGGCACCAAATGGTTCACCAAGTTGTAAATACAAAGGAAAATTTCTTGAAAGAAATTAAAAGTGCTATTACAGTGAACACATGAATATAAGAAAGCAAAATAGACCTACTGATATGGAGAAAGTTGGAGTGGCGTGGATAGAAGATTAAACTAGCAACAAGATTCACTTAAACCAAATCCTAATCCAGAGTGAGATTTTAACTGTCTTTAATTCCATGAAGACTGAGAGAGGTGAAGGAGCTGCAGAAAAAAAAAAAAATTGAAACTAGAAAATGTTCGCTAGGCATGGTGATTCATGCCTGTAATCCCAGCCAAGGTGGGCAGATCACTTGAGGTCAAGAGTTCAAGACCAGCCTGGCCAACATGGTGAAACCCTATCTCTGCTAAAAATACAAAAGTTAGCCAGCTGTGGTGGTGCAGGACTGTAATCCCAGCTACTCAGGAGGCTGAGGCAGGAGGATTGCTTGAACCCAGGGGGCAGAGGTTGCAGTCAGCTGAGATCATGCCACTGCACTCCAGTCTGGATGACAGAGAAAGACTCTGTCTCAAAGAAAAAATAAAAAAAAAAAAGAAAATGTTGATCCATGAGATTTAAGAAAATAAGCCATCTCTATATCACAAAAGTGCAAGGTGAAACATCAAATTTTGATGAAGAAGCTACAGCAAGTTATCCAGAATGTATAGCTAAGATCATTGATGAAGGTGGCTACACTAAACATTTTCAATGTAGAAAAATCAATCTTCTACTGAAAGAAGATGCCATCTAGGACTTTCATAGCTAGAGAGAAGTCAATGCCTGGCTTAAAGCTTCAAAGGATAGTCTGACTCTCTTGTTAGGAACTAATAGAGCTGGTGTGTTGAAGTTGAAACCAATGCTCATTGACTATTCCAAAAGCCCTAGGGCCCTTAAGAATTATTATAAATCTACTCTGTCTGTGCTCTATAAATGAACAACAATGCATAGATGACAGCACATCTGTTTACAGCATGGTTTACTGAATATTTTAAACTCACTGTTGAGACTTACTGCATAGAAAAAGAGACCTCTTTGAAAATATTACTATTCATTTACAGTACACATGGTCACCCAGGAGCTCTGATGGAGATGTATAAGGAGATTAATGGTTTTATGCCTGCTAAGACAATATCTATTTTGCACTCCATGGATTAAGGAGTAATTTTGACTTTCAGGTCTTATTATCTAAAACATTCATTTCCTAGAGCTAAAGTTGCTATAAATAGTGATTCCTCTCACAGATCTGGATAAAGTAAATTGGAAACCTTCTGGAAAGGATTCATCATTCTAAATGCCATTGAGAATATTCATGATTCATGGGAGGAGGTAAAAAATATCACCATTAACATGAGTTTGAAAGAAGCTGATTCCAACTATCATGGATGACCTTAAGAGGTTCAAGACTTCAGTGGAGAAACTAAATGCAGATGTATTAGAAATTATAAGGGAACCAGAATTAGAGGTAGAGCCTGAAGATGTGACTGAATTGCTACAATCTCATGATAAAATTTAAATTGATGAGGATTTGCTTCTTATGGATGAGCAAAGAAACTAGTTTCTTGAGATGGAATCTGCTTTTGGTGACAATACTATGAACATTGTTGAGATGACATCAAAGGATTTAGAATATTACAGAAACTTAACTGATAAAGCAGTGGCAGGGCTTGAGAAGATTGACTCCAATTTTGAAAGAAGTTCCACTGTGAGTAAAATGCAGCATAGCATGCTACAGAGAAATATTTTGTGAAAGAAAAAGTCGATTGATATGGAAGATTTTATTGATGTATTATTTTTAAAAATTGCTATGGCCACCCCAGTCTTCAGCGATCACCAGTCTAATCAGTCAGCAGCCATCAGCATTGAGTCAAGAACTTCCATGAGCAAAAAGATTATGACTTGCTGAAGCCTCCTGGAATTGTTAGCATTTTTTAGGAACAAAGTATTTTACAAATTAAGATAGGTGCATTTTTTTTAGGCATAATGCTATTGAACACTTAAAAGACTCCAGTATAGTTACACATAACTTTTATATGCACCGGCAAACCAAAAAATGTGTGTAACTAGCTTTATTGCAATATGTGCTTTATTGTGGTGGTCTGGAACTGAAACCAAAACATCTCTGAGGTGTGTCTGGATAAAATTTATGTAGATTACCCTAAACAATATATTAGTAAGTCAAACTAGTAAAGCAGTGGAGACCAATAACATTTCTTGCAACCCCTGTTAAAAAAAAAATGACTCACCTTGCACTCTGGTGTCTGGTGTCACAATAGTGTTAAGTTTTCAGCATTGGGATATTCTTTTCTTTTCTCTTCAGAAGCCATAATATGTTATGCTGACAATTTTGGCAGCTATCAGAGTCTTAAATTCAATGTAGAAAAGCAAATATGTTTGTTTTATTAACAGGGAACACGTTCTTCAAGTGAAATAGTTTATAACACACATGTAAACAATGTCTGTGGAGCTGCTGCTGTGGTCCTGAGAATGAGTGGGGAGGAAGCAGCCTCACTTCTTCTCCTTTCAGTGTTTTTTCTTGGACCCTCCCACTGTAAGTGAAGAAATCATACACAAGCAATACAAAAAATGAGAAGATCATGTCTCTTCCTGAAGAAAGGTTTTCCCAGATGGCTTTTGGGCAGCGACCATGAGAATGGCCAACTCCTAAGGGGGAGGGCTGTCCACGTGGACTGCTGAGTGACAGTGTATGGCCTTAATGTCCGGAACTTGGGTTCAGAAAATATCCTAAAGTGGTTTCCTCACACACATATAAAGACAACCATAGACTGGTTCTTCTTAAGTCAAACTAATTGGGAAACTGAGAAGGTTCTGTTTGCTTCCATTTTGGAGATAGAGGAGAAACAAGGAAATTGAGAAAACATTGAAGGATCTCTCTTTTTTATGTGGAATAAAAATTTACATCTTTTTCTCAAAGAGCTAAACAATTCTGAGGAAATTTATTTTACCACATCCTGGCTAGAGTATTGCAAGGGGACTTACAGAGTCTTTTTATTGACCTGGAGTTTATGTTCAAACATATTCATGAGGTGTGATAATAGTCTTTAAAATTCCCCTGGATCATCTGAACTTAAATGTTACAGCTATAACATTGTTTACTTTTTAATATAACAGAATAATAAAAGGATTCCAGTACGTTGCCACATGTAGTCATCCGAAGGAGAGAGAGAAAATTTTCCATAATTAAAAACAGATTAGTCCTTCCTAATTGTGCACTAAATAAGCCGCCCTATCAAGCTAATGAATTGGTACCTTGATGGTGTCTTGCATTAGAAATTTAATTTCAATGAGCATGTTTTCCAGTTATTAGGGACCATAGATGATGCTACTGTTTTCACTCTCCTGAGTTTAAAATTTGAAAGTACTGAGATTACCTTAAATCTTCCATCAAAATTGATTCTGTTTCCCCTTTTAAAACTATAAGAAAATTCTCTACTATCCAAAGATGAAGTTTTTCTCTAGTGCAAGTGACTCCCCTCAAATAACAAGGGCAAAGCCAAAATGTGGCTATATAAATGCCTCCATGATATCTCTATTTATAATTACAGCTGCCTCATGATTATTAACAGAAGAATGTTTGTCTGTGGAAATCATCCTGTTTTGCTTGCGTAATTACTGGCTAATAATTCTATTTGTTCAACCTCATAAACAGGAACATAAACAGGCCTACATGTTCATGGCCCAGTTTGTAAGCTTGGGGCTGGATGGAGGCTTCCCTTCTGCTTGACTGGCAGGTGGACAGCCTGCTTCCTGTTTAACTTCCACAGCATATTGTCGTGTAGAACTGCAAACCATTACAGAATCGAGATGAATTTCTGCTGGAGTCTCAGCTTTGTTTTAAGATTCATTTTCCGTCTCACAAAAGTAGCGATCTTAATTTGACAAGTGATACAATCTCTCCTGCAAAACTCAATATTAGATTCTTACTCCTTTACCATCTTGGGAGGATCAAGTTAGAAATAAATTGTTTATCTAATGTAAAATATGGTGCCAGAGACAGGACCCCTCTTCCCTCCAATAATACCCTGACAAGGTGTTGTTATAGGACAAATCATGCACCCATCTATAGGTTTTTAGCTAGGAATGAGTTGAATAAAACAGTTCTTCATTTGTTGCTGTTGGGAAATTAGTGTAATGCATTTCCTGGGCTAGGTTTTTTTTTTTTTTTTTTTTTTTTTGAGACAGTTTCGCTCTTGTTGCCTAGGATGGAGTGCAATGGCATGATCTGTGACCTTGGCTTGCTGCAACCTCTGCCTTCCAGGTTTAAGTGATTCTCCTGCCTCAGCCTCCCAAGTAGCTGGGATTACAGGCGCCTGTCACCACGCCTGGATAATTTTTGTATTTTTAGTAGAGATGGGGTTTCATCATGTTGGTCAGGCTGGTCTCGAACTCCTGACCTCAGGTGATCTGCCAGCCTCGGCCTCCCAAAGTGCTGGGATTGCAGGCGTGAGCCACCATACCCGTTTTTTGCTAGTCTTATGATAAAGATTAGTGTTTTGAATTAAAAAAAGGCCACGAAAGGTGATTAATAACTTTAAAATATTTTTAACAAACTTCAAATTAAACAATTACCTGTGATGTACAAATGTAACTTATATGTTAAGTAGAGATCACTTCATTTGTGGTTGAACTTTACTTCTTTTAATTATGAAAGTGTGCTTCTTGGAGAGGTGGGAATGACCTTTTCCTAACACTTTTAATTTATCCTCTGCCTGGAGGAGAGAAAAATACTTTAGATAAACCATCTGGAAAACTTCTAATTTGTTCTATGAAAAAATAAACATTCTGCTCGGCAGAAATAACCCAACTGGCAAGAGTCTTCTTTCCATTTGGATTATTTCTTATCTACCCTTTATTATTGTTGTAAATTAAACCTTTGCATCTAAACTCAGCACCACATAAAATATAGAGGACAGTATTTGCCCTGCCTTTCTGTAAAATGTTTTAGAATTAAAGATATAGAGATATCTGTATGTATATGGCCAAAACAACATACAGACTGATGAAAAATGTGTGAATTATGTGGCTGTTTACTCTTTTGTACTCACAGATTTTAATATAAAGATCCCCTTATTTGAATATATATAGTATGAGAAGACAAATTTTGGTGAGGAAACTCCTTGGTGCTAAATACAACTTAAAAATGTAAACTCATTTTAAGAAATGTCAAATTTCTCACGGAGTCAATTGTTACTATTTATTGTGTGCTTTCTCTGTTCCTGGCCCTATACTAAGTTTCTTACATGAACTAATGAAGAAGGTCCTAGTGTTATCCGCATTTCACAGATAAACAGAGTTAAAGAGAGACTGACTTGGACCAACAAAATCATGGGACCAATAAGTTCTACAGTTTGGATTTGTACTAAGGAATTCTGTTCTCTTAGAATGCATTGAACTCATAAAACATTCTAAGCTTTTGTATAAAAAGCAGTTTGGCCGTAGGAATAGAAAAATGCACTCAGCCAACCAATACTGCTTTACACTATACAGTTTTAATCTGAAAATACTTTATATTTAGACTTTAGTTACTGTATATGGTCAATGTATGTAATGTATATAAAATGGTATTAATATGTATAGATGGTAGCTTATCACCTTTTAAGAAATGAAAATAAAATAAAATAAAACAAAACATAATAGCTAATGTGCAGGAATTCAGGAGCCATGGAGGTCAGCACAGGAGCAGCAAACTGGTTTAAGTGGAGGGGTGGTTTACTGCTAGCATTGTGATCAGAATTTTGTCCCAGTGACCAGTCTCCTGAGGTTGAATGGATTGAGCTGGAAGGAGATAGCTGTCACTTAAGCACTCTCAAATGAGTCCACTCCTTTTCCTCCTTGCTATCACACCTTATTCCTGTGGTCTCTTACTTATTTCTGTAATTAAGTCAAAAGTCTCTTTTCTGGGCTCCCTTACTCTGGTTTTCTACATTTCTGTTCTTTAATTCACCAATCCATTCTCTACATTGCTGCTAGAATGTGTTCTATACAATTCAAATCTGCTTCTCTCATTTTTCTATTTGAAATTCTTCAATTGCCTCTTAGTGCCTTCAGGATAAAACCCAAACTCCTTAGTCCGACATGCAAGGCCTTTCATGTTTGGTAGCTATAAATATCCAAGTTACAGACTCTGATGTGCAAAAATGTAACTTTCTTTATTTCAGTAACTCAATTTGACTTTCCAATTCTTAGAACTCAGTCTGCAAAATGGCAGACAATTTAATCTAGATATTTTCTAGATTTCTCTGTCTAATTTACCTGTTTTTAAGTCAGCTCAGGTTTAACATTCAATCATAATCAGAATGTCTCCTATATGTATTTTCCCCACCCACATCAGTTAGTAGAATATTCAAGAGGCACCAGGGTGAGTGTGGTAGAGGGCACCTGTGTGTCAGTTGTAATCCGAATGGATTCCAGGCTGCCTTTGCTATAGCTAGTGACTCCACTCCCATCTTGGTTCCTGGAACTGGTGGCTAAACCTCCTTAGATCCCAACTGGAAACGAGTTACTCCACAATCTGCTGTGGAATGCCTTTATTTTGGCTGTGGTGACCTTTAGGAAGTCCCAGAAAGTCTTTATTTATAAGGTTGGTGCAAAAGTAATTGTTACCTGCCCAAATGCTCATCAATCAACAAGTGGATAAACTGTCATATATATATACATATATATATATATATATATGTATACACACACACACACACACATACATATATATATATATGTATACACACACACACACATACATATATATATATATATATATATATATAATGGAATACTACTCAGCCATAAAAAGGAATGTATTAATGGCATTCACAGCAACCTGGATTGGATTGAAGACTATTATTCTAAGTGAAGTTTTGAGTTGGAGATGCTGCTTGGATACAGCTAGTGAACCCACAAATGAATATTCCAGATTATCATTCTGTCACACATTCACCTCCCGCTTACTTTTTTTTTAGTTGGATTTGTTTTCATAATCTATCTTGCAATAAACACACACACACACACACATCACCTGGCTAACTTTTTTTTTTTTTTTTGAGACGAACACCAGGGCCTGTTGTGGGGTGGTGGGAGGTGGGAGGGATAGCATTAGGAGATATACCTAATGTAAATGATGAGTTAATGGGTGCATCACACCAACATGGCACATGTATACAAATGTAACAAAACTGCACATTGTGCACATGTACCCTAGAACTTAAAGTATAATAAAAAAATTAAAAAAGTAAAAAAAAAAGAAAATTTTTGATGTGGGTATATATGCACCTGAGTTAACATCTGAACCTGGATTAAGAAGATGCTGGTATTGTTTACTAAATAGAAATTACAGGTAAAGTTTTAAGAGCTAGAATATGTTTGTTTTTAAATAATGTGAAATTAAATAAGGGTTACGTTTCCCTGTAGATTTTTTAAACAGTAGAGTTAATGAATCAAAAAGCATGACTTAGTATCAACACATGGATTCCATGCCAACTGGTAATCAATCATATACCATATAGCAGTACTTTATTCTCTTGAGTAAGGACATTTTCACATTGCTTACCATTATTTTTTGCTAGGAAATTTCCTTTGAAAAGATCACACTAGGTACACTTAAACCTAATTAAATAATAAAAATCTCAGAAGTAGTGGAATTTAATAAAAAAGTTGCCTAAATTGTGGTTCAAGTTACATATAAATGTATGTACTGCATATTAAATATTTTCATCTGAACTTTTTAAATAACGGAAAATAGTTTTTTTCTACTTTCACCATTTTTCCCCACCCTGAACAATATGATTTTGTATGTATATTTGTTCTTTTTTCCACCAGGTACCATAAATGTATGGAGATGATGTCAATGAAATACTGAATTGGATATTAAGAAAGTGAATTTTTATACAAATTAAGATATAATATACTGATGTGATTTTATGTGTATATTTTATTTATAAAACTTTTGTGTATTCTTATAATTGTGCTTTAGAATTTTTCTACTTTTAGTTGAATACATTCTTACACATTACTGTAGCTTTCTTATTCCCTTCCCCTACCTTATCCCACTTAAGTCAGCATTTTTTAAACCCTGACTCTTATGATAAAATGACTAAGATTATCCCAGCCCAATTATTTTTATAATGCATGTAGTCTTCTGTTGATCTATTAAGTACTCTCAGACCCCACCAGAAAAATGCTGGACCTGGGCTTTGCCCTTACTGTGTAAAAGAGAAAGTAAAGGGCATGAGGAATAAGAAAGTTTCATCCTTCAATGATTAATTATTGTTATTCTCTAAAGGGATATGTCTTCTAGATATCATGAAACTTGAATATGTCACCTCTAGGATAGAGCTGATTTGATATAGGTTGAATTTTTAAAAGATATCAATAAATGGACCAATCCATGGGGATCTAAGAAGGAAAGAGGATGTATGAATGAGAAGTCAATAAAGACTGAAAAAATTCTCCTGAATATTACCTTATCAGGAAACCCTTACTCACAGGGCTTCTAATTTGCACTCCATAGCAATCCCTGACTCTCAACCCTTCTGACACTCGCTGTCCAGGTGAACCCATAGCCAAAGCCAAGGACATATCAACAATTTCGACTTGGTCTCTGGTCTCACTGGTCAACAGGCAAGAGGTAAGAGGACTGAGCATTCCCAAATTCACATTATCTGGTGAAGGGGGAAAGAGGGTATATTAAGTGGTTCTTGCATTGCTATAAAGACATGCTTGAGGCTGGGTAATTTATAAATAAAAGAAGTTTAATTGGCTTAAGGTTCTGCAGGCTTTATAGGACACATGATGGCATCTGCTTCTGTGGAGGCCTCAGGAAGTTTCCCCAGAAGTCAGAGTGGGAACAGTTGTCTCACATGGCAGGAGCAGAAATAGGGGTGTTGGGGGAGGATGCCAAACACTTTTAAAGGACCCGAGCTCTTGTGAACTCAGAGAGAGCTCACTTACCACCGAGGGGATGGCTCAAACCATTCATGAGGGATCCAGCCCCATGATCCAAACACCTCCCACCAAGCTCCACCTCCAGCATTGAGGATAACATTTCAACGTGAGATTTGAGTGGGGACAAATATCAAAACTATGTCAGAGGGAATGAAATTTTAAAATCTCCAGTGAGGGTTCATAAATAAAGTATTTAGTTATAATATTGCATGTGATTGCCTTCACGAATGCAAATGCTGTAAATCCTATATACACATTGAGGATGCTTTAGCATGATAGTCTAGAAGATTTTTCCCATTGTAATCATTTTTCCCCTAGGGAGAAATATTTTATGAATTGTAAAAAATGGATTTTAAAATTAATTGTAGTGAGAAAAACAAATTTATATATTGAAAACTGTCTATTGTATGTGTGTGTGTGTTGTGTATTGCTATACGTACATATATATAAGATATATAAGCTTATGTATATTTAAATTGAAGATGACTTATGGACAAAATGAGGGCACGTTTGGATTCTGTAAGCATTCTACCTTCTAATTTACTACTTCTTTTCTATACCTTGCAGACAGGCCTCTTGCCTGTATTTATAGAGGGCTCTGCTTCTACCAATAATCAAAGGATGATTTGAGGTCATAGACAAAAGAATCACAGATAATTAAGTATAACACTTTATTGATTAGGACAGGGTCATGCTTCCATTTGTCTGAGAAGAGAAGATAGTACACATTGTGAATAGCCAGGGAGTTGCCATACACTTTGAGGACTTCTAGAGAGGATATAGTGGGTAGGTGTGGTGTTGGCTAATGATTGCCAGGTCAGGTCTCTTCTCTCTTCTTCCTGGGCACATGGCTGAACAGCCACCCTTGTGGCCAGTTGAACATGGGAAAAAGTGAATGTGTAACTTTTAGGTCACTTGTCTAAAAGGAAATCACTTTCCTTGGACTTCTTATGTTTTCTTTTCCCTTGATTTGGAACATAGAGGTGTCCACATTCAGCTTCAACTCTGCAAATGAGGACACAGTCCTGGGAATAGGGAGCCCACAAGATGAAAAGAACTTGTCTGAACAAATTTATGGCCTGGAATTTCTACATACTTTTAAGCAAGATAAAAAATATGTATTATTCAATGTAAGGTGACTGTATTTTTTGATGTTTTGTGGCCAGTATCTTCACTAGTATAAACGGGCTCAGGATGAGTCCATCATGAAGAAGAAGAAAACCTCAGGGTTATGTGATTTTATGTGGTAGATATATCCCAGGCTTGGGTGTTTCAGATAAAAAGAAAATAGACCCAGCAAAAAACAGATAGGGCTATCTCCAGAAGAGATGAACATATTTAGAGAAAAGGTTGAAAGTCAAAGGAATGTGTAGAGCATAAAGGGGGGCTGGTAAGTAACTTTATGGTAAAGATGGGAGGAACTGATCTGAGGCCCTAGAATTCTACTCCTCAAACTTGAGTGTACAACAGAATCACTGGGAGAGCCTGCTAAAACAAACTTTCCTGTTAAAACTGGAAATTATTGCTTAGGCAGATTTTGAGCTGCTGACTTGTTTAATGGGCTGTTTCTGCCAACACCTCTGAAATTCATATTTCGGTATTTACAAGTGAACTTTTTCTACCATTCTTGGTCTGACAATCATATTATATATCTTGGTCTCTAGAGTTTGACACTACTGCACTTTGTCAGTGTAATTTTAAAATTTCTTTAAAGATAATAACTTTTTAAATGATATCTGAACATATGTCCATGTGGAATATGCACTTATTAAATGCTTTCGAAAGTCTGTTATTTAATTAAAATTAATTTGTATTATAATTCAATAGAGAGGTTAAAAGTTATAACACTCTGACAGTGAAAACCTGATGCCACAGGCTAATCATTGTTTTTCTTTTTAATAGCTACAATAGAATATGTACTTGGACTCAGGCTCAGAAATTACCAAACTGTCATAACTGACCCAAAGATGCTTCCGTAAGTGTCTTCTTTTTGCAACCATGAAAACTCTATGTTCTTTTTGCTTATTCCCCATTTTACTTACATGAAAATTTATTGTACTTTGTTGATTATTTCAAAATTGTCCATCTTGCCTAATAGACTCCTAGAAACCATAAATAACAGATCATGTATGTTGTATTCATCATGATATTCTCAATGCCTTACATAGTGCTTGGCTCACAGGAGGTCATACATTTGCTAAATGAATAAACTAATAGATGAATGAATGAGGAATAAATGAATGAGTAGGGAATTAACTAATATTGAGCATATATACATTTGTGTGTTACATATGTATGTATATTACATGCGTATATGTACACACACATACCACCTTGGACAGCACTGTTTCTTATAAATTTTACAGTGTTTTAACTGAAATTAGAAATTTCATTTCCCTATTAACATATATATGATTATATATATCATATATATCCACACACACACACACACATGTATGGACAATTATAATCTTAGTTCATACCTCCTTTGCCCAATTACCATTGCTAAGTAGTTCTATTTCTTTATATCCAGTTACTTATAAGGTTTACATAACCATTAGCTCTTTTAGTCTTGCAAGCTTGGGACACTTATTTGCAGTGTTTTGACCCTGCTGAAAGATTTTTCTGTTGGTTTTTGTCCTTGAATGAGACTATTTGGAATATGTCCTTTTGCCTTTTAGTTTTGGTTAAGCATGAATCTATTCTTTTGTAGTTATTTTTGCCTTTTTTTGGTTATAATAATGTTTCAGAAGCTTCTGTTCTTTTTCAAAAACCATTTGATCATGAGGGAATTGGAATGTTACATTTCAAAAATTGAATACCTCATCTTGAGGAATGAAAAGCTTTGAAAGGGAGGTATCCAATGTCCTTGCATTTAGACTAGAGCTGAGTCTGAGCTGACTTGAAAGCTGAGACATCAAAAGTATACAATTTAGCTCAGTTTTCTCAAACTAATCTTCAAGATACCTAAAATGCAAGCTTTGCTCATCTGCCTCCTTTCAGTTCCAACATCTTGTTCAATTTCTGAAACACAAGAACAAAGGTTTTATGGGAAATTGTTAGTTAATTGAACCATGCTTATTGTAAGAATGAAGGGACAAACAAATGGTAACAAAATTTGTGACAATTTTAGCATTTTTAACTTCTTTATCTGTAAATTTAAGTAATTTATATTCAATATACGTTTTCTTTGATTTATCGGATACTTAGTATGTTTAATTTTTTTTACCCAACATATACTAGACAATCTGATGGCTTACAAGAATGTTTAAATAATTATTTACACATCTAACCTTTTTTATTTTAATTGACAACAGAGTATTTACAGAACTTTGTTCAAGAAATCTAATATACTATGTTTTTACATCTTACCTCTCTTTTGTTTTTAGTATAAAGGTTTTCCAGTATGAATGTATAATTGCATGCCCTTTTTTCTAAAACAAAAATAAATTTCCACTGGGTAAATGATATATGTTCATTGTAAAATTGGCCTGAAAAAAAATTAATGTATTTCTTTAACAAAAACATGTTTATATTAATAGTACTGTTTAATCTTTTTTTCCAATCAGAATGGTCACTTTTATGTTTTTTTTAAATCAACTTTTCAGATCTTCCTCTGAACTTTATTTTTTTCTGAATATCAGAAATAACTCTTTCCTTTTTCATTAAGTTAAAGTTTAATCATTCTCGGAAATGACACTGAAGTTTCTGATTTTATGGGAACCATCTTTAGACGCTGTCATAATTTTCAGTTGGGTATATTGTTTATACCACTTTTTCCCACCTTTTAAACAGCAGATATTTTTAAGCAACTGCTATTTTCTAGTGAAGTTATAACTACTTTCAAGCGATTCTTATAACTTGCCAGCAAAATATATGTACATACAATTACAAAAGTATAGATTTTATTTTAAAAAATGAAAGCATTAAAATCACACAAATGGATTACTTTTAGTGACTGTGATAGTTAATACAAGGTGTCAACTTTATTGGATTGAAGGATGCAAAGTATTGTTTCTGGGTGTGTCTGTGAGAGTGTTGCCAGAGGAAATTCACATTTGCGTCAGTGGGCAGGGCGTGGTGGCTCGTGTCTGCAATCCCAGCACTTTGGGAGGCTGAGGCTGGTGGATCACCTGAAGTCAGGAGTTTGAGGCCAGCATGGCCAACATGGTGAAATCCCATCTCTACTAAAAATACAAACATTAGTCGGGCATGGTGGTGTGCACCTGTAGTCCCAGCTACTCGGGAGGCTGAGGCAGGAGAATCACTTGAACCTGGGAGGCAGAGATTGCAGTGAGCCGAGATCATACCACTGCACTCCAGCCTGGGTGGCAGAGCGACACTCTGTCTCAAAACAAAACAAAACAAAACAACACAAACACACACACACACGAACATTTGAGTCGGTGGACTGGGAGAGGCAGAACCACCCTCAATCTGGGTGGGCACCATCTAATCAGCTGCCAGCATGGCTAGAATGAAGCAGGCAGAAGAAGTTGGAAAGAGCAGATTTGCTGAGTCTTCTGGCCTCATCTTTCTCCTATTCTGGATGGTTCCTGCCCTCGAACATCAGACTCTAAGTTCTTTGTCTTTTGGACTTCTTCTATCGTGGAAAGGGCAGCAGTTTGTCCTCACTAGAGTGGACACTTCAGATATGGGTTTGGCTATCCTGCAAACAATGCTTCTGCCAAGGCTACCATCCATGGATTCATGGAATGCCTTATCCACTGTCACAGTATTGCATACAGCATTGCCTCTGACCAAGGCACTCACTTCACAGTTAACGAAGTGTGGCAGTGGGCTCATGCTCAAAAAATTCACTTGTCTTACTATGTTCCCCAACATCCCGAAGTAGCTGGATTAATAGAATGGTGGAATGGCCTTTTGAAGTCACAATTACAATGCCAACTAAGTGACAATACTTTGTAGGGCTGGGACAAAGTTCTCCAGAAGGCTGTGTATGCTCTGAATCAGCATCCTATATACGGTGCTGTTTTTCCCATAGCCAGGATTCATGAGTCCAGGAATCAAGGGATAGAAGAGGAAGTGGCACCACCCACCATCACCCCTAGTGACCCACTAGCAAAATTTTTGCCTCCTGTTCCCACAACATTATATTCTGCTGGCCTAGAGGTTTTAATTCCAGAGGGAGGAATGCTACTATCAGGAAATACAACGATTCCATTAAACTGGATGTTAAGATTGCCACATGGCCACTTTGGGCTCCTCCTACCTTTAAGTCAACAGGCTAAGAAGGGAGTTACAGTGTTGGCTGGGGTTATGGACCCGGACTATCAAGATTAAATCAGTCTACTACTCCACAATGGAGGTAAAGAAGAGGGAATTCAGGAGATCCCTTAGGGCGTCTCTTAGTATTACCATGCCCTGTGATTAAGGTCAATGGGAAACTATGACAACCCAAATCCAGGCAGGACTGCAAATGGCCCAGACCTTCAGGAATGAAGGTTTGGGTCATGCCAGCAGGTAAAAACCCACTACCTGCTGAGGTTCTTGCTGAAGGCAGAGGGAATACAGAATGGGTAGTAGAAGAAAGTAGTTATCAATACCAGTTATGACCACATGATCAGTTGCAGAAGCAGGGACTGTAATTGTCATGGGTACTTCCTCCTTATTTTATTAAGAATATGTTTGTGCATGTATACACTTGTACTAAGAAAATATCTTCATTTTATTTATTTTCTTTTTCCTTTATCATGTGACATAAAATTTATTGACTTCATATCAGCATTTAAATGTTAACTTTATGTAATAGCATTTAGGTTAAGGATTGGTGCACTTACGGTTGTACAAAGGATAGCCATATTATGTTAAGCAAAATTATGATCTTATTGTCTTGAAGATTGTGATTTTGTGAGAAGTGTGTGGGTTCAAGTTGACAAGAGGTAGACTTGTGTTGGTTAATATCAAGTGTTAACTTGATTGGATTGAAGGATGCAAAGTATTGTTTGTGGGTGTGTCTGTGAGGGTGTTGCCAGAGGAGATTAAAATTTGAGTCAGTGGATTGGGAGAAGAAGACCCCACCCTCAATCTGGGTGGGCACCATCCAATTGGCTGCCAGTGTAGCTAGAAAAAGCAGGCAGAAGAAGGTGGAATGAGCCGACTTGCTGAGTCTTCTGGCCTTCATCTTTCTCCCATGCTGGATGCTTTCTGCCCTGGAACATCAGATTCCAAGTTTTCTGGCTTTTGAACTCTTGGTCTTACACCAGTGGTTTGCCAGGGACTCTCAGGCCTTTGACCACAGACCAAAGGCTGCACTGTGGGCTTCCCTACTTTTGAGGTTTTGGAACTCAGATTGAGGCACTACTGGCTTCCTTGCTCCTCAGCTTGCAGACAGCCTGAGACTTCACCTTGTGATCACGTGAGTCAATGCTCCTTAATAAACTCCCTTTTGACTGGGTGCGGTGGCTCACGCCTATAATCCCAGCACTTGGGGAGGCTGAGGCGGGCGGATTGTCTGAGGTCAGGAGTTTGGGACCAGCCTGGCCAACATGGTGAAACCCCATCTCTACTAAAAATCCAAAAAAAAAAAAAAAATAGCTGGCGTGGTGGCAGGTGCCTGTAATCCCAGCTACTTGGGAGGCTGAGGCAGGGGAATTGCTTGAACCAGGGAGGCAGATATTGCAGTAAGCCGAGATCGCACCACTACACTCCAGCCTGGGCAACAGAGCGAGACTCCATCTAAACAAACAAACAAACAAACAAACAAAAACTCACTTTTACATATGCAATATCCTATAAGTTCTGTCCCTCTGGAGAATCCTGACAGTGACCTAGAGTTAGGGAATAATGTAGACTAGCATGCTTCAGTAACATTCAGAGATTTCAGTAGGTCATTTTGGTGCAGTGTAGTGGAGTCCAAGTAGAGTGACAATCTTACTGAGCTGTAAGTGGCAGATATTGCAATTCAAGGCTGCTGAAATGATAGAGATTTGCTGGGTGGTGGTACCAGGGAAGTGAAAGCTTTGTGTCTGGATTGGGAGTGAAGTCAGTTGTCTTTGTACATGTTCACTACTTTACTATGGGTTTTTGCCCAAGTGCTGGGTACTCATGAACAGGAGAAACTTCCTGGGCCTTAGCAGAGAGCAGATCCTTCAGGCATGAGAGCTGAACATAGCTACCAAATGTTGAGAAATGCTGGGAGGTATGGGAGCTCTGGCCTAGTTGGAGTGGAAAGACCTCACTGAAGATTCAGGCGTTTGGTTGAGACTTCAAGAAGGCCTAGCCTTGGAGGTAAGGAGCATGTCCTAGAGTAGCAGCCACACTGTAAGAGTAAGAACCAAACATAACCAGAACTACTCTAACAAAGAATAAATTCATGCAATTCAGGTTTCCAGGATTCTTCCATCTGTGTCTCTTTCTTTAATGCCTGACTGTCAAGGTAAGCATGCTTGTCTGGATCAAGCAGCTGGAAGGGGAAAAATAGGAGGATCACACCTGGGAGATTTTTAAGAGCCAGGTGTAGAAGTCTACATTATTTCCGTTCATGTTTCATTACCTAGAACTCAGGCACAAGCCCATGCCAACTCCATGGGAAACTGGGAAATGTGGTTTGGCTCTAAGGCTGTAAGAAATGGAATTAAATTTGGTGTGTAATTAGCCAATCTCTGAAACATTTACAATGCACACTGAAGTGGGGAGGGCCGGTGAGGAAGAGAGAGGAGCTGGAAAGCTTCCACTGTTGTGAAAACAAAGTTCATTTCAAATCTTCATCTGTTTCTACATCTGGGAAAGGACACATCCTGCTCAAGAATAACTGTTCAACACTTTCCCTACCATCATCAGGGAGAAAATTTCTAAGATTGTATGAACTTACATCAAGTGATCTTACTCTGGACATTGCTGCACTGGCTCCAGAAAGTTCATTTTCATGGAGCCAGGATCCAGCTGCATTGGTTTAGGATTGCTGCAAGTCCACATAGATGTAGCTAAGAGGGGCTCCTGTAGGCTCTCAGTGCCTGCTATCAGCAAGAGGTGGCTGAGAACCTGAAACTTTGCCTTTTCTTTGAGTACAAATAAGTGCCTAAAGTCCTTACTCATCCAAGCACACAATAAATCATACATAGAAACTCCACATACTTAATGGCCAGATATGTGTGATCACTGAGAGTTTGGTTTATGGATTTATATGAATGATTCAAAATAAATAATATGCATATCTGTGGGCAATAAATGTAAAAAAATTATGAAACATCAATAGATTTTCAAAAATTATCAGATACATTTATTGCTAAACAACTTGATATACCTTCTCTTCTGCTTTGTTCAGCCTGGCACAGGAATAAGGTAGGGAATGGTAAATAAGAGGAAGAGAGAAAGAAGATCTAGAAGATGGAAGTCAAAATGTCACAGCAGGCAGTGTAAAGGGCAGAAACAACCATTCTAGGTAAGCTCACAAAAATCTTCCTTTTGTCTTTATTAATGGCAATGATCCCATTTGTGTGGAACACTAGAGTGCATTTAGATTAAGTGTTCTCTTCAGCTTGATTCCTAAGCTCATCAAGATCCTAAGAGCAGAGAACTGAACGATGCTGGGGAGCTTATCCTGAGCTTTGAAGAGATTATCCCCCAAGTTCCCTGGCAGGCCTGCAGAAGGTGACCTGCCTGTTATCTCAGAACACTCCATACAGCAGAGATCATCAACACCATTATGGCCCTTACCGCCTGTAAATGCCTTAAGCAGCTTTAGATAGAAGATATATGGCATAGGCCTGCAGCAGAAAATTTCATCACCATGATTTCTCTGCTGGGCCCTTGTTTAGAAACATTGCTCACATCTTTGGGTTTGACGGGAAAACAGCAGCTGTTTTCTGATCATTTGGCCATCTGTTCTTTATTGCTTATATTATTAACATTTACAAGGGATAATTAGTATTTTAAAGTGACTAAGATGATTGATCAAGAAACACCCAACTATCTTTTACCATGATGCCTGGCTTAAAAATGTCAAAGGTAGCAGCAGTTATTTAATATATTAGCTCACTCTGAAATTGCAATATAGTCCACCTGATAAAATTCTCTCACTTTAATAATCAAGAAGCTATATATATATATATATATATATATATATATATGAGATATATCATATATATATCATATATATCTCATATATCATATATGAGATATATATGATATATATATAAAGTTCACTCTATTTAGTCCAATTTAATTTCTTCATGGTAAGTCCACATAAAGTATCTCTGACTGTTCCAGTCTATAACAACCTCTTTATCACTAAAAAGGTATTTTGAAATCCACCTAATATGTTAAAATGTATTATGATTATTTTATTTTACTTGTTTTTATATTCATTCTTAGCTCATTTTATGAGTTTAATGTCTTAATGATGTGCTTCTGTAAGGCTAGGAATGTATCTTATAATTTTACCCACTCACATCATCACATCATTAAAATATTGAGTAGTGGCTTGCCCTGAGTAGATATATTCTAAATTTGTAAGAACAGACAACTGTAGCATGGGCCAATTCTAAATAATGAAATGATGGCAGAGATTCTACTCTTGGATTTGAAGGGTGTAAATTGTTAAAATTGCTAGTTTATATAACTAGCAGTTATTGAAAGTCTACCAGGTACAGTCATCTTGCCTGAATTACCATAATACCCCTCAACTTCTCTTTGTGCCTTCAGCCTTTTCTTCTCCAATTCATTCTCCACACCACACCTAGAGTGAGTAATCCTTCTATAATGCCAATTCATTCATGTTTTTGCCCTGAGTATAATAATCTTCCAGTAGTTCCCCATTTATTTCAAGATAAAGTGAAACTTCTTGGCATGACATTCAAAGTTTATGATGATCTGGCTCCTGTAGGTCCCCCTGCCCATGCCATATTTTCTTTTCTTTTTAAATTTTACTTTAAGTTCCAGGATACATGTGCAGGATGTGCAGGTTTGTTACAAGGTATACGTGTGCATGGTGGTGTGCTGCATCTATTGACCTATCTTCTAAATTTCCTCCCCTCACCCCCATCCTGCAACAGGCCCTGGTGTGTGTTGTTCCCCTCCCCTGTGTCCCTGTGTTCTCACTGTTCAACTCCCATTTATAAATGAGAACATATGGTGTTTGGTTTTCTGTTCCTGTGTTAGTTTGCTGAGGATGATGGTTTCCAGCTTCATCCATGTCCCTGCAAAGGACATGATCTCATTCCTTTTTATGGCTGTATAATATTCCATGGTGTGTATGTACAATGTTTTCTTTATCCAGTCTATAATTGATGAACATTTGGGTTGGTTCCATGACTTGCTATTGTAAATACTGCTTCAATAAACATACCTGTGCATGTGTCTTAATAGTCGAATTATTTATATTCCTTTGAATATATTCCCCGTAATGGAATTGCTGGGACAAATGGTATTTCTGCTTCTAGATCCTTGAGGCAGCACTATACTCTCTCCCACATGGTTGAACTACTTTACATTCCCACCACAGTATAAAAGTGTTCCTATTTCTCCAAAGCCTTGCCAGCATCTATTGTACCTTGACTTTTTAATAATCACCTTTCTAACTGGTATGAGGTGGTATCTTATTGTGGTATTGATTTGCATTTCTCTAATGATCAGTGATGTTGAGATTTTTTTTCATATGTTTGTTGGCCACATAAATGTCTTTTTTGAGAAGTGTATGTTCATATCCATTGCCCACTTTTTGATGAGATTGTTTGTTTTTTTCTTGTAAGTTTGTGTAAGTTTCTTGTAAATCCTGGATATTAGATCTTTGTCAGATAGGTAGATTGCAAAAATTTTCTCCCATTCTGTAGGTTGCCTGTTCACTCTGATGATAGCTTCTTTTGCTCTGCAGAGGCTCTTTAATTAGATCCTATTCATCAATTTTGGCTTTTGTTGTAATTGCTTTTGGCATTTTTGTCATAAATTCTTTGCAAATGCCTATGTCCTAAATGGTATTGCCTAGGTTTTCTTCTAAGGTCTTTATGGTTTTGGGTTTTACTTTTAAGTCTTTAATCTGTCTTGAGTGAATTTTTTGTATAAGATTTAAGAAAGGGGTCCAGTTTTAGTTTTCTGCATATAGCTAGCCAGTTTTCCCAGCATCATTTATTGAATAGAAGATCCTTTCCCCATTGCTTGTTTTGTCAGGTTTGTTGAAGATCAGATGGTTGTAGATATGTGGTGTTATTTCTGAGGCCTCTGTTCTGTTCCATTGGTCTATATGTCTGTTTTGGTACCAGTACCATGCTGTTTTGGTTACCATAGCCTTGTAGTATAGTTTGAAGTCAGGTAGCATGATGACTCCAGCTTTCTTCTTTCCTTTTAGGATTGCTTGGGCTATACGGGGTCTTCTTTGATTCCATATGAAATTTAAAGTAGTTTTCCCTAATTCTCTGAAGAATGTCAATGGTAGTTTGATTGGAATAGTATTGGATCTATAAATTACTTTGGGCAGTGTGGCCATTTTTATGATTATTGATTCTTCCCATCCGTGAGGATGGAATGGTTTTTCATATGTTTGTGTCCTCTCTTATTTCCTTGAGCACTGGTCTGTAATTCTCCTTGAAGAGGTCCTTCACATCCCTTGTAAGTTGGATTCCTAGGTATTTTATTCTCTTTGCAGCAGTTGTGAATGGGAGTTCATTCATGATTTGGCTCTCTGCTTGTCTATTGTTGGTGTAAAAGAATGCTTGTGATTTTTGCACATTGATTTTGTATCCTAGACTTTGCTGAAGTTGCTTATCAGCTTAAGGAGTTTTTTGGCTGAGACAATAGGGTTTTCTAAATGTAGAATCTCCGCAAACAGAGACAATTTGACTTCCTCTCTTCCTATTTCAATGTCCATTATTTATTTATCTTGCCTCATTGCCCTGGCCAGAACTTCTAATACTATGTTGAATAGGAGTGGTGAGAGAGGGCATCCTTGTCTTGTACTGGTTTTCAAAAGGAGTGCTTCCAGCTTTTGCTCATTCAGTATGATATTGGCTGTGGCTTTGTCATAAATAGCTCTTATTATTTTGAGATATTTCCATCAATACCTAGTTTATTGAGAGTTTTTACATGAATGGATGTTGAATTTTATCAAAGGCCTTTTCTGCATCTATTGAGATAATCATGTGGTTCTTGTCTTTGGTTCTGTTTACATGATGAATTACATTTATTGATTTGCATATGTTAAACCAGCCTTGCATCCCAGGATGAAGCCGACTTGATAGTGGATAGTGGATGGTGGATAAATTTTTTGATGTGCTGCTGGATTTGGTTTGCCTTTTATTGAGGATTTCTGCATCAGTGTTCATCATGGACGTTGGTCTGAAGTTATGTTTCTTTGTTGTGTCTCTGCTAGGTTTTGGTGTTAGGATGATGCTGGCTTCACAAAATGAGTTAGGGAGGGGTCTCTCTTTTTCAATTGTTTGTAATATTTTCAGAAGGAATGGTACTAGCTCCTCTTTGTACCTCTGGTAGAATCTCATCTTGAATCATAGTTCCCATAATCCCCATGTGTCGTGGAAGAGACCTAGTGGGAAGTAATTGAATCATGAGGGCAGTTACCTCCATGCTGTTCTCATGATAGAGACTGAGTTCTCAAGAGATCTGATGGTTTTATATGGGATTTTTTCCTTACTCCACTCATACTTCTCCTTCTTCTCCTTGCTGCCAACATGTGCAAAAGGATGTGTTTGCCTCATCTTCCACCATGACTGTAAGTTTCCTAGGGCCTCCCTGGCCATGCTGAACTGTAAGCCAATTAAGCCTCTTTCCTTTATAAATTACAGTCATTAGTATGTCTTTATTAGCAGCATGATAGCAGAGGAATACAATACTGTATCTCACATATAAGATATAATGTTAGATTCTGAAGGAAAGACACCAATATTAGGACAAAATGGTAATTATTATAATGGCATTTATAATCTATATTATAAAACAGAATGATGAAATTCATACTCAAGTGAAGAATAAACAAGTTACTGTCAGTAATCAGTAAAATGCAGTATAACTCTGCTCTTAGATATATGCAAGAATATAATGTAAGAGAAGGTGTAAAATTCAACTAATTTATTTATTTATTATACTTTAAGGTCTGGGATATATATGCAGAACATGCAGTTTTCTTATATAGGTATACATGTGACATGGTAATTTGTCACACCCATCAACGTGTTATCTACATTAGGTATTTATCCTAATGCTATCCCTCCTCTTGCCCCTCACCCCCCGGCAGGCCCCGATGTGTGATGTTCCCCTCCCTGTGCCCAAATGTTCTCACTGTTGAACTCCCACTTACGAGTGAGAACTTGTGGTGTTTGGTTTTCTGTTCCTGTGTTAGTTTGCTGAGAATGATGGTTTCCAGCTTCATCCATGCCCCTGCAAAGGACATGAACTTATTCTTTTTTTATGGATGCACAGTATTCCATAATGTATATGTGCCACATTTTCTTTATCTAGTCGATCATTGACAGGCATTTGGGTTGATTCCAAGTGTTTACTAATGTGAATAGTGCTACAATAAACATACGTGTGCATGTGTCTTTATAGTAGAATGATTTATAATCCTCTGGGTATATACCCAGGAATGAGATTGCTGGATCAAATGTTATTTCTGGTTCTAGATCCTTGAGGAATCACCACACTGTCTTCCACAATGGTTGAACTAATTCACTCTCCCACCAACAGTGTAAAAGCGATACTATTTCTCCACATCCTCTGCATCATCTGTTGTTTCCTGACTTTTTAATAATCACCATTCTAACTGGCAGGAGATGGTATCTCTTTATAGTTTTGATTTGCATTTCTCTAATGACCAGTGATAATGAGCTTTTTTTCATATATTTGTTGGCTGCACGAATGCCTTCTTTTGAGAAGTGTCTGTTCATATCCTTTGCCCACTCTTTGATGGGGTTGTTTGTTATTTTCTTGTCAATTTGTTTAAGTTCCTTGTCGATTCTGGATATTAGCCCTTTGTCAGATGGATAAATTGCAAAATTTTTTTCCCATTCTGTAGGTTGCCTGTTCACTCTGAAGATAATTTCTTTTGCTGTGCAGAATCTCTTATTTTAATTAAATCCCATTTGTCAATTTTGGCTTTTGTTGCAATTGCTTTTGATGTTTTAGTCATGAAGTGTTTGCCCATCCCCATATCCTGAATGGTATTGCCTAGGTTTTCCTCTAGGTTTTTTATGGTTTTAGATCTTACATTTAAGTCTTTAATTCATCTTGGGTTGATTTTTGTATAAGGTGTAAGGGAGGAGTCCAGTTTCAGTTTTCTGCATATGGCTAGTCAATTTTCACAACACCATTCTTTCATACCTGACAGTTTGAAGTCAGGTAGCATGACTCCAGCTTTCTTCTTTTTAATTAGGATTGTCTTGGCTATATGGGCTCTTTTTTGGTTCCATATGAAATTTAAAGTAGTTTTTTGTAATTCTGTGAAGAAAGTCAATGGTAGCTAGATGGGAATAACATTGAATCTATAAATTACTTTGGGTAGTATGGCCTTTTTCACGATGTTGATTCTTCCTATCCATGAGCATGGAATGTTTTTTCATTTGTTTGTATGCTCTCTTATTTCCTTGAGCAGTGGTTTGTAGTCTTCCTTCAAAAGGTCCTTTACATCTCTTTGTAAGTTGTATTCCTAGGTATTTTATTCTCTTTGTAGCAATTTTGAATGGGAGTTCACTCATGATTTGACTCTCTGTCTATTATTTGTGTACAGAAATGCTCGCAATTTTTGTACATTGATTTTGTATCCTGAGACTTTGCTGAAGTTGCTTATCAGCTTAAGGAGTTTTTTGGCTGAGACAATGGGTTTTCTAAATATACAATCATGTCATCTGCAAACAGAGACAATTTGACTTTCTCTCTTCCTATTCGAATACTGTTTATTTCTTTCTCTTGCCTCATTGCCCTGGCTAGAACTTCCAATACTATGTTGAATAGGAGTGGTGAGAGAGGGCATCCTTGTCCTGTGATGGTTTTCAAAGGGAATGCTTCCACATTTTGCCCATTCTGTATGATATTGGCTATTGGTTTTTATAAATAGCTCTTATTATTTTGAAATATGTTCCATCAATACCTAGTTTATTGAGCGTTTTTAGCATGAAGGGGTGCTGAATTTTATGAACGCCTTTTCTGTATCAATTGAGATAATTATGTGGTTTTTGTCATTGGTTCTGTTTAGGTGATGGATTACATTTATTGATTCCCGTATGTTGAGCCAGCCTCGCATCCTAGGGATGAATCCAATTTGATTGTGGTGGATAAGCTTTTTAATGTGCTGCTGGATTTGTTTTGCCAGTATTTTATTGAGGATTTTATCGATGTTCATCAGGGTTATTGACCTGAAATTTTTTGTTGTTGTTGTGTCTCTGCCAGGTTTTCGTATCTGGATGATGCTGGCCTCATAAAATGAGTTAGGGAGGAGTCCCTCTTTTTCTGTTGTTTGAAATAGTTTCAGAGGAATGGTACCAGCTCCTCTTTGTACCTCTAGTAGAATTCGGCTGTGAATTTGTCTGGTCCTGGGCTTTTTTTGGTTGGTTGGCTATTAATTACTTCCTCAATTTCAGAACTTGTTATTGGTCTATTCAGGGATTTGGGAGGGTGTATGTGTCCAGGAATTTATCCATTTCTTATATATTTTCTAGTTTATTTGCATAGAGGTGTTTATAGTATTCTCTGATGTTAGTTTGTATTTCTGTGGGATCAGTGGTGATATCCCCTTTATCATTTTTTATTGTGTCTATTTGATTCTTCTAACTTTTCTTCTTTATTATTCTGGCTAGTGGTCTATGTATTTTGTTAATCTTTTCAAAAAACCAACTTCTGGATTCACTGATTTTTTGAAGGGTTTCTTGTGTCTCTATCTCCTTCAGTTCTGCTCTGATCTTAGTTATTTCTTGTCTTCTGCTAGCTTTTGAATTTGCTCTTGCTTCTCTAGTTCTTTTAATTGTGATGTTAGGTTGTATATTTTAGATCTTTCCTGCTTTCTCCTGTGGGCATTTAGTGCTATACATTTTCCTCGAAACACTGTTTTAGCTATGTCCCAGAGATTCTGGCATGTTGTGTCTTTGTTCTCATTGGTTTCAAAGAACTTATTTCTGACTTAACTTCGGTGTTTACCCCATAGTCATTCAGGAGCAGGTTGTTCAGTTTCTGTGTAGTTATGTGGTTTTGAGTGAGTTTCTTAATCCTGAGTTCTAATGAGTTTCTTAATCCTGAGTTCTAATTTGATTACACTGTCGTCTGACAGACTGTTTGTTATAATTTCTGTTCTTTTGCATTTGCTGAGGAGTGTTGTACTTCCAGTTATACAGTCAGTTTTAGAATAAGCAAGACCACTCGGCTCCCTGGCTTCAGTCCCCTTTCCAGGGGAGTGAATGGTTCTATCTCACTGGTGTTTCAGGTGCCAGTCCTGCAGCTAGCTTGATATCTGCTCAAACAGCTACCCAGTTTTGTGCTTGAAACCCAGGGCCCTGGTAGTGTAGGTACACGAGGGAATTTCCTGGTCTGCGAGTTGCAAAGACCAAGGGAAAAGCATAGTATCTGGGCCAGATAGCACTGTCCCTCATGGCACAGCCCTTCACGACTTCCCTTAGCTAGGGGAGGGAATTCTCTGACCCCTTGTACTTCCCAGGTGAGGTGACACCCCACCCTGCTTCTGCTCACCCTCCATGGGCTGCACCCACTGTCTAACCAGTCCCAGTGAGATGAACTGGTTACCTCAGTTGGAAATGCAGAAATTGCCTGCCTTCTGCATTGGTTTCACTGGGAGCTGCAGACTGGAGCTGTTTCTATTCGGCCATCTTGCCTTCTCCTTGGATTTTATTTTCTGAGTACTAATTAAGAGATTTTTTACAAAGGAGTAAAATATATCTGATCTACGTTTTACTAAGTTATACAAAGGCTAGTTTGGATGAGTAAGAAATTAGAGACACAGAGTCCCTTAGGAGACCATTTCAAAAGCCAGATAAGAAATGACAAAGATTTAACTAAGTAAATAGCAATGCAGAAGGAAATCAAGGAACAGTGATGAGGTGTATTGTAGATTAAAGGTCCACAGGATTTTTGCAGTGGATGAGTATAGTGTTCAGAATGAAGGGGTAGGAAGAGAAAAATGAGCTGCAATAAATTCTGCAGCTGGTGGTATCTGAAAGTCTTGAGTGACCTCATTATAATTGATTTAGAACATTGTCTGTTATCAGAGAACTATTATAACCATAGTAACCATGTTTATTTAGTATTAAAATGCATTTATATCACACCTGATTCCAAAGGTTGTTTAAGAACTCATAGTAATAATGGGTTTTATTTTCAAAAAGGAAGTAGATTATTTTATTCTTGTCAGAAAGGCCAGGCTAAATTTATTTATCACTTTCTTCTTGAGGAAATTGCATTTTCTTCTTGCTTCTTTTTCTCACACCAGTTGTTTAGCAGTCAAAACCTGACATTCAATAATCTGAAAACTACCAAAATTCAGCAGAGAGAATACAGAAAAGAAGTTAGGAAGGGGACTAAAGTCAAGTGCTTTTGGTCAAATAATAGAGAAGGGAATCAAAGAAGAGATACAAGTGTTCTCTAATGTGATTTTTATAAAACTCAGGGTTATGTAATTTTTGTAATTTTTAGATTATCCACATGATCTCTCTAGGTGGCCTACAAACAGATGAAGGCTTACCTTAAAAACAACTCTTCCTAAGAAGTAGAATGTGGCCCTCAATTCCTTGATTTATCTGTTTTAATTTTAATCTAAATGTATGTGTAATAATTGGTAATTATTTAACCATTGGAGTCAGAGCTATGATGTAAGCCAAATGATATTTTTCCTAAAATAATTTGTTTTGATTACAATAGGTCAGCATATTCTAGGTGTGTTACACTGCCAAAAAACCTCTTTATTGTCTACTTATTTTGACTTCACATTTTTTATTGTTATTATTATACTACAACATAGTATGCTATTTTACTATACATACACCAATTGATCAATCTATCTAGATCTGTCTGTCTATATCTTTATCTCCTAAATAGAGAATGAACTCTTAAAAATAACTTTCTTAGAAGACTTTCACTTCAGTACACTTTCTTCCTGGTTATAGATAGTTTGCTAATTTAACTCTCATGGTTTTATACATATTAAAAGCCCACAAATGCAAAATGACAAGGGGCATTAACCAAGAAATAATGTTTGATGTGTACCTCAATGTATAAGTTAAAATGTGAAATCAAAGAATAGTGCCTCTAGAATTTGTCCAGACATCTCCCCTTACCCACTCCACCACCACTGCCAAAGACACAAATAAGAACAAAGATAAGGACTCCAGTGCTACAAGGAAATGAAAGCTTTTGAGCAAGGTGCATGACTCTTCCTCCAAGAATCCTTCTATGTGCTATTGATGTACAATTTGCTACTGCAAAATTCCTACTAATTAACTGTAATAGATGCTGAGGTGCACCCCGTATCCCTTCACAATCTAAATACTCATTTCCCACTTCCGGGAGTGAGGCTGTGCCAGTTACGGCTGAGTCTCTTGCCAGAAATGGCTCTTGGCCAAACAGAGCTGCCTCAGGCAAGGTTGTACCTGCTCCCTGGGGGCAGCCCGCATTCAACAACAGAGCCTTTTGGGAACTACAATTCATAGCTCCATTGTTTCAATTTGGTCAGTCTCTTCAGGGTTATCCTAACTTCAGAGTGAGCCAAGGGATTTGCTGAGGCCTCTTTTGAAAATGCATCTCAGTCTACCTTTTCCTTCCAGTAGATCAATCATGTTTCTCTCACTCTCTCTCAAGGGTTGTGTTTCAGAGACCTTCACAATAAAACTCTCATTTACAAATCTTCATCTCATATTTGGCCTGTGACAGTAACTTTTTTTTGTTTTTAGGGAAAAATATTATTTTTCTATTATGTGTTCTGTTCTTCCAGGTGTGATTGGAACAAAACGTAAGGAGGAAGCTACCCTGTGAAGAGAGAGTGGGAAATGCAAAGGTTATGTTATTTTGAAAACATATTTTGACTATGTATCTGAGATTACCGTGTGACTGGGAGAAATATTTACAAATTACACGCACCTGGCCTTATAGCAAACTCAATAGGAGTCATTATTAGTATACTCAGTCTCAGAATCTCAACCTATTACTTAACTGGCTGGACCACAGTTTCTCTCCAGATCTCTTATGGCAATTAAGTTAACTGGGGGTAAGAATGGTACAAAATTTATGCCTCTATTAGTTTTATCTAAGTATAGCCTGTGCTCAGGTTCCTAAGTCTCTGATGGTGTATATGATTAAAATATATTTATATGAAGAATGAGAAACAAACAAAAATACTTCTTAAATTTAAAAAGTACTAAATGAATTTCTAATCTTACTGGTGCTCTTGTTTTATGTTTAAAATTTTGTCACCATAGTATATTTTCTTTTATTGTTGTTGGTGTTAAAAAGTTATTATATTTACTATATAAACCTTCAACTCCAGAACTTAGAGTACCAGTGTGAAAACTGCAGTAGAATTGGTGTATGAGGTCAACATTTGAGCTTTCAAAAACTATTTCTTATTGTTTCTGTGAACAGCTATGACTGACCAAAAAGTCCATATGCACATGACTCTGCACACACAAAAATAGATTTTTCTTTACAATACCTTTCCCAAATAAGGAAAAACGGTTAATTAAGGGTCGACTATTCACTGGAGAAGAGTATTTGTAGAAATTGTGAGGATTTTATCTATAAGTAGAATTTATAGAAAATAATTTGCAGTCTAAAAAGTTTCATTGGAGTATTGTTTTTATTCTTCTTTGCAAAAACTCATAAAATACATAAAATGATTCAAACTTAGGGATAATATTGTGTGTGTATTTTAAATTTTTGTAAATGACAGTCACCATTAAGCTATCTTAAAGCATCCCACATAGGGGTGGGGGTGTGGGAAAAGAGAAATATAATGGTAATATTTTTGTTCTCAGCCCCACTAAAAAAGCATTCCTAAGATCCCACATTTTTATTCTAATCATTTACAATAAAATTATAAAATTTTTATTTGTTGAAAATATATGTTCCAAGAGGAGCATTTAAATAGAGACAGTGTGAAAACGAAAAATAAATCAGTAACTCTAAATTGAGATTCCTTTATGATGTAAAATGTAGAGATGAGGTTGTTCATGTTCAGTTAAGCAAAGACAATGAGTGCAATCAGCGACATGCGCTGTTGTACCGAGCTACCTCTCAAAATAAACTAGAAGCATTTTTTTCCGTGTGTAATTACTGCAGATGATTAAGTTACATTCAAAGATTCTTCCTGGGTTTTATGTGGTTTTCAGTAAATAGTAGCCACTCTAAAATTTAAATAAAATTATACATAATTGAGCCTTTCTTAAATAGTAAAATAATAATGCACTGAATTTCCATTTTCACAAAAGTTGAGGATTAGACATAGAATACATCTGGAAATCCTGTTCACTCAGTATTTATGACTAATTTGAATAGTTAATTTTAAAGACAAAATGGAACAAGAAGTCACAGTTATATGTATATAAACTAACGGATCACCAAGGAACAGAAAAGAACAAGAATCCCAGGTAGTATGGGAGGAAAATGTTAATTAAGTGGCTGTTCCAGCAATACTTGCTACTTTGCTCTCTCGCACCTCATTATTTTCATAGGGACAATTTTCTTTTAAAGCACATGCACATGCAAATGCAACTGGAGAGAGATATTATTTTATGTTTGTCATCTGCACTGTATTTTGACATTTTTCGTTGCTTGTCCTCATGAGAAGAGAAAGTCCAGTGGAGTAGAAACAGCAGCAATCTGGAAATAGAATTTTTGAGTTTGAATGATGACTGCTTCTTGAAAGTATATTCTTGGGAAAGACATTAATATAGATGTCTCTTTGCTAATCTGAAAGGAGACTAGGCTATTTCTAATACCTCTACTAATTGTACAAATTCTTTGAGATTATAGTCATTTTCTCTGGAGAATTTAAAGCAAAGGGAAAACAACTGGCTTGTGGAAGGTTTTTAATGCAGGACTTGAGGGTGGGATTGCTCTGCAGCATCAAGTGATGCCTATTTGCAGAGCATGTTTAAAGGCCCTTTGGAAGGAGAGAAAGTGAATTATAACCTGGAGGCAGCAAGGTTTCCTAACCAGTGGTTAGAGAGTATCTAGAAGTTTTTGAAGATGCTCTTGAGAGATTCTTTTGTTAAACATTCTGCAATTGCAACTTCTATTTTAAAAAAGAGGCGAACTAAAAGATGATTCCAAACACTAAATTCCTTTGAATTGGAACCATATAAGATACCTAGGAGTGAACAACAAATAGAAGCACAATTCATGACCTCGTCAATCAGCTTATCATTCAACCAAGCATTTTTAACCAATGTGAGGATTTTGGCTATTGTATATTACTTTTAAATTGTTTTTATTGTTAGTCGTAAACTAAATAATTAATAGCAAGAGTGGACCATTTGTTAAGGGTTTTTATTGAATATAATTAGGAGTATAAGAGTGACACTCATTCTGAAAACTCCATTTATGATTTCAGCATATCAATGTGTTGTACATTTTACTAAAATTCTTTTACAGCACATTAGGGTATTCCTAATATTTAAACAAATAAAAAATTGTTAATATAAGAACATATAGTTATGATTATACAAATTCAGAATAAAGATTATTCAGAAATCCCTCAATTCATTATTTGAGGAGGAGCACTTTTAATTATCATGTTGAATCTTTCTTATGTAAGTCATAGTTTAGAAACAAAACCTGAAAATTATGAAAAGAATTTAGGTGACTTTGAAACCACAGAATACAAGAATTTCAGACAACCTATAGAGAAAATGGTTGTCTATTTTTGGTATCACCACATAATATACATTTTAATGTTTTTGGCTAAAAATCCTAATACTTCATACTGTGTTATTTCTTGACAATTTACTATGTATTAAATACATAATGTGAGCAGTAACAGCATTCATCACTTTTAATTTGAAAAACTCAATTTGTCAAAATCTGAGCTATTCACATGTAGCCATTTAAAATAAATGTTAAATGAATTAAACTTAAACAAACTTAAAAATTCAACTGATCAGTTTTATTAACCACATATCAATTGTTCAATAGCTACATGTCTAGTTGCTACCATATTGATTAGCACAGAATAAAACATTTTCATTATTCCCATTACTGCATAAGGTTCTAGTAGATCTTACTGGTTTCAATATAAAATTTAACATTAATTTGGTCTTAATATAATACTAATATATATTATGTTATACATACTATACATTTTATGCAAAATTATATCTATATTATTTATATATGCTCAAAACTAGTTTATTGTCTTGCAGGCAAACATGACATAAAAACTTTCTAAGAACTAGACCAGTTATTTAGCGTTCTCATATTTTGTTACAAAATGAGACTTAATAATCTAAATGAGCAGGTAGTGAATTAGAATTCAGGTAATGTTACACAGATCAGTTATGTCAGCTCTGTTTTTGGCAAGAGTTGTATAGCAGTTTAGCAGAGCATATGGAGTAGGTCTTGCCTGTAGTATTGCACTTATGTTTTTAGGTAACTGGTATGCATATGGAAAAATCAAGCTCTGTTATGAAGGATAAAGAGACTGACTTGTATTCTCCATGGAGGGCTATAGAATAGTTTGCATGGATGAGGGATGTACAACAGTCTAAAAACAAAACCAACAATATTCATATAACATACTGCTAACTGTGTGTACTGTTTTGAAATATACTTAATAGAAGGACCAAGAATTTGAAAAGTTTGAGGAAAGCAACAATCACTTATACATAACTACTATAAAATCTTTAGCTTGACTTCTGAAAATCTTATACCTTTGAAGAAGGTTGCATTCTGATTGGTCTCCTAGGTTAAATATTCTTCAAAACTTATTTCCAGATAAATAAATGAGTTAAACTCCTGAGCTGTGATTTTGTACTGAGGGGTGATGATTTTGATCATTTTGACAAATTCAATGTAGAACTTATGTATGACAACACTGGCCAAAAGGTTGACAGAAAAGCAGAAGATGTTAACAGTTCTCTTTGTTGTGGCAACATATAGAGAAATTAACTAAGAATACTAATAGACTGGTTAGGGCATGACATTATTTTATATTACTTTAAAATATATTAAAATTTAAAGTAGAATTGTAGCAATTCTACTTCTATCTACTCAGAGACTTCTAGTGGTAATGCTTAAAGGGTATGCACATGCATGAAAGCCCTGGGATCTACATAAAGTCCATGCATCTCATCTTGAGGTAAGAGATGCTTAGCATGGATTTTATATTAGCATTACTTGTGGAGCTTCTAAAACTGCTGTTGCCCAGGACTCACCTAATATGTAAAATTAGATCCTCTAGAGATAAAGCCCATAAAATGGTATGTTTACAAAGCACCCAGGAGATTCTAATGGGCAGCTAGTTTTGAGAACCTCTGACTTACAGATCTTAAAATTTTCTTTTTAGTTTTCTATTTTTTTATTAGATACCACACCTTATTTATCAAAACAGAAAGTTTAACTTTTTAAAATAACGTTAATGTTGCATCTAGTTAATAGTAAATATACTTTAAAAATAAAGTATTAATATATATTATTTTGAAAACAATGTAAAAGTAATCTAACATTTAAATTCAATAAGAAGCATTTTTTTAGATTAAGTTATCTGATTTTTCATAGCAATTAATAATAGCTTATGAGCTTCAGCACATCGGGAACTTCAGAAAGTCGCTGCATTCTTGATTTCATGCCGTGACTTTCAGAGCTTCACCTTACCCTTAAGCTTGGAATCACAGCTTTAATTTGTCTTTTAACTAATTGATACTTAAGCCATTTGAATTGAGTTATTCTCACTCAATTATAATTCAGGTAATGAGACTGTCAACTTCACAATCCTCTTTCTTTTGTACTGTTTTCTCAGCATTCCATCAAACTTGAAAGACTACAAGAAGTAACTGTCTTTAGCTTCCTGGTTCTTCTAGGGGGTTATTGAATCACAAGTTTTAGGTAGAAATAGAACTGGGTCTAGACCCAATCCTCTGTTCTTCTCTAAGTCATGCCTGGGACTTAATTTCAGTCAGGTGTACAACCTGTTTATCTATTTAATTAACACATGGTTAAAAGGTGCCATCCTTAACTGAAATTTACATGGTTTAATCCTTTGTGGTTTATACACTGCTTTTTACATGAATTTTCATTTAATTACCATGACAACCCTAGAAGTTAGGTACTATTTTTCTCATTTTTCAGATAAAGAGTGGAGCTTAGAGGGATTAAATTTCTTGTCTACATTCTCACAGTTAATAAATGGTGGTACTGGGACTTGGATTTGGTATTCTGAACCTAAACCCAATGATTTTTCTACTATGTAATGTGATTTTTTTTATGTTAACAGATGATATATTTTACAACTTCTGATTTTTCATGATCAGAAAATAGAAGTAATTCACTGTATATTTAATTATATAATAGCATATTTTTCCCATTGTAAGGGAACCTACATTTTTTTCCCCTATCTCTCAATAAGAATTCTATTGTATCTCTTGTATTTATGGCACAGACAGGTAACTTTTATATGTTGAATACCCAAATATGTAAGGCACAATACAGAGAACAAATTAGGATTTGAATTTGGAATCTAAGTACCCATAAAATTCACCTTGGAGATTAACAGAAGTAAAGCAGCTTGAGAATTTCCAAGTTTAAGCCTATTTGCTAGATCCATTATTACTGACTTCAAAAGAGTATCAACTGACTGGGAAGATTTTCTGTATCATGGAGGCAGTTTTCCTTGAAGCTGTTCATGTGTGATTTCTTCAGAGAATTCTCATTTGGTAATGGGAGAAGTATGTATGACAAAGTTTTCTGATTTATGTTTGGAAGAGCTTGCAGATTGGTAATCAGATGATGAATTTATTCACACAAATCCTAACGATCCCAAATATTTCTTGTATGATTTTTCCTCATCATTATTACTGAATTTGAAGTGTGTTCTGCTTTGTCTATTAAGCTTTAGATTTGTATTTCTAATTATATGCTGACTACTGAGAATCTCACAAGCATCACAAAATCAGCATGTCTCAGACTAAAGTATTCTTCTGTCCCTCACTTATCCACCATTCACTGAAAACGAAGATTATACCTGTACTTGAATTCCTTTTCTTGGTGAATTGCATCGTTATTCACAAGTGACCACCCAAACTATGCACCTACTTGTATTCCTTAATTTTGTCAATATTTTTACCTTTAAATCTTTTGATTGTCACTTCTTAAGTCTTAACATACCCATCATCTACATCTCTCTTAAAAATTATCTTGTCCATCTTTCTATAACTCTGCCACTTTCTGGGCTCAGGAGTGCCCCTTCTTTCAACCAAATAAAAAATTGCATCATCTTCCTTATTATTCTGTCTGCAGGTCCTTCTCATTTTAATCGCAGACACTATACTAGAAAAGTCCCTTCCTTTCTTATATCCATAAAATATTTCTCACACTTTTAGGATTAAATTCAACATACAATTCCCTAACTATGCATCTAACTGAGCTGCTTTTATTTCTCTCATTACACAAATTCCATCATCTTGCTATGGACATTTTCTTTTCATCCCTTTCTCTGATGGCTCATGCTGCTTGTCATAAATGGCACCTCTCCAGTGGGGCCATCCCTGACCACTAGCACTCAAATAGTCCCCAGTCATGTTCTATCATGTTCTCTTGTTTTAATTACATGCACAGAACTCATAACTAATATTTTTCCCTTTGTTCAGTATTTGTCCCTTACTGGAACCAAAACTCTAGACCTTATGTGCCTTGTTTACCATTCTATTTCCAGAGCACAGATCACTGTTCGAAACATAATAAATGTCAGTGTTCGTTGTGAATTTTTTTTTCTGCTGGGAACAGTCTTTACTTCTCTTTCCTTTGGAGACTTCTTCCTGATCCTTTAGAACATATTCCAAATGTTACCTTTTTTTTTTTTTTTTTGACAACCTTGGTGGGCAGTGTTAATTGGTCCTTCCCTTTTGCTCTCTGAGCCCTGGTGCATTTCTTTATTATAACTTTTATCAATGTCTACTGCATTGAGTGTCTATTTTACCCAGTGGACTCTGAACTTTTTGAGATTCCAAGTTATGAGTTGTCCGTAGTGTCTGTTGCTGTGTATTTTAGTAAGTTCTCATGAGGGATGCCAGTATGTTGAGGAAATAATGTTTATGTTATAGCTCACTGAGACTGCATGGATCTTTTTTATAATGATAATTTTATTTCAATAATACATTTCTTAATTTTGTTAATTGTTATGCAATATCTATAGAAAATGTAAAAGACAGCTATTGAATATCAGAATAAAGTTTGCTGCTCTTTCAAAAGAGAGAAAAGGTTAAAAAGAACACAGATAAGCTACAGATACAGTAGTATGATACCCATTCAAATCCACAGAAAGTTTTTTTAAAAATTACTGAAGTAATGAAGTAACCTTAATTCATGCTTCCAGAAAACAACTCTTTGTCATGTGCATTCTTACAGGTTATAGATTCATAAATTCTTAAATAAATATATTTAAATACATAGAAATTTTGGAATTCACAGGACTTAACATTTATTGGTAACTCTGAACCTAGGTTCAGGCCAAGTACAGTGACTCACATCTGTAATACCAGCACTTAGGGAGGCCAAGGCAGATGGACTGCTTGAGCACAGTAGTTCAAGACCAGCCTGGGCAACATGGTGAAACTCCATCTCTACCCCACAACAAAATACAAAAATTTGCTGGGTGTGATGATACATGCCTGTAGTCCTGTCTACTCAGGAGGCTGAAGTGGGAGAATTGCTTGAGCCCGGGAGTTCAAAGTGAGCCGTGAGCTATGATTGTGCCATTGTACTCCAGCCTGGGTGACAGAGTGAGACCCTGTCTCAAAAAATAAAAACCAAAACAAAAAAACCTAGGTTCAAAAAAAAAAAAAAAAAGACCGGAGCAGATGAGCAGATAGGTAATTGAAACAGGGAATGAATGATGAAAAATAGCATATGATAAACTATCTACTGGCCATTCTTTCATGATGAACTGTGGAGAGAAGCAACTAGCTGCAGGGCTACCTGGGACATAGTATGATAATTTTGAAAAGATTGCCTCAGAATAGTCCACTAGTGCAAGAAAAGAAAAGCAGAAGTACCTGTTGGTGTCTTCTGTGTCCTGTCTTTCATTATCTTATCATTGATCTTATTTCTCTTATAAGGTGCTGACTCCCCACATTTCCAGTTGACATTGGTCTGAAAGCTTTGGCAGCCTCTGGGGAGGCCATATTTTATGCCTGATGATATGGCACTTTATTCCTGTCTGGAAGTTGTGGGTAGAGTCCTCCAATCCCCAAATGTAGGGTGGCTCCCCTCAGGCACAGAAGTTCATGGCCCATATGAAGTAATTAGGACCCCAAAGGTGACAAAAGTATAACAAATGGCCAAAGGTGCAGGGAACAGGGGAGACCAACAGAATCTGAGGAGATACATATGCCCAATATAATACATTCCTTGACCTACACAGATCCATTCATGTCACCCCATTATATTTGTCTTCCACAACACAACACGGAGCCTTCATTCTTTATGAGAACAAATGTCTGCACTTCTTCCCTAAAAGAAGAGTTATAAGTCCCCTTTAGGTGGTGGGCAGTTATGATCTAGGCTGAAGGCCAAAACCTAAATGAAACCAGCTACTGTTCTTACTACTGTAGCTGGTCTAGAGGCTATAATTATTTCACCTCCCTCCTGGGACACCTAGTTTTAGATTTTCTTCAACATATTCCAGCATATTGTCTGGCCTGAATTACTTCCTGATGAGTGACTCAAAATTTCATCACTGACAGTATGAATGTTTATTTGTCTTTTTTATTTTTAAGAGTTGTTGTTGCTGCTGCATTTTTCTATTGACAGTTATCACTAGGAAAAGAAAGGCCCTGGGTTCCAGACATACATCTTCCTTTGCCTTTGTGTAGTAGCAACCCTAGGCTTTCATTATAATAAGGATTAAATTACTTTACCTAGTATAGTAATTAGCTCCTCTCTTGGTCTGTGGTTCACAAGTGTGAGAAGCCAGTGTGAGAAGATTTTAGTTGCATTTTCAAGATCTGTGAAATCCTTAATGTGCCCCGGTGAGTGTCTCATATCCCTAGAAACATAATAACTTCCAATCTGGTTAAACCTAATGTTAAGGGGATGAACAAAAAATACAGTTTGTTTCAAGTAGATTATTAGATATGATAGAGAGAAGGCCACTGTTAGCATAATCAGTTTCTTCTGACAAAACTAATACTAATGCTTGGCTATGAAAATGGAATATAAACAATGGTGAGTTTATTCATTCATTGATTCACTTATTTAACATAATTCTTACTTAATATATTCCAGTAATCTAGGGCCTAGGCAACACAGAAATAAAAAACACAGACTTAGTTCATGTCCTCATGGAACTCACAGTTGGGAAGGAGGCATGGTCAGAAGTACTAAGTACTAAGTATTAAGTGAAAGTACTAAGTACTCAACAACAAATAAATTTATTCAGATGTAATGTGTACCAAAAGGAAACAGGTGCTGAGATAGATGATAGAGCTTAGGTAAACCTACATTTTATAGTCTGGGAAGGCCTCTCTGAGCACAAGGCATTGATCACGAACTAAACCCACAAAAGTCAAGGGAAGAGTGTGTTTCACAAGTGGTCCAAGTCCCTGAGTTTGGAAAGTGTTTGTCTTTTGGTAGTGTTGCAAAAAATACAGTGATGCTGAAACACTGTGGTGAAGGGAATTATGAAGTAGCAGTACAAAAACAGGCAGGGGGGTAAAGAAGAAGGAGAACGGCAGATAGGAAGCAGGACTAACTTCCAGCTCGCACTCAGACCCACGAGCAGCGTGTAGAGACCTACATCGTGAATTTTTGCTCCAAGAACTACTGCAGGAAAATACCAGGAAAGCTGAGAGAATCCACAGACCCTTTGAAGGGGATGGATTGCCTCTGCAGGCTCCGTGAGACAGCTGAGAAACTGTGGGTCTGCTTGCTTTCTCAGCTTGAGGGCTTGCAGCCTGGGGCAGGTTCTCAGCCCCGCTTAATGGCTGCCTGGAAATAAACTCAGTGCTGTTGGCAGGGGCACGCTAAGAGTGAGATGGGCTGTTTGGGCTGTGCGCTGCATGGAAGCTGGGTGAGGCCTGTGGCTGCTGCTTTCCCCCACTTCCTTGGTGACCTGTGTGATGCAGCAGAGCTAACCATCATCTCCTTGAGAATATAACTCCATTGGCCCAGGAACCACTCCCCCATCCCCCACAGCAGCCACAGCAAACCCCACCCAAAAAGAGTCTGAGCTCAGATATGCCTAACCCTGCACCAACCTGATGGTCTTTCTCTACCCACCCTGCTAGCTGAAGACAAAGGGCGTAATCCTTTGGGAGCTCTATGGCCCTGCCCACTGCCTGACCCTAAAGCAAGCTTGTATCCACCCGATACAACCACAGCTGATGCGCTCTTGAAAGCGCCACCTCCTGGCTAGTAACCAACCGACACAAAACCAGTGCACCTAACAAAAATATAACCAAGGACCCACACAGAGTCCACTTCACTCCCCTGCTACCTCCACTGGAGCGGGTGCTGGTATCTATGGCTGCGAGACATGAAGACAGATCACATCACAGGACTCTTTGCAGACTGTCCAGTACCAACCTGGAGCTGGAGCCCAGTAGCTCTGCTGGGTGGCCAGATCCAGAAGAGAAATGAAAATCAGTGCAGTTTGGCTCTCAGGATGCCCCATCCCTAGGGGAAAAGGGAGAGCACCATATCAAGGGAGCATCCCATGATACAAAAGAATCTGAATAGTAGCCCTTGAGTCCAGATCTCTCCTCTGACATAGTCTACCCAAATGAGAAGAAATCAGAAAAACGATACTGGTAATATGACAAAACAAGTTTCTTTAACACCCTAAAAGGATCACACCAGCTCACCAGCAATGGATCCAAACCAAGACAAAATCTCTGGATTACAAGAAAAAAAATTAATAGAATCGACTATTGGGCCAATCAAGGAGGCACCAGAGAAAGTCAAAGTCCAACATAAAAAAAAAAAATACAGGATATGAATGGAAAAATCTTCAGTGAAATAGCATAAATAAAAAAAACAATTACAACTTCTGGAAATGAAGGACACACTTAGAGAATTACAAAATGCCCTGGAAAGTCTCAGCAGTAGAATTGAACACAAAGAAAGAACTGCAGAGCTCAAAGGCAAGGCTTTTGAATTAACCCAATCTGACAAAGACAAAGAAGAAAGAATTAAAAAGATGAACAAAACCTCCAAGAAGTTTGGGATTATGTTAAATGACCAAACCTATAAATAATTGGTGTTAAACCACCATCATTCATCACAGAACTGGAAAAAAAAATCCTAAAATTCATATGGAACCAAAAAAGAGCCCACATAGCCAAAGCAAGACTAAGCAAAATGAACATCCAGAGGCATCACATTACCCAAATTTAAACTACACTATAAGGCCATAGTCACCAAAACAGCATGGTACTGGTATAAAAATAGGCATATACACCAATGGAAAATAATAGAGACCCCAAAAATAAAGTCAAATACTTATAGTCAACTGATCTTCAACAAAGTAAAGAAAAACATGAAAGTAGGGAAAGGACACCCGATTCAACAAATGGTGCTGGGATAATTGGCAAGCCACATGTAAAAGAATGAAACTGGATCCGCATCTCTCACCTTATACAAAAAATCAGCTCAAGATGGATCAAAGGCTTAAATCTAAGACCTGAAACCACAAAAATTCTAGAAGATAACTTTGGAAAAACCCTTCTAGAAATTGGCTTAGGCAAAGACTTCATGACCAAGAACCCCAAAGCAAATGCAACAGAAACAAAGATAAATACGTAGGACTTAATTAAACTAAAAGGTTTCTGTACAGAAAAAGAAATAATCAGCAGATTAAACAGACAACCCCCAGAGTGGGAGAAAATCTTTACAATCTATACATTTGATGAAGGAGTAATTTCCAGTATCTACAAGGAACTTAAATCAGCAAGAAAAAACAAACAATCTCATCAAAAAGTAGGCTAAGGACCTGAATAGGAAATTCTCAAAAGAAGATATACAAATGGCCAACAAACATATGAAAAAATGCTCAACATTAGTAATGATCAGGGAAACGCAAATCAAAACCACAATGAGATAACACCTTACTCCTGCAAGAATGGCCATATTCAAAAAGTCAAAACATAATAGATGTTGGTGTGGATGTGGTGAAAAAAGAACACTTTTACAATGTTGGTGGGAATGTGAACTAGTACAACCACTATGGAAAACAGTGTGGATATTCCTTAAAGAACTAAAAGTAGATCTACTGTTTGATCCAGCAATCACATTCCTGGATATCTACGCAGAAGAAAGGAAGTCATTATATGAAAAAGACGCTTGCACATGCATGTTTACAGCAGCAAAATTCATGATTGCAAAAATATGGAACCAGCCCAAATGCCCATCAATCAGCATGTGGATAAAGAAAATGTGGTCTATATATATAGCACGGAATAGTACTCAGCCATAAAAAGGAATGAAATAATGGCATTTGTAGCAACCTGTATGGAATTGGAGACCATTATTCTAAGTGAAGTAACTCTTGAATGGAAAACCAAACATTGTATGTTCTCACTCATAAATAGGAGCTTAGCTATAGGGTTGCAAAGGCATACAGATGATACAATGGACTTTGGAGATCAGGGAAAGGGTGGGAACGGGGTGAGAGATAAAAGACTACACGTTGGGTATAGTGTACACTTCTTGGGTGATGGGTGCACCAAAATCTCAGAAATCATCACTAAGGAACTTATTCATGTAACCAAACTCCACCTGTTCCCCAAAAACCTATTGAAATAAAAGAATAAATTTTAAAAAATCCTTGAGATCGCGAGGCTTTCTGGGAATAATTTATTTTTTAAATTATATATAAAAAAGTTGTTAAAGGGAGAAAGTATGCATCTGAAAAGGAATACACAATGAGAAGAACCAGTGCCGTTACTATGGAGAGCTGAGAGGTGGAGAATGAAAAAGCCATTGGTCTCAGTTTTCCTGCCATGATTGCCTTTTACGAGAAGGATGATATGCCAAGAACGGGTGCAGCATTCGCTGGTGCCCTGGACAGCAATCTGGAAAAAAGACAATAAAAATCAGTTTGTCATAAGGTTAAATCACAAAAGACTTCCTAGATTAGGTTTTCAGATTCTTTTTCCTTTAGAAAGATTAAAAAAAAAAAGAAATATGGGCTAAAAGCTAATTTATTTCTTTTTCTATTTTCCCCTCAGTGCAAGATGTAACGTTCAGAAAACATGTTGAGCATGTTGAAGCATTACAAAGATCAGTCTTTGGTTGTTGAATTAAAAAAAAGAAAGAAAGAAAGAAAGAAAGAAAGAAAGAAAGGCAGGGACCAAAGTCCCCATGGTAGTGAGGTTCTTGAGATAACAAGAGGTAATGGGGGCCAGGGCTTAAGGGGAAAGAAGCATTTGGTGTCTGGCAAGTAGTGAACACTCACTCAAACTTCTTGTTTAAAGAATGTGGAAAGGTCACAATAGAATTGAGGATGCGGGAGATGGGTTTCATAAAGATAGTTTTAGTTTTGTATTGGTGATGTAAAAAAGAATAGACATTTCCTCTACTATAGCTTTTTTTTCATTGAAGTTATGTCACCAAACATAAAAAAGAAGAAGACAGATTTCAGAAGGTTTCGAAAAGAGACTATAAAATGATCCAGTTGAATAGTAGAAAGGCAGGCTTACATAAAAAACAAAATATTAGCATTGTCATGTTAAATATCTACTAGGAATATTTGATCTTTTTTTTTTTTTTTGAGACAGAGTCCCAATCTGTCACCCAGGCTGCAACCTCTGCCTCCCAGGTTCAAGCGATTCTCCTGCCTCAGTCTCTCAAGTCGCTGGGACTGTAGGTGTGGGCCACCACGCCTAGATCATTTTTGTATTTTTAGTAGAGAGGGGGTTTTGCAGTGTTGGCCAGGCTGGTCTCGAACTCCCGGCCTCAAGTAATCTGCCTGTTTCGGCCTTCCAATGTGCTGGGACTACAGGCATGAGCCACTGTGCCCAGCCTGATCAAAACTTTTAGGCAAAACCAATCAAATTTGCTGGATTGTTTGTGCTAGCACTGTACCAGTCCATGGGTACAGGCATAAATAAATGGTTGAGTTTGTCCAGCATATGCAAAATCAAAGAGAAAAATGTCAAGGGAAATGAGGCCTTATGCCAAGTTTTGAATATAAATGATGAATTTTAGAATCTAAACTAGCCAGAAGAGTGGAGCCAAGAAGCTGATGTCAGTGAGAGATTGAGCAGAGAAGTTTGGAAAAGTCGAAGATTTGTACTAATGGATGAACCAGTGAGCTCAAAAGATTGGAGGTATGCATCAGAGAGAGTGAGGGTGTTCCTTGATGTCACTTGATGTTAGGGTTTCAATGAAGGTTGAAGTTTCAGGTGATGACAAAGCTAATTGTACCCCCAAGGCAATGTGTATCTATGGGGGCATGCAAAGAGACTCTCAGTGGAGATGAGCATGTCAAGGAACTGAGAGACTTAGATATCAATGGTTAACTCAAATTGATGTTGAGTCACTGAGAAAGATGGCAAAATTTGGGTAAAAGAGGAAGACTGGGGAGAAAGAAGGGGAGAAACCATATTACCAATAATGAGGGGACTGTGTGAGGGAGGAGAAAAAGAATGGCATAATCAGATGGCATGAGCCTCAAAGCAATAGGATTTTATTTTTTCAGTAAGGAATTTTACTGTAAAGAATACCCTTACCTGTATTTCATCCCTGAGGCACCTGGAATCTGTAAGAATATTCAAGCAACTTTAGAGGACTACAGGTGAAATTGTGTGCATGGGGGCAGCACTTCAGTTACAAATTCTTCCTTATAAAAAAAATCTGACATTTCAAAGGTGATTTTAAAATAATGAAGTCATTTTTTTTCTATCTGTTACTAAAATCTATCAGACTTAATTTCTTCATTTAATTAATGTAACTTGTCCCACTCAAATGTCATTTTCCATTTAATGGAAAATTAGTGCCAGTTTGTGCCAATTTTGTGAACAAATTTCTGTAAATCATATTTCAATGTCATAATAAAACACCAAAAAATACAGAATATTTTATTGATTTAACTTTCATACTACAAACATATTTTTTTTTTTTTTACCTCTGTGACATTTTAGAAATCAAAGGAATTCTAGATTGGAGTCAAAGGACTTGGGTAAAGTCTTAACTTTATTTGGTATTGTTTTATATTGGGCAGGTAACCTCCAAGCCACAATTTCTACCCCGGTAAAGTAGAGTAATACTTGCTGTATAGAACCTCATGGGCTTATGATGTGAAGTTAAGAAGATAGTAATTTGTGTGAAATAACTGTTCAGTAAGTGGCACAAGTGAAATATGTTACATAAGTTACTTATTCTGGGTCCCCATAGTATCCAAAATATACAGCAACACAGCACATATGCTTCAATAGACTCACATGTTGTGGTTGGAGGACACATATTGAGGATAATGTCTGGGAATATTGGATTCCATGGAATGGGGGTCTATCTGTATTTCTATGTGAAAAGGCCAATGGCCATATCATTAGCTCAGTAATGAAACTATGTTACTGCCCTTGGTATAATTTCTTTATGGGATTTTAATATCCCTTATTCAGGAGACAGCTTCCTCAGAGAGCTGGTGCTGACATCACAATGGGCTTTATTTCAGTGATGTGGATGTGTGTTTGGATTTTTGCCATGTTTGGATCTTATCATGTCATTTCATATGTTTATATTGTGCTAGCTGTGCACAGTGTTCATGCATCCTAATAGGAGAGCTGTATATGGTCATTGTTTCAAGAGTTAAATACCAAAGCACATTACTTATGCTTTGGCACTGACATGGCCTCAACATTTCATGAATGTTTTGCCAAACACTGAAGGGCAGTATGATAGCTTTCACCAACTTGCATTTTCTTTTATTGTTTCGAGAGTTAAACAATATCCATGACTTCCTGGGTAGCAATGGCATCCAATAAAGTCCCGTATTATGCCAATACATTTGTCTTTTTGGCCCTGAAACTCTGACCAAGATGAAGTAAAATATTAGTGAAATGATCCATTACCATATGCATTTGGGGGGATTATAACTACCCAGGTGATTTACATTTTTAGCTAGTCTTCTATTTTATTCCTTTCTTCCTTGAGTCATCTAGATAAATTGGTGGCTTATATCCATCCCAAGATCTTTTATATCCCATCCATTAAAATACCCAAGGTGAAACACCTTCACCTCAGCAACAGTCCCTTCTCTAGCCAGTTGTCACAGACCCACTGCTTGCTCTCCTGTTGCAACTCCCTTGCTCTGCAGCAGAAAATTACTATTTCTATTCCATGTAGTCTACTGAACTAACTGGTCCAGTCTCTCCTTTTAGGCTTCTTGGATTTGAGTTTCTCCTTTCTGTCTTCATTTCGTCCTCTAGGGTGTCCTGTGGTTTTCAAAAGGTCTCTCCACTTTATCCTTGGTTATGTGGAAACTGACTGGTTGCCTGCAAGGGGATAGGAGCGGAAACTGGATATTTGCCTAGAATCCCAAATTGCCCTGACACCCTTCTAAGGAAGTGGATGAAGTTACGTACTTATGCTAATCTGTATCAGGATTCACCTGGGGGATACAAGAGCGGCTAACTCTGCATTTGTTTGTGGGCAACAACAGTCTAAGCTAGGAAATGTCACATACTCTATCCATACTCCATATGCATCTCACTTTGCTCCACAAAACTACTCGTAGCTTGATAACCATACCACAGGCACACATCTCCAAGTTTTTGAATATGCAACATCCTCTTATTAGACTACATTTCTGTCTTCTTGTCTAACTCATCTTGGTTCATTAAGAGTCCTTTTGTACCCTAACCTCTTTATAGTTGTTAAATATTCTTTCTGCAACCATGACACTGGGTGCTTAACAAAACAATGCCACACATAAATCCGTTGTAATTTTTAGATTCCTTATCTTTTTCTTCCATTAGCCAGAAGATTCTGAGAATAAGGACTAGATCATTTTCATCTTTTTATCTACAGCGCCTGGCTTAGTGACTAGCATATAATTAGTATCCTGTGTCTACAGTTGAAAAATCTAAGAAACAGAGATGTGAAATTATTTGTTCAAGGTTAGAAGCTGATGCAGCCACAGCCCACAGTCATGTATCAATGACTCTTGAAGTCAAGCTGCTAACATCTACTGAAGGGCAATTAAAACATTTCTTTTGGAACATTGGCTCATTCTGCATTTCATTCATTTAACGAATATACATTGAATCTACTCTATGTGCTCAGTGCCTTGCTAAACTCAGCAAATCAAAGGTAAATCACAGGGATGCTATCTGCCTTATAGTTCGATTCTTTAGTCATTCCTTCTGGTACCTCATTGGCCTACTGTGTTTCTTGGCTCCAGCTTCACTATTCCATTTCTGACATGCCCCTTACAGAGCTCACAGTGCCTCTATTTGAAACCCAGTCACTGTAGAGAACATTATGTATATTTACAACTCTTCTGCTAACAAACCCTTTCAGGCCTCTGGTTTTAATTTTTTCTACATTCTGCTTTCATCCAGCAAGAAAGTGAAAATAATATATCATGAAATAGAATTTTTCCTATTGTATCCCCCAAACTGAACTTAACAAATATTAAGTACCTCTGTATTCTAAAAAGAACAGACAAGGAACTTCCACACACCCACCTTTAGTATGGCTAAAGGAAGCCAGAGGGGTCCATATAACTTCCCCACCACGTCATTCTCCACCCAATGTTAGTGGAAAGCTAGATTGCATTGAGAAACTCATAGGAAGAAAAATTTTTGATTGAGAAGAGAGTGCTTGGTGTTTCACCTCTGTCCTCTTGGCAGAGAGGTTAGGTTTTAAGCATCTCCCTTTAAACCAACTGAGAGAGTTCTAAAGAAACAGAAAGGAGTAAATGGCCCACATTCCCTGGCTACAAGCTAACTGAGCTCTTAGATTCATTCAGTGTCATCTGACCTTAATACAGTGAGAAAAAGAAGATCTTCAGTTTTATCCCTCCAAGTTTGAGGCGGGACATGAACAAAATGACTGGTATCCGATTCTTGTCTGAAGATTTTAAAGGCAGGAGTTTGACTGTAAAAGCTGATGATTGATAAGAGAGAAAAAGAGCTGCAAGGTGTTGACTGCACTTCTACTTTTGGAGTTTTCAAGAAAATGCAACAGAGGTAGCTAAGCTTGAGGTGCCATGAAGTTATCTCCAGTAAGAGAGGGTAGGACATGAGAAAGCAGGAGCTAAATGGTACATTTCATGTGATCAGCTGGAGAGCACATCCTTCACTACAGAAACTGTCCGGTCTGGAGGTCTCTGTGTGTGACTGGGGAGGCAGGTTCCGAATAAACCATAGACACAATCTATTACAAAGTGAACATTTGGATGTCTACCATGACAGATGGCATCAACAGGCAAAATAAAAGAAACACTAGCATCAACTAAATAAGTGAATTTTTGCTTGTGTTTCTTTAATTTACTGTCCCTTGTTCTGTCCTTGAAGTTCCCAACAGGAGGAAGGGAAAGAGCTAAAAAATAGACAAGCAGTTAACTATATCTTCTCTGAGTCAATGGTTATATCTTAACTGAAGAGAAGGGGAAATTTGAAAGTCTGTCATTTATATGGGCAAGGAAGGGGGAAGGGTAATTCATATTTGAATCAGGGAGTAGAAAAATACTGAGTTGTTCCTTGTTTGTGTTACTGCAATTTTACTCTATTGAATAATAGAGAAAAAGAAATGAATCTCTAAGATAAATGCAAGTCGTCTCAGCAAATATATAAACAGTCCCCAAGTTACCATGGTTCAATTTAGGATTTTTCAACTTTATGATGGTGCAAAAGTGGTATGCATTCAGTAGCAACCACACTTCGAGTACCCATACAACTATTTCCCTTTTAGTAGAGCAGTCAATAAATTGCATAAGATATTCAACATTTTATCATAAAAATAGGCTTTGTGTTAGATGATTTTGCCCAACTGTAGGCTGATGTAAGTGTTCTGAGCATGTTTAAGGTAGGCTAGGCTAAGCTATGATGCTCAATAGGTTAGGTCTATTAAATGGGTTTTTGACTTACAGTATTTTCAACTCACAATGGGTTTAACAAGACATAGATAGCCCCATAGTAAATTCCAAAGCATCTGTATTTGTTTTGTTGCTACACACACACACACACGTGTGTGTGTATACATTTCACCAACAATGTCCTGGCTTCATGATGTTTTTATCATCATATTTTTAATAATTAATCATCAATTAATATTAATTCTAATATATGATACATATTATGTGTTCATTTAGTCAACTATTCATTCGTTTATGCATTCAATACCTATATGAGCACTTATACCATATGAGGTGCTATCCTATAAAAAACCTGAGGATCAGAGAGGTCTAGATAAATCTCTTAAAAGTCATACAATGATAAGTGGTATAGCAGAGACTTAAAATTGGGGCTTCCAAATCAAAATCCTATGTGCCTGAGTGCTAGGCTAGACTACCTACTTTAAGTCCGAATATTGTCTCCTACTGATTGAGATGAGAAAAAAATACCATGATCCATTGCTATGTGTTGCTTAGGGACCTTCTGTGTTGTAACAATCACAAAACTTGGAGAAAACCTATATGGAAAGCACAATTCACCATTATTATTCTCATTGTAAATTCAAAGAAACCAAAACAAAGCAAGCTTTAGTAATGTGCCCCTGGTTTAGACCTACTATGTGTTGGAGGTACAGTTTGAAACCAGCTAGTCTAGCTTCAAAGGCCACACTCATAAATACTAAGTGCTCTTAACCATCCTCATATGAGGCTTCTGATGCACACTTGAAAGAGATTCTTAAAGCCTTAGAAGGGGAATTACTGGATATTAAAATATGTGTCCAATCTCAGGAAGTATTTGTATAAATTTATACTTCTGCAAGCAGTGAATAAGACTTCCTGTTACTCTGTTTCCTCACCAATACTTTATATTATTGGACTTTTCAAACTTTTGCCTATCTCATTCTAATATGGTTGTAATATGGTACTTAATTATTGTCTGAATTTGCATTTTCCTGAAAACTGATGATGTTCTATATATTCTCATGTTTATCTGCTTTGTAAAACATGTCCATAGCTTTTACTTATTTCCTGTCTTGTTGCCTATATAGGCTTTTATTTTCTTTGTTATACATCCTGTACACAAGGTGTCATAGACTTGTCTTTTTCTTTTATTTTGTATCCTTTTTTGAAATAAAATTTTTAATTTTAGTCTGATATACATAAAGTCATATTTAAAAAGATTTCCCCAGACCCAAATTATAAAAGTCACCTACATTTTTAAATAGTATTTATGGCTGTTTGCTTGCTTCTTTCTCTGTTTTGTATTGTTTTAGATTTTTGGCTTTAGTGTTTAGATTTCTGATCCAGTTGGAATATGTTCTGATGTATCATGTGAGTTTGTTTTCCAACTGGCTATCCAGTGCTCATTTAAACATGTTTCTTTCTTAAACCTATCATTCCCTGAGAGATTTAAAATATCATCTGAATTATAAAATACATTTCCTTATGTACTTATACCTATTTCTTGAATTTATCCTCTATTTCACTGGTCTTTCCATTTATTCATTCATGGGGACCACACTATTTTAATTATAGGGGTTTTATAATGTGTTTTAATATCTGGAAGAGCTATTTTCTACTCACTACTCATTTGTGTAAAATTTTCCTAGTTTTTCTTCATATTTGTTCATTTTATTTATATACTTGTTTCTCTATTTTTAAATTAAACT